>NC_000002.12:226864618-227489618 GCF_000001405.40 Homo sapiens
TATCTCCCCAGATACCTGAAACTGACCACCTGAGTACGTTTTCCCATTGCTGAGCTGTTTCCCTGATATCTGGCCATGCAACGGAGATCAAGAGGGATAAATACTGGACTTATTCTACTCCTTTCTCAAATCTTCCATGTTGGGATCAACAATATTCCACCTGTCACCCTAGCAACTTTGGCCCTCAACATCTGGTTCTTCTTGAACCCTCAGAAGCCACTGTATAGCTCCTGCCTTAGTGTGGAGAAGTGTTACCAGCAAAAAGACTGGCAGCGTTTACTGCTCTCTCCCCTTCACCATGCTGATGATTGGCATTTGTATTTCAATATGGCATCCATGCTCTGGAAAGGAATAAATCTAGAAAGAAGACTGGGAAGTAGATGGTTTGCCTATGTTATCACCGCATTTTCTGTACTTACTGGAGTGGTATACCTGCTCTTGCAATTTGCTGTTGCCGAATTTATGGATGAACCTGACTTCAAAAGGAGCTGTGCTGTAGGTTTCTCAGGTAAGGGAGACAAAATTTTGAGGTTGCATGCATAAAGGAAGCAAGGGAGGTGTGGCTGCTGTCATTTTATGAAGTGTGGGTCCCTATCAAATTCTGAGTGGTTAAGGGCTGCTGAGGCTTTGCGTCTTGAAGAGGAGGCTGGAGCATGCAGGGACTAGTTTTTGCCATTCTACATTATGCTGCATTATTCACTCTTAGTCTGCACTAGGACCTGCTGGAAGGTGGTTTTGTAGAAGACATAGTATTGGAAATATGCACCAGCTCCTTATGGTAGGGTCACAGAAAGACCCACAGATGTATTTGTAATAGGGAGTTCTCAAAAAAGATGACTGTGCTTGTGAAGTAGGCTCAGTGTGCTGTCTCTGATTACCAACTTGTCTGCACCTGGTGAGACAGAGCACACTCATCTGCAACAAGTTACATGAGGCAGATTTAGTATTTACAGTTAGGCAGCAAGGGAAAACAGGAGCCTAGGATTCATCGTGAGCCCATCTTCAAGGCTCAAAAAGCTGCCTAGGGCTGTTGGAGTCTTCACTGTGTGTGTTCCTTGCATGCAAATAAGGAACCCCAAAGAGGCAGCCAGGTACAAACCTAGGAATCACATGAATCACTGGGCAAAGCTTTGAAAGACATCCTATTCGGGAGAGGATTAGGCTGTTTCAGCCAGCCCCCTTTTATCTCAGGGTGTTGGATTTCCAGCACATTTCCATAGTTATTCTTGAGAACTACAAGCGAGAAAGGAGGGGGAGAACTACATAGGTCCAAGGCCACCTGGAGAACTGTCCTGCGATGCCTCTGGATGACTTCGTTAATAAATGGACCACACCCTGCTATGGCATGCTGGCCATGTTTTAGGAGCCATGATAATCACTCTGCATAACCTAACCAATTTAATTTATGCAGCAGATCCACATGGAGATGGGATTATCTTTATTTTATTTTATTATTTATTTATTTTTTTTGAGACGGAGTCTCGCTCTGGCACCAGGCCTGAAGGGCAGTGGCGTGATCTCGGCTCACTGCAACCTCCGCCTCCCAGGTTCAAGCGATTCTCCTGCCACAGCCTCCCGAGTAGCTGGGACTACAAGGCACGCACCACCATGCCCAGCTAATTTTTGTATTTTTAGTACAGATGGGGTTTCACCATGCTGGCCAGGATGGTCTCTATCTCTTGACCTTGTGATTCACCCACCTTGGCCTCCCAAAGTGCTGGGATTACAGGCGTGAGCCACTGTGCCCGGCCTTGATTTTATTTTACTTTTTTTATTTGTAGTTTTTTTTCTGACCACCTGCTGACTGTTGAGGGATTGTCTTGATTTTATAGATGAGGAAGCCAAGACCCAGAGAAGTGAGGTTACTAGCACAAGGTTACCCAGCTCGGAAGCGATGGAGCTGGGACTTGAGCCCAGTCTACAGATTAGCTGTGTGATGCATTGTCTCTCACTTTCTTCCTCACTAGTTCCTTTTTACAGATATTTCATGGGACCAAAATTGCCAGCAGGATTTAAATTAGGCGTTCTAAATATTAGAATGTGAAGGGGAGGAGAGAGGTAGTCCTGAAACAAGGAAATCTAATCCTTCCTTCTGCTTTTCCTGACATCCTTCCCCTTTCCTTCCAAGATGTATCCTTATGCATCTAATTGTGGGAGAAGAAAGAATATATGCCCTGTCTTCAACATGTTTTTCCATAGAGGTTAGAAAAATACATATTACTGGTATTTTTATTGAGTTAAAATTTATATAGCATAACTATTTTGTAGTGCACAGTTCACTGGCGTTTAATACTAATAATAGTATTTTATTCACATGGTAGGTATTATGTATTTAGTAGCATACTGAACACCAATATGAACTTCTATATTTAGAAACATCAAAGGAGTGACTGCCTTTAACGTTGTCTTTTTACCAAATGCAAGGTTGTAAGGAATAGGGTATGTTTTAAAGCACAAAGTTGGATGTAATCGAATAATCATTTTCACTTTTAATTAACTTTCTTTGTAAATGTTGATACTCCTACTTTTGGATTGTTGATATTTGCATGTTCTTCATTCTCTTTTAGGAGTTTTGTTTGCTTTGAAAGTTCTTAACAACCATTATTGCCCTGGAGGCTTTGTCAACATTTTGGGCTTTCCTGTACCGAACAGATTTGCTTGTTGGGTCGAACTTGTGGCTATTCATTTATTCTCACCAGGGTAAGTGTTTTCTTTTGGGGAATACAGTTGAAGGACCTGATGTTCTGTGGAGAAAAAAATTGCAATAATAATGAGGTAACCAATTGTTTTTCACAGTGAGGTTTATTCTTTATCTATTAGGACAGAATCAAGCTTAATAGTTTTAATGTCAGATATTTCTGGGTTTGAATCTTTTCAACTATTAAGCTGTATAATTTTGGGTCACTTGTCTTAACTGAGTTGCAGATTCCTCATTTTTTTTAAGTAGGAGAACCTGCTATACTGATCTGAGGATCAATATTAACCAGCCAATCAGCTGGTTAATTCTGAAAGCAAGATTCCAAAGAAGCACATAGAAACCACGTAACTATAAAGATTAAAAAGCTATAAGGTATGTTGATCTAATGCTTTTTATTATTATTATTATTCTTTTTTTTTTGAGATGGAGTCTCGCTCTGTTACCCAGGTTGGAGTGCAGTGGCGTGATCTCAGCTCACTGCAACCTCCACCCCCTGGGTTCAAGCAATTCTCCTGCCTCAGCCTCCCAAGTAGCTGGGATTACAGGCGTGTGCCACCACACCTGGCTAATTTTTATATTTTTAGTAGAGTTGGGGTTTCACCATGTTGGCCAGGATGGTCTCGATCTCTTGACCTTGTGATCTGCCGGCCTTGGCCTCCCAAAGTGCTGGGATTACAGGCATGAGCCACCGCACCCGGCCGATCTAATGCTTTTAAGCCATTTTAGCTGTCAATTGTCTTGGTAGTAGAACTTTTTAAACAAAAGGCTTTACTTAACACTCAAAATGTGAAATGGATCAGCTCTGAAGTCTTTTGGGTTGAGAAGTGGAATGGGGCCCCTTTCACCTTACTCCCATGTTGCTGTGGCTTCCTCAGAGGAGGCACCTCCACAAAACCCTAGAGCTCCAGGAAGTACAGTTTCAGAACTGCTGATTTAGATGAATTTTTTCCCTTACAGAGAAGGACTTGGAAATTCGGAAGGTTAAGAGACTTATCAACAAACAGTTTGTGGTAGACACCAGCCTTGTGAGGATTCAGGCCCCCTGACTCCTGTCTGGGGCTCCTGCCCATTCATGCTGCACTTTCTTCCTTTGGTTCTTTTCTCTGCTTTTTGTTTAGAAAAAGGAAGATAAGTTGTGTTATTTTTTCCACCTCTTCCACCAGCTTCACTTTCCTTAATCTGTCTTGTGCAACTGGAAATGCATAATGTTTGTTTTTACTGTGGGACTGGACGTTGGCAAAGGGTGAGATTCAGGAAGGTTCAGAAAGAAGGAAGATTTCTATTTGCTACTGTTCTTTACAGACAGTTTTTATTTTGGTTTTGATTTGTGTGACTGTGCTGGGTGTCTTACCTTATTTGAGAGTATTCTCATGGGGCTGTGTGTCAGCCCGGTAACTCCAGGTCCTTCTTTAATGCTAATTTCCCATCACGGGCAGCCACTGGCAGCTGGCCCATAAATGACAGTGACGTGGCCCCTGAGTACCACTCATTTACAATTGTATTGCTACTTTTGACAGTTCCACGAAGAAAGCCTAACAAAATCTTCAAAGTTTTCTTTGAGAAAGCATCCGGTAATGTCTGTCCCTTATCTGAACAGCCCTCTCTATACCTTGTCACTCACTGCTCCCCTGACTTGCTTGATGTGACTTGGTTCTCTGTGTCAATGATAGGCTCTTGTATGTGACTGGCAACACCCACATTCATATGAAAATCACTCCCTCTGCTATTTGAACTTTCATCCTGTGATGAATCCATTGAATAACAGTGCGTTTAATATTCTTATGCAACTATTTCTGAAGTGCTTTTTATGCATTTCATTTTTTAGGGTTCCCCCCAACTTACATGGAAAAGGGATGGTTGCATTTCTGTGTCATATGCATATTCTTTGTGGAGGCACCGGTAATTCTGAGCTTGGGAAGTAAATGAAATTTCCTGTCTTTGAACTTAAAGTCTTTTGATTTTTAAGATTTGACTGCTTTGAATGATAAACTTCTAATATACAAGCATCTACTTACACATGTATCCAAATAAAGACTACGCTAAACACTGGCCCAGGAAACCTAAGCAGTGAATGCTTCTTTGAGATGGATCTCGGAAGAATGGCTGAAACTAGAGCTCTCTTTGCAATGCATTGTTATTTGCTTGATGGTTGTCAATTAGAATTTTCATTGGGAAAACACTGTAAATCTTTAGAACAAAGCTTGCTTTATTGCAGGACTGTATGGGCTGCCCTTCGGGAGGAAAAAAAATCTGCCAAAGCAAACATTTGGTGGACCTCTGTGTTTTATGAAAGCCACGGAATTAGTAATTTCCCCCAGTTACAGAGTTTTATGAAGGAAAGCCACCCCAAATAGGCATCGTGAGGAGTATGAGGCATGTGGACTTGATGCCAGAGTGAAGCAATCTCCCTCATTCACGTGGTGCTTTTGCTTCTCACAGTGTCTGTGTGTACTTACTTCAGAGGTTGCTCTGCTTCACATCCGGCTTTCCATTTTCCTTCGTGTCCTGAGACCCTGATAGGTGATAGTGTCTGAAGGGGTGTCCCAGGAGGGAGATGTGCAGGCCACCTCTGGTGCCTCCTTCCTAGACCAGGCTTCTGTCCCTTCCCACCTCCTACCCCCACCAAGATTCTGTTGATGGGAGGAAGGGGGATATGTTGCCTGGTTTTACCTTCTAGCGAGATTATGAACCTCTGTGTGTTCTCGTCTGAGCCTTAGGCTATCTAGACAGAAAACCAAAGTGGAGAATCATGAACATCACCCAGAGTAAGACAGCCACTCAGCGACTATACTAGAGGAGAGCGGTTGAATGTGACAGGGCCGGGCTCACATACTGGCCGTGGGACCTCGGGCAAGGTACACAGCCTCTCTGAGCCTCATTTTCCTCACCTGTGTAATGGGCTATTACTTACCTTCTCTGTTTGATAAGTCAGTTTTAAGGTGTCATATGCGAATGAGCTCTTTGTAAACAATAGGAAGTACTCAACCCTTTTATTATGAAATAAATCACTGGATGTGTACACTGTTCCTAAATAGAATCATACCTAATTTCTTTTGCTTTCTAAAATTAATAAATCAGCTGTTATTTAATTTTGTTTGTTTGACTTCCACTCCCTACTTCCCTTTGCTCCTACTTGACTTTTTTCGTCCTGAATGACAGCAGTCTAAAAATGCCCATAAGCCACTCTTAAACACTAAATAAGCAAGCCTTGGCTGCATTTGGACCCTGGGGTATTACAGTTGACCCCTGAACAACTTGGGGGTTAGGGATGCTGCGCCCCCATGTAGTTGAAAATTCATATATAATTTTTGACACCCCAAAGACTTAACTATCAATAGCCTACTATTGACTGAAAGCCTTACTAATAACATACACAGTCAGGTAACACACATTGTGCATGTTATATGTATCATATACTGTATTGTTACAGTAAGCTAGAGAAAATAAAATGTTATTAAGATCATCATAAAGAAGAGAAAATGTATGCACTATTTGTTAAGTGGAAGTGGATCATTATAAAGGTCTTTATCCTCATCATCTTCACATTGAGGAGGAGGAGGAGGAGAATAGGGGGAGGAGTTGGTCTTATTGTCTCATGGGTAGCAGAGGTGGAAGAAGATCCTCATGTAAGTGGACCTGCATAGTTCAAACCCATGTTGTTCAAGGATCCACTGTATTTGGTAAAATATGACAGCTGAAAGCATTACCCCCTAGGCTTTGGATACTGCTTCATTGCTAATATTTGACAAGAATAAAATTACTTTGACCCAACTAAAAATTATTTGGCTAGATTGATCAAATGAGAGAAAAAATATATTTTTTACTTGTTTCAATTTTTTATTATACAGATTTTCAATTATTTTTCAATTTAAATTTTATTTTCAATTTATTTTTCCACTTGTTTCAATTTTCTGTTTTCAAAAATATTTATAAATTTATAAATTTTCAAACATAAAGAAATGTTGATGCACCATTTGACAGTAAGTTGTAAACATAATAACTTCACCCCTAAAAACTTCAGCAGGCATCTGTTAAACAGAAAAATATAATTTTACAAAACCACATTACTGTTGTCATGCAAAAGAAAATTAACAGTAATTCCTTAATGTTGTTTAGTAATTGGTTCATGTTCAGATTCTCCTAGTGTTCAAAATGTCTTTAATAACTGTTGTGGCCAAAGGAGAACCAGGATCCAAAATTCATATATTGCCTTTGATTATTGTATTTATTTATTCTTGTATTCTAAGACGGTCTTCCCACCTTTTTACTTTTCCATGAAGTTGACATTTTAAAGATATCAGATCTCTCGTTTTATAGAATATCCCACACTCTAGACTTGTCTGCTTGTTTCCTTTGGGGCTTGTTTAACTTGTCCCTCTATCCGTTGCATTTCTGGAAACTGAAAGTTGGGTCTAAAGGCTTAATTAGATTCAGATTAAACTGGCTCTTTTTTGGCGATAATACTCCATAGGGATGATACATGTTGCATTACGTCAGGAAGGACATACATGCCAGGTGGCTCCTATGTTAGGAATTACAAGTTTAATTACTTGGTTAAGGTAGTCTCCATTATAAGGGCACCTTTATCCCTTTGGAATTAGCAAGTACTATATGAGGTGACACTTGGACATCATGCGGATAACTTGTTTCCAGTAACTTTTTGTCTAGATCAGTGGTTATCCTTGTCTGGATTGTTTATTTTAGGGGGAATTATAAAGGATGACTTCTTCATTGGTTATGCCTTTTATATTTGTTTGATGAGATTAATCCAGAGTTGGGGGTTAAGACCCCAAGGCAAGGAATTGAGGAAGATGAATGTTTGTCAAAGGCTGGTCTTAGTTTTATGGACTTCAAGCTTATTTGGTTTTATGGGTTCTCCTTAGGAAAAAAGTACAAAATTGCAGAAAAAAGTAAAAATTTTAAATGAGAAAGGGAAAGACAGTTCATAAAATTTTAAGACCTGACAAATATTATAAACATTATTAAATCCATACAAATAATATAATATTAATTCCCTGACACACCTCTGTAATATTTTCCCCGACAGGTTTTGCTGCATGCTTTCTGATCTCTTTTTCATATGAAAATAACCTGGCAATAGTATTTCCGTAGAGAGAACATCATGGTGGCTCAAAATTAGTTTTCTATTATTAAGAGTTTAGAAGAGCTTTCTTCACAGCTCATCATGTAAATTTTTAGAATCACTGTCCAACTTTGGAAAGCCTCTATCAATGTTTTTTTTACAGGCAAGCTGTAAAATTTCAGTACTTTTCAAGTTTTTGTGAAGTGATCAATATCAAATGTTTTTTGAATTGAATCAAATGTTGTCATTGACCTTTAGTGGCAAAGTGCAGGTTTTAGTTTTCTTCATTGATCTACTTTGTTCTTAAATCAGCAAGTAATTTAAGTACTTAATTAATGTTCTTATGATGCAGTCCTCTTTATTCATTGCCAGAAAGCCAAAGTCCTACTGATTATTTGTTTACACTTTCTGATGTGATTTGCATATAATTTTGTTTGAGAATTATAAACACAGGAATTCTGATAAAGTTAGTTTGCAGGATTCTCCAAAAAGGAAAGGAACATGGTACATTTATAATTGCATATACTGCATTATCATATATGTTCCTGATGTGGGAGAGCCTCTAATTTCAGTTTTGACTATATGAATGAGAAGTGAGTCCTCTTCTTACAGTTTTACATGCTTGGTGTTTGGAAGATTTTTCCAGACACTGGTCCTGATTCCAGCATGATGACTTTACTGCAAGTGCTAGCTGCCACAGGACACTTGAGAGTGCTGTGGGACCGCTGCTCTTGCATATCCTGTTATCATCCTGGTTACAAATGCACAGTGGGCATTAAGAGTATTTCTGGAAGCCATTTTTGCACTGTAAAGACTGGCAGTGACTCAGCTATGCACAGAAATGACCACAAACCACATAAATATACCATGCTGAACCCAAACCAAATGTATCCTCAACTCAACGTCCCTTTAGCTGAATCCCAAAAATGCCTGGGGCTACTCCAGTGACAACTGATATGGGAGGAAGTGTGACAGAGGGGGAGTTAGAGTGGAAAGAGACAGCAGTTTTAGTAGGTTGTGGTTAAGATATCTCACTTTCACAAGTATAAAAGAAATATGACCATGTGAACATGTTGCTGGGACCCCTCCCAGAGCTCTGAATGAGCCCAGGCAAGTGAGGGACCTGATGCCTCATAAGCTTCTTGGCAAAGCTGCATGTTTCTGTTGAGAGGGGGTTGGTGCAGTGATGACTCTGGGGAAGGGAAAGTAATGGAGCTGAAGAGCCTTGTAGACTGCAGGATAATGGAGGAATTAAGAGATAGGAGGTTTTGTCAAGTTTGAAAACGGAGAAAGCTGTGAGAATAGAAATTGGTAGTCAGAGGAGAGGATGCTGGAGTTGGTTTTGCTGGTGACATGGCCCTGAGAATGTCTATGATGGTATGAAATTGAGACATGGAGGAAGAAAAGGTCCTGGTAGTCAAGGAGTTGTTCAAGGGGTTGTGAGTTTAAGGTGTGGGTGGGTCTGTTTTCACACTGCTATAAAGAATATCTGAGACTGGGTGATTTATAAACCAAAGAAGTTTAATTGACTCACAGTTCCCCATGGCTGAGGAGGCCTCAGGAAACTTACAGTCATGGCAGAAGGTGGAGGTGATTCAAGGTCGTCCTACATGGTGGCAGGTGTAAGAGAGAGCACAGGGGAAGTACCAGACACTTATCAAACAACCAGATCTCATGAGAACTCACTATCATGAGACCAGCATGGGAGAAACTGCACCCATGTTCCACTCACCTCCTACCAGGACCCCCCTTGACACATGAGGAGTATATTCAGATTATGATTCAAGATGAGATTTGGGTGGGGACACAGAGCCAAATCATATCAGGAAGATTATCTGCATGGACAGTGCCATTACCTAGGAGGACTGTAGGAGGTAGGGTTGGGGGACAAAGAATGTGAGGCTACTCTGGTGTTCTCTATGGATGTCAGGAAATGGTATTGGAGGCAGATAGTAGACAGCATCTTTATTAGTTTCTTATTGTTGCTGTAACAAAGTACCACAAACCTGGGGGCTTACAATAACACAAATTCCTTCTACAGTTGGTGTTGTCAGGGTGGAGTTCCCTCTAGACTCTAGAGCAGTTTGTAGGGGAGAAACTATTACCTTACTCCTTCCAGCTCCTGGTGGCTGCTGCCATTCCTTAGCTTGGGGCTGCATCACTCCATCTCTGTGTCCAGGGTCATGTGGCCTTCTCCTTTTTCTATCTGTGTTAAATATCCCTCGTCTCTTTCTTATCAGGACACTTGTGATTGCATTTAGGAGTCACCCTGGTAATCCTGGATGATCTCTGTACCTCAAGATCCTTAATCACACTTGCTAAATCCTTGCCATATATGGTTACATTCATCAGTTCCAGGGATTTGGATGTAGATGTCTTTTGGGGAACCATTATTCAGCCTACTACAGCATAAACAAAAAATAGAAAGTGATGGAAATTCAAACTCAGAATGCCAATCCCATGTGTCTCAGCCTGTGCGTGTGCGCCTCTCTTCCCTCTCCCTGGCATGCCTTTTATTGTCTCCTTGTGAATTCCTGGTTATTCAAAACCCAAATCACATAGTATCTATTGTATGCTACTTCCCCTGATTCCTCCAGGCAGTGTTAATTACTTCTTTGTCTTTGCTTCTGTAGTGTTTGTAGATTTATCTACCGTAAGCCCTTCCTCCATCATAATTAATCTGTGTTTTTCACTTTCTTTCTAGGCTATGAGCTTCTTTAGGGGCTGTTTCTTGTTTACCTTTGTATCTTAACCATCTGCCTGACACAAAGTAGGCAATTAGTAAATATTTGTTGTTGGATGGACATAAGATAAGGAGCATCAGTTGTTTTCATGGTTGCTGTTTGGCTTGAAATGGCTTGCTAGATTGCTTTATGAACTGTCTCAGGTATTTTTACTTTATTCTTTCCATTGTAAGGTGGACTGATATCTCATTGTTTTAGAACTTGGTATCTCACTCAAATGTAAGGAGGTAGTAATCTTGAACAATTCTGAATTAAATCTTTAGTAAAAGAGAATGTTTATTCCCTCATGTGCCTGTGCTTTTGAGATCCTTGTTAAATGTTGACCTAAATCAATACACTATTTCCGTACCCATCGAGACTTCACAGTTTAGCAAAAGAAACACTAACTACCCCCCAAACCAGAACAGAAGGTGGGAATGTTAGTTCAATAAAAATAGAGGAACAGAAAAGGAAAGTAACTCTGATTTGAGAAATTAGGAGGCGCTGCAGAGGACAGGGCTATGTATGTTGAGTGTTTGGAAATAATAGGGCAGATGATGAGATAGACTGCTCTTTGTTTTGAAAGGGGAAGAGAAAGAACAAATATAGGAAGCTTGGCAAATTTATGAAATCACAATCTATCCATAAATGCTGGGAGATAAAGCTAGTGGTGTTCCTTCAAATGTGTTCTTTTGACCACTAGTTCCTTGAGATGTATCCTGAAACAGGGCTTCCTGGTCAGTAGACTTCAGCTCATGTGGTGTTCTGTGTTCCTGCAAGGGCACAGTGCACATGAACATGTGAAGGATTCTGAAAACATTGCAGGATGGAAATCGGATTTGCCAATTAGTTTCCTAAGTTTACTTGACAATAGCACCCTTTTGTTTTAGCACTGGCATGCAGCAATGTACAGAACAAATGTTCTTCATGGTGCATTTTATAAACTCCAAGTTGGGAAGAGGCCAAACCATAGAGAAGAGGCCAAATCATAGAGGGCTTTGGATGGCAGGTTAATAAATTTAGGCCATGCTTGTAGTCAGAATGGACACACGGCTTTGGTTTCTGAGAAGGAAAAGCCATGAATGAATATGTGGTTTAGGACAGGAGGCCAGGAATAGTATAAAGATTTGCAGAATTGGTGGCAGGTGTCCATTTACACTGTTGACATAGACAAGAGAAGAAACTGAAGGCTAGAACTAGTGCAGTGACTGAGAGAATCGAAAAGAGCAGCCTCACGGGAGAGCAGTTTCCAAGGCCCAGTGACAGTTCATGGGCCGTATAGGAATGACTGGTGTATTGGGAACTTCCTACATGCCAAAAACCATTTAAGCTCTTTACGTATATTATCACATATCATCCTTATACCTACTTTGTGAAGAAGTAATTATTACTTCTACCACTTAAGAGATGAAGAAACTGAAGCACAGAAAGTTAACTTATTGTAGCTACTTAAATATCAGCTAGTCCATTGGATAGCCAGTGTTTAAGTTTCTGCAATCAGGCCCCTAAATTCATACTCTGAACTAGTGGTTCTCAAACTTTTGATCATAAAACCCATTTAGACTCTTGAAAATTATTGAGGACCTCAAAGAGTTTTGGTTTATGTGGGTTATAGCTATCAATATTTACCATATTGGAAATTAAAACTAAGAATTAAAAAAAATTAATATAATTCATTAACATTCATAACATAATTTATCAATAATTCATTTTAAATATCAGTAAGCACAATATGTGTTCACATAGATAAGTTTATGAAAAATTAATGTAGTTTTCAAACAAAATGAGATGAATGGCAATTTTTTTGCAAAACTTTTAATGTTTGGCTTAATTAAAAAAATCTGATTCCCATATTTGCTTCTGTGTTAACTCCTAGAGCTATATCATTTTGATTGAAGGTCAGTTTGGCCTCATACAGGTATGTACTTGGGAAGGGTAAGAGGGATTGTTTTAGTAGCTTTTTCAGGTAATCGTGGATATCCCTCTTTGCACTACTAATTTGGCATGTGGTGGTTGCTTAAGATTAGTTCCAAGGTGGAACCTGAAACCATATCAGTGAACCTGACCACGTTCTGTAACATTAAAATCTGTTGATCTGTCTTGAAGTTTGAATAGATCTTTTCCCTATATATGATTTTCTAATATTATGCATTGATTATTTGGAAATATTGGTTTACTGATTATGTAGACTTTGTAAATATTGACTTAATTATACAGTATCAAAGTATCACATTTATTTATGTCACCACCAATCTCATCAGAAAACTCTTTAAGTATTGGGAAGCTGTCAAGCTCACAGTGCCACATAGAAGTTTTCCAAAATTCTAATTTTCACTCCAATGCTCAGATCTTATCATTGACAACAAATTCATTAGTTGTTTTCCTTAAAGGCTTGCTTTATTTTTTTAGAAAATGTGAGCCATTTTCCTTTTTTTTTTTTTTTTTTTTAACCATAGTTCATTAGTTTTTCTTTTAAGTAAACATGGCAGGGGAAAGTGGGGAGGGCCCATGAAAACAACGGCTCATTCATCTCACAGCTCAAACCCATAAGTGCTTTTCTTTTTCCACAAGCATCTTTCTTTGCTATACAGCTGAAGTGCTTTGTGTGTATTTCACATTTCATCACACGGTGTATTAAAAAGATGTGGACTAATCTTGGTGTTTAATAAAATTAGGAATTTTACCGCTTTGTCAAAGATATTCCTAAACACCATGAATATGTGTCTGTGAAGAGTGCAGTGACTATTGGTATTGTTTGGGGCCACTGCCTTGATTCACTTGACTCATGCTAAGGCATCAGCAGTTGTCTTCTTGCTTTTGTGCCATTAGTGTAAATGTCAACATGGTTTTTCTTAAAAAAAAGGGCAGATCATGTCTTAATGTTGCTGTGAAAATAGTTTTGACTTTGTGAACCTCTGGAAGGGTCTTAGGGGCTTCTAGTGATTCATAGAGCACATTTTGAGAATTGCTGCTTTAAACTCTGATGCTACCTCTCTAGTCACGGGAAGACTGCTTAGCTTGTATGAAAGGAAAGATGGTTATTTGCAACCTGGGAGCTTCCAAGGGAGCTTCATGTAGTTAGGGATGGGAGGGAGAGGGAAGCAGTAGAATATGTACAATTATATACAATCACTGAAATTGCTGGTTAAGAACTGTGGACTTGAACTGTTAACTCTTTGTAGAAAGGAGAATGGCTAATAGCAATTTAGAAGATAACTGTAACAATAGCTTCAGTCCCACGTGTTCTTTTCAAAGTTTCCCACTCAGCCATTAAGAGGTGGAGTCCAGTTCACCTCTCTGCTAGCTGGGTGGATTTGTGACTTGCTGTAACCAATAGAATCCAGTGTTAAGTATCACATTGCTTCTGAAACAAGCAGTTTCTTGCCTTGTGAGTTGAAATGCTTGTCTCTGGAGCCCATGTCAAAAGCATACAGCTTTCCCGATGTCACCAGGCTGTGAGGAAGAGGCCCAACCATCAGTGGCATCAGAGCCAGACATGTGAGTGTGTGGCCTTTGATAGAGCCACAAAGTTACCTCCAGTTTTCTCTGCTGAGGCTGCTGACATTATGGAGCAGAGACCGACCACCCCGTGTGCTCCTTCTGAATTCCTGACCCACAGAATCTGTGACTCCAAGAAAACGTTTCTTTGGTCCCACTAGATTTGGGGAGACTTGTTCTGTAGAAGTGGTAATGGCAACCATGAGTTGAATGAATATAGGAAAAGTAGAATGAAAAGTGTGCAAAGGACAGTGTTGAGTCGGGGAGAGTAGAGTGAAAAGAAGGGAGTGAAAGAGTCTTGGGGACAGATCCATACTGAGTTGCTGTGCTACTGTGAGTCCTAACAACAGCACCCATCAAGTAAGAGAGTTTTAAATCAGTGGTTTTCAACTGTGGGTTCTAACTCATTAAAAGGACGTGAAATCAATTTAGTGTGTCACAACTGGCATTCCAAAAAAAAAAAAAAAAAACAGACATAGAAATATTAGTGTTACATATAGAAAGGGTAAGTATTATTTCAAGGACCTTTGATTTCAGCTATGTTTGTATATGTGCTGGGTGAAGTCTAAAATAAGTTTTTATGTGGGACACAGTACAAAAATTTTGAGAGATGCTGCTTTAAACTGGCTACTAGTTGCTTAAGCTAGACTTAAATATGTGTGTGGGATCAGTATCATTTATTGCCTTCAGTGGAAGAGAGAATTAGATTGCCAGGACTCTGGTGGCAATGAGAAGAACAGGCCATGATCATAGATTTCTGCTAATTTATTGTCTTTTGTTAGAACAAGTACTGTTTGTTCACGAGGCTTACTAATGAGTGTGCCAGCTCTCAAGATAGTTGTCTGTATATGGAAATGTGTGCTCACAGATTTAGACTTCACCTGAGCCAGAAATGCTAATAACAGTTGTTCAGTTATAAACAAAGTTATTAGTAAAACCCTTTAAAAATGCAAAAAAAGGGTTATCTAGAGCAAAGGAGAAAATGAGGTATAAAATTTAATACATTTTCCCAAATGAAAGTATAACATTCCTTTCTAAATTGTTTGAAATGTAAAAGTATTTCTGACAGCTTGGTAGAAAATAAAAACCAATGGATATAGGGTCAAAAGATACATTGGGAGTCCATATAAATAAGCAAGTGACATATAAATTCAGCAATACCCAAATTAGTCATTCTTAGAAGAGAAACCTCCTTCAACAAAAATAACCTGATGGATAAGGACTGCAGAAGGAATTTTGGTCTTCTCAGAGTTGGGTTGGTGTCTGTGGCAGCTCTTTGAGAGGGGAGAAGAGTGGCTGTCTCAGATTTAGGTTTCTAAAGGAAGGTTTAAGTTATTTTTCAAGAAGTTATGTCAATTTATTGTGTTATTTTGGTCAAGTTGAGCACAGGTTGGCCTGTGTGTGCATGTCCATGTGTGTATAAACACACATTTGTTTATTGTCAAGGATGAGCATTTTCTGAAGCATGGTTTTCTGTTTATATTGTAAGATTACATCTTCTGTCTTTGTATCTACTTGGACTGTTGCATTTTTCTAATAAGCTTGGATGACAAGTGTATATAGAATGATACCCTGTTTCATTTCATAGAAACATGTTTTCCTGGCTTGCTAGAGTTCAGTTTAAATCAACATTCCAGGACTGTCCCAAGCAGATTGGTGAAGTAGGGGACATTTTTCTTCTGCATTTCTTAGATGTTCATTTATATATTTCCTCCCTTTCCTCTTTACAGACTACCTTAAAGGAAAGTTATTTGAGTCATAAGAAAGAGTTAATTTGTCCTGCCTCCCAGCAGGGGTTACAATTGAGCAGAACTCAAGGTGAGAGCAATATTTAACCCAAAACAATGATTCCCTTGAGTCAGATTTTATGAGATGAGAAGGAGAAATTTTGAGCCAAGGGACTTTCCCTCCCACTACAATTGGAACTCTTTGAGGGAACGGAGGTGTATTAATCAACTCTCCCTTTGAAGTCCAATTCTGTGGAGAGAGACAGAAGCCCCAGCCCTGTCCTGAACAGCTGGACAATGATCTTCCCATTCCCTGACCCACCGTGGGAAGAACTTAGAGCACAACTGGGGACACATTGAGAACAGAAAAGACAGTTTCATCTGACTACTGAGTTTTCTTTAGGTATTCTTTTCAAAGAGATTTAGTACAACAACTTCTTTTAAAAACTGGTTGAATTACATAAATAAGCCGAAAAGAAAGTAGTGGCTAAGTGAAAAGGTAACCTTATTTCTGAACCTCTGATTGAAAGAACAACATACTCCGTGTAGAAAAGTTGCAGATATACAAATATATGATGAAGAACCCAAACTGCCTGTATTAATTCATTTTCATACTGCTATAAAGAACTGCTCAAGACTGGGTAGTTTATAAAGGAAAGAGTTTTGATCGGCTCACCATTCCACATGGCTGGGGAGGCCTCAGGAAACTTATAATCATGGTGGAAGGTGAAGGGGAAGCAAGGCAACAGGAAGGAGAAGTGCCAAGAGAAGGGGGAAGAGCCCCTTATGAAACCACCAGATCTCCTGAGAACTCACTCACTAACAGGAGAACAGCATGGGGGGAAACAGCCCCATGATTCAGTTACCTCCACCTGGTCTCTCCCTTGACACTTGGGGATTATGAGGCTTACAGTTCAAGATGAGATTTGGGTGGGGACACAAAGCCTAACCACATCACTGCCCAATCTCTCACCCAGAGAAAATTATTAGCATTATTCTCTTACATACCCCTACCCTTGTATGCAACTGTATTTTCAATTTTTTTGTTTAACATGCTATAAGCTCAGATAGAGAAGCCTCCTTTTTAATGACTGCATAATGATTTCTTCTGTAGTTCCTTAGCTTATTTGCTGATTCACTAATTTTACACACTAATTTTACTACCTCATCATTCAGATTATAAGTGAGGTTATCTGTCAGAGCATTATTGGTAGGTCTTGGCTCCCAGGTCCGAGTATGTCATTGGAGTATATTCCCAGAACAAGGTGAAGTGCTGGAACTATTTTCATGTGTCTTTATACACACTGTCGCTGACTTTCTGTATGTTTATTCTAGTTGATAGGTCATCAGCACCATATGAAAGTGCTGGCTTTCCCATCCTGGCCAACTTGAATATTTTCTATAAGTTTTTTGGGAGTTTGATATGTATTAATAACAAAAATTATTCCACTGCTGTTGCTTACCGTTCTTTATTTGTGAAATGGGACATTTCTAACATTTCCTTTTTAGCCAGTTCTATTTTCTTGTCTGTGATTTTTCTGTTTGTGTCCTTTACATATTTTCAGGAAGCTGTGATTGTTCAGTGTTAATGAGTGGTGATCACAAATACCAAGTAGTTCTTATTAGATTTTATATAGTAATAGACCTTAACTACACAGTACAATGTTAGGTTCTATAAGTAATAGCATAGATGATGCTTATGGATAATTTCTTTTTTGTTGGCATTAATGGATACAGATTTATCATACATCATAGCTAAGAACAGAAAGTGTTTTATACTGAAAATAAAGAAATGATATGGGCCGGGCACAGTGGCTCACGCCTGTAATCCCAGCACTTTGGGAGGCCGAGGCGGGTGGATCACCTGAGGTCAGGAGTTCGAGACCAGCCTGGCCAACATGGTGAAACCCCATCTCTACTAAAAATACAAAAACTAGCTGGGCTTGGTGGCAGGCAC
Source organism: Homo sapiens (assembly GCF_000001405.40). Classification (NCBI taxonomy): domain Eukaryota; kingdom Metazoa; phylum Chordata; class Mammalia; order Primates; family Hominidae; genus Homo; species Homo sapiens. Next base: position 226,882,305 of record NC_000002.12, read on the forward strand.
CTGTAATCCCAGCTACTCGGGAGGCTGAGGCAGGAGAATTGCTTGAACCCGGTAGGTGGAGGTTGTAGTGAGCCAAGATCATGCCATTGCACTCCAGCCTGGGCAACAAGAGTGAGACTTTGCCTCAAAAAAAAAAAAAAAAAAAAAAAAGAAGAAGAAGAAGAAGAAAAAGAAATGATAAGATGGGTTGTTTTTTGTGGGAGATAGAAGACATAGGCTTTATTATTTACTTATGTTTTTTAAGTAAATTCTTTTTTTTTAAACTGGACTTAGATTGGCAGAAAAATTGCCAAGATGTATGGAAACCGCCCCCCGCCCCGAACCTCACACCTAATTTTACCTCTTATTAATGTCTTTCCTAATTTTTACCTAATGTCTTTTATCTATCCCAGAACGCCATCTGGCATATCATGTAGTAGTTAGTCCTTTGGTCTTAGATTCCTGTCTTACTCAGCCATAAATAAATACCATAGACTGTGTGGCTTACACAACAGGAATTTATTTCTCACACTTCTGGAGGCTGGAAGTCTGAGATCAGGTTGCCATCATGGTTGGTTCTTGTTGAGGCCTCTCTTCTAGGCTACATTCTCACTGTGTCCTCATGTGGCAAGGAGAGAGAGAGAAAGCAAGTTCTCTTACATCCCTTCTTATAAAGGCACTAATCCCTTCACAAAGGCCCCACCCTCCTAACTTCATCTAAATCTAAATATCTCCCAAAGACCCCATCTCTAAATAGCATCACATTGGGAATTAAAGCTTCAACATATTAATTTTGAGAGGACACAGTTTGGTCCATAAGAGTTCCTCATGGCTGTGACACTTATTTTTATTTATTTCTAATGAGTTATAAAATCATTCCTGAACATCTGCGTGTATTAACATTAACTCTCATTGACCCTCATGTGTTTCAGAAACAGTGTTCAATTAGCCACATGGCGTGATTTCTAAGCAAGTTTTAATTTAGGTGCATGAACATATATTGTGTTCTGTAATTAGACAGGCCTGCTGTGGTTCCATTTAAAAATGTACACGTCATACACAGAGGTGGAATTAAACCACATCGATATGAGACATTTCTATACCAACCAGAGGGGGCCAGCCATGGAGGACTCCTGCTGTCTATACATTAGTCAGACCTTGTTTAGGGTCTGTTTTACCCAATTGGCCTGCTCAGAATAACAGAGAAGAGCGGTAGGTAGAAACAAGGAAGCAGCTGTTTTTCTAGTTGAACAGTGTTATCTGGAATAAGGTTCACTACCCAGGTTGAAACTAATTGGCCATCATGCTGGGATATAATTGTGGGTGTGTGGATGATAACACCTACCTAATCTGTACTTAACTAACTAGGCTTGTTAATAATCAATTTTGGTGACTTGGTGACAGGTGCGAGACTTGAGTACTATGTTGGATGTCCCAGATAATGATGAGTGGAGGTTATTTTAAAATGGTAAAATTTTTAAAAATTAAAGAAAAGGCCTATGTCATGGGTCAGTAGGTGATAATCAATAAATGGATCTAATTCAATTGAGGAGCTCTGTTAACTGTATTTTACAGGAAAAGGGTGTTTTTAATATTAGAAGTTAATTACAAATGTAGCAATTATTTTGACTCGATTTTTTTTCTGGCTAATATTTTTTCATTACAAAAGTCATGAAGCCGCTAAAGCAATGTATTTCCCTTTGGAGTGTTTAGAATGTGCACTTTGGCCTGTTTGGAATTTTTTTAGGAGACACTATTGGAGATAAACATTATACAATTAAATATTCTCAACTAATAAGATGATAAATCACATCTCTGGAGATTTCTAATGTGTTTACTTAATTCTTCCCATTTCAGTATAAGCAGGAATGTTTTAAAATAGAGAGTTCTTTTTATTTGCTAATTTCCCTTTCCTCTTCTGCTTGTGCAGTATTAAGTGATTTTTAGTTAAAAGTCATGGGAGTTAAATAGGCATGAGGACTGTTTTCCATTTACATTCAGGTTTGGTTCAAATTATGTAAAATGAAGACAGTTGGGGCTATGAGTTGAAATCATTAGTACATCAATTATTCTGTGATAACCAGCTGAGAACAGGCTGCAGCCTGCAATAAATGTTCCCTCCATTTAAAGTTGGCTTCTCATTAGCTTATATGAGAGATAAAATAATTTGATTCTAATTTATCTCTCCTTAAATGGACATTGTTCCCCCCTGAATTCAAGAGGAGAGCATTTTAATTTTGTAGTCATTTATAACACATGGGTCAAATAAATAACAAGTTTTATTTCTAGCAATATATGTCACTTCAGTAATTTATATTGCCATAGTTTCTGGATTCTAAGACACACATCTTTTTATGACATAATTGGCCATAAACGTGTTAAAGATAACATAAAAATCAGTAGAGAAAATAAGAGTTTTTAAACAATGTTGCTTAAATAATTTTTTAACCATTTGGAAGAAACTAAAGTTAGAGCTTTGCCTCACTAGACTCTAAAACAAATTGCTGATGTTTAGAATGTGTAATAAGCCAGATCTGAAAAATAACTAACAATGTGTGAGGAAAATTTTAATTTCTAAGCATAAAAACAGTGAACGTAATTTCAAATGAACACAAAAATAGTAGGCTGCTTTTGATAAAGGGCAAAAATCAGAAATAAATGAGAAAAAAATGAATTACATCTTTAGGATGAACAATACTAAGTACAAGAAAAACACTGACAGGCAGATTGGCAAAGGCTATCAATAAACAATTTATAGAAAAAAATCTATCAGTGGCTAATAAATGTCTAACATAAAAGCTTTAGTTTTGTTTGTGTTTTCTTTTCTGTATAACACTAGGTAACCAAAAAGCTCATTATTAGTTAAATAATGGAAAATTAAATTATTCTAAAATTGTTACTCTTGAGGTTTTGATTAAATGGGAATTTACATAAACTTTTGATGGGGCTGTACATTGGTATAAACATTCTGAAAAGTAATTTGGGCATGTGTATCAAGATTTGTAAAAAGGTTTATACCCTTTGATTCAATAATTAGCTTTCTAAGAATCTAAAGTATAAATGGCTAGAAATACAAAAGATTGATATCAGCATATGTATTGTAATGATGTATCAGAAAATGGAGAACCCCCTAAACATCCAATAGTACATGACTCAATAAATCATGTTGTACATCATGATAGAATATTGTACAGCCATTAAAATGGTATTGTCAGAGATTATATTAGTAGGCTTAGAAAACACAATAAAATAAGGGTAGAAAGAAGAATACAAAGTATTACATATGAAGTGGTTTCAGTTTTTTTCAAAGTAAAAATAGTCATACAAAAAGGACTAGAGAGAAACCCATCAAATATTAATAGTAGTTAACTCAAGGTTGTGGAATTATTGGTATTATTTATGGCTTTTTCTTCAAACATTTCCCCCCAAATTTTCTACAGGGATGCATCATTTATAGTGGAAAAATTTAGTTCTTAAAACATAAATATATACAGTAGTTCCCCTGTTATCTGCAGGAGATACTGTTGAAGACTCCCAGTGGATGCCAGAAACTACCATGGATAGTGCAGAACAATATATATGCTGGGTTTTTTCAATCCGATAACCGAGATGGCTGTTAAGTGACGAATGGGCAGGTAGTGTATGCAGCATGGATCCACTGGACAAAGGGATGGTTTGTGTCCCACGTGGGATGGAGCAAGACAGCGTGAGATTTCATCACAGTACTCAGAACAGTGTGTGATATAAAACTTGTTTATTTATAGAATTTTCCATTTAATATTTTCAGACCAAGATTGATTGTGGGTAACTGAAACCGTGGAAAGTGAAACAGCACATAAGCGGGGACTACCATAGCACCCTATTTTTACAACCCTTAACTTATTTGTCTCTTCCAAGTTCCAGAGGGCAGGGATATTCTCTATTAGTCTTGTTCTCTGCTTATCCTCAGTGACTCAAACAGTGCTTGGTACATTGTAGTTACTCAATAAATATTTGTTGAATGAAGCCAGCGTTTGGGGTGTCTGGCCCAGCTAAAGATAAATAGCAAAATGTAAAAATAGCTGAGTTAGGGACCCAAGTCCCTAAGTTTGGAGTGGGCAGCAAGGAAAGATGTGAGATCCAAAATCTGAGCACAGAGCTAGAAGGCAAAGTGTGGGATTCAAACAAGAAAAGGGAAAACGGAGCATGTAGAAGACCTGAAAACGCGGCTGAGCAACTGGAGTAGGACAGTGGAAGCTCCTCCTGCAAGTGTTGTGCAGGACACGGTCCTGCCTCGTCTCACACAAAGATGACAAGATTAGGCTACAAAGGCAACTTCAATCTTCTCTAAAAATACAGAATTTTATAGGGCATATTCTCATCACAAGGTAATAATGACTTTAAAAACTGAACGTGAAGAAAAGGCAAAACAATAGTCATAATCACTTGAGAACTAACTCCCTAATTAAGGGGAATTTTTTTAAAAAAAGATTTTAGACATAAACATTGAGAATACTACATATCAAACCTGTGGGCTTTGGCAAACTTTTAAATGCTTTCTATTATATACCAAAAAATTTTAAAGAGTAAGTAAGCTTAGTCTTTAATTTAAAGAACTAGAAAAGGAACAAATAAATAGAGGAACATGGAACTGATCATGATAAAGGCAAATTTTAATAAACTAAAAAGGAAAAAATGATAGAATTAATAAATGAAGAGCTATATCTTTGAAAAAACAAGTAGACAAGCCTGTGGCAGGTTTAATTAAGAAAATTAGAAAAAATACTTAAAACAGTAGATTTGAAAAGATGTAGCCACAGATACGGAGGAGGCTAGGTCCACTTTGAGGATGATGTATATTTTGGGAGAGAATAACTTTTTCTGTTCTAAGACTGTTTTAAAAGAGTCGCTGTTGGTTTGGAGTTTTTAAAAGTTGTTGACTAATATTATAAAAACTTTTCTTTTTAAAAGAAAGCATCACTGAGATATGATCCAGTCAGTATTTATAATATAATTATTAAAATGTCTTTGAGTTTCTCTGATGTGTTCTAATTGCATCTGTAGTTGTAGATTTCATTCAATGAGTTCTTACCCAGAGAACATTCAATTATAGTGTCAGTTTGTTGAGGGCTTATGATCCTGTAATTTTTGAGGGAGAATTCCTCAGTGTAACTGACATTGAACAGATTTTGATGGACCAGTTAATTTTAGTTAAAGGGTGGTATAAATTCACTGCGTGATATATACCAAGTAATTTGAACTCTCAACAGAGGGTCACATTTCCTCCTCTTTCAGGCAGTTTTGTGAAGTGTGATGCACCAGTAGGTAAAAATACTTTAGGACTTGCTAATGAAAGACAGTGTGTACAGAATCTGCTTTTCTAGCACATATTTTTATAGATGTTGAAAATGCTCTTGTCAAACAGTATTTTAAAAACTGTCAGGTGTATGTGTGTTTTTCAAATGAGTTTTAAATAATTCAGTACTATGCAGGCAGCAGAAAAATGACTTTATAAACTTGCAATGCTCTTTTGTATTGAATGTGCAAGTAGAGTCTATGAATTAAAAATGAATACTATCTGATCCATCTTTTTACTAATAACCAATGTAGTGTTGATGGAAATTTATTGTTTACTAATGTTTGGTATTTTTCCATTAAAGAATAACCTTAAAGTCATTTAAACAGATACAACACGTATGCAGATGGTGAAGTAGTTTTCTAATAGAAGTCCTGTCTGGTTTATACAGCTTGATGGCCGACTCAGGGTGGCCTCCTTCCCTTTTCTTCCCTACTATGAGCTGCTGAATCGGAAGTGAGGACATGTTAGACATGGAAGATAGTTTACTTCTAGTGAGTAAGTGTTAGATTCCTTAGTGCTTGCCCATACAGCCACGTAGTTGGTGAGCAGCATTGGTGGAATATTTAAACTTCCCTCCCTAATTACACTGAGGAATTTTCCCTCAAAAGTTACAGGATCATAAGCCCTCGACAAACGGATGCTATAATTGAGTGTTCTCTGGGTAAGAACTTACTGAATAAAATCTACAACTTCAGATGTGATAGTGTTACAGAAATTAGAATAGATCAAAAATTCAGACTTTAAAAAATTGTGTATTAAATACTGTTTGGATCATGAAATCTCAGTGAGGTTTTTTTTTTTCAAAAATTCAGTTTTAATAATATTAGTTATAAACTTAAAAATCCAAACCACCAGTGACTCCTGTAAAAAAGGTCTAGAGTGTCTAATTGGGAGTGAAAACCTAAGGATCAGACTATTATGAGTCTTACCACATTTTTCATTGACTCATTTGTCCTAATTCTCATCTTTATCCTGACCTTTGTGTCTTGTTTTTTTTTTCTTTTTAAGGTGTGGCAAGGGAAAAACTTATGTTTGTGAAAAGGCTATGTGTAAAGCATAGTACTGTGTACATTTCTTTCTTTGCCAAAGGGCAGTGAAGAACTCTGGTTTTTCTAAAGGGAGACACATTTTCTTTTTTATCATTATTGTTATGTCTACAATTTGGTTTTGTTTTCCTCAATCAGGTATTTTACATGAATAACAATTGTGTTAGTCACGATCAGGAGTTATCAAATCTCTGGTCTGAGAATCTGCACGTTAGGAATTAAACAACTTCCATGGCAAGTGATTTAAGGTGTATTTGCAGGAATTGCCACAGAGAGGGTTGTAGTTGGATACAGAAAGGGTGAAAACGTGTCTGGGAACATTAAGTTCAAAGCTTTTTACCTTGCAGCAGTAATTTTAAAGATTTGCCCCAAGAAACTGTAAACGTTCATTTAAAATTCATAAATTCCACTTCAGCATCTCTGAGTGCACTGCCTGTGATTGCTATCCAGGGTCTTGAGCATGCTGACTGTGTACTGTTTAACACACATGGTTTGTCGTGGTATTTCCCATGCTGCTGGACTGACTTGTTCTGCTTATTCAGTCTGAAGGGACTCATCAGAGCTGTTGTCACCCATTCGGCTAGAGGTGGACTGCCCAAGTAATGAGAGAGGTGTTCTTTATGTGCTCTGCATTATTTCAGGGTCCTCTTCAGAGATCTTTATTTTTAACAATGGCTTGAGGTCCCCCTTTGATCAGGGTTTTATACATTTTCACGTTAGTTGCGATTGAGTTTTCTTAAAGTTCAGCTAAGAACCAACAGTAAAATAAGGGTTGAAGGGGAAAAGGATAACAAAAGATCTCAGAAAATAATAAAGGAGATTAAAACTATCTGGTGAAACAAAACCTCGTAGCAGACTTGAAGGCATGTAGTGTTTTTGGAAAAGTTTTGTTGAGGAATACAAATTAGAAATCAGTAGATTTCATTTTCTCAAAGTGTTTTGTGGGTCAAAACATATTGTTAGACTTGTGTTTCCATAAACAGTTATATGGCTTCTAGTCAGACTTTTGCTTGTTCTCATGTTCTGCATTACAGATTATAAACCCTAATTATACTTTTCCAGACATATAGATGCCGAGCAAAGGCCAGCCGAAGGTATATCCATCAGGGATGAAGTACTGGGAATGGTTTCCTTATTGAATTCTCCTTCTTTCAGCACACTTTTTTGAGTGCCACTCCCTCTTCCTCCTAGCTCTGTACTTCATAGTCCTAGGCCCTTGATTCAATTACTTTTCTAAGTATCAGTCTCTCATCTGTAAAATGAGACCAATAATAGTACCCATGTCATGGACTTGTTGGGAAAATTAAAAGATTGCACAAGACAAATGCTGAAGTCTGTGTCTGGCTGATGGGCAGGGTGCTACCATTTCCGTGTCCCTGACCCATCACCTGCAGGTACAAGGTGAGGGTTGCTAAAGCTCAAGCCAGTCAGAGCACGTCCAAGTCTTCCAGAACTGTGTAAATCATGGAATCCCCTTGAAAGTGTTTGCTGACAATTTACTGAATAAAATAACTACAGATTTTAGAGAGCCCTTTAAAAGACCTAATAAGTGAGTACTTAAAAATAGTGTGTCTGTTTTTAAAACAGTGAGATGTTTGAGTTTTGACTCACATTTTGTTTACCTGCAACGTGTCAGCCATTCTACAGGATTCTTTAGTATGTATTTTCTCTTTTAATTCTTACAATATTTTTATTATCTCCTGCACATGAGGAATGGAGCTATATCTGTTAGAAGGTTCTGGGAATTCATTCAGTGATGAACATCTGCATTAGTATTTCTTCAGTGTAGTAACATTCTTCTTGACTCTTATTAGAATCATCAGGTCCTCCATTCCACCTGTGGTCTGCCTACCCTGGAGCTGAAATAGAGTGTTTAGCCAAATGCTCTTTGAGAGATTGAGGCCTGCTGGATTCTATAATGCCTCTGTCATCTTTTGTCACCTTGGCTAGGAGTCCTTTGGTTACAATTTAAAGAAACCCAGTTCTTTGTGTTACATACATTCCAATTATGCTCTTTTAGTTATTTTAAAATGCTTGGATGAATGATACCCCATTTACCCTGATGTGATTATTAAGCATTGTATACCCATATCCAAATATTTCATATATTCCATAAATATATATTCCTATTATGTACCCATAAAAATTTAAAATAAAATTTTTTTAAAAAGTAAAAAACCCAGCTCAAGCAAACCTGATCAAAGAAAAGGACACTATTAAAATTTCTAATGGTGTACTTTAAGGTTCCAGGAGCTTCAGATATGATGAAACTCAGATTCTTACTGTCATTAGGATTCTGTTTCTCCCTCCTGGCTCTATCTCACTAACCACCCACCCCCAACGCCTGTTTTGGCTTTTGTATTAGTTATCTATTGCTATGTAACAAATGATCTCAAATCCAGTAGCTTAAAACAACCACATTTACTATCCCACAGTGTTTAATAGGTCAGGAGTCTAGGTATGGCTTATCTGGGTCCTTGGTTTCGGGCTCTCTCAAGACTGCAACAAAGGTGTCAGTACAGAAATCTCATATGAAGGCTTGACTGGGGAAGGCTCCAATGCCAGCTCCTGTGGTTGTGGGAGGAATTCAATTCCTTCTGTGTTGTTGGACTAAGAGCCTCACTGTTGGCTGGAGGCTGCCCTCAGTTCGTTGCCACTTGACTCTCTCCCTAAGGCAGCTCACAATGTGGTACCTTCCTTCAGCAAAGAAGAGTCTGCTAGTGAGGCAGAAATTACAGTCTTATGTAATATTAATAGCATAATCATAGAAGTGACTTGTATTCTGTTGATTAGAAACAATTCACAGGTTCCACCTATGCTCATTGGCAGAGGGGTTATCCAAGGAGTGAATACCCAGGAATCAGGGATCACCAGGGGTCATCTGAAAGTCTGTCTGCCCAGTTTCATTCTCAGAAGAGTTCTCTCCACATGGTGACAGAGCTGACATCAGCAGCTCCTACATCCTAATGCTAGCAATCCTAGAGAAAATGCAGCTACTGTCTCCCTGGCATTTGTATAAGTATCTGTACCCAACCAATAGAATTCTTGGTTGGAAACCCTAGAAATAAACTCTGGCAAACTGAACCATAAAAAGACTTATCGGAAGGATATCAGATAGCTTCTAATATTTTTGAGAATACTGAAGACCTGGGCTGGAAGAACCTGTAAGAACTGGCAGGATGCTTGTTGCCATTGGTCAGTGCTTCACTGGACTGTCATCACTAGACTTTGTATTAGATACAAAGGGTATCTGATTGGCCAGTGCAGGTCGCATGCCTGTGCTCTGGCTGCCAGGAAGCTGAGGGACTATCTGCACCTCTTGAGCCTCCACTGGAGGTGGGGCTGTGTTTCTTTGACTGTGACACTGTGCTGAGATGAGCCCATAGGGGTCACCTGGCTTCACTAGGGTGACTTTTGTTCACAAATGTTCAGCCTAGCAGCTTGTATTGCATAAGCAGATTCAGCTCAAATGGGCAGATTTTAGAACTTTCTAGCTAGCATTTCTATGCTGTTTGTTTAACATTAACTGTGCCTTACAGACATACCAGTAAAGCTGCTACAGAGTAGTATGTGATGTTGATGGCATGTTAAGGTCTCTGAGTCATGTAGTAGATGGGGCATGTCTGTTTTTCATAGTCAGAATTTTTATTCATACCAGATTTAACCACAAGCAGAATTTACTTTTTCTGAAATTATGGGCTAACTTTGCAATGCAGTTTTTGTCCTAATCTTGATGTTGGCTCTAGGAATTCAGGGATTATCTTAACTTTTTACTTTCATCATCTTTGGCCATGTGCATATGACTTTTTGTACATGCGATACACTGACTTGAGGTATCAGGTTTTTATAAGTACAAAGAACTTGTGAATCTTTTGAAATAAGTTCATGTTTCCTTGCATGCATTTTCAAAGCTATACTTAATTCTTATGCAGCATTGCAGTAGAATAGAATAAGTAAGACCAACTTACCAAGAAGGGAAACAGATGCCACTTCTATGGGGTAATTTGTGAGGTGTAGTCTTGCCTACTCTCGAAATGTTTTTCTTATTGGCCCAATATGGCAACTGAAATCTCACCATTAGAACTCAAATTTTGGGTGAAGATCAATGCATCTCAACCTGAACACGTTGGAATTTCCTGGGGAATTAAAAACAACATTTCAAAAAAATCACTAAACAGAAAAAAAAACCAATGTCAGGACCTTACCCCAGAGCAACGTTGCGTAATTTCTGGGAGTAGGGCCCAAGGAGCAGTAAATTGTAAAACTTCTTTAAGGGATTCTAAAGTGCAGCCAGGATTGAGAACCAGCAGATCAAGAGTAGAACCTGGGAAGGGCAGTGCATTCATTCATGTTATGATGTGTACAAGGAAATACAGTAGACAGCATTTCCACAGTTCCAGTTGAGACTATTTCCTGCCATCTTTTCTTCTTCATGTGTCTGTATGATGAACTTCCTTTAACAAAGATCAATAAGTCAGAGAGTCCATCTACCATAGGGCCATGGAATTTCTAGCTATGGCATTGCTTGTGAAAATACCTCCAAAAGACTGAACTCATGGGAATATCTATTTGCTTCATACCAGTAGCACATGTTAAAATCAGGCTATAAACAGTCGAACTTCTCTTTCATTTTATATTTACTTTCTGGAGATATTGTGCAAATGATCATTGATGTGGTATCCAGAAATATTTTTGTCTATAGTAATAGCAGATGGCAGAGCATTTTTCATGTGCCAAGTCGCATTTATTCTGCTACAGTACAATGTGGAAGTGATCATGGCCTCTTTCAAATATTCAACTCCCCATGTGCATTTCAGTTGTGGTGGGAACTTTTATTGCGTATCAGTTCAATATGTTATAGATTGACTTGGAATCCTTGGAATTTTTGCATAGTATAGTCACATGAGAAGTACTTTGAAAAGAAATAGTTTCGAAGCCTCATGATTAAAAGTCATCAATTCAGCAAACATTTAATAAGCATATTTTGTGTGCTAAGCCAGTGGTTTTCCACTGGGATGGGTGGCTTTGTCCCCAGGAGGGATTTTGGAAATTTGCAGGGTTGTTCTTAGTAATCCTAATGATTAGCAGGGGTGCTACTGGCATTTGGGGTGCAGGGGCCAAAGGTACTAGCTGTCTCACAGCTTACAGGACAGACCTCCACGATAAAAATAGTCCTCTACACACAGCACTACTGACCCCCAGTCTGTCGAAAGGACATTCTTGTAAATGAAAAACCTGTTTGTGGTTATCTGAGCCTAAAACCTAAGTGTGCTTTTCAAATAAAGAGCAGTTTTTGGGGGGACATGGATTTAACATACAGTGACTTTTCCAGGAAAATTATATTAATAAATTAAATTGTAAATGTAAAGTGAGGGAAAGTTGTACTTTGCTTTATTTGGAATTAAGAGTTTTTTAACCTCACGTAAACTCACATTACCCACGGAACCTTGAATGTGGTACTTGAGTCACAAAAAGCCTGCATCTGTAACCACCTGCATTCGTTATTCCCATATTTATGAGGATTCCACACAGAGGTGCAAGCTAAGGGCTACTTTATATGTCTCCTGCTGGTGGTGTGCCTGAGCATTTGTAATTCATATTATTTTTATTTTTATTTTTTGAGACAGAGTCTCACTGTGTTGCCAGGGTTGGAGTACATTGAGATCATCTTAGCTCACAGCAACTTCTGCCTCTTGGGCTCAAGTGATTCTCCTGCCTCAGCTTCCCAAGTAGCTGAGATTTACAGGCGTGCACCACCACACATGGCAAATTTTTGTATTTTTAGTAGAGATGGGGTTTCACCATGTTGGCCAGGCTGGTCTCGATCTCCTGATGTCAAGTGATCTGCCTGCCTCGGCCTCCCAAAGTGCTTGGATTGCAGGCGTGAGCCACTGCACCCAGCCTATAATTCATAATATTTTATTTTATTACTTTTTATTCTTATTTTTTAGCTAGGATATTATGTTGACTTGTGATTGTGTGTTTGTATATGTGTCTGTGTACACAAAGTGTACAAGATGTGTTATTCACAAATTTTATTTCAAGAAGGAACATTACAAAATATTTAGGCTATAAGGTGGTATTGGGTGTGATTGGGTTGAAAGTCACCGGATTAAGTAGCAGGGTGATGTCAGACAAATCAATGGACAGGGAAACTTTAGCATGCTAGAGGAGCACAGAGGCCACTGCAGTATCCAGAGGAGCAGCCTCTGCCAAGTCCTGAGGGAGTGTGGTCACACTGGCCCGGGATGATCAGGAGCTGGGGGACATGGAGGGCAAAAGGAATGGCACATACAAAGTCCTGAAGGGTGGATGCTTAGCGTTGGTGAGTGGCTAGAGCCCAGGGTGTGGTAGGGCTGAGCCCTGGCAGAAGGGAGAGAGAAGGCTGGAGAGGCAGACAGAAGTCCATGAAGAGCCTAACAAATCTTGCTTGCATTTTATTGTAGAGACACTGGGGAGCTACCAAAGGGCTTCTGGGCTAGGATCAGGTTTGCTGGTTAGACAGACACGCTTGTCACAGTGGTGAAAATGGGCTAGATGAGGGCACGGTTACATGAGCCAGGGTGAAGCCTGAGCTAGGCAACCATGGGGTAGACTGCTGGGCTAACACCTTTGCAGGCCATGTGAACCTTTCTGAGCTCTCCTGCTGCCTAGCAGCAGTCAGCCCTGCAGTCTCACCCCAGTAGCTGTGCTCCTGACCACTTTTCTAAGAGGTTGGGGTGTGGGTGGGAAGGGGTGTTGCAGAGAAGATGGAGAGGATTGTGGTCGGTGGGAGCTACTCAGCATGGAATATAGAAGATACAGGGTAGGGAACTCTAGGATGTGTCTGGTTACATGAAGTGTCTGAGGAAAAGAACACTAACCTCACAGAATCTCACTGACTCTTTAACCTCTGTGCCCAATTAAGGGAGTCGGGGGAGATTCTTGTCCAGTTATTTTGTGTGATTTCACTTACCTTTGCTTTTATTTAATTTAGGACAACCTGCCATTTTGTTCTGAAGATTTGAATAGCAACACAGATCCTAAAGAAGCTTAGTAATACTGCAAAGCTAATGATTATGACTTTCATCCAGAGCACTATTTAGAAACACTTGCCTGTGCCAAATGGAGGAAGGTGTTCTTAACAACTCACCCCAGCAACAGCAAAACTATTTAGGCTTATCCACCACATTGATGAGAGAAGTACTGTTCTTAAAATGAGAGCCTTGCTCGGTGTCTTTTCCCTTTGCATTTAAAAATAAATGAAATTACTGAAACACTATTATAAGAAGTTTGGAAAATAAGAGGGATGTTACCTTCCCCACATATTATCTATTAATATTTTTTATGTATTTCCTTTAAATCTTGTTTTTAGATATGTTTATGTATATTTGTGTGTCTGCATAATATGTTATATGTATAAATATGTAACATTATAACTGTATACAATTATTCTAGGAATCAACACATGAAATATGGGAGCAACATTTTGAATCATTCTTCCCTCTCAGCTTCCAACTTGCGACCTAGTTACCTTCTGATTAGATGTCTCTATTTTGTTGTCTCATAGGCCTCTCAAAGCAAAGAAAACAACTGAGTTCTTGCATTGTCTCTCACCCTAGCCTTTCCTTTTCCCAATCTTCTGCATCTCAGTAAATGCTTCCACTATCCATTTAGTTGCACAAGCCAGAAGCCTAGATTTCTTCCTTTCCCTCACCCTCTACACTGAGTCCATCAGCAAGTCCTTTTATCTCTGCCTCCAAAATACATCCCAGATCTATCTATTACCCTTCCCTGGAATAGAAGCAGTCCTATCAAGATCTGTTGTAGTAGTATTAATATTTCTGTAATCCACTGCCACCACCTCCTTCCAAGCTGCCATCATCTTTTACCGGGACTACATTATTCTCCTTACCTGTCTTCTGCTTAATTTGGCCATTCTTACTTCTCTAGGGTCTGTTCTCTCAGCAGGTGGAATAGATCACTCCTAAAAATGCTCCTGTTTGGAATCCTCCAGTGGCCTTCCATTGTACTTAGAAAACAACTCAAGTTCTTTACTATGGCACATAAGGCACATGGCACACAGGCCTTATGTACCGTGAGTTTCTAAATCCGTGCAGCACCCTGTGCCCATATTTCTTGCTTACTATTAGTTATCTCAAAAATTTTTTTTTTGAGGCAGAGTCCCCACTATCACCCAGGCTGGAGTATAGTGGCACCATCTCGGCTCACTACAACCTCTGTCCCCGGGGTTCAAGTGATTCTCCTGCCTCAGCTTCCCAAGTAGCTGGGACAACAGGCACGTGCCACCATGCCTGGCTAATCTTTGTATTTTCAGTAGAGATGGGGTTTCACCATGTTGACCAGGCTGGTCTCGAACTCCTGACCTCAGGTAATCCACCTGCCTCGGCCTCCCAAATGCTAGGTTTACAGGTGTGAGCCATCGTGCCTGGCCATCTGAATGTTTTAAAATACCAAATTCTTCCTGCCTCAAGCTGCTACATATGTGCTTGTAGCTGCCTGAATCTTCCATTCCCACTTCTGAGCATGCTAGCTCCAGATCCTGCAGTGCCACTTAAATGACACCTCCTTGAGAAGCCATCCCAGACAGTTCTGGGTAAAGTAGACTTGCTTTCTTACACTTAACAGTTTGAGGTGTGTGTGTCTGTCTGTCTGTCTGTCTGTCTGTCTGTCCATCTGTCTCCTCCACTCTAGATTTTAAGCTCCAGGAGGTAAGGACCTTGTTTGTCTTGTTAGTGTAATAGTCACTAAATATTTGATGAGTGAATGAATGAATATGTCTTAGTCCATTTAGTGTTGCTATAAAAAAATACCTGAATCTGGGTAATTTATAAAGAGAAGAGGTTTATTTAGCTCACAGTTCTACCAGCTGGAAAGTTCAAAACTGAGCCTCTGCTGAAGGCCTCAGGCTACTTCCACTCATGGTGGAAGGTGAAGGGGAACCAGTTTGTGCAAAGACCACATGGCGAGAGAGGAAGAAGTAAGACAGGCAGTGCCATGCTTTCTTTAAGAACCAGCTCTGGGCCGGGTGTGGTGGCTCATGCCTTTAATCCCAGCGCTTTGGGAGGCCGAGGCGGGTGGATCACTGAGGTCAGGAGTTCGAGACCAGCCTGACCAACATGGCGAAACCCTGTCTCTACTAAAAAAACAAACAAACAAAAATTAGCTGGGTGTGTTGGCATGCACCTGCAATCTCAGTTACTCGGGAGGCTGAGGCAGGAGAATCACTTGAACCCAGGAGGTAGAGGTTGCAATGAGCCGAGATTGCGCCATTGTACTCCAGCCTAGGCAACAAGAGCAAAACTCCGTCTCAAAAAACAAAACAACAACAACAACAACAAAACAAACAAAAACCAGCCCTGGCGGGAACTATTAAAAGTGAGATCTCATTCACCCGCAAGGGAGGACATTAATCTATTCATGAGAGATCTGCCCTCATGACCCAGTCACCTCCCATTAGGCCCTACCTCCCTATACTCCTACAAGGAGGATTAAATTTCATCATGAGTTTTGGAGGGGACAAACCTCAAAGCCATGGCAGAATGCGACCTACTTGAACCAGCTCAGGGAATTGTCTTATTAGCAGGCGTAGGGACATGGAATTGAGAGCCAAGGAATTGCTAAACATTGTCTGTTATCTTGGAAGCTCTTTTGTAAAAGAGGCTTCTGCTATTGCAATACCCTTGTTTTTGTCCAGATTCTTTTTGTCTGGACCTCAAGTAAATGTCAGTGGTCAGCTTCTATCCCCGTGTCTGCAGTTGGTGCCATGTTTAATAAATCATCATGGATTGTAGAGGGTGCGTTGTCAGTATAGCTGCCTTTGGGGCACATAATATTGGAAGATGGCTAGGTTTTACTTCTGAGGACAAAGGTGCAGGGAGCAAGGGATGCATGGTAGAGAGCATGTAGACCAGGTCATTCAATCATGCTGGTATCATGGTTGAAGGAGGCATCAAGGACAGAAAACAAGAAGTTTAAAAACAGTTTCTGTTAAGAAGAAGCAATCCTGTCAGAATCTTTCCTAGTGGCCTTAGTGTTCAAAAACCTGAAAAATTTGTATTACATCTCATTGCTAGTACTGCGAATCTGGGACCATTTATTAAGATCCCCAAACCCCAGAGCTTCTGATCAGTGCAGCCCCTACCTGCTATTAACTGCTTTTACAGGAAGAAATCGTGGAGAGTACAATAGGCCACTTCTAGCTGACTGCCTCTTACCTTACCTTGTTCCTTTACCTTGTCCAACACTGTGTCTCCAAGTTGCGTCCTTAATGAGGTCATTTGCTCTGCATACATTGTGAGATTATGTCTTAGAGTATTACATTTTCTGCTTTCTGAGCTATGCTTGAGAGGACAACCTCTTCAACTGTGGAAAGAATTTGCCATTTAATAGAGGAGGGCCTTTATAGCTTGTCACAGCTTTCAGTCACAGATCCAGTTTTTGATTCTGTCACAGTGGCACATGAGAGCAGGAACATTTTGCATAACCACTTAACTCAGCGTTACAATAGCCTCTTAAATGGATGAGGAGCAGCTTAAGCTGGCTTGATGGGAAAGAACACTGTCTGTTGGTGTTAATAATATTCGTATTTAGTTTGCATAACTTAGATCCACAATAATATCTTAATCTTAGTTTTGCTCCAAAATTGCCTTTCTACTATCACTATCCCATATAAATAATGTATAGCAACATTGATTTGATTGTAACCCTTTCATATTTTATTAAAATTTTTTTCTGTAAACATATATTGAGCACCCCCTCTGTGTCAGGAAATACACAAGTGCTGCATATCTAGAGGTCCACTGGACAAAAAATAATGGGTGAGGATTTTCAGAATTGTAAAAGCACATGAGACCTCATGTTGAAAAACACAGCACATCTTAGCAGGTTAAATAAATCTGCAACTAGCTACAGTGATTGTGGTATAAAGACAGTATGTCCAAAATAAAGAGAAAATCTTTGAAAACTGAAGAAAAAGACAGATTGCCTACAGAGGAATGACTTTCCAACTGACAGTACATTTATTATCAGCAGCAGTAGATCCTATACCTGTCATCAAAATAGGATGCTGAAATAAAAACCTTTTAGGACATACAGAGACTAGGATAATTTTTTACTCTCAAATATTAACTGAAAGAACTATGAAACATTGTATTTTGGCAAGGAGGAAACTGAACCCAGAAATAGGTTGCACCATTACAGAAGCAATGACACAACAAGGAATTTGGACAATAAGTTAATGAACTTGAGTAATCAGAATAAATGGCTTCCTCTGTGCCGCCATGATTTGAGTACTAGCAAGATGTTTTCCAGTTAAATACAGAATTACTTTGGTTTGGTGCTGATGTCTGAAATTCTTGTTTGTGATGAATTATTCACCTCAATCAAGGGTTTTTAAGAAGGGGTCCATGGATGGAGTTCAAGGTATCTATGAACATCCTAAAATTACAGGTAACGCACTTTGTGTATACACAGTTTTTCTGAAGACAGGCTTGTTGGCTCTCATCAGGCGCTTAAAGGTACTTGGAATTTGAATTAGTTTAAGAACTACTGGATTAAGTTATTGTTCCTTATTAAAGTGAAATTACATCAATACTTACCTTGCTCTCAAGTTGAGATACATGATCTGAATTTGAATCGTGACGTTATTGGTTACCTTGCAGAATCACTGTGACCCTGGAAAAATTATTTTTCTTCTCATTGTAGTCTGAGTGTGCATTGTATGATCTGTGTAGCTAAAGGCAGCAGTGGTGTGCCTGGCCCCTGTGACTGTATGTCAGTATCACAGTCAGTATTTGATTATAGTTACGATTTTTCTAAAGAGAGTCACTATTAAGCTAACAGAAGAAATAAAGCTTTTAAGTTACCAATTTTAGGATATAATAATATATTTATTGTTTTGTTAATTGAACATATATTTTGTGTAATACACTGTCCAAGCGTATGTAGTGGGGTGGACAGGGGGAGGCTGTGTTCAGTCATTATCTATACCAGTGAGATTTCCTGCTAAAACAAGTATTAACTGGTGACCATGTGCAACTTGTATTTTCCCCCCAGCTTTATTGAGGCATCACTGACAAATAAATGTTGTATATGTTTAAGGTGTATAATGTGATCTTTTGTTGTACATACACATTGTGGAGTGAGTACCATGACCAAGCTAATTAATATATCTGTTACTTCAAGTAGTTAGCATTTTTGTGTGTATGGTGAGAACACTCAAGATGTACTCTCCTAGTAAATTTCAAGTGTACAATGTAATGTATTATTATTAACTCTACTCACCATGCTGTATATTAGCTCTCTTACTTATTCATCGTATAACTGAAAGTTTGTAGCCTTTGATCAACATCCCCCTATTTCTCCCATCCCTAGTTCCTGGCAACCACTGTTCTACTGTTTCTATGAGTTTGACTTCTTTAGAGTCCACATATGAGTGAGATCATACAGTATTTGTCTTTTTGTATCTGGCTTATTTCATTTAGGAAAATGCCATCTAGATTTGTCCGTGTTGTCTTAAATGGCAGGATTTCCTTATTTTTTAAGGCTGAATAATAAAAATTCCATTGTGTGTGTATGCGTGTGTGTGTATACATACCACATTTTCTTTATCGGTTGATGTACACTTAGGTTGTTTTCTTATCTTGGCTATTGTGAATAATGATGTAATGAATATGGGAGTGCAGATATCTCTTTGAAATACTAATTTCAGTTCCTTTGGGTATATATGCAGAAGTAGAATTGCTGGATCATATGGTATTTCTATTTTTAGATTTTGTAAGGAACCTCTGTATTGTTTTCTATAATAGCTGAACCAATTTACATTCCCACCAACAATGTATCAGTGTTGCCTTTACATCCTTGCCCACACTTGTTGTATCATTTGATTTTTTATAGTAGTCATCCTCACACATGTGAGGTGATATCTCATTGTGGTTTTGATTTGCATTTCCCTGATGATTAGTGATGTTGAGCAGCTTTTCATGTACCTGTTGCCCATTCATATCAAAGGAAATAGCAAAATGAAAAGGCATCCAGCAGAACGGAGACTATATTTGCAAACCATATATCTAATAGGGGACTAATATCCAAAATATGTAAAGAACTATAGCTCATTGGCAATAAATGACCCAATTGAAAAATGAGTAAAGCACTTGACTAGACATTTTTCTAAAAGAGACATACAAATGTAACTTGTGATTTTTTTAATACAGTGTATTTTAGATACATGTATTTTATGTGTAATTGAAATTCCACTCTTCCTCTCATCTGATAGTTACGTACTGAGTGCTAGTGTCAGGCCGTTTACTGTAGTTGCTGTGGTCATGGATGTAGAGTTGGTGGTGGTCCTGTCCCAGAAGGAATTACTCTGAATAGGATAGAGGGTGGTAGGTCATAACCAAATCCCCAGTCCTAGCCTAAGACCTAGTAAGGTCAACAGGAAGTTGTTCCTAGTTGCAGGATTGTCCCTGAATGCTGCTTCGGATGGCATCTTCCACGTGGAGCTAAGAACAGAATGAAGCCACAGGCTTATTCAGAGACCACAAGCTTCACAACTTCTGTTTAACACATCTAATTATGATTGTAACAATACTGTCTGGTTTTGATGCTGTTACGTTTGAAGGTAGATCCCAGCCACTGATCAGAGCATTCAGATGGATCATCTTCCCCCAAAGCCCAGGGCTTCTTTCTGTCTCCACAGCACCCCCAGCTCAGGGGTAAAGTGCCCTAACCCTAGGACTGGTGAGAACCACCTTCCCAGTTCAGTTTTCTCCCTGTCTGCAGGTCCATCTATCTTCTCGCTCAGGATGTGGGTATCTCTTAGAGGGTGAAGGGAAGTGATTTGTCAAATGGTTACCAAGGGCATGGAGAAAGTTAATTTACCTCTTAAAATGACTTTTATATTCCTTTTACATTGGTGAAATTCATTCTCCTGTTTTTTTATGTGTGTGATGTTGAGAGATTCTCAGTTTTGATTGAATAAGATCATAATCTCATTTTTATTTTAAAATTGAACACTTTTATAAAGCTTAAATGAAACAAGACCAGTTAAATTTTTGAGATGGAACTTTTGTGGAAAATGCTGAATGTTGGAGGATGACGCAATGAGTTCTCCGGACTGCCAGCCTCCCTTCCCTAGATATTTGAAATTATATTAGGGCAATTAGATTATAACTCAAACTTCTGAAAACCATTTAGAGATAGATAAGAAATTCATTTCACTGTATTGTACTCTAAATTGTAAATGAGATTCAAGATTAATTGTTTAATAGGTTGAAGTTTTAAATTGAAACTTCCTTCTATGTTATTTTATATCATATATGCTTCACCATGAAGGTTGATTTGAAACCAGAGTTTCAGAAATACCAATATTATTATATTCTTTTCATCTAAATTGAAGTTATTATTATTTTTTTAACTGGTCCTGGCCACTTCTTTGTATCTCTCAAACTGCCACTTTCTTTGTCATTTTTACAACTATTAATAGGTGGCCGATTGTACTGAGCCTGAGCATAGAATAAAATAAGTACAGTGGTCCCCCTTATCTGTGATTTTGCCTTCTGCATTTTTAGTTAGCCCCAGTCAACCTTGATCCAAAAACATTAAATGGAAAATTCCAGAAATAAGCCATTTATAAGTTTTAAATTTCACACTGCTCTGCATAGCATGGTGAAATCTCACCCCGTCTCACCCAGGACGTGAATCATCTCTTTGCCCCGTGTGTCCATGCTGTCTCTGCTACCCACCCGTGAGTCACTTAGTAGCTGTTATGATTATGAGATGAGAAAAGCATAGTATATATAAGGTTCAGTACTATCTGTGGTTTCAGCCATCCAGTTGGGGGTCTGCAGATAATGGGGGGTGACTATAGAATTTCTTAGCTTGGCTGGGGAGCTAAAAGCATAGTTCCTACTATTCTTGCCAGAAAATGGGAAAAAATGTTCAATCCCATAATTTTATTATATGAAGTAGTGACACGGACAGGAGGCAGAAACAGTGGGTAGAAGAGGGCGGTTCCCAGCAAAGGCCCCACCCTCAAGCCTGGAAACCCACAGCCCTAAATGGGAACAGGCATTCCTGTTTTTGCATCCAAAAGCTGCCTATTGGCCCACCACACCCCCCTCTCCTGTATCCATATAAACCTGAGACCCCAGGCTCCAGAAGGAGACAAGGAGATGAACAGAAGAGCAGAAGAATAGCAGAACGGCGCAACAGAGAGAAGGAGCATCTGAATGCTAAGAGGGAGTTTACCTGGACATGATCGGAGAGGAGATATGTCACTGGACAGCCAAACTCCAGGGGAAGACCATCTTCCCACTCCATCCTTCTTCCACCTCCCCATCCATCCCACTGGGAGCCACCTCCATCACCCAATAAAAGCCCCACATTCATCCTTCAAGTCCACGTGTGATCTGATTTTTCCTGGATGCCAGAGAAGAAACAGGGAAACAGAAAACTTTCACACTGGCCCTCTGCCTTTGTGGAAAGGCAGAGGGTTCACTGAGCTGTCTAACCCTTAAGCTGCCTGTGGACCGCAAGGTTAAAAGAGCGCACTGTAACACACACCCACTTGGGTTTCAGGAGTCGCAGATACACACCCCTGGACGTTGCCGTGAGGCTGAAGCCTAGGGGCACTCATCCCAGCTCCTGCACCTGCCCATCTGTGTGCTCCCCTTCCCGTAAGGGGTTTAAGCATGCACGGTCACCAAACAGACAAGTTACACCACTGTGGCACATCCTGCAAGCGGGGGGGGAGGGGGGTCAGGGAACTCCTGTTTCAGTAGATATATCTGATGAAAATAATGCTCTCCTGAGGGGATGATCGTGTATGTGGTGTGTGTGCGTGTCTGTGTGTGTGTGCACGCGCATGCATGTGCCATGACTTTTAGCACGTGTGCATGTATGTGAGGGCTTGTCTGGGCAATAGTGTCATTTAGTCAGCTAATGGGAACAAGCATCAATGCTGTTCTCTTTACAAGGCTCCTGTTTGTCTCTTTCTTTCAAGTGTTCCTCATTGCATGTTCTTTTCCTGAGAGCCAGCGAGTCTTTTCATAGCTTGGAGACAAAGAAAATTACTCAGAACCATCTTGCTTGTGGTGTTTCAGGGAATCTCCCCTAGGCTGCTGCCATAGTAGGCGAAATGTATTGGTTTTGACTCTGAGTCTCGTGTAGGTTACCAAATGGCGGATTCTTAGCTCTGTGATTGCCGTGGCTCAGCAAGCACCCTGAGCTGAACATCTAGTGGTTTTAACTTACCTCCTGTTGGTCTTGGTGAAACGGTCCTGGCACACTTGAGCCATTTACTCAACATATCCTTGAGTGCCTCTCATGTGCCTGGCCCTGTCCTGGGTGTTTGGAATACATATGTAAAAGCCACATAAAGGCTATGTTCTTGGAGTCTCCATCAGGCTCTTTCATAACTTTCAGTTTCCCACCTTCTGGAATGAGAGGTCACTATTCCAGGCTGTGGGAATGCGTTCATTTGCTTGGCTTTTTTTTTTTTTTAAGCTTCTAATTTTGTATAATGTATGAATGAGACACCATTGCTGCCCTCAGGGAGTTTGTGTGTGACAGAGAGAGACGGACAGGCAGGCAGACGTGTAAGTACTGTGCCACCAGCAGACTGGCTTCGTGCCAGAATAAGGTAGGAGCCTCAGCTCTGAGGGGAGGCAGGAGAAGGAAAGAACGGCTCTTCAACTGGGGTGGCATTTTTTGACAGAGGTGCTGTTTGGCTTAGCCTATGGTCAGAGAGTGCTTGGGGGATGTGACAGTGGGGCATGTGGGAATGGAGGTAGTAGACGATGAGGTCTCCACCCTCTGACTTTGCAGAGATGGGCAAGGCCAAGTGTTGGAAGGGCTTAAACACACACCGGAGTATTCTGTGAGAACCAGTGGATTTCAGAGGATGGCAATGACACCACTTGCCTTCTGCCTCAGGAGGATAACTGATGGCCGTGTGTGGGATGCACTGGAGAGCAAGAGCTGGCTTGCAGGGAGACCAGCTGGATGATTTTCTTTCATTTATTTTATTCATTCAACACACATTCATCTGGGGTTCACTCTGTGCCCAACACTGGGCATTTCCAAATAGTCCAGATGGCAGTAAGCATGGTTGTGGCAGTAGGAATGGGAAGGCTGGGAGGGGTATGAGAGGCATTACAAACGGGAAGTGGGAGTGGCACCCCAGAAAAGTCTAGTTTAAGGTGCTAGTGGATGTGTGCATGTGTGCGCGGGGGTGTCTAGAGGGTGGCGGGCAGCTGGAAATTGAGGTCAAGTGCTTAAAGAACAACTCGTTGTGTAGGACCCCCCCCTTTGTGGTAACAGCAGAGGTTTTTGAGAATCGCCAGTAATTTCTTAAACTCAGGCTGGTTGGGAGGTCATTCAGCCAGGGAACTCCACAAAGAGTGTTGCCACTTGGGTCAAAGTAGACCTCTGAAAATAAATCTTACAAGTAATTGCTGGTTTTAGATGCCAGTTTAAGAAGAGTTAAACCACTGTCATGCCCTAACGCAAACACTTTCATGCCCTAACTCATCTTTCAAGTTTGAAATTTAAATGTATGTTTCTTTGTTCTGAGTGACTGAAACATACACATGAAGACAACTTTGGTGGATGCAGGTGGGCATCTCAGTTCCTTTTGCTGAGTTTCACTTGCTCTCTGCTTCACTCATCCATGGTGTAGAAAACTGCAGCAGTCTGCCCTGCCATAACACAGATAGACATCATCCCTCACAATGGCTGGATAATTCCAGATTTAATGCCAAACAGAGAAAACTGATTTTATTTATGTTTTGTGATAAGAGGTACAGAAAAAAAACGGAAAGCGATGTAATGACTTGTCTTGACCAAATGCTTCCACTGCTCTGGAGGAGACAACCCACTTCCCCTGGTTAAGGAGGGGTGTTGCGTTTTAAACATGTGGTGGTTGTTATTCATTGTACTTTTTTTTAAGGTAGGAGATGTTGTTCTTTGGACTGAGTTAAATGCTGCTTAGCATAAAAGACTTGATGTGGAACAAAGCCTGCAGACTGTGACTATTTGACATGCACTGGGCTAATGAGAAGACAGAATGTCTCTAATCAGCAGCAGAACAAACACTCACAAAGGGTCTCCTTCCCTCCTAGGACTTCCTTCGCTGGGCATCTGGCTGGGATTCTTGTTGGACTAATGTACACTCAAGGGCCTCTGAAGAAAATCATGGAAGCATGTGCAGGTACAGAATAAAACACCTTTGGCATGACAACAGCTTGGAAGTTCATGTTAATTTTAATGTGAACAGAAGCAACCCCAAGTTTCCCTGTGGTTCAGCTCAAGAATTCCCTAATATGCCTGTTTTTCTTTTTAAACCGAAAGGTAAAACAACCAGTGCAGTTCCTTACATTGCTCCACAAAAGAGGCTGCAAACTTAAATTTCGAATCTGATACTTTCTTAGGGGACAAATATCAGTATATATTTATACCCTCAACCTTAATGCTACCCGCAGAAAACCACGATTTCCTAAAGAATGCAGAGAACTAAAGTGCCTTTAAAATAATGCATTCTTCTATAATAGTCCATGAATTAATATACGTGC
This sequence comes from Homo sapiens, assembly GCF_000001405.40. Lineage (NCBI taxonomy): Eukaryota > Metazoa > Chordata > Mammalia > Primates > Hominidae > Homo > Homo sapiens. Next base: position 226,907,243 of record NC_000002.12, read on the forward strand.
AAGGCAAAGGTGAAAAAGAAAACAAAGCCTGGACTGAAGTGCATGGCCAGTATTTTAAAGAATTCAGACTGATGACCGGGTCCTTGGTGGATGAGCCATATATTCATGCATGGCGAAACCAAGTCTGTTATTGCTTGAAGCTTAGCTCCTGCTTTTTTTAATTTTGTTTTTCCCTTCAAATTGATACTCAATGAAAATATTTCATTTAGAAATACTTGTATTTTTTAGACCTCTTAATTTTCAATGCGATTCTCATTTTGACTTGTAAGAAAACTGGTTTGCAAACACTTGTTTTATAGACTGAGTTCCACTATTTCATCTTTTATTCATGGGAAGTCTTCTGAGACTATTTTACCTTTTCTTGAACCATAAATAATTTGTTTCACAGTTTGTGCTGATGACTGGTATTCTTGAGAACCATATAATATTCATGATAGTAGAAAGCTTTCCAGGCACTGCACTGGCACCTTTATTAGCAGGTCGTGTTCACTTTTGGTTGATTTTTACAGGCTGTGTTGCATTTAAGCAGATCCTCATTTTCCCACGTTTGCTTATTAATGTGTTTCCACTGTACGTACTTAGAGGAGGCAGTGGGAGCTTCATTTATTGAAAATGTCCAGTTTTATTGTATTTTCAATACAATTTAATACTCATTAGTACTGATAAAAGAGATGATTCTCGGGAGTTTAATGTCTTGTTTCTTTTTTCTGTGTCTCATGATGAAGCGGTTAGTAAAGCTTTTTGCAGACATGTTATGAAATTTAAGCAAGTGCTTTGTTTAATTTTTAAAGAGGATTTTCCCCTAATTATAATATTTAAACTCTTAGTTTTAAAAGCCTTAAAAAATAAGTGGTGACTTATTTCTACACCACTCCATTTTCAAAGTAATAAATACAATAGCAAATTAAATAGGAAAATTAGAACACTCAGTGCAATTTGCAAATAGCCTGCGAACTCGGCCTTTTTTCTGTGAGCTGAGAATTGAAGGACACAGGAACCCCATGGAAAACGACCCAGCATGTGGAAGCTGCTGTCTGATGCCTCCTGGAAGAGGAGGGTCACCCTGAGGGTGTGGCCCTTGGCCCTCCCTCTCTCATTTCATTCAGCCGTGCCAAATTGACTGAGTAGACAGTCCTACTGCCTTCTGTAGGGACAAGAAAGAGTGAAGTCCCCTAGGAAGGGTAGGGAGGATGGCTCTCCTAACACCTTCTTTGAGGAAGGTTCTCCATTTAGCCAGAGTGTCTCTGCTTGTACAGAGACATCAAAGCCGAGGCTTGGTACTTTGGCAGGCAAAGACTAAGGAACTTCAGTGAGTGTAAATTAGGGTTTCATTTTCCACTACACACACACACACACACACACACACACACACACACACATTCTTTTCCCTGTAGGGACACACACACACTCTTTTCCAGTTAGGGCTGGCCCCCAAACAAAAGGGAGTTTATTTTAATAAGTGTTTAGAAATCATTTGAAATGACCTTGGGCTTTGTCCAGAGAACTTTCTAATTACTGGAACAATTAGCATTTAAAGCTTTATGGCTGCCATTAAAATGTTTATTTCTTTTACGTTTAGGCGGTTTTTCCTCCAGTGTTGGTTACCCAGGACGGCAATACTACTTTAATAGTTCAGGTAGGCACTGTATTTCATTTAATAAATTTTAACTTATTTTTAAAATTATAGTGTTCAGCTCTACAGAGTACTTTAGGATACTACTAGTTTCTGCTGTGGTAGGGTCATTCACATGTTGTGTAACTGTGCCTCTAACACACCTGGAAGCTAGATGGAGGGTAGCCTAGGGAGCATATTTGTGGGGGTTGGTAGGGAAGGCCAGGGAAGGAGGTAACTCAGGCATGAAAACATGGTATGATTGGTATGAGGTCTCTCATGTGTGATAAGATTCATATTAGACCTTGGTTCTTTAAGTCTCAGTCTGAGACTCTACTGCTGGGAAAGTGTTAAAAGTTGGTTTTAGGTGTATAGTTCTCCATGGCCCATCCTGTGTATATTCAGGAACCCTTGCATACCGTCAGATGCTAAAATAGGCATGCCTCTAACAAATGCCATGTGACTTAATGAGGAAGAATGTATTTTTCTAAGTATCTGTGTAAATAGATAGAAAAGACTTCCTGTTAAAAGCGTAAGACCTATTTTAGGCTAAAGCCTTTGCATTCCAGTCTGGGGTGGCTACACGGTAGTATTTTAGATCAGGCCCAGCAGCCAGGTGTTAGCCATGGCCATTGGAACACTCATGTCTTAATGCAGTGAACTGAATGTGCCCGTCCCCAAATTCATACGTTGAAACCCTAACCCCTAATGTGATGATTTTAGTAGGGTAGGAGTTTGGGGAAAAAATTAGGTCATGAGGGTAGGGCCCTCATGAATGGGATTAATGTCCCTATAAAAGCGACCTCAGAGAGCTCTCTAGCTTCCTCACTGCCACATGAGGATACAAGAAGTCAGCAGTCTGCAACCTGGAAGAGGGTCGTCACCAGAACTGACCACACTGGCATCGCAAGCTTCCAGCCTCCAGATTGTGACAAATTTCTATTGCTTAAGCCAGCCAGTCTATGGCTGTTTGTTATAGCATCCCAAATGGACTAAGATGTGTTTCTGTTTATATTAATTGAGGACCACTATAGCTTAAAGCTGAGACTAGCAGCCTTTTCTTTAAAGGACCGGACAGATAATATTTCAGGCATCAAGGGCTTTATTGGCCATATAATCTCTGCTGGAACTAACCTGTCCTTGTAGCATGAAAGCTGCCAGAGACAATATGTAAACAAGTGGGTATAGGTGTGTTCCAATAGAATCTTATTCCTAGCTCCTGCCTTTTCTACTGTGTAAGGATATGAGATTGACACTCTGCCAATTTAACCTTACAAAATAGGGCAGTTCTACTTACTGTCTTCTCTCTCTTTTGCACTCGATTTATTTTCTATTTTTTAAAAAAGAGGACTGAAGAGAACAGCTTCTTTCCTTCTTATGTGGAAGAAGCACAGTCACACAGACCAGAGAATTAAGGGCAAAAATAATAAAAAGCCCTTTTTACCTCTTTTAACCTCTGTAAAATTACTATAGTTATATGCCTTTCTCTGAAGTGATTGGATTTCTTCAAAGGCAGAGCTACTTAAGGCCAGGTGGCTATGCTAATGGTCATCTAGGGAACTTTTATGAGAGCATATGTATATCTTACAAGTAATGATTTATTCTTAATATGGCTGTCCTTAGCTGGAAAAGTCTTTATAGGTCAAAGAACCGCATGAATATTTAAAAAGCTGTTACCAATTTTTCTAATCTTGGTGGTGTTTCTTGATCTCCTTTGCCATGAAATCCTGGTATGTGTATAAGGAACAGATGGAGTAGTTAATAGAATAATGACAACCAGATTTTCTTTTACTACAGAGCCTAAGTATATAACTAAAAAAAAAAAATTAAACTAGTATTCCTCTCAGGACATAATTTAAATTTATTTATCTTAATTGTTTGATTGCTAGGTTTTTCCAGGAATGTTTATTATGAAGATTTTAAAACATCTGATTGGGCCAGTGAAACATCCATAGAAAATTTTTGGTCCTACGGGAGGAGATCTGTTCTCATTATAATAGATACTGATGAGATTTTGGGTCCTGTTGATGATCTATGATTGACGATATAGAACGTTTAGCCACACTGGTCTTTCTGATTTAAGGCACCAAAACTTTCCCATTTTCTTTCCCCATATTTTGTCTGACAAGTACCAAATTTGTTTTTATAATATTCAGATGTTTAGAGTTGTTGACTTTATTTCATTGAAGAACTGCCAGATTATTTTAAAATAAGAAATAGCATGAATAAAAATGTTTTTCTACATCAAGAAAATGTTGCCTCAAATCATCGCATGTGTATCTGGCAATTAAAACTCTAGGTAGATATACAGTTTCTATGTGGTGAGCAAATATTCAGAGACCTTGGGTTATTTTGGCTTTTGAATTAACTGAGCATTTTTGGGGGTGGATAGGTAGAAATGCTGCGTAGATCTTACATAACAGAATGGCTTTCCACATGGGTTTGAAAGTGATAATGAGCCATGTGGGAAATTACCCAATATACTTTTTGTATTCCAGTAAAATAATTGGCATTCATAGGGAATTGGGCAGTTTCTCTAAGCAGGGATTGCTGAAGCATCCCATGCTATTCAGTGACGTCTCTATAAATATTCTATTAGTGTTGCAGAATGGTTGCCACTTTCTTTGATTCTTTGTGGAAAAGATGTATTAATTATGTTTTTACCATTTGTCCTCATGTGAAAGTTCTTTTTTTTTTTTTTTTTTTTTTAATAAGGAATGAAAAGTAAGATGTGTAAAAACACTACCACAGTCTCCTTTACTCTCAAGGTCTGAAACTGGCTGGTTGGGTGTTCCCCAGTGCAGCAATGGGGGCTAAATTTTTCTGATTCTATTGGATAGAGACCAGTTTAAGAATAAATGTTCATATTTAAAATGGTAAGATCCAAGTTCAGTTTTAAGCCATTGTGAGGATTTGGAAAATGTACTTGTCTCCTTCTCCTGTTCTAAATATCAATAATGTTAATATTTTGACATGGGAAACAGGTGAGAGAAAATATGAAAGTTGGGTTATTGGAGGTATTTAGTAAATCCTCATTAATATTTACTGCACTGGGGCAAAGCTTTTCAGAATTAGTCTCCAAAATCCTAAACCATTTTATTTAATGTTTATTTAAATCATTCCTTTTTCTTTTACTTTCAAGGACGTTCAGTAAAATAGAATCAAGTTAGAAGAGTTTTTTCACAATCACTGAGAATGGACAAAAGATCTGGCTAGACATTTCTCTAAGAAGATACACACATGGCCAATAAGCACATAAAAAGACACTCAGCATTATTAGTCATCAAAACCACAGTGAGATACCACTTCATATGCCCTAGGATGTTTGTGAATAAAAAGGCAAATAATAGCAAGTGTTAGTGAGGATGTGGAGAAATTGGAACCCACATACACTGCTTGTAGGAATAGAAAATGGTACAGCTACTTTGGAAAACATTCTGGCGATTCCTCAGATAGTTAAACAGAATCGCCATGTGACGCAGCAGTTCCACTTTTAGGTATATACTCAAAAGAAATGAAACCATATGTCCACCTAAAAACTTGCTCACAAATGTTTATAGCAGCATTATTCATAACAGTCAAAAGGTAGAAATAATACAAATGTCTATCAGTTGACACATGGATAAACAAAATGTGGTATAAGCCATACAGTGGAATATTATTTGCCCATAAAAAAGAATGAAGTACCGATAAATGTAACAAAATTGATGAACCTGGAAAATATACTAAGTGAAATAAGCTAGACACAAAATGCCACATATTACATGATTTTGTTTATATGAGCTATCCAGAATAGGCATATTCTGTAGAGACAGAAAGTAGATTAGTGCTTACTTAGAGCTGGAGAAGGGATGGGAGGGTGAGGATTGTTAGCTAAAGAGTACAGATTTCTTTTTGGGGATGATGAAAATGTCCAAAATTGATTGTGGTAATGATGGTGCAACTCTAAAATATACTAAAAACCACTGAGTTGTACACTTTAAGTTGATAAATTGTATGGATGTCAATTATATATCAATAAAGCTGTTCTAAAAATATCAATAGACACAACTACTTTTCATGACCAATATTTATATAAAAAACTAGTGTGTTTTGTCATTCGTTGTTTATATGAAAATGAAGTCTACTAGAGTGCTGATTTACAGTTTCCCTTTTAATCCTGCATATTAGGAAAATATTCATAAAGAATACAACAGTAAATTTTAAAATAGCCTCAGGACCAACTATCAAAAATTCTGAGCATGAAATCTCAATTAATGCAATTCTGCCATTCAGTGTTCCTCTTTTGGCTGGATTGTGTTTTTTTTCTGTAGCCTTATTAAAGCTCCAACTCAGGCCTGTACTGCTGTACTCTGTGGGATAATATGGAGATCTGTCACAAAGACTCATAGCAAAGGTTAGGAATCTTCATCAACAACCCAAACCACATTATTTAAATATTTGAAACATCAACTTCAAAGAATATAATAATGGCAGGAAAGAAGAGAAAAAATCAAACAGACTATTTTACTTCTCTCTCTTTATGCCAGAATGAGATTGGTAACCTTCTGTGGGGAACAAAAATCTCTTCCAAACAAATTCTCTAACTATTGGCAGTTAAAGGAAATGTAAGGAATAAACTCAAACTGAAAAGATCAATGGAAATATCTTCCAAAAATGAACTTTTCCCTGTTATTGACCTTTATTAATGGTGTACCTAAGTTTGGTACCTAAAGCATTATTTAATGACTAGGTTATCTCTTCTCTCTTGTTTTATCTAGCAACCATTTTTTTTTGAAGTCGTCTCTTCTTTCTTGTTTTATCTAGAAACCTTTTTTTGGGGGGGAGCTATAATCTCTGACATAGAATTACAATTACAGAGAAATTGGCTGCATCTTAATGTTGGTATTGTCTGAAGTATTCTGTGGGATCTGTATGAAACATTGGTCTGCCCCTTATTGTACAGAGCAACAAGACAATAAGGCTTTATTAGCTATTGTTTCCACCATTCTCTTGACTCAAGCCAGGACTTCACTGAAAACTCTCCAAGTATTGAATAGCTCTAAGCTGAAAGAATCCACTCCATATGTCAATAGCTCATTCCAGTCTCTTCCCCAGGACTTCTGACTACCCTCTGAATTAATATCTCCTTTCCTCATTAGCACATAAGGACTCATTCATGTTCAGCCCCATGGTGGGCACTGAGGATACAGTAACAAGACAATCACCATTTGGCATCTTTTCTTATTTTGAGGATAATTATTATACCTAAAATAATGTTATGCCTTACTCGCTTGTCTTTGCTTATACAAAACAGGAAGTATAAAACAACAGTCCATAGCTGTGTTCTAGAACCTTTTCCTTGTGCCTTTAGGCAGCTCTGGATATCAGGATTATTATCCGCATGGCAGGCCAGATCACTATGAAGAAGCACCCAGGAACTATGACACGTACACAGCAGGACTGAGTGAAGAAGAACAGCTCGAGAGAGCATTACAAGCCAGCCTCTGGGACCGAGGTAGGAGTCTTGCGCCCTTCAGTTATTTTAAAGCATACCTCATGTGGTAAGGTAGTCTGAAAAAGAGCTATTTGTAGCAAATTAAATTTTAAACAGTTCAGAAAAAGGATATGTAGATGAAAACTGTGTGCAGATTGTGATTACAAAGAATGGGGTGTGATGCCATATTCCCAGCAACCTAAGCTAATAAGGTGCCAGACTGTGTATGTATTGTTAAAGTGGTTCTTTTTATAGTCCTGCTGTACTTGATGCTTTGGCATTAAAGTCAAGAAACTTAAAATTCTTAGATGCATGATAAAAAAAAGAGAGATTTTCTTTGGAATTCATATTTGTAAAGAAGGCTCAGTGTCACTAAGTATCAAAATATTGCCCATAAACCTCCGACAAATCTCCCTCAGCATCACATAGGCTAAGAATTCAAGCTCAGATTTGACTTCTGCTGAACCAATCTGTCTGGGGGTAGAGCCTAGAAATTTGTGTTTTGAACAGGCTTTCCAGGAGATTCTTTTATAAACCGATATCTGAAAAAACACTGTATATATTTTGCCATGTTTGTTCTAGGTTTGGATTATGAGTTTGGGTATTACTGTTTTTATTGTTTGAGTAGCGACTAAAAATCAACTGTTCATTTAAAGGGCATTTGTTAAAGTTTTATGTTTCATGTACAATGGTAGGTACAATAGGGAACACTGAGTGGTAAAAGTTGGAAACTACCCTCAAAAAGTTAACAATCTGTGTTTGGGCATATGCCTACTAGATGTGATACCACACAGGTAACCCTAGCATCAGGTGACTAAGAGAGGCTCAAGCTAAGTGTTAGACGTAGGGAGAAGATGGTGAGCTTTTTCATACCTAGAACTATCAGATTTTCACAGAGGAGATAGCATTTGAGTTGGACCTTCAAGAATGTGTAGAACTTGAAGAGCTGTGGACGGGCATTCTCTGCAGAAGTCTGAATATCAGCATAGAAGTTAGGGTCATGTTCTGCCAGCCCTCACTTTTGAATGGACAATAAGAGAAGAAAGGGAAGAAGAGTGGGAAGCTAGGCTGGGTCCGGATCGCAGGGGTCCTAGAATTAAATAGACCAAGTGGAAAGTGGATTTAGTGTGTGGTATAAATGCCAGTAGAGCTCTGCATGGGACACTGATGTGGTCAGAGCTCTGTTAAAAGAATCTGGTAGTAGCAGTCATTCTGCGAAGAAGATTGAGCACCAATCAGGTACCAAGCATTATGCTAGGTGATGAGAGTACATAAATTATGACAATATAATTTCTGACTTTAAGGAATATAGTCTTAGTAGCAACAGTGTGCATGGAGGTGGGGAATGACAACAAGCGGGAGACAAGTTGGAAGACTATATTGCAGTAACCTGAACAAGAAAGGAAAGCCTAAATTATGAAGGTGGAGAAGAAGGCATAAATCTGTATTTCTCAGGTGAAGAGTTTCAGAACTGTGATGATGTATCAGTAATCTATCACTGTGTTAAGAATCACCCTGAAACTCGTGGATTAAAACAGTAAACATTTGTTCTTGCTCATGAGTATGTGAAGCAGCTGGGCTGGGCTTAGCTGATTTTGGCTAGCGAGCTAAGGTGTCTGCGCTGGTCTGCTGGGGTCTGGCTGCTCTAAGATGGCTTCTTCTACATGCCTGCCTGACTAATGGTGGTGTTACGCCATGCCTCATTCCTCAGCCAGCAGGCTAGCCTGGGCTTATTCACCAGGCCACAGCATAAGGTTTACAGGAGAGTGCAGAAATAAACAAGTCTTATGCTGGCACAATGTCAGTTCCACTGTATTCTGTATACTGTTACTGAAGCAGGTAACAAGACCAGCTCAGATTCATGGGATAGGGAGATAGTCTCCACCTCTTGGAGGAACCGCAAAGTCACATGCAATGGTTATGGATAGAGGGAGAGGTGGAGAATTGTAGCCATTTTTGTAATCGCTGTATCACATATAGTCAGTGGACTGCCAGTATCACAGTCATTCAAAAGCATGCCTTAGCTATGGAATCCTGAAATCTGGGGAAAGGGCCCCAGAGCCTATATTTTTAACAAATTCTCATGGTTATTCCTGTACACACAGGTTTAATCACCACTGGGCTATCCATGAAATATTACAGGACAAGTAGGGCAGGGCAAAACTTCTCAGCGTGGACTTCATACAGCCTATCTCTATCCCCTTCAAGGCTGACTTCAAATAAAGTCAAAAGAGCCAAAGAACACAGCATGATAGGAAAGATTTGGACTTATATTTGGGAGACATCTTCTGATTATTATCTTCTGTTAAGAAAATGTGTATTCTAAAGTAGCAAGCCTTCATAAAGAGTGATGGAAAATCAGGGAAAAATTAGGCAGCCCGAGTGAGAATATTTGAATGTGAGACATAGAAAACCTCCCATGTTAAATGTAGTAAGAGAAAGGAAATGCAAGAAGACAAGCTTACCTTTTGTAGTTTTGTTTCTAAAGGGTTGCTATATGCCCCCATCAGTAATTATACAGGAAGTTAGTACTAGTAGTACAGGTGTCTTTTTTGAAAGAGAAAGAAAATAATGACTTCCCTCAGTAATTTGGGCTCAGAGACATGAGCATGGAAGATCTGCAGATGAAAGCACCCTCTGATGGCCCTGGTGATTTTGGAGCAATTTTATAGACTTGAATCTAGGTACAAAGGAAGGGCTTACATTTTGGGAATCAGAAGAAAGTTGGAGTAGATTTTTGAGATGTTTCCTTAATGAAGAATATATTTATTATTAAGTTAATATAAGTCATTAATATTAATTTTTCCTGTTTAACAGTAAATGGTATTGAAATATATACTAACAGGCAAAAAGAAAAAAAGACACAGGCTACCTTCAGAGATTTCAGAAAGTCATCTGATAGTAGTGTTGATTTTTCATAAATTTAAATCTTATTCTTAAAAAAACTTCTTGTAAAAATAACTCGAGAGTATACTGAACAGAAATAGAAACAACTTAAAATGTTTTACTACCCCTATTTTAAATTATTTTATATTTTTTCTTCTTACCCTTAAAACATTTCAGTTAAGAAATGAATAATTTTTACTTTAAAAAAAAGATTTTTACACATCAGATGCTATAAGACTCGCTTGGTGAGAAGAGTATTTCTGGGATTATTTTGAAGCCAAGGGTTTTGTTTCTACCTCTGTCTAACTAGTTGCTTGGTTTGAAAAAATCTAGCTTCTACTTTGTGAGTATGGAGTTACGTTCTAAAACTCCTCACAGTAGAAGATTGCTAAGACTAAATGATCCAGAGTTTGTGCTGAATTACTTTTGCTATCTGACCTTTTATTTTAACAAAATCATAGGTTTTTTTCTTCCCTTTTTTTCCTTCCTCCTACACATGTATTTTCAGAATTTAAAACAGTCTCTTCTTTCCATTCATGAAAAATCACAAAAGTATGTAGAACTTGTTTGTCTCTCAAATGGCCACTTGGTACATCTTAAACAGAGTGGCCTTGGTTAGGATTTTGAATTACGGTGAATGAAATATAAAAATAAATAATTTTAAAAAGAAAAGAAATCATAAAAGTTAATAGTTAATTGATGATTTTTGAATATAGGACTTTCTAAACAGAAAAGTAATGAAAAAATTGTGGAAGATAGACCATTGAAAACTTTGACAAAGAATTAATATAATCAGCATGTAAACTCATGCAATGAAGTAATTAATACTAACTCCTATTAGGAAAATAGAAAATAATTTTAACATATAATCCAAAGACTTATAAGTGACCAGTGTGCATCTAAAAATAATTTGCTGTATATTAGCAAAGAGTTAGTTTGTTCATCTCACTACATTTATTTTTTTTAATTTTTAATTTTTGTGGATACATAGCAGGTGTATATATTTATGGGGTACATGAGAATTTTAATACAGGCATGCAGTGTATAATACATCAGGGTAAATGGAGTATCCATCACCTCAAGCATTTGTCCTTTCTTTGTGTTACAAACAATCCAGTTCTACTCTTTTAGTTATTTTTAAATGTACAAAAAAAAATTGTTGACTCTCATCACGCTGTTGTGCTATTAAATACTAGATCTTACTCATTCTAATTATTTTTTGTACCCATTAACCATCTTCATTTCTGCTCATCCTCCACCCCAGCATCTGGTAACCGTCTTTTCACTCTCTATCTCCATGAGTTTGTTTTAATTTATAGCTCCCACAAATAAATAAGAACATGCAAAATTTGTCTTTCTGTGCCTGGCTTATTTTACTTAACACAGTAACCTCCAGTTCCATCTACGTTGTTGCAAATGACAAGATCTCATTTTGTTTAATGGATGAATAGTATTCTATTGTGTATAAGTACTACATTTTCTTTATCCATTCATCTGTTGATGGATACTTAGGTTGCTCCCAAATCTTGGCTACTATGAATAGTGCTACAGTAAACATGGGAATATAGATATCTCTTTGATATAATTATTTCCTTTCTTTTGGGCATATACCTAGCAGTAGAATTGCTGGATCATATGGTAGCTCTACATTTAGTTTTCTGTGGAACTTCCAAACTGTTCTCCATAGTGGTTGTACTAATTTACATTCACACCAAAAGTGTACAAGGGTTCCCTTTTCTCCATATCCTCGCAAGCATTTGTTATTGCCTGTCTCTTGCATAAAAGCCATTTTAACTGGAGTGAAATGATGTTTCATTGTAGTTTTGATTTGCCATTTCTCTGAGGATCAGTGATATTGAGAACCTTTTCATATGCCTTTTTGCCATTTGTATGCCTTCTTTTGGGAAATGTCTATTCAGATCTTTTGCACAGTTTAAAAATTAGATTATTAGGTTTTATCCAATATGTAAGCAGCTATTTGAACTCCTTATATATTCTTGTTATTAGCCTCTTGTCAGATGGATAGTTTGCACATATTTTCTCCCATTCTGTGAGTTGTCTCTTCACTTTGTTGATTGTTTCCTTTCCTGTAAAGAAGGCTTTTAACATGGTGTGATCCCATTTGCTGATTTTTGCTTTTTGACCTGTGCTTGTGGAGTATTACTCAATAAATCTTTGCCAATCCAATGTCCTGGAGAGATTCCCCAACATTTTCTTTTAGTAGACTCATAGTTTGAGGTCTTAGATGTAAGTCTTTAATCCATTTCAAATTGATTTTTGTATATGGTGAGAGATAGGGGTCTAGTTTCATTCTTCTGCATATGGATATCCAGTTCCCTCAGGAGTATTTATTGAAGAGACTGTCCTTTCCCCCAGTGTATTCTCTTGGCACCTTTTTTGAAAATGAGATCAACATAAATGTATGGATTTGTTTCTGGGTTCTCTGTTCTCTTCCACTGATCTATGTGTCTGGTTTTATGCCAGTACCATGGTCTTTTGGTTATTATAGCTTTGTAGTATAATTCAAAGTGGGGTTATGTGATCCTTCCAGTTTGCTTCTTTCTGCTCGGGATAGCTTTGGCTATTCTTGGTCTTCTGTGGTCCCATGTAAATATTACAATTACTTTTTCTATTTCTGTGAAGAATGTCATTGGTATTTTGATAGGGGTTGCATTGAATCTGTAGTTTGCTTTGGGTAGTATGGACATTTTAACAATATTGAGTCTTCCAATCCATGAACACGGAATATGTTTCCACTTTTTGTGTCTGCTTCAATGTTTTCATCAATATTTTATAGTTTTCATTGTAGATATCTTTGACTTCTTTGATTAAGTTAATTCCTAGGCATTTTATTTTACTTGTAGCTATTTTAAATATTTGTATTTAAATAAATAAATAAATAAATAAAAACTTGTAAATAAATACTTGTATTTACTTGTAGCTATTTTAAATGGGATTACTTTCTTGGCTTTTCAGATTGTTTGCTGTTAGCATATTGAAATGCTGCTGACTTTTGTATGTTGATTTTATATCCTGCAACTTTCCTGAATTTATATATCACTTTTAATAGTTTTTTGGTGGGTTTTTCCAAATATAAGATCCATACCACCTGCAAACAAAGATAATTTGGCTTCTTCCTTTCCAATTTGTATGCCCTTTATTTATTTGTCTTGGCTGATTGCTCTAGCTAGGACTTTCAGTACTATGTTGAATAACAGTGGTGAAAGTGTGCATCTTTGTTATATTCCACATCTTAGAGGAAAGGCTTTCTGTTTTTCCCCTTTCAACATGATACTAGCTGTGGGTCTGTCATATGTGACTTTTATTGTGTTGAGGTGTATTCCTTCTATGCTCATTTTTTAGGGTTTTTTGTCATGAAGGAATGTTGAATTTTATCAAGTGCTTTTTCAGCATCAGTTGAAATGACCATATGGTTTTGTATCTGTTGATATAGTGTACCACATTGATTGATCTGCTTATGTTAAACCATCCTTGCATCACTGGGATAAATCCCAAATGGTCATAATGAATGATCTTTTTAATATGTTGAATTCAATTTGCTATTATCTTTGCATCAATGTTCATCAGGGATATTGGCCTGTGGTTTTCTTTGATATCTTTGTCTGGTTTTGGTATCAGGATAATACTGGCCTCATAGAATTAGTGTGGAAGTATTCCCTCTGCCTCTGTTTTTCAAAATAGTTTGTGTTGGATTGGTATTCATTCCTTTTTAAATGTTTGGTAAAATTTAGCAGTGAAGCCATTGGGTCCAGGGTTTTTCTTTGCTGGGAAATTTTTTATTATGGCACCAATCTCATTACTTTTTATTGGTTTGTTTAGGTTTTGGGTTTCTTCATGGTTTAATCTTGGTAAATTGTGTGTGTCTAGGAATTTATTCATTTCTTCTAGGTTTTCCAATTTATTGGCATACAGTTGCTCATAGTAGCCTTTAACAGTCCTTTGAATTTCTGTAGAATAGGTTTTAATGTCTACTTTTAATCTCATTTTTATTTGGGTCTTCTCTCTTTTTTCTTAGCCTGACTAAAGGTGTGTTGATTTTGTTTATGTTTTCCAAAGAACAACTTTTTGTCATGAATCTTTTGTATTGTTTTTTTCGTTTCATTTAGTTCTACTCTTTATTACTTCTTTTCTTCTACTATTTTTTCGTTTTGTTAGCTCTTGCTTTTCCAGTGGTTTAAGATGAATCATTATGTTATTTGAAGTTTTTCTACCTTTTAGATACAGGCGCCTATTGCTATAAACTTCCCTCTTAGTCCTGCTTTCACTGTATCCCATAGGTTTCAGAATGTTGTGTTTGTATTATCATTTGCTTCAAGAAATTTTTGAATTTCCTTCTTAATTTCCTCATTAACCCACTGGTCATTTAGGAACATATTGTTCAATTTCCATGTATTTGTCTAGTTTCCAAAATTCCTCTTTTTAGTGATTTCTAATCTTATTCCATTGTGGTCAGAGATGATACTTGATATAATTTCAGTTTTTTTCAACTTTTTAATATACTTTTTTGTGGCCTAACATATAGTCTATCCTTGAGAATGATTCATGTACTGAGGAAAAGAATGTGTGTTCTGCAGCTGTTGGATGAAATGTTCTGTAAATATCTATTAGGTCCATTTAGTCTATAGTGCAGATTAAGTGTTATGTTTCTTTGTTGAGCATCTTTCTGGAACACTTTTCCATTGCTAAAACTGGGGTGTTGAAGTCTGCAGCTATTATTGTATTGGGATCGATCGATCTCTTAAGCTCTAATAATATTTGCTTTATATATCTGGGTGCTCCCGTGTTAGATGCATATATAATTATAATTAATATATCCTCTTACTGAATTGACTGACCCCTTTATCATAATATAATTACCTTCTTTGTCTCTTTTTATAGTTTTTATCTTCAAATCTGTTTTGTCTGATATAAGCATAGCTACTCCTGTTCTTTACTGGTTTCCACTGGAATTAAGTATCTTTTTCCTTTTTTTTTTTTTTTTTTTTTTTGAGACGGAGTCTCACTCTGTCGCCCAGGCTGGAGTGCAGTGGTGTGATCTCGGCTCACTGTAAGTTCCACCTCCCGGGTTCACGCCATTCTCCTGCCTCAGCCTCCCGAGTAGCTGGGACTACAGGTGCCTGCTGCCACGCCCGGCTAATTTTTTGTATTTTTAGTAGAGACGGGGTTTCACTGTGTTAGCCAGGATGGTCTCGATCTCCTGACCTTGTGATCCGCCCACCTCGGCCTCCCAAAGGGCTGGGATTACAGGTGAGAGCCACTGTGCCCAGCCTCTATATGTATTTTCATTCTCTATAGGTGAAATGTGTTTCTTGTAGGCAACAGATCATTGGACCTTATATTCATTCTATTCTGTGTCATTTAGTCTTTTTTCATTTAATGCTATTATTGTTTAGTAAAGATTTACTCCTACCATTTTGTTATTTGTTTTCTGGTTGTTTTGTGGTCTTCCCTTTCCTCTTCCCTTCCTTCCTGCCTTCCTTTTAGTGAGTGATGTTCTCTGGAGGTATGTTTTAATTTCTTGCTTTTTATTTTTTGTGTATCTGTTGTATATTTTTTGATTTCTGATTACCATGAGGCTTGAAATTAATATGACCTTTTTTTAAACTGATAACTTAACACTGATTGCATAAACAAACAAGCAAGCAAGCAAGCAAAGAGAAAATGAATAAAAACTCTACACTTTAACTTTGTCCCCCTGGTTTTTAGCTTTTGTTTCTACTTATATTTTATTATACTGTTTACGTTTGAAAAATTGTTGTAGTTATTATTTTTGATTGGTTCATCTTATAGTCTTTCTACTCAAGATATGAATAGTTTACACACCACAATTACAGTGTGTCCTTTTATTCTGTTTTTCTGTGGCTTACTATTACCAGTGAATTTGTACCTTCAGATGATTTTTTATTGCTCATTAACATCCTTTTCTTTCAGATTGAAGAACTCCCTTTAGCATTTCTTGTAGGACATGTCTGGCATTGATGAAATCTCTCAGCTTTTCTTGGGAAATTTTTTATTTTGCCTTCATGTTTGAAGGATATTTTCGCTGGATATACTATTATAGGATAAATTTTTTTTTCCCCTTCAGCACTTTAAATATATCATGCCATTCTCTCCTTGCCTGTAAGGTTTCCACTGAAGTCCGCTGTCAGAACTACTGGAACTCCATTGT
Source organism: Homo sapiens (assembly GCF_000001405.40). Classification (NCBI taxonomy): domain Eukaryota; kingdom Metazoa; phylum Chordata; class Mammalia; order Primates; family Hominidae; genus Homo; species Homo sapiens. Next base: position 226,923,407 of record NC_000002.12, read on the forward strand.
ATGTTATTTGTTTCTTTTCTCTTGCTGTTTTTAGTATCCTTTCTTTTTCCTTGACTTTTGGGAGTTTGATTATTAAATGTCTTGAGGTAGTCTTATTTGGGTCAAATCTGTTTGATGTTCTGTAACTGTCTTGTACTTGAATATTGACATCTTTCTCTAGGTTTGGAAAGTTCTGTTATTATCCTTTTGAATAAACTTTCTACTTCTATCCCTCTCTCTCTCCATCCTCTTTCAGGCCAGTAACAGTTTGATTTGCACTTTTAGGGCTATTTTCTAGATATTGAAGGTGTGCTTCATTCCTTTTGTCTCCTCTCACTGTGTGTTTTCAAATAGCCTGTCTTCAGGGTCATTAATTCTTTCTTCTGCTTGGTCAATTGTGATGCATTCTTCAGTATGTCAATTACATTTTTCAACTCCAGAATTTCTTCTTGATTTGTTTTAATTATTTCAATCTCTTTGCCAAATTTGTTTAATGGGAATCTCTCCCTTCAGGGAAGTGGGGTCCCCTCTGGCCCAGCTCAGGTCCAGAAATGCTTTCCAAGAGCCAAGGCCTGGAATCAGGTACCCCAAGAGCCTGCCTGATGCTCTACCCTGCTGTGGCCAAGCTGGTACCTAAGCTGCAAGACAAAGTTCCCTTTACTTTCCTCACTTCTTTCCTTAAGCAGAAGGAGTCTCTCCCCAAAGCCACCATATTGGGAATGTGCTTGGGTCAAACCTGAAGCCAGCATGTCTCTGAGTCTCACCCAGATACCATGGGGTAAGTACTGCCTGTTTACCACAGTGGCCTATTCAGGTCCCTAGAGCCCTTTAGTCAGCAGGTGATGAATCCTGCTAGGATTGAGTCTTTCTCTTCAAGGCAGAAGGTTTTCTTCTGGCCAGGGTGCGTCTAGAAATGATGTCTGGTAACTAGAGCCTGGAATAGGGGCCTCAGGACTCTGCTCGGTACCCTATCCTACTGTGGCTGAGCTGGTATCCAAGTCGCAAAACAAATTTGTCTTTACTCTTCCGTTTTCTCTCCTCAAGCACTGGGAAATAGTCTCTTCCAGAGCTGCGAGTTGCAGTGCCTGAGGTTGGGAGAGGGGTAACACAAGCACTGACTTGGCTGTCCCGGCTGATGTCTCACTGGAAGGCATGTCCCCCAGGTCCACTGGCTCTGAGCCCAGCACAGCACCAGAGCTTACCCAAGAATTGCAGTTCTTGTGACTCAGACTACCTTTCAAGTTTATTTAGGACCCCAGAGCACTTTTGCCCATGGTGTCAGGGCCTGATGGAACTCAGGTTCTGACCACTGGGATGGGCAATTCCCCTCTGGCCTAGGCGGGTCTAAATGCTCACTCCCTGGGTGCTGGCTAAGTTCTGCCCAGTTTTGCTTTCTGGCAGTGCTGAGTTCCAATGGGATGTCCACAATCACTGTGCTCTCCCTCCCCCAAGTACACAGATTCTCTGTCTATGCTACCAGGGGATGGATGAGGAGTGGCATTGGCAATTCAAGACTATCTTTCCTTCTCCCTTCAGTGCCTCTTTCAGTGTTGTGAAGTTAAAACCAGGTACTGTGATCACTCACATGATCTTTGGTTCTTATGAAGGTGATTTTTTCTGCAGATAGTTCTTCAGTTTGGTGTTCCTCTGGGAAGGATGATCTGTAAAGCTTTCTATTTGGCCGTTTTGCTCCACCTCCCTCCATCTCACCACATTTAATGTTGGTAGTGATAACAGACATTTCTATATGCTGCTGATATGAATGCAAATTGGTATAACCTTTCTGGAAAACACATTGGAAATGTATAATCAAGAGGCTTACCTTCAGTGATTCCTTGACTAGGAATCTAGCCTGAGGAAATAATAGAGAGATGGTCCAATATTTGTTTTTAAGTTACTGATTCCCTAATTAAATTTAGTAACAAAAACTTAAATACATTGAAATTTGCACAACAATGTGTGCAAGGGTTAAATCAGTTGTGGTTTCATTGTAAAATGGAAATATTAGGCATCTATTAAAAATAACATTTTTGAAAAATTTAGTGGCATGAAAATATGATTACAACATAATTGCTGAATGAAAAAACGTAAGGCACAAAATAGTATGTACCATATGGCCAGAAATTTATAAAATAAGCCAACTCAAACCAAATATTTTTCCTTAGGAAAAAAAAATGAAAACGGCCTTTGACAAATGTCTTCTTGATTCTTACACTTAGACAATTACAATGGTTTCAAAGGAAAATAAAATTCAAATTAATATAAATTTTTATAAAGCTGCTTCCTTTGCCATTGTTAGTTACTGTATAAGGCACTTCAAGAGTCTTTTTAGACCTGTTTCCTTGAAACTAGTTTCGTGTGCTGTTCAAAACATTCATTCAAAATAAAATTCTGTGGTCAAATAAGCTTGGGAAATATGTAATTAATTGGTTTCTTAATTGCAGAGCTAATTAGAATCATAAGTAGCATACCAGTGTCATTGTGGATATTCAAGGAGGTATGGTTTGCAGTATTTCCCAAATTTATTTGAATGTAGAGTTTGTGTGTTTGTGTGTGTGTGTTTCAGAGGGGAAAGGGAAGAGGAGGAGAGGGAGGGAGGATAGAAGAGAGAAACTAGAATTGTTTGGGCTGAACCCTCTGACAGGTTGGAGACATCCTGTTACTTTGCCTCTAAATCCTTCAATGTGTATCTTTTGAAAAATAAGGGCCATTGGCCAGGTGCAATGGCTCACGCCTGTAATCCCAGCACTTTGGGAGGCCGAGGCGGGTGGATCATGATGTCAGGAGATCGAGACCATCCTGGCTAACACAGTGAAACCCCGTGTCTACTAAGTAAATAAAAAAAAAAAAAAAATAAGGGCCATTGTGCTACTTATCTACAACATCATGGCCACATCAAAGAAAATTAGCAGGAATTCCCTAGTAACACCTACCATTTAGTCCAAATATGAAATTTTCTAATTTTCTCAAAGAGTATGTTTTATAGTCAGGTTTTCAAGGTTCTGATGTTGCATTTGATTATTTCTTTTTAATATAAAAACCATACCGTGCCCTTTTTATGATTTAATTTTTCAGGACACCAGTCTCATTGAATGGTAGGTGTCTTATTATTTCTTTGTGGTGTATTTAAATAGTTAGTTCTGTGTATTTCTGTATATATTGGCACTTACATTTGAGGACTTGATTAATTGGATTTGGGTTACACATTTTTAGCAAGAAAATGTCATAGGTAACACTGTGTTCTTCAGATTGCATCAGGTCAGGAGATACACTGTGTCAAGCCATACCACTAATACCTGGTTACTAGTTTCAGAAAGTGACTGACAAGTCTCTCTGTTGCAAAGGTACATTTTTCCCTTTGCTGTTTGCAAGTTCCACATGAAGTGATACTATGTCACCATATGAATATCCTGTTTCCTAAAAATTACTTGAAAACCTTTCAAGTAATGGTTTTTGTAGTCTTTGGTGATCTTTTTTTACAAGGCTAAATATTAGTCTTGTATTATGCACTTCTGTATAAAAACTGATCACCTATCAGTTATTTCTTTGGGTTCCTTGTTAATATTTTTATTTCTTTAAAATTTATAGTGAAATTTACTCCGTGTGGTGTACACTTATGTGAGCTTTGACAGAAGTATAGAGTGGTTTATCATAACAATCTAGATACAGCACAGTTGTATCACTCCAGAAAATTACCCATCACTCTCCCTTTGTAGTCAACCTACTCTGACCCTTAATCCTCAACAAGCACTGTTCTCTTCTCCATCTCCTTAACTTTGCTTTTTCCAGCATGTCATATAAATGAAATCACACAGTATTTAGCTTTGAGAGGTCGTACTTCTTTCCCTGAGCAAAGTTTATTTGTTATTCATCTCTTTCTATTAACTATATTGATAATTTTTTTTCTTTTATGGTTGAATTATACTCTAGTGTATAGATATACCAGAAGTTTTTTTTTGTTTTTTTGTTTTTTTGTTTTAATCCTTTCACCAGTTGAAGGATATTTGGGTTGATTCCAGGTTTGACATTTATGAATAAAGCTGCTATAAAAATTTACGTACCGGAATTTGTGTAAATATAAGTTTTCATGTCACCTAGGTAAGCACATAGGAGTAGGGTTTCTGGATTATATATGGTAAATTTATGTTTAACTTTATAAGAATCTGCCTGTTTTCCTAAGTGTTTGTACCAGTTTTCGTTCCTGCCGGCAGTATATGAGAGTTCCAGTTGCTCTCGGTTCTCCCAGCATTTGGTATTTTCAGTTGTTTTTATCTTAGCCATTCAAATAGGCGTGAGGTTGCAGTTTTCATTTATATTTCTCTAATGACTAATGATGTTTCTGTTTATCGACTACCTATATATCTTCTTTGCTGAAGTTTCTGTTCCATTATTTTGTCTACTTTTAATTGGATTGTTTGTTTTCTTATCTTTGAGTTTAGGGAATTCTTTATATATTCTGAATAAAAGCGCTTCATAAGATAGGTGATTTGCAAATATTTTCCCTGAGTCTGTGGCTTTTTCCCCCATTCTCTTAAAAGTATCTTTTGTGGCACAAAAGTTTATAATTTTGATGAAGCACAATTTATCAATGTGTCAAGCATTTAGTGTTGTATCTAAGAATCTTTTGATGTAACCCAAGACCATGATTTTCTGCTACATTTTCTTTTAGGAGTTCCATGGTCTTAAAATTTACATTTAGATATATAGCCCATTTTGAGTTAGTTTTTATATAAGATGTGAGGTATGAACCAAAGTTTGTTTTTTGCTTGTGGACTTCCAAATATTTCAGCACCATTTGTAAAAATGACTATCAGTTCTCCAATGAATTGCCTTTGTACTTTTTTCAAATAACAATTGAATATGTTTACATCAGTCTATTTCTGAAAATGTAAAAAACTTGAAGTCATATCAGATATCTTCTCAGACCATTGCAGAGTAAAACTAGAAATCAGTTCTAAAAGGAATCCACAAAACCATATAAATACATGGAAATTAAGCAAATCTGCTCCTTTATGATTTTTGGGTTAACAATGATATCAAGATGGAAATTAAATAATTCTTCAAGATAAATGATAATAGTGACACAAGATATCAAAACCTCTGGGATACAGCAAAAGCAGTGCTAAGAGGAAACTTTATAGGGCTAAATGCCTACATCAGAAAGTCTGAAAGATCACAAATTGACAATCTAATGTCACACGTCAAGGAAGTAGAGAAATGAGAACCAACTAAACCTAAAGCTAGAAGAAGAAAAAAAATAACAAAGATCAGAGCAGAATTAACAGAAATTGCAACAACAACAACAACAAAAAAGATCATGAAACAGAAAGTTGGCTCTTTGAAAAGATAAACAAAATCATAGACCGTTAGCTATCTTAACCATGAAAAGAAGAGAGAAGATTCAAATAAGCTGAATTAGAAATGAAAATGGAGACACTACAACCATCACCACAGAAATACAAAAGACCATTTGAGATTACTGTGAACACCTCTATGCATACAAACTAGAAAATCTAGAGGAAATGGATAAATCCCTGGAAATATACAACCCTCCTAGCTTTAATCAGCAAGAAATAGAAATCCTGAACAGACCAATAACAACCAGTGAGATTGAATCCATAATTTTTTAAATTGCCAACAAAAAAAACCCAGTGCCAGACAGATTCACAGCCAAATTCTACCAGACATTCAAAGAATTGGTACCAGTCCTACTGAAACTATTCCAAAAGACTGAGAAAGAGGGAATCGTCCCTAATTCATTCTATGAAGCCGGTATCACCATGACACCAAAGCCACAAAAGGACATAACAAAAGAATAAAAATACAGACAAATATCTCTGATGAACGTAGATGCAAAAACTCTCAACAAAATGCTAGCAAACTGAATCCAACAGCACATCCAAACAATAATTTACCATGAACAAATGAGTGTCATCCCAGGGTAGCAGGAATGGTTCAACATTCACAAGTCAATAAATGTGATTCATCACACAAACAGAATTAAAAACAAAAACCATATGATCATCTCAATTGATGCATAAAAAGCATTTGCTAAAGTCCAGCATCCATTTATGATAAAAAATGTCAACAAACTAGGAATCGAAGGAATATACCTCAACAAAATAAAAGCTATCTGTGACAGACTTACAGCCAATATCATACTGAATGGGAGAAAAGGTGAAAAGAATTCCCTCTAAGAACTGGAACAAGATAAGGATGCCCGCTTTCACCACTCTATTCAACACATTACTGGAAGTCCTAGCTAGAGCAGTCAGGCAAGAAAAAGAAAGGACGTTCAAATTAGAGAGAGTCAAAATGTCTCTGTTTGCTGATGATATGATTGTATGCTTGGAAAACCCAAAAGACGACTCCAAAAGACTTCCTAGATTTTATAAATGAATTCAGTAAAGTCTTAGGTTATAAAACTAATGTATACAAATCAGTAGCACTGCTACACACCAACAGCCACTAAGCTGAGAATCAAATCCAAAACTCAACCCCTTTTATGATAGCTGCAAACAAACAAAACAAAAAACAAAACAAAACAAAACAAACTGGGGATAAACTTAACAAAGGAGGTCTCTACAAGGAAAACTATAAAATACTACTCAAATAAATCATAGATGATACAAACAAACAAATGTATGTCCCATGTTCAGGTATTGGAAGAATCAATATCATGAAAATGACCATAATGCCTAAAGCAATCTGCATATTCAATGCAATTCCTATCAAGATACTAACACTGTTTTTCACAGAAATGTAAAAAATAACCCAAAAATTCATATGGAACCAAAAAAGAGCCTGAATGCCAAAGCAGTCCGAAGCAAAAAGAACAATCCAGAGGCATCACATTACCTGACTTCAAATTACACTACAAGGATGTAGTAACTAAAACAGCATGGTACTGCTGTAAAAGTCGATACAAAGACCAATGGAACAGAATAGAGAACCCAGAAATAAAGCCAAATACTTAAAACCAGCTGATCTTCAACAAAACTTAAACATTAATTGAGGAATGGACACCCTATTCAATAAATGGTGCTGGGAAAACAGCCACATGCAGAATATGAAACTATCCCTATCTCTCACCATATAAAAAATTAAAATCAATTAGAGACTTAAATCTTAAGACCTGAAACCATAAGAATTCTAGAAGAAAACCTAGGAAAAACTTCCCTGGACATTGGCCTAGGCAAAGAATTTATGACTAAGACCCCAAAAGCAAATGCAACAAAAACAAAAATAAATAAATGGGAGCCAGTTAAATTAAGTTTCTGCATGGCAAAAGAAATAATTATCAGAGTAAAATACAACCCACAGAATGGGAGGAAATATTTGCAAATTATGTATCTGACAAAGGACTAATATCCAGAATCTACAATGAATTCGAACAAATCAACAAGAAAAAAAAATAAACCTGTCAAAAACTGGGCAAATGACATGAATAGACATTCCTCAAAATAATACATACAAATGACCAAGAAACGTATGAAAAAAATGCTTAACATCACTAATCATCAGGGAAATGCAAATTCAAACCACAATATGAGATACTACCTTACCCCAACTGGAGTGGCCATTACTAAAAAGTCAAAAAGCAATAGATGTTAGTGTGAATGTGGGGAAAAGGGAATGCTTATACACTGATGGTAGGAATGTAAATTAGTTACCTCTATGGAAAACAGTACAGAGATTCTTCAAAGAACTAAATGTAGATCTTCCATTTGATTCAGCATTCCCACCACTGATTATCTACTCAAAGGAAAAGTCATTATATCAAAAGAAGTCATTATGCACACCTGCATGCATATGTTTATTGCAGCATAGTTAACAGTTGCAAAGATACGGAAACAAGTGTCCATCAACCAATGAGTAAAGAAAATGTGATATATATACACCATGGAATGCTACTCAGCCATAAAAAAGAATGAAATAATGTCTTTTGCAGCAACTTAGATGGGGCTGCTGGAGGCCAATATTCTAAGTATTAATAACTCAGGAATAGAAAACCAAATACCATATGTTCTCACTTATAAGTGGGAGCTAAACTATGAGTATGCAAAGACATACAGAGTGGTTTAACAGACTTTTGAGACTCAGAAGGGGAAAGGGTGAGAAAGGGGTGAGAGATTAAAAAGCCTACATATTGGATACAATGTACACTACTTGGGTGATGAGTGCACTAAAATCTCAGACTTCACCACTATACAATTCATCCATGTAACTAAAAATTACTTGTACCCCTAAAGCTACTGAAATAAAAAAAATTGAAAATCTATTTCTGGACTTTCTGTATTTTTTTCATTGATCTATGTGGAAATCTGTCCTTCACCAATACTAAATGATTTGATTTCTTTTGCTGTATAATCAATCCTGGAATCAGATAGCATGGATCCTCTTAGTTCTTTTTTAAAATTACTTTGGGTATTCTAGATCTTTTGCCTTTCTGCATGAATTTCAGAAGAAGCTTGTTGATATCTACTGAAAAAAAAAATCCCAAGATTTTGACTTTATAGATCAGTTTGGGAAAAATTAACATCTTAACAACAATGAGTTTTTCAATCCATGAATATGGTATATTTCTCCATGTACTTAGGTCTTCTTTGATTTCTTTGACCAGTGTTTTATAGTTTCGAACATGCAGATCCTCCATATGTTTTCTTAGATTTATACCTAAGTATTTTATGTTTTTTTGTAGGATGAGGTTTGCTATTTTAAAAATATTTTCTCTATCTGTTGAGACGATTATATAGTTTTTCTTTTTTATTAGCATACTATATTACTTTGATTTTCAAAGCCAAAGCAGTTTTGCATTCCCAGGATAAATCTCACCTGGTTGTGCTGTATTACACTTCATCCTGGTAAAAATGCCACGTGCACCTGAAAAGAATGTGTATTCTGCTGTTGTTGGATAGAATGTTCTATTTAAATGTTATTTAGATGAACTTAGCTGATAGTTTTTTCTAGGACTTCTGTATCCCTACTGATTGTCTCCTCGATTTAATGAATTCTGTTAGTATTTTGAATTACCTGTGATAATTATGAGTAATACTGAATACCTATTGTTGCAATAGTTACTCTGGACACATCAAAGACTTCAAATTCCTTTACCATCACCTTATTTTAAGGATGGGCATGATTTACCAGAGGGTTTTTCTCGGTATCTGCTTGAACTTCAGTTTCAGGTCCTCGTTTTGTGCTGTGACTCGGATAGGTTCTCCTTCCACTCCCTTGTCCCTCTCCCGGTAGTATAGTGCAATTACTTGTTGCTCTATGCTTTGTAGTCTGGTGGTGAGAGGCAAGTTATGGGTATGTCCTGATTAAGCCTTAGTCTTAAGCAGTTACTGTGCCCCTGGGTTTGGCAGTATGGCCTTCTCAGTGTTCTTGCCCCTCCCCCGGATTTAGAGGGTATGTTTTATTTTTCTTCCTTTTCCCTTCTTAAAGTTGCCATATGTTTTCACTAGCTCCCCAAGGGAAATGGTGGTTCTGCTAGTCCGTTCTCACACTGCTATGAAGAAATACCTGAGACAGAGTAATTTATAAAGAAAAGAGGTTTAATTGACTCACAGTTCCACATTGCTGGGGAGGCCTCAAGAAGCTTACAATCATGGTGGAAGGCAAAGGAGAAGCAGGCACGTTCTTCGCAGGGTGGCAGGACAGAGTAAGTGCAAGCAGGGGAAATGCCAGAGGCTTATAAAACCATCAGATCTCATGAGACCTCACTCACTATCACGAGAACAGCATGGAAGAAACCGCCCCTGTGATCTAATTACCACCGTGTGGGGATTATGAGGATTACAATTCAAGATGAGATTTGGGTGGGGGCACATCCAAACCCTCTCAGTGGTTTTTGCTCTTCTTTCAGGCATGTAAGGCATTATTCCATAGGCTATCTAGGGGAGAAGGATCTGGGCAGCCTTTCATACATTTCCTGGAGTGGGTGCTGTTCTTTTCCCACAGGACTGTACCATAGTGATAAAGGATGCTTTCTCTGGACTCTCCCTAGTCTCTCTTGTGAGACCAGATGAGGTTCTGAGAAAACCTGAAAGTGGGTGTGAATTTCTTTATATCATAGCCCTCCGGGGATTCTGGGTTCCCTTGCTGGCTTACAGTCAGCCTTTACCAATCTTCTTACAATTTGGCCGAAATTTTTTCACTGGTGTCCAGCAGAGACTGTCCTAGGTGAGGAAGTGCTCATGTGTCATTTTAGATTTATATTTGTTTAGTTGGCTGATCTGCTACCTCAGGTCTTTGATGGGTTCAAGAAAAGTTATTAGGTAGTCTCTCTGAGCCTACTCTGGCTTGGGAGGCTGCCCAATTAAAAAAAACAAGTTAATTTAAGGATTATGTAGCATTTATGTTTTTTATAAGGATGAAAGTGATGCCCTTTCCAGCTTTCTACATCCCAAGAGGAAGCTAGGAGCATTCCTTATTCTTCACTGGGGTTTGAATTATCATTTCTTGCATACTATTTATCAATTTTGTTTTCTTACATAAAGAGGATTTTTCCATCATGAAATAGATAGAAACTATAGTTTCTTTTTAAAAGTCTGGGTAAATCTCTCTTGGATTCCAAGGTTTTAGACTAAGGAGTTAATGTAATAGTTACCAATAATACTGAGTTTTGAAAAGACCCACTAACAAGCTCATTTGGTAGAAAGAATGCCAGTACCCCAGAGAAACATCCAGTACTATTTATAGTCATGCATTACATAATGTTTCGCTCAGCAACAGACCACATATGTGACAGTGGTCCCATAACATTATAAAACTATATTTTTATTATACCTTTTCTATGTTTAGATACACAAATACTTACCATTGCATTACACTTGCTTATGGTATTCACCACAGAAACATGCTATAGAGGTTTGTAGCCTAGGAGCAATAGGCTATACCATATAGCCTATATGTGTAGTAGGCTATGCCATGTAGGTTTGTGTAACTACACTTTATAATGACTGCACAATGACAAAATTGCCTAATGACACATTTTTTCAGAACATATCCCTGTGGTTAAGTGATGCATGACTGTCCTCTCAAACTTTTCTTTAGTTAAATAAATTGTAAGGGTACATTGAAAAATCAAGGTAGCTAGCAACTTTTAACCTCAGAATTTGCTATTATCGTATTTCATAATAGTACCTGGCCATAATTACAAGTCCTAAAGATCATGCCAGGAATAATAATGCCTAAGTTGCCTTTGTAGAAGAAATATTGAAATTTATATTATTTCAAGGGGCTTGAACATTTACTACTACTAACAAAAATCTTGTCTTGTTCTGTTGGCAGTCTCAGCTTTTATAAATGAATCCAAGAGGCAGCTGATACCACAGTAATAGAAAAATTTTGGAAAGGAGCCATGTTTTTCTTTGAGTCAAAAGGCAGATGCCAACTAGGAACATTAGCTCCTTGCATTTTTTTTCTCCCCCAACCCCACATCCCTCTGTGCATAATTTATGCCTTTTTCTTTTCTTTTTTTTTTTAAATAGCCTGCCACCAGGTTAAGTTGGTGCTGGGTACAAAGCTCTGTCCTTTTCAATTTCTATCTGCCAGCGTGCAGCATGGGTACTGGTTGAAGCCGGAAATCCTTACTGACATGTGGAGTAACTTGTGCTTCTTTTCTTAGATTCTTCTGAAAGGCAAATGGCCACAATCACACTTTGGCTGTCTTGTGAAAAAATCAAGCAGAATTGTCACCCCCAGCTCTGCACTACACAGTTGAGGTTGCTAGGTAGCATATATGAAACTATGGTGGAATATACTACAAAAGTCTTGGCTTGAGAATGAAACTGATTGCTGCTTTGTTTCTTAGTCTCTAGATGTAAAAACCGGGAAAGCCATATTAGAAAAAATATTTAGATTTCAAATTAATATGTAGTGCTTTGTTAACAGAGCATTTAATGATCCCTTTGAATCCTGTTTATGAGCAATCATATATTCATAGGGACCAATTGAGATACGCTTTAAGTTAAAAAGGGGAGATAATTTATTTAATTAAGTTGTACATTTTTCTTTTTTCTGATGCAACATCAAGGTATGTAAAAGTAACATTTATTTGTCTTACTGTGTGGCAATTTTTGTAAAGAATTGGATAAATTATGTTGATGTTCTTTTCATCTTTGATGGTGTGTTACAAAGAAAAAACGATGGGAATTTCAGTGACCTGAGTTTCATTCCTAGCATAACCATTAACTAACTTTATTTGTGCTGTGAGTCACTGAATCTGATCAGATCTCAGTTTTATTTTTTTTTTTTATAATGAAGGAATCGAATTGGTTATGCTTCAGAGTCTCTTCCAGTTCCATGATTCTGAGGAGAACATAGCTAAAAAGAGATGGGAGTTTTGGGAGATGTCAGGAATGTGAGTTTTTGACATACAGGTCTCAGGGCTTACAGATGAAAGATCTCTGAAAGATAAATTCAAACAGCTATATAAAGCAGATCTAACTTGATAAACACATGTATTAGATGGTAGTACCTTATTCAGTTGCGTGATTATACAAGCCTTTATTGGCCCAGTGCAGGCATAATGCAATTGGCAATTTTTAATGTATGCAAATTTTCACTGCTGCCTTGCTTGGCATAGCAGAAACATTATAGCCAGGACAGAGATGTACGACTAATTCTGTGTGACCACTTAACTTCTTTTTTTTAAAAAGTAATTTGGTATGTTCTCCCCCAGGAAAACTTTCTATGTAATAAAAAAGTACCATCTGCCAGATTGTCTAAAAGCAATTTCAATGCAAAACAACACTTGCTTTAGATTACTGATTCTTACTTGCTGCTGTGTGTATTGAAGGTTTTCATTTCAGTGAATAAAAGTTTGATATTTGAGAATGTATCTAGATGTGAAATTTTACAACAGATTGTGCTTATATCTAGATTGTGGTTATATCTACATTTACAGTGCTATAAAATTGTACTTATATCTTAGATTGTACTTATATCTACCTATACTTTTTCAAATCTATGAAATTAGGTTCAATAATTTAAAATATTAACTGAAGCCCAGCCATTGCTTTAAAAAAGAGAGAGAGAGATACATGGAATTTAAATGTTTGGGAAACTGACCTTACTAGTTATCTGTGAATTAATTTATATGTAATCTTTTCTCTACCACCTACCCCCATAATAATCATTTATTGAAAGGCATTATTTGGATGCTGATGAGAAGATTTAACAATAAAAGCGTAAAGAAAAATGTAATGAATTAATTCTACCCATATCCCCCACAACTGATGGAGACTACGTTTTGGGCTACCAAATCTTAATGATTTCAGAAATATTTCTTTGCACACTCATGATGTTGCTCAGTACCGTCATTCATTCTGCTACTCAACAGAACCTTATTTGAGCCCTTCATATGTGTCAGCATTTTAGGCGGTTAAGTACTGTAGGCTATAGAAATGAATAAATCTTGTTCATTACTATCAAGGTAAAAATATTCTTCTTTCTGCCAAATGACAAGCGATTTAAATGACCTATTTCAGTTAAGCTAAGCAATATATTAGATTTAGGAAAGAGATATAGTAACTTTTGACTTCAAGTGAGGTCATTGCTTTACTTATCAATATGTGACATTCTCTACTTCAGCAACCATGATTCCCTAAGTTATGAAAGAATTTACAGAAAACGAAGTTGATTATAATACAGTGATTTAGATACTCAAGTTATTCATATAATTTTTAGCCTCAGAAGTTTTTGATGTGTATATTCTGTATTTAATGAGATCACATATAATTGAAGAAAACTTACTTTCTAGGCCTGATTCACAAACTCTTGTGATTTTTATAAAAATGTATTAATTTGGAAAAGATACATCAGACAGTACTTTACAATAGCAATCAATCTTATGTTCTCATTCAACAAAACTTGAGGGTGTGAACAAGTTTTTATACTATGTATCTGTACTAAAAAATAAAATAGTACCCGCTTTTTGAGCTGCAGACACTAGACTTTGTTTTATAAACTCAATAGTTGATATTTTCAGTGAATAAAATTTTGTTCTTTTTTAATTTGAGCCTTTCTAATTCCTTTCTTTTTTTAACTTTTATTTTAAGTTCAGGGGTACATGTGCAGGAAATGCAGGTTTGTTAAATATGTAAACGTGTGTCATGGAGGTTTGTTGTACAGATTATTTTACCACCCAGGTATTAAGCCTATAATCCACTAGCTATTTTTCCTGGTCCTCTTCTTCCTCTTGCCCTCCACCCTCCAATAGGCACCATTGTGCATTATTCATCTCCGTGTGTCCATGCGTTCTCATCATTTATCTCTCACTTATAAGTGAGAACATGCGGTATTAAGTTTTCTGTTCCTGCGTTAGTTTGCTAAGGATAATGGCCTCCAGCTTCACTCATGTCCTTGCACAAGACATCATTTCGGTTTTGTTGTGGCTGCATAGTATTACATGGTGTATACGTACCACATTTTCTTTATCCAGTCTATCATTGATGGGCATTTGGGTTGATACCATGTCTTTCCTATTGTGAATAGTGCTGCAGTGAACATACACGTGCATGTGTTTTTATAATAGGACAATTTATATTCCTATGGGTGTATACCCAGTAATGGGATTGCTGGGTTGAATGGTATTTCTGTTTCTAGGTCTTTGAGGAATCACCTCAGTGTCTTCCACAATGGCTGAACTAATTTACATTCCCACCAACAGTGTAAAAGCATTCCTTTTTCTCCACAATCTCGCCGGCAGCTGTTATTTTTTTACTTTTTAGTAATAGCCATTCTGACTGATGTGAGATGGTATCTCGTGGTTTTGATTTGCATTTATCTAATGATCAGTGATGTTGAGGTTTTTTTCATAGATTTTTCACCACATGTATGTCTTCTTTCGAAAAGTGTCTTTTCATGTCCTTTGCCCACTTTTTAATGGGGTTGTTTTTTTCTTGTAAATTTGTTTAAGTTCCTTATAGATGCTGGATATTAGACCTTTATCAGATGCATAGTTTGTAAAAATTTTCTTCCCTTCTGTAGTTGGTTCACTTTGTTGATAGTTTCTTTTGCTGTGCAGAATCAGAAATGATAAGGGGGATATTGCCACTGACCCCACAGAAGTACAAACAATAATCAGAGAATATTATAAATACCTCTATGCAAGTAAATTGGAAAATCTAGGAGAAATGGATAAATTCATGTACATACACCCTTCCAAGACTGAAGCAGGAAGAAATTGAATCCCTGAAGAGACCAATAACAAGTTCTGAAATTGAAGCAGTAATAAATAGCCTACCAACCACAAAAAGCCCAGGACCAGACGGATTCACAGCTGAATTCTATCAGAGATACAAAGAAGAGCTGGTACCATTCCTGTTGAAACTATTACAAAAAAATGAAAGAAAAAAAAAACGGACTCCTTGCTAACTCATTCTATGAGTCCAGCATCATCCTGATACCAAAACCTGGCAGAGATACAACAAAAAAGGAAAATTTTAGGCCAATATCTTTGATGAACATCAATGCAAAAATCCTCAACAAAATACTGGCAAACCAAATCCAGCAGCACATCAAAAAGCTTATCCATCAGGATCAAGTAGGCTTCATCTCTGGATGCAAGGCTGGTCCAACATTTGCAAATCAATAAACATAATTCATCACACAAACAGAACTAAAGACAAAAATCACTTGATTATCTCAATAGATGCAGAAAAGGCTTTCAATAAAATTCAACATCGCTTCATGTTAAAAACTGTCAATAAACTAGGTATTGAAGAAACATACCTCCAAATAATAAGAGCCATATATTACAGACCCACAGCCAATATCATACTGAATGGGCAAAAGCTGGAAGCATTCACTTTGAAAACTGGCACAAGACAAGGAAGCCCTCTCTCACCACTCCTATTCAACATAGTATTGGAAGTTCCGGCCAGGGCAATCGAACAAGAGAAAGAAATAAAAGGTATTTAGGAAGAGAGGAAGTCAAACTATCTTTGTTTGTAGATGACATGATCCTATATCCAGAAAACTCCGTCGTCTCAGCCCAAAAGCTTCTTAAGCTGATAAGCAACTTCAGCAAAGTCTCAGGATACAAAATCAATGTGCACAAATTGCTAGCATTCCTATACACCAACAACAGACAAGCTGAGAGCCAAATCACGAATGAACTCCCATTCACAGTTGCTACAGATGCCGAGGAGTACAGCTAACAAGGGAAGTGAAGGACCTCCAGAGGGAGAACCAGAAACCATTGCTCAAATAAATCAGAGAGGACACAAACAAATGGAAAAGCATTCCATGCTCATGGATAGGAAGAATCAATATCATGAAAATGGTCACACTTCCCAAAGCAGTTTATAGATTCAATGCTAGTCCCATTAAACTACCATTGACATTTCTCACAGAACTAGAAAAAAATTACTTTAAAATTCATATGGAGCCAAAAAGGAGCCCAAATAGCCAAGGCAATCCTAAGCAAAAAGAACAAGGCTGGTGGCATCACACTACCCAACTTCAAACTATGCTACAGGGCCACAGTAACCAAAACAGTATGGTAGTGGCACAAGAATAGACACATAGACC
The DNA here is from genome assembly GCF_000001405.40 of Homo sapiens. Taxonomy (NCBI): domain Eukaryota; kingdom Metazoa; phylum Chordata; class Mammalia; order Primates; family Hominidae; genus Homo; species Homo sapiens. The sequence goes on from NC_000002.12 coordinate 226,939,928, forward strand.
AATGGAACAGAATAGAGAACCCAGAAATAAGACTGTGTACACCTACAACTATCTGATCTTTGACAAAACTGACAAAAGCAATAGGGAAAGGATTCCCTATTTAATAAATGGTGCTGGGAGAACTGGTTAGCCATATGTGGAAGACTAAAGCTGGACCCCTTCCCTACACCTTATAAAAAAATCAGCTCAAGATGGATCAAAGACTTAAATGTAAAACCAAAAACTGTAAAAACCCTAGAGGAAAACCTAGGCAATTGTTGGGATTCGATCAGGCTGGTGCAATACCTCAGGCAGTACCATTCAGGACGTAGTTATGGGCAAAGATTTCATGATGAAGATGCCAAAAGCAGTTGCAACAAAAGTGACGCTTGAAAAAAGGATCTAAAAGAGCTTCTGCACACCAAAAGAAACTATCTAATTGTACGCATCAAACATGTCTGTAACATTTTAAAAGGCTTTGTCTTAATATTTATATCTTCAATTATGAATTGTCTCTTTTGGTATTTATAAAGAGCCACGTTGTTAAAAATATTAGGTGTATAACTGCCATTTAAGTCTTGGGAAGGGATATATTACTAAGATCATTTGCTTAATTTATTTGCTTGTGTGTGTGTGTGTATCTCATGACATGATTATATGCCCACAATTATATATGATTATTATAATTCATTAAAAATTTTAATTAAAAAGTAATTCAAATTGTTTCTAAAGTAGATAGATGATGGAGAGTGAGATAGGCAGTACTGTTTTCAAATAGAACTGTAATATGCTAGCACTGAAAGCAAACTTAGAGGTCATCATATCTGACACGTTGGTTTCAGATCAGGAAACAGAGAAAACAAGAGGCTTAATTCTCTGTCACAGTATACTGGCCCATTAACTGTGACCAGGATTACTATTGACAGTGTCCTGCCCTAGGAATACAGATGTGAAGTAGGTTGGTTCCCTAGGTTGGTCTGTGGGCAGCCTGGGAGTCAGAACCTCTCTGGAAAGTGCTAGATTAGACTCACATTTTCTTTTTCCTTTTTTTTTTTTTTGAGATGGAATCTCGCTCTATTGCCCAGGCTGGAGTGCAGTGGCATGATCTCGGCTCACTGCAACCTCCACCTCTCAGGTTCAAGCAATCCTCCTGCCTCAGCCCGCCTAGTAGCTGGGATTACAGGCATGCACCACCATGCCCAGCAAAGCTTTTTTGTTGTTGTTTGTTTGTTTGTTTGTTTTTAGTAGAGATGGGGTTTCTGTTGGCCAGGCTGGTCTCAAACTCCCGATCTCAGGTGATCCACCCGCCTCAGCCTCCCAAAGTGCTGGGATTACAGGCGTGAGCCACCCCGACCGGCCTGGACTCACATTTTCTAGGGCTCCCATGAGTCTCCCTAGAGCTGAACCTCAAGTGCACTTCTCCATCGGCCTTCAGCCTTCTGGGCTTGACTGCAAATGGACTCTCAGCCCTTTTCCTGCTGGCAGGGGCAAGTCCACCTGGCCTTTGGAGGTGTAGGAGACAAGTAGGTGATGAAGTGTGAGAAACAGTTCTGATATATGTGTGTTAACACTTGTTATATGCGTGCTGTGATGAGCGTGCAGTTCGGGTTTTGTTTTGCTATGGGAATTGACTTTTCTAGAAATCCCACCTGAATTCCAAGTAGTCCCAAGGTGGACCATGCTGAGAGCCTGAGAGAGATGAAAATGGTACTTGAGCTCATCTATTCTGGTCTTTTAGATGTTGTCTAGCATTTGTTTTGATTTTGAAAGTAATATTTATACACTATGGAAAATACAAACCAGCAAGAAGTCAAAAAAGTAATCTATAATTTCACCAAACATAGAAAAGCCACTTCGCATTTGGGTTATATCCATGCACATACCCATAACACAGGCACCTAGAGGAAAGCACTGTAAATATTTTGGTGAAATTCCTTCCAGGTTAATGAGTATTAGGTGGTAATGACTATGCTGAGAAGATTCACTTACCCACGCAGAACCCTATAAAATAAATATTTTAAATTATTTTCATTGTTTTAGATTGTGAGGCAGAGGCACAGAGAAATCAAATGACTTTTTCAGGGTCACATTCTAAGTGGTAAATATCAGATTAGAGGGCCAGATGTCTCTATTCCTAGTTGGGACACTTTTTACGTTATACAATATTATAGCCTCCTCAGAAAAAGTATATCTAGGCTGCTACTGAATTGTCAGTTAACTAAGTAGAGATTAACATGGTTTTCTTGTAAGTCTGTAGCCTGTCATATAATTGGCCCATGTAACTTAGCTGGAGGATGTTTGTATTCTTGGAGTTAGATTGGCTGTCGTGATCATCTTTTTTTTTTTTTTTGAGACAGAGTCTCGTTCTGTCACCCAGGCTGGAGTGCAGTGGCATGATCTCGGCTCACTGCAAGCTCTGTTTCCCGGGTTCATGCCATTCTCCCTGCCTCAGCGTCCTGAGTAGCTGGGACTACAGGTGCCCGCCACCACACCCGGCTAATTTTTTGTATTTTTAGTAGAGACAGGGTTTCACCGTGTTAACTAGGATGGTCTTGATCTCCTGACCTCATGATCCACCCGCCTTGGCCTCCCAGAGTGCTGGGATTACAGGCGTGAGCCACCGTGCCCAGCCGTTGTGATCATCTTGAATTCAGAAAACTGAAAACTCAGAGGTATGTGTGGCCACTATTGATAATTCTTTGCTAAATTAAAAAGACTGCATTATTTACAGAGATAGCAATGACAATTATCTTACTTTTGTCTTTATCTATTCATATATGTTTAGCTAAGTTTTTTTTGTTTGTTTGGTTTGGATTTTTTTTAATTTTTAAATATTAGTGACATTTGAATTAAGGATATTTGCATTGTTAATTTAAATAGAACTTAATTTGTCTTTAATAGTTTTCCTTTTAGAAAAGAAATGATTCATAATAGAAAAGAATAAATGTGCTTGCATTAAGTGTGCCTTAAGACATCACAATTTTATGTTGAGCTATTTCCCATTACTCCAGTTACTTATTAGTGGGAATTATTCACATGAGAATTTCCGCTGTTGTCCGCTCTGCCTCTCTTAAACAATCTTACAGTTATACCCATTCTCCCATCCATTATATTGTGTTGTGTTGCTGGTGAGAAAAACCAAGAGTCATATGTTGGTTTCCATTTATTATACAGTCACAAACAGCCTCAAGGTGGTCTAGTGTCATCTCATGGCAGTTCTCCAGTGATTCAAAACTATAATCGTGTTGTACTTAGTTATGGAGAGCCAGATGTGAGAGTCACGTATTTGTGTATCTTCACTAATCTCAATCAGAGGACCAAAGATCTCCTTAATAGATACCTGGCCCAAATTGTGCAAAAGTATAAAGATTACTATAAATATTAAACTGATTAAAATTACACTCTAATTATTTGCTTTGGAAAAATTGCAGATGGCCTGAGTGTGCAGTCATAGGAGACAGGTGAAACAAATCATGATATGAGGTGACTCTTGAATCATTGCATCGGGATTCTTTACAGATCAAACCAGAACAATCCAAAGCCCAGTAGTTTTTGATTTTCAACTCAATGAGTCTAAAAGGGAACCACTTGCTTCTGGCTAGCGTGATGCTAAAATAAAATGTAGCCCATGGACATTACAGGAGATAGTGTTTAATAAGTGTACTCTAGAAGTGACATCTATATAGAACACCTACTCTCTTCATTGTGTCTTTAAATAAGCTGGGTCTCTGGGGGTTAGTAAGGCCCTTCTTTTGCACACTGTGCTATGACAAAGATAAATTTTAAACCTCAAGTAATTTACTATTGTCTAGAGCATGCTTTTTGGAGAGGAGGGAAATAAGTCCCTGACTTACATAACGCAGGCCTAGTAAGGCCTATTTTGCATATAACTTTGAGATTGTGACATTTGTCAGGTTATGCTGCATTTCATCCCCCTTTGGTAGCCTTCATTATTTGCTCATTGTTATTTTAAAGTTTTATGTATTACAAAACCACATAAACAGTGCTTCTTGGTCTGTAGGCCCACCTGTGCAGTGGACTTCTGGATTTCTCTGTGTGCTCTGAGGAAGGGATCCAAGTGGCCATTGTTGACAGGCCATTGGCCTGTGTTGACAGCTTGTTTCTGTTATGCCTTTGCTCAGTATAGTCTTGCTGGTGGTAGCGACAGGGGGAAGTGAAAGACCACTGAGTGCCTCTTAAATCAGTTGTCATTTTGGCAGATTCAATCTAAACCAAGGATGACTTCCATATGCAATGGCTGTGCAGGATGTTTTGGCCCAAGCAAATAATACTTAATCAGCAGTGTGGTTCATCTTATTACTCTAAGGAGAAAATAACCTACTACCAAATTCTACTCTATTGTAGATAGGATTTTTTAAAACGAAAATAAAAACATCTGCTGTTTTGTAGCTGCTTGAACCTGAGGCTCTGTGCCCCTAGAGGAGCAGCGGTTGTACAATTGCTGTGCGTTCTGTGTCTCTTAGACCTTGCCACCAGGCTAGGGGGACACTGTCAGAGTTAATAAGCAATTAGGACGTTCTGTCCTGTCAATTAACTGGCAGAATAATGAGACCGCAGGAGCACTCTCCTTAAAAATGCCGAGACTTGTGTTCTGAAAAGCGTGTCTTTCTCTGCTGTTTGCAGTTACACGAATAGACAACTACTTAACACTTAAAAAAATACAGTGAAAATTATACCTACAGCAAACAGAAAAGAGAGGTATACAAATGGGATATCATTCACTCTAAACTCAGAATTCATAGATTTTCCTCCTGAGTGGCTGTAGTGATATTATAATATTTTCTGTCACCTTATTTGGCTTAAAGATTGACAGAATACTTAGGTAGTGAACATCCTTTGTTGTATAAATCAATGTTTAAAGTCTAAGTTTTGGACAATCTGGGTATTGATGCCAAATTTGAATTAGTGAGTTCCTGGCCATGGTCTATTGATGGATTTTTGTTTCCCCTTGAATGTGATGAGACCTTAGTGAAGGATTTTCATAGAGGAGCGAGGGGAGCAAAGAAAATAGATAAAAGCCCAGGAATAGGGAGACAGTCTGTTGGAGGAACTAGGTTGGTTGTGGTTACAATGTATTTTTCATGGGGAGATTTGTGGGGAGGATTGCAATTTATCAGAGGGCAGAGATAAGTAGGAATCAAGTTGTGAAGGGCTCAGTATGATGTGTTTGAAGGTTTTGTGTTTAATCCTGAGGACAGTGGAAACAAGATCAAATCTGATTATTATTATTATTATTATTATTATTATTATACTTTAAGTTCTGGGATACATGTGCAGAATGTGCAGGTTTGTTACATAGGTATACATGTGCCATGGTGCTTTGCTGCACCCATCAACCTGTCATTCTCATTAGGTATTTCTCCTAATGGTATCCCTCCCCTAGCCTCCCACGCCCTGACAGGCCCGGGTGTGTGATGTTCCCCTCCTTATGTCCATGTGTTCTCATTGCTCAACTCCCACTTATGAGTGAGAACATATGGTGTTTGGTTTCCTGTTCCTGTGTTAGTTTGCTGAAAATGATGGTTTCCAGCTTCATCCATGTCCCTGCAACAGACATGAACTCATCCTTTTTTATGGCTACATAGTATTCCATGGTTTATATGTGCCACATTTTCTTTATCCAGCCTATCGTTGATGGGCCTTTGGGTTGGTTCCAAGTCTTTGCTATTGTGAGTAGTGCCGCGGTAAACATACGTCTGCATGTGTCTATAGTAGAATGATTTATAATCCTTTGGGTATATACCCAGTACTGGGATTGCTGAGTCCAATGGTATTTCTGGTTCTAGATCCTTGAGGAATCACCACACTGTCTTCCACAATGGTTGAACTAATTTACACTCCCACCAACAGTGTAAAAGTGTTCCTGTTTCTCCACATCCTCTCCAGCATCTGTTTTTTACTGACATTTTAATGATCACCATTTTAACTGGCATGAGACGGTATCTCATGGTTTTGATTTGTATTTCTCTAATGACCGGTGATAAGGTTTTTTTTTCCTATGTTTGTTGGCCACATAAATGTCTTCTTTCGAGAAGTGTCTGTCATAACCTTCGCCCACTTTTTGATGTGGTTGTTTTTTCTTGTAAATTTGTTTAAGTTCCTCATAGACTCTGGATATTAGCCCTTTGTCAGATGGATAGATTGCAAAAATTTTCTCCCATCATGTAGGTTGCCTGTTCACTCTGATGATAGTTTTTTTTGCTGTGCAGAAGCTCTTTAGTTTAATTAGATCCCGTTTGTCAATTGTGGCTTTTGTTGCCATTGCTTTTGGTGTTTTAGTCATGAAGTCTTTGCCCATGCCTATGTTCTGAATGGTATTGCCTAGATTTTCTTCTAGGGTTTTTATGGTTTTAGGTCTTATGTTTAAGTCTTTAATCCATCTTGAGTTAATTTTTTTTGTCAAGTTTGTCAAAGATCAGATGGTTGTAGATGTGTGGTGTTATTTCTGAGGCCTCTGTTCTGTTCCATTGGTCTATATATCTGTTTTGGTATCAGTACCATGCTGTTTTGGCTACTGTAGCCTTGTAGTGTAGTTTGAAGTCAGAAGACAAGAAATTACTAAGATCAGAGCAGAACTGAAGGAGTTAGAGACATGAAAACCCTTCAAAAAGTTAATGAATTTAGGAGCTGGTTTTTTGAAAAGATTAACAAAACGGACCACTAGCCAGACTAACAAAGAAGAAAAGAGAGAAGAATCAAATAGACACAATAAAAAATGATAAAGGGGATATCACCACTGATCCCACAGATATACAGACTACTATCAGAAACTACTATAAATACTTCCAAGCAAATAAACTAGAGAATCTAGAAGAAATGGATAAATTCCTGGACACAGGAATATACCCTCCCAAGACTAAATCAGGAAGAAGTCGAATCCCTGAATAGACCAATAACAAGTTCTGAAATGTATGTATCCAGCAGCACATCAAAAGCTTATTCATCACGATCAAGTTGGCTTCATCCCTGGATGCAAGGCTGGTTCAACATACACGAATCAGTAAACATAATTCATCACATAAACAGAACCAATGACAAAAACCACATGATTATCTCAATAGATGCAGAAAAGGCTTTCAATAAAATTCAGCATCCCTTCATGTTAACAACTCTCAATAAACTAGGTATTGTTCACTCTGATGGTAGTTTCTTTTGCTGTGCAGAAGCTCTTTAGTTTAATTAGATCCCATTTGTCAATTTTGTCTTTTGTTGCCATTGCTTTTGGTGTTTTGGACATGAAGTCCTTGCCCATGCCTATGTCCTGAATGGTAATGCCTAGGTTTTCTTCTAGGGTTTTTATGGTTTTAGGTCTAACGTTTAAATCTTTAATCCATCTTGAATTGATTTTTGTATAAGGTGTAAGGAAGGGATCCAGTTTCAGCTTCCTACATATGGCTAGCCAGTTTTCCCAGCACCATTTATTAAATAGGGAATCCTTTCCCCATTGCTTATTTTTCTCAGGTTTGTCAAAGATCAGATAGTTGTAGATATGCGGCGTTATTTCTGAGGGCTCTGTTCTGTTCCATTGATCTATATCTCTGTTTTGGTACCAGTACCATGCTGTTTTGGTGACTGTAGCCTTGTAGTATAGTTTGAAGTCAGGTAGTGTGATGCCTCCAGCTTTGTTCTTTTGGCTTAGGATTGACTTGGCGATGCAGGCTCTTTTTTGGTTCCATATGAACTTTAAAGTAGTTTTTTCCAATTCTGTGAAGAAAATGGGAGAAAATTTTCGCAACCTACTCATCTGACAAAGGGCTAATATCCAGAATCTACAATGAACTCAAACAAATTTACAAGAAAAAAACAACCCCATCAAAAAGTGGGCGAAGGACATGAACAGACACTTCTCAAAAGAGGACATTTATGCAGCCAAAAAACACATGAAAAAATGCTCATCATCACTGGCCATCAGAGAAATGCAAATCAAAACCACTATGAGATACCATCTCACACCAGTTAGAATGGCAATCATTACAAAGTCAGGAAACAACAGGTGCTGGAGAGGATGTGGAGAAATAGGAACACTTTTACACTGTTGGTGGGATTGTAAACTAGTTCAGCCATTGTGGAAGTCAGTGTGGCGATTCCTCAGGGATCTAGAACTAGAAATACCATTTGACCCAGCCATCCCATTACTGGGTATATACCCAAATGACTATAAATCATGCTGCTATAAAGACACATGCACACTTATGTTTATTGCGGCATTATTCTCAATAGCAAAGACTTGGAACCAGCGCAAATGTCCAACAATGATAGACTGGATTAAGAAAATGTGGCACATATACACCATGGAATACTATGCAGCCATAAAAAATGATGAGTTCATGTCCTTTGTAGGGACATGGATGAAATTGGAAATCATCATTCTCAGTAAACTATCGCAAGATCAAAAAACCAAACACCGCATATTCTCACTCATAGGTGGGAATTGAACAATGAGATCACATGGACACAGGAAGGGGAATATCACACTCTGGGGACTGTGGTGGGGTAGGGGGAGGGGGGAGGGATAGCATTGGGAGACATACCTCATGCTAGATGACGAGTTAGTGGGTGCAGCGCACCAGCATGGCACATGTATACATATGTAACTAACCTGCACAATGTGCACATGTACCCTAAAACTTAAAGTATAAAAAAAAAAAAAAAAAAAAACGAAAAAAATAAAAATAAAAAAAAATAAAATAAACTAGGTATTGAAGAAACATACCTCCAAATAATAAGAGCCATATATGACAAACCCACTGCCAATATCATACTTAATGGGCAAAAGCTGGAAGACTTCCCTTTGAAAAGCAACACAAGACAAGGTTGCCCTCTCTCACCACTCCTGTTCAACATAGTATTGTAAGTTCTGGCTAGGGCAATCAGGCAAGAGAAAGAAATAAAGGGCATTCAAATAGAGAGGAAGTCAAATTGTCTCTGTTTGCAGATGGCATGATCCTATATCCAGAAAACCCCATCGTCTCAGCTCAAAAGCCTCTTAAGCTGATAAGCAACTTTAGCCAAGTCTCAGGATACAAAAATCAATGTGCAAAAATCACAAGCATTCCTACACACCAATAATAGCCAAATCATGAGTGAACTCCCATTCACAATTGCTACAAAGAGAATAAAATATCTAGGAATACAACTTACAAGGGATGTGAAGGACCTCTTCAAGGAGAACTACAAACCACTGCTCAAGGAAATAAAGGACACAAACAAATGGAAAAACATTCCATGCTCATGGATAGGAAGAATCAATATCGTGAAAATGGCCATACTGCCCAAAGTAATTTATAGATTTACTGCTACTCCCATCAAGCTACCATTGACTTTCTTCACATAATTAGAAAAAACTAAATTTCATATGGAACCAAAAAAGAGTCTGTATAGCCAAGACAATCCTAAGCAAAAATCTGGGTTTTAAGACCACTCTGTTAGGTTAGGGGAAGTTGGGGGCAAAGAATTTAAGTGAGTCATAGCATGTATACCAGCAGCATTGTAAGTGACCTGTATATGTGTGTGTACATGGATGTGGACATTGCTGGGAGGCTGACATAGGTCCCATAGCTAATAAAGGGTAGGGCTGAGACTGGATGGAACCCAGTCAGTTTCATTTCACAGTCTATGTACTTTATTGTTACATTGTTTTGCCTTTCATATTGTATTGGTAGGACATAATAATAGTGATATTTGTATTAATAATTTGATTAATAATTATATTAGTTTGCTAGGACCATCATAACTAAATACCACAGTCTGGGTAGTTTAAACACATAAATGTATTTTCTCACATCTCCAGAGGCAGGAAGTTCAAGATCAAGGTGCCGACAGGTTTGGCTTCTCCTGAGGCTGCTCTCCTTGGCTTGCAGATGGCCTTTCCCCCGTGTCCTCCCATGCTCTTTCCTCTGTGCACGTGTCCTTGGTGTCTCTTTTTGCATCCAAATTTCCCTCTCTTATAAGGATACTAGTCAGATTGGTTTAAGGATCACTCTAATGGCCTTATTTGTAAAAATTAATTATTTAGTTGATCAAAATTGTATCTGTTTTTCACGTACTCCACAATGTTTTGAAATGCATATCTATTGTGGAATGGCTAAACAACCTAATTAACATAAGTTACCTTACATCCTTAGTTTTTGTGATAAGAGCCCTAAAAATCTACTCTTCATGATTTTCAAGAATACAATACATTGTTATCAACTGTAGTCACTGTTGTACAGTCACTGTATCATAGATAGATCTCTGTCTAACTGAAATTTTGTACCCTTTGACCCAGGGTCTCCCCAGCTTGCAGCTCTGTAGCCACCCTTCTGCTCTCTGCTTCTGTGAGTTCAGTTTTTTAAGATTCCATATATAAGTGAGATCATACAGTATTTGTCTTTCTGTGCCTGGCTTATTTTATTTAATGTATTGTCCTCCAGTTTCCTCCACGTTGTTGGAAATGACAACATGGAGGATTTCTTTCTGTTTTAAGGCTGAATAGTATTCATTGTGTATATGTTACCATGTTTTATTTATTCATTCACCTGTTGATGGACACTTAGGTTGATTACTGGCTATTGTGAATAATGCCTCAATGAACATGGGAGTGCAGATATCTCTTCAACCTACTGACTTCAGTTCCTTTAGAGGAAACTCCATGCTGTTTTCCATAATGGCTGTACCAACTTATATTCCCACCAGCAGTGTGCAAGAGTTCCCCTTTCTCCACATCCTCTCCAAGACTTATCTTTCATCTTTTTGATAATAGCCATTCTAACAAGTGTGAGGTAGGTGATACCTCACTGTGGTTTCAATTAGCATTTCCCTGATATTTAGTGAGCATTTTTCACATACCTGTTGGCCATTCATATGTCATCCTTTGAGAGATGTCTGTTCAGGTCCTTTGTCCATTTTAAAAATTGGGTTGTTTTCTTGCCTTTGAGTTGAGTTTCTTATGTTTTTTATACTAATGCATTATCAGATGTATGGTTTGCAGACATGAAATTTTTCCCATTCCATCAGTTGTCTCTTCACTTTGTTTCCTTTGTGGTGCAGAAGCTTTTTCATTTTATGTAATCTTGTTTGTCTATTCTTGATTTTGTCGACCATGCTTTCAGGGTCATATCTAAAAAATTATTGCCCAGACCAATGTAATGGAGCTCTTCCCCTCCATTTTCTTCTAGTAGGTTTACAGTTTCAGGTCTTATGTTTAAGTCTTAAATCTATTTCAAGTGGATTTTTGTACATGGTGTGAGATAAAAATCTAATATTGCCCTTCTGCCTATGGGTATCCTAATGGCTTCCGTTTAACTACATCACATCTTTAAAGGCCCTATCTCCAAATACAGTCTCTTTCTGTAGTACTGGGGTTTAGGGCTGCCACAGGTGAATTTTGAGGATATACAATTCAGCGAATAACAATAACATAATAATACTATTATTAATATTAGTATTCTGCTAAATGCTACCAGTACTTCAATAGTTTAGTTAACTCATATTTTTTGTTCTCATACTCATTCCTGTTGAAGTGAAATTAGAAAATTTAGCAAATTAGAGTTTTGTTTGTAAAATATTCATGAAAAGTTTTCAAATTAATTTTTTTAAGTGTTGGCTATTAATGACTTCTTGGTCAAACTTTAAGCTTCCTATGGGAACTTCACTGTAGAGTTCATGATTGAATATTTTCAGGGTCTTCAGTAGATATCGGGGAAAGGCCAGGGAATATGAAATCCCAAATGTTTTCCAACCCACAGTTAACAGCTAACTGTCTATATAATCTTCCAATTCAATGGAAAGGCAGAATTTAAAGATGATGTTAAGAATAAATAAAGGAGAGTGAACTTTTATGTAAGATACAGCTCATGTCAAGAACTAAATATATTCATAGTTGCAATGTCTTTAGGTGATTTCTGAACAAAAGAGAATAACCTTTGTTGTCCGACATGTTTCAGTGAATTAATGGAGATTGTGCATGTATCCAAGGACTACAATTCAAGAAAGACCAAAGATATACTTTGCTAATAGTTTTAAATAACTAGAGGAGATGTTTCTCTCAGAAATTTTGGTTGTTCTCAACCCTGGCTATCTATTAGAATCATTTGGGGAGCTTTGTACAGTTGCCAGTGCTCTGGCCCCAGAACAAATCAGAATCTGTAGCTAGTGGAGTTGGGGTGAGGGAGTGTGCACAGAGATGGTAGCGTGCAGCCCAAGCACTGGAATTGCTCTATAAGCTCCCCAGGTGATACTAACAGGTCTTTATCTCCTCATCTCCTCTTAGGAGAAGAGTTCCCTGAGAATCAAAGTGAGAGGCCCACATTTATTTTTGTATCTCCCAAAAAGCTGTAGCAGAAGGTAGTGGGTGCTTCCTGTTTTTTTTGTTTTGTTTTGGTTTGGTTTTTTTTTTTTTTTTTTTTTTGAGAAAGAGTCTGGCTGTGTCATCCAGGCTGGAGTGCAATGGCACTATCTCAGCCCAGTACAACTTCTGCCTCCCGGGTTCAAGTGATTCTCATGCCTCAGACTCCCAAATAGCTGGAATTACAGGCACATGCCACCACGCCCAGCTAATTTTTGAATTTTTAGTAGAGACTCAGTTTCACCATGTTGGCCAAGCTGGTCTCAAACTCCTGGCCTCATGTGATCTGCCCACCTTGGCCTCCCAAAGTGCTGGCATGAGCCACCATTCCCGGCCTGACTTCTTTTTTCTTTTTAAGTTGAAGGTACACATAGTATCATCCACTGGATGTCCTCCATGCTTTATACATAATTTTAAAAATATATAGAAAACCTATATTGTGCCAGGTATGAGGAAGATAGCTTCTTCCCCTCCCCAATGCCCACCTCATGTAAAGAAAGATAAGAACCAAATTATCTGCCCTCAGGGAATGTGGTCAAATGGAAGAAAGAGAGACAGGGAGGGAGGGAGAGGGGGTGGAGGGAACTAGTAAGGCATCAACAAAAATAGCTACTACCTATAAACTAATGCTAACCAAAGAGAAGGGCAGCAGATGGTTGGGAATGTTTAGGGATGGGGTGGGATGGGACAGGTGGATGGATGGATGAAAGGAAAGTGGTAATGGTTTCCTTATTTGTCTCCATGATGAAAAAAGAAGCCATTAAGACCAACTTTCATCACATTCCAGTTCTTATTGGAATTGATGCAATTAAGAAAATGTAAAATAGCGTGTTTTTTGTGTATTCTTTAGGCTTGAGTCTTTACTTTTGAGGAATGTTAACACAATACGGTGAATTTTAATGATTACTGCTTGTGTTCCTTTCAGAAAAATGCCTTTTAACATGTTTCTTATTAGAGAGGAATGAAATTTTTTTTTCAGGTCTTTAGTGGTTAGGAAAGTTGCAGTTCACATGAGCACCAGTTAGAGACGATTATAACCCAACGGTGTGGTTGTGCCATTTAAGGAGAGCTCAGCTGACACTTTTTGAAATTGTGGAAAAATGTTAGTTTGAGAGCCAAATGGCAGCGGTTTGGCCCTAGAAGAATTACACAGAGTTCTCAGTAATATAGTTATTCTAAGGCCTTAGAAATGGCCTGGCCCAGACTGCCTTGGCACTCTGCACCCTGGAAAGAGAGGTTGTTATGAGCTCAGAGCCACATGGCCTCTCAATCCCTGGGCTTATCCTGGAATCTATATCATTACACTCCCCATTCAAAGCTGTTTCTACCTTATCACCTAAGTTTGTTTTAACTATAATATACAATCAAAAAAGTTAAGTTCTTCAGGAAGCAGTAAGGCACGTGCTGACCATCGTGAGCTATTCTCCAGCTACCTTAAAGGATTGTCAGTAAGATCCTCTGGTACTTACATTCGCTTTGAGAAGCATCTGTGAACAACTACAGAGAGGTGGGAAGATCATTATTTTAAAACTTATTTTAAGTTTTAATGGGTTCCAGCGATCATTTTGGTGATGCGTTCTTAAGACCCAAATTATGAAAGCTGACAACCTAACAGGTGTTGGAAGACTGCAGCAGGACATCTCTGCCATTTTACATTTAACATGAGTTACCTGGTTATTTTGGCTGCTCTCACATGTGGGAAGAGGGTGGGTGGCACCATCCTCCTCCTGCCATGGCTTCTGAAGCACAGGATGAGGTTAAACGGAAGTCACCTGCTCTTCTTCCTGGGTGGTCATAGCTTGCATTCATTTAACGACTGTTGATCGAATACCTGCCATGTTTCCGGTGCTGTGCTGAGAGGATGGCAAATAAAACAGACGGCACCCAAACCCTGAGTGGAGAAACTGGACAATAAAGAAGACAGGGACAGGGGAGAGAGAAACAGAGATACATAGATGAGTTTTTATCATCTATAATTTCCCTTGCAGGAAAGAAGTGATTAATTATTAATAGTGAGGGTGATTGATTTTTTTAAATTCTGAATATTGATATTTCTTAGACCATAGGTTCATTTTTTTCAACAAGAATTTGTGGAGTACCTACTATGATCAAGAGAATGTGCTTATGGATTTAAGAACCCATGATTTAATAATCCCTTGTTTTGTTTTTATTATTTTATAACAAAGTAATAGTTTTTAGCTTTCCCATGATACAAATAGACTTTAGTGACAATAAAAATATTAGAAGAAACTAATGATTTCTAGCCGCTAGCAAACAAGTTGCTTTGTTCTTTCAACTTTTCATCTGGTATTAAATATCATTGCCCACTGCTCCCCCGACCCCCACCAACCAAAAATAAAGAAAAAGAGAGAAAGAGACGGGAGAGAGGATGAAGAGATGCACAGAGGGATAAATAGGCAGATGGATTGATAAAGGTAGTTAAATTTGGAGGCCATGCTATGAAGAAAATAAATCGGTATGGTTGAAAAAGTAATGGGAATGGGAGAGGAAACTAGGGAGGTGAAGGTTCACCAAAGACCTTTCTAAGGAGACGATAATTAACATTTAAGTTGAGGCCTAAAAGAAGAGAAGGAGTGAAGGGGGGCAGTGCTTAGGGAGAAGGAGAGAGTATGTTCATATAATACATGTTCATACACGTATGGCGGGATGTGTTAGGGGTGGGGGCAGGCACAGTGGGGAGCGTTCACCCAGAGGGACTTGCCTTCCTACAGTATCGAGGTGGGGGAGAGATTGGTGTGCTTGAGGGTACTGAAAGCAGGAGAAGTTGCCAAGCAGTGAGTCAGGCAGTAGACTGGGGCCAAGAACTCACAGGACCTTGAGGGCTCAGGGAGGGTCACTTGGCTGAGGGGGCTGTGAGCTCTTCTTTTGGATGCCCTGCCTGGCTCTGCCTAACATCTTGATGATATCGTCAGGGAGATGCAGTTGTAGTGTCAGAAGGTGGGAGACAGGAGCCCTGTTTGCACACCCTTCCCAAACCTCAGTCAAGGGATCCATGTGCTTGTTTTGCAAGATCCTGGAACCACGTAAGGTAGCAAGTCACTAATTAGAAAGTTTGCGGTGTTTTGCATTAAAGCTTGTTAAAAGTTGTCAGAGCAGGTTAAGCACTCTCACCTTGCCCCAGGGGCATATACAGCTTTTCTGAATGTTGTTTTGATGTTACTCTTTGTTGTACAATATGCAGCTTTTTAGCATCTAGGGTCACTGATCTTTGAGAATGGGACCACAAAGTCATGTCAGCCCAGCTGTGTCCTCCCATCTTGGTTTTGCTGTTCACAGTAATGTATTTGCATGCTAGGGAGGCCATAATAAAATACCAAAGACTGGGTGGCTTAAACAACAGAAGCTTGTTTCTCACTATTCTGGAGGTTAGAAGTCCAGGATCAAGGCACCAGCAGGCTTGGTTTCTCCTGAGGCCTTGCCCCTTGGCTTGCAGGTGGCTGTCTTCTCACTGTGTCCTCACTTGGCCTTTTCTCTGTGCACACACATCCCTGGAGCCTCTCCCTCTGCTTATAAGGACATCAGTCCTGTTGGATTAGGGCTCCACCCCTATCACCTCATTTAACCTTAATTACCTCTTTAGGGCCGAATCTCCAAATACAGTCACATTGGGGGTTAGGGTTTCCATAAATGAATTGGTGGGGGGGACATGATTTAGTCCCTAACAAGTAACGATTATCTACCGAGTGCTTAGCACACGCAGATGCCAGGGTCAGTGCTTTACTTGGATTCATATATTGCAGTCCCCATGACAGCCCTATGAAGTCCCATTTCAGAGATTTGGAAACCAATACACAGAAAGATGAAATGAGTTGCACAGATTGTATGATTAGTGAGTGGAATTCAAATTGTGTGCTATCAAAGTACCATTGAACCTCACACTGTTTCTCAATCTCTTGGTGTCCCCTCTGGGAGTCCCACTGTGAGTGAGTGGGACTTGCTCAACTTGCTCCCACGCCCCACTAAGCCGTGCCCGCCTCCATCCTGAGGCGCGCAGTCCCACTCTGCCTTCTCCCTAGAGTCACATATTATTAGCATTGATGTAGTCCCCTCTGCTAGCCAGTCATCTGGCCTCTCCAGACACGTCCCCCCGGCCCTTGTGTCTTTAGTAATAGCTGCAGGAGTAGGTTCCATATTTGACTGATTCCCCAGGAGACATGCAAGCCTGGTGTTATCAGGTGTTACCTATCATCACCAGTCCCCAAGTTCTCCTGCTCATGATTTCAGGGTGTAGGTCACACATTCTGCTGGGAAGATAAAAGTTGTTGTTGTTGTTGTTGTGAGTGTTCGTCTATGTTTGGGCTACATCTTTTGTACTCTGACATCTTTGTTAGAATTCCGAGTGGAGAAATGACTTGGGGCCCAGAATCTTCTAATTATTAGGTTTCCTCTTGCCCAGAAATGCTAACAGAAAGATCTGTCTCCCTAGTGCTCAGAAACGTTAGGACAAATGACAAAAGCTGCAGCAAGTGATAAAGGAAAGGACACTAGCCAGAGGCAGTGAGCTGCAGGAATCCTAAGCATGACACAGAGACAGAGGGATCATGGTGTCATTGACCTGCATGGCTTCTGGCAGTTAGACCAGCTCTTTGGCAATGTGATGTTTCAAGGCCAAATCAGCCCTTATTGTGTTCCTCTGTCCTTCTAGCTTATGTGTGTCCTCCACACCTGCTTCTGTGCTCTTGTTTACTTACCACTTCAAGGTTGAAAAAGATAAGAATATTTCTTGATTGGTGGTCTCAATGAGGTATCTTTGAAGTTTATGGAATTTCCCATTTGTAATAGATCTTAGCAAAAATCGATTCTATATTCATTTTAGTGATACTGCCCATGGGGGCAGAAAGGTAGGATGAAATTCACCCCAGATTCCAGTCTTGTTTTAAGCACAAATAACCAAAGGGCCCGATGTGAAGGCACATAAAGTACTTGATATGGCTTGCTACTACTGACAGTGGGTAACATGCAGGATCTGGTGTGGAACCAGCTCAGTAATCTAAATGTAAGAGCTAACACTCGAAAACTCTTAGAAGAAAATATAGATGGACATCTTCATGACCTTGGATTAGGCACCAAGAGAATAACAACCAACAAAAAATAGATAAATTGAACTTCATCAAAATTAAAAAATGTTTGTGCTACAAAGGGTACTATCAAAAAAGTGAAAAGAGGCTGGGCACAGTGGCTCATGACGCCTGCAATCTCAGCACTTTGGGAGGCTAAGACATGAGAATTGCTTGAGGCCAGAAGTTCAAGACCAGCCTGAGTCTTGAAGTGAGACCTACTCTCTACCGCCCCCACCCAAAAAAAAAAGAAGAAGGAAAAAAAAAGTAGTGAAAAGATCATCACAGATTAGGAGAAAATATTTGCAAACCATGTATCTGATAAGGGACTTCTATCAAGTCTATATAAGGAACTCTTACAATTCAATAACCACAAGACAGCCCACTCAGAAATGGGCAAATGATCTGAATAGACATTTATCCAAAGAAGATGTACAGAAGTCCCATAAGCACATGAAAAGAAGCTCTACACCATTAGCCATCAAGGAAATTCTGATCAAAACCGCAATGAGATACCACTTCACGTCCACTAGGATGGCTATAGTAATTATTTTTAAAGGCAATCTTAGGCTAGCAAGGATAAAGAGAAATTAGAACCCTCACCCAAAACTGATAGGATTGTAAAATTGTATAGCTGCTTTGGACAATAGTCTGGCAGTTCCTCAGAAGGTTAAACATACAGTTTAACCTGAATATATTAATCACCAATTTTTAAGAGAAATGAAAACATATACCTACACAAAAACTTGTATGTGAATATTTATTTTAACATTATTCATAATAGCCAAAAAGTAGAAACAACCCAAATGCTGATCAAATTGATAAATAAAATGTGGTATATGCATACGATGGAATATTATTTGGCCCTAAAAAGTAATAAAGTGCTAATACAGGCTACAATGTGGATGAACCTGAAAGTAGTATGCTAAGTGAAAGGAGCCAATGACACATGGCCACATTATATGATTCGATCATATGAAGTGGCCATAATAGGCAATCCATGAAGACAGAGAGTGCATTGGTGGAGCCAAGGCCTAAAGGTAGTGGGGTGGGCAGTGAGAGAAGAAATAGGGGTTGATTGCTAATAGGCATTGAGTTTCTGTTTGGGGGTGATAAAGATGTTCTAAAATTGATTGTGGGAATGATTATACAGCTCTGTGAATATCATAAAAAGCATTGAATTGTCCACTCTAAGTAGGCGAATTGTGTAGTATAGAAATGAAATCTCAATGAAGCTGTTGAGTAAAATCTCAATGAAGCAATTATTTTTTCTTAAAGTAGGTATATCATCCTAATAATAGAGGAGAAAAACTGAAGTTTACTATATGGTATTCCAAATTGAGCAGTTTGAGTTTAGGATGAAGGATTTTTCTGTGTGTGTGTGTGTGTGTGTGTGTGTGTGTGTGTGTGTGTGTAAATCTGGAATATTGAAATTTTAAAGACGCCAGGTTCTTGGGACATATCTTCTTTTTCACAGACTCCAGGAGTTGGATACCCAGTCCCCAATCCCTCTTTGAGTTCATTCCCTTGATTCAGTTAGAGCTAGACATAAGACATTTTTTCTTCCCCTTCTGCTCTTTTGAGATCTCTTAAAGGATTTTAAGATTTTATAAAACCATACTCTGGTTAGCGCGATAAACCTCAAGGATCATAATGTATATGCCCGGAGCTGCCTTATCTGACTGGTAATAGTTCTCTTTAGCATAGAGCAGCCTCAGAAATCTAAATGTCTTCAGGAGCCGAACAGATAACCAATAAATCTCATTAAAGCAGTGACAAATTGTGGGGCCTATTGAGTCTCGGTTTCATAACTGAAATCTGGGTTGTAGTACACAGGTTGTTCTAGGAATAATGATACCTTCTTTTTGTAAGGATCAAGTGAGATGGTGTTTAAGAAGGCACCGTATAACACGTAGCAAGCTATACAGTTATTAATTTGGATATGAAATGAAGTCTGTTCTTTTCTCAAAAAATTTGTAAAGATTAATTTTTATCATTTGATTGATATATAACCCATAATCAAGATAATTAACATAGCCATCACACCCAACAGATTCATCTGCCTCTTAGTAATTTATTCCTACTCTCCTCCACCCTTATCCCCTACCAGCCACTGGTCTTCTGTCTCTATGGTTTAGTTTGCATTTTGTACATTTTTTTATAAACAGAAACGTACCACATATATTTTTGTTGTCTGAGTTAATTTACTCAGCATAGCTACTTTGGAGTTTATCATATCACTATGTGTGTTAATAGTTCATCCCTTTTCATTGCCAAGTACTAGTCCATTGTACAGATATACCATAATCTGTTTATCCATTCACCTGATAAACATTTGGATTTCCAGTTTTTGGCTATTGCAAATAAAGCAGCTATGAACATTCATTTACAAGTATTTGTAAGGACATATGCTTTCATTACTGTTAGGTACATACCTAGGAGTGGAATTGTTGGGTCATGTGGAAAGTGTATGTTTACTTTTTTTTTGTTGTTTGTTTATTTTTTGTTTTGATATGGAGTCTCGCTGTGTTGCCCAGGCTGGAGTGCAGTGGCGCGATCTCGGCTCACTGCAACCTCTGCCTCCTGGGTTCAAGCGATTCTCCTGCCTCAGCCTCCCGAGTAGCTGGGACTACAGGCACCTGCCACCATGCCCGGCTAATTTTTGTACTTTTAAAGTAGACATGGGGTTTTACCGTATTAGCCAGAATGGTCTCAAACTCCTGACCTTGTAATCTGCCCACCTTGGCCTCCCTAAGTGCTGGGATTACAGGCATGAGCCACCGTGCCCGGCCACATTTATGTTTTAGTAAACTGTCAAGCTGTTTTCCAAAGTGCTGGTTCTATTTTACATTCTCTCCACCAGTGTTTGAGAGTTCGAGGTCCTCCCTATCCTCCCCAACACTTGCTATGGTCAGTCTTTTTAACTTAAGCCAATCAAGTCGATGGTAGTGCCATCTCATTGTGATTTTCATGTATGTTTCCCTAATGAATAATTATGTTGAACATCTTTTCTTGTGTTGATAAGTCTGTTACTTTGGCATCACTTCACATCCAGCTTACTCTGTGCATAAGAGAATTTCACTCTTTTAACTGATTGCATTGGAATGCTGACCAACATGTCATTAGGAACAACTGTGGATTTTCTGTTACTTTATATTTAACTGGGCATGTTTGTGAAAGGATCCAGAACATCCTCCAACTTAATTTTCTTTGTATGTGTTAGGTTATTTCGATGCTCTAAAATTTTGACCAAATTGATTTTTAAGGTGTGGCCTGATTTCAAGGCAAAATTAGGGGTTATCAACTTATTTTATTAGATGTCTAATTCTGTAAATGAATATATATACAGAAGTGGATTTCCACTTGAAATAAGCTGTAATATTGACATCTCGCTATATTCAGAAATAAGATGTTTGAGTTGGGAGGGACCTTAGCAGTCACTCTCTTCAGCCATTCCCTTCATGCCCCCTGCAGCACTCATAAGGGGGTTCATCTTTCCACTGTCAGAGATTCGAGTATCTGGAAGGACCTTGTACAATAAGCATACAACAAAAAAATTCTCCTTTTGTAGATGGTTGCTAACTGACCTTCATTTGAAATTGTTTTATGGTAGTTATTTGATGGGAGTTATCAGGTGAGATTTAGCCATCCAGAGCAAGCACTGCCTATTAAGAATTTCATTGCTGTGTTTTTAAATATATGTAAAGCGTAAAAAGGGGTGGGGGAGTAGGCAGAAAGAGCCTAGAATCTGTATTCCCCTCAGTCTGTGATGAAGGAAGCCCTTTGCAAGCCTTGCTTTCACAACCTCAACATGGCATGGGCTTTGCTGTCAGTCAGGTCTGAGTTGGAATCCCAGCTCTGCCTCTCCTTCTCCATGAACGGGGTCATGAGGGATTATGGGTATTTTGTGGGTAGGGAGGTATATTATACCCTCCTCGTGGGGCAGCTGGGATGCCTACCTGAGATAGGAGATGGAGGGCACTGGCACCAGGAAAGCACTGGGTCTGTTTCCTTTTCTTACCTCTTTCTCTTTCTCCTCTTCCACATGTTTTCTCTCATCACTTAGGTCACTTATAGAAATCGTTCTTTTTACTTCTATTTCAATCAATTTTGGAAATTTCTCCAAAAAGATAATAATGGTAATGAATACTTAAGCAGTAACATTTAGCAAGTCCCTTTTATGTACCAGGAATATCAAGTACATTTCATGCATTTTTTTTTCATTTACTTTTCACAAGAACTCATGAAGTAAGCTGCAATTAAGGCAGAGAGGAAACGGAATGAGTGATGGAGTCAAGGTGTGAACCAAGCCCTAACTGACCCCAGAGCTCTTAATCACTCTGTATATTGCCCCTATATCTAATTTTAGGAATGCTCAGTTGTCTGTGTTTCCACCCCCATCCAGATGATGATAATATGAAAACAGTAACAGCTGGTGCATACCTCGCACTGAGCACTGGTCTGCCTGCTTTCCACATATTAACTCATATAAGGCTCACTGTAACCTGTCACAGGTTCTATTGCTGTCTCCATTTTTGTGATCCCCATTTTTTAGGTGAGGAAATGAAGGTGCAGAGACGCTAAGTAACTTGCCCACTTACTCAGGTTCACATAGAGTTACAATTGATGTTCAGTCTGTCGTTCCTAATGCCTCCGGTGTCTTTCCCCTATCACTTCATCATTTCTTAAAATTCATTTTAAGCCCATTTCAGACCAATCAGAGAAGAGATGGGAACTCCCTCCTGCTTAGCTTAGACATCCGAGCTACTCTTTCCAGTAACCTGTAGAATTCTTTCCTTATCCTTGCTGCAGTCTTTCTAAAGTGGTGATATATTGGACACTTCATCCAAAGGCTGAACTGAGACTAATGCCTAAGCAAGAAAGAAAAAATAGCAAATTCATTAACTAGGAATCTATTTACAGTCAATTCCCAAGGCTCATTGTGCAGTCAGTGGTTCTGCATCATTTAGAGTTGCTAATAAATGAAAGTCTTTGCGTCTTTCCAAGTGCCTTGATATTTACAAGTCTCATATTTTACCATAGGAAATGGCTTCAACAAGCATATTCATGTGTTGACAGTTCTAATTAATACAAGTAATTAGCCCTGACAGAACTGTGAAAAGGAGACCCATTCATAAATTTGCTAATTATGTTACTCTGCTCAGAATTTAATCGCAGTCTAGTCTTTAATCATATCTGTATATGGGCAAAAGGCCATCTTACTAAATTCTTCAGGCTTTTACATTTACTTCTGGCAAGAGGATTTTACTGAAATTAATTTGTGGCTGCAATTTAATTTTCCAGTATGCAGGAACTGGTAAAGAACACAGATTATAATCTTTCTGGAAAGAAACAAGAAAATGAGAAAAGGCAGACAAGGGAGGAGGAAGGCATCAAGTACATACCATATGCTTTCTTACATGTAAAGCTTGTACGTTTCTACCTATTTTAATGCCTTTTCTGAAAATAAAGATAGTCTTATTTAGGCCACTGGTAGGTTTATGGTACAGAAAATTTGAAGATGGTTGGTTACTTTGATCCAAAGTTGAGCCCTCTTCTCTTGGATGTAAATAGCCTACTTTTTCAAGTGCTTTTGTTCTTGAGCAGGGGTTCTCAACCTTGGCACTATTGGAACTTTGGGCTGG
This sequence comes from Homo sapiens, assembly GCF_000001405.40. NCBI lineage: Eukaryota > Metazoa > Chordata > Mammalia > Primates > Hominidae > Homo > Homo sapiens. The sequence goes on from NC_000002.12 coordinate 226,962,976, forward strand.
ATGATTCCTTGATTCCTTGTCGAGGTGAGTGTGACTGCCCTGTGTATTGTGCAGTGTTGAGTAGCATCCCTGGCCTCTACCCACTAGACGCAAGCGCACCTCTCCCCTAGTTCTGACCCCCAAAAGTGTCCCCAGATGTTGCCAGTTGTCTCCTGGGGAGCAAAATCACCCCTGGTTGAGAACCGCTATGCTTGAGAGTAACTTAAGATAAAAAAAAGAATCCAGTAAAACTTCTATATAGAACACTTATAGCAGCTGTAGCAAAATCAGTAAAGCACCTTTTCTTGGAATCATTTACCAGGCATCATGATACAGAACTCAGATTTGGAATGATATTCCTTGAATTACAATACTTCCTTCCTACTTTTTCAGCATTAAGCTCCCTCTGGTCCTCTTAGATAGAAAGTAGAGTTGTGCTTGGTAGTAAAGTAGCTTATCTAAAACCCCTTTACTTTTCTTTTTGTTAGTAGATACACTGGGCTCTTCATATTCATGGATTTAACATTTGAAGTTTTGACTACTCGCGGGTGACCCCAGTGTTCTGAGTAATCAACTCCCAGTGTTCTTTGTCTTCCTTTCCAGTTCATTGATTCCTTACTTTGTGGTCTTGCTCTTCTCCCTCCACTGCTTAGATTTCTGGTCCATATAAATACCTTCCATGCCCTTGCTTCTCACCCTTCTTCCATTTACCTGGAAAAATCCCAGACTTGAGTGAGCCTGGCCACTAGGCTTCTTGGAATGTGGATCTGGCAGCTAAGCCTTATTAGAGAACATGACTCAGCAGAGCAGACTGAGCCTATCATACATGCACATTAACCTCTCAACTATCCTAGACCTCCCTAAGAAAATGGAATCCACCCCTAGGCAATGCCCCCAACCTCCCATCATGAAAACTACAAACGAACCTATTCTGTACTCACCACCCCCTACTTAACTCCTTCCTTCCTGACAACTGAGCAGGGAAGTCTTCTTCCCTTATCAAAAGCTAATCCTTCACCCACCTACCCCAGCTTCTCAGAAAAATATTTTGTCATTGAGTATCCCCTTTTCCCTTGTGTCTTCAGCCTCTCAGTCTCTACTGGATCCCTCCCATCAACACTGAAAGATATTCTTAGTCTCTCTCCTCTCCTATCTTGAGAGAGAGAGGAAGAGAGCAAGTGAGTATGCAGTAACACACAGCAGCCTTTCAGTAACCATCCTTCCCCGTTCCATTTACATTCATATTGTCCTCTTCAACTTTGAATCTTGCCTCTACTACTACAGTCATGTTGCTACTCCCATTAGTCCAATAAAACAGTTCTAGCTAAGATCCCCTGCACCCTCTATGTTGCTAAGGCCTGGAGTCACTTTCCTTCCCCAAATTTACTTAACATAGTTAACTACTCCTTCCTTGAAACCATACCTTTTTTCTTTCTTGTTTTCCCAATGTCACACTTTCCTGGCTTTCCTAATATGGTCTGGTCTCTTTCCTGGGTCTTCTTTGCAGGCCCACCCACCTCCACTTTACCTTTGAACATCAGCCTTCCTAATGACTTAATTGTAGCTCTTCTTTTCTTCTCCCAAGGCTTTAGTTGCTATTTATATGCTGGCAACTTCCAAATTTATCTCTTCAGCCCAGTTTTCTTTCTGAGCCTCTAAAATTACAAATAAACATATTCAAGGACATCTCAGATGCATCATGTACAAACTGAATTTATAATTCTTTTATACCTTTGCAACTCATTCCTTTTGGCCTTTTGGACGTAGTGAGTAACCAAGCCTTCTTGATGGTAACTCAAGATACATCTCAAATCCTTTCACTTCTTTTTACATCCATTAGTGAAAGCCACTGTTCTTTACAAATGGATAGTAGAAGGTGAGGATGTAGAAATAAGAGCCAGGTCACACAGGGCCTTTTAGGCCATCTGGGACTCTGATTTTTCTCTGAATGAGATGGACCCCATTAGAGGGTTTTGCTCAGAGGAGTAACATAATCTAACTCAACTTAGAAGGACCACTGTGGCTGCTGTATTGAGAATAATTTGTAGAGCATCATAGTGGGTTGAATGTTATCCTCTGAAAGATATGACCACCCAGAACCTCCAAGTATGACCTCATTTGAAATAAGGCTCTTTGCAGGTAATTAAGGTAAGGATCTCAAGATGAGATCATCCTGGGTTAGGGTCAGGTGTCCTGATAAGAGACAGAAATGGAGAAAGCAGACACAGATGAATGAGCCATGTGAAGACAGATTGGAGAACAGTCACAAGCCAGGGAACACCAAGGATGGCCAGCACCACCCAAGCTGGGCTAGAGGCATGGAATGGGTTCTCCTGCAGAGCCTCCAGAAGGAACCAACCCTGCCAACAACCTTGATGTCAGACTTCTGGCTTCCCAAATTGCAAGAGAATAAAGTTCTGTTGTTTTAAGGAACTCAGTTTGCAATAATTTGTTATAGCAACCCTAGGAAACTGATACAAGCATCAAGGGTAAAAGCAGAAGGCCAGTAGGAGTCCATTGCAGTAATCCAGGCAAGAGAGGACTGCGGCTCCACTTAGTAGCTGTGGAGGAGGTGTGAAGAGGTCAGCTTCTGGACACATTTTGCAGTAAAATGAAAGGATTTTTTGACAGAATGCCTGCAATTGTGAGAGAGAGAAGTGAAGAATGACTAAGGTTTTTGGCCAAAACCACTGGAAAGTTGAAAGTAGTTCAGGTTTACAGGAATTAGAGTTCAGTCTCAGAGGTGTATACATTGAGAGAATTAGTAGAGCTCCATGTGCCATCATCCTGGAGCCCTGTTGACTTTTAGGGATGGCACCATGTTTGAGAGGCTACAGAGGAGACCCAGAGCCAGTAAGCAAGACATAGAGTTTATAGAGAGGACTTACAGCATAGTCCAGTGGCAGCGGGCTAGACAGGAGAACCGCAATTGCTTGAAAAAGCACGAAGTTTATAGCAAAGACACAATGAAAAAAAAAACATGGGCCGATATCACTGATGAACATAGACAGAAAAATCCTCAAAAAAATACTAGCAAACTGAATATAGCAGCACATCAAAAAGTTAATTTACCATGATCAAGTAGGCATCATTCCTGGGGTATAAGGTTGGTTCAACATACGCAAATCAATAAATGTGACTCGCCACATAAAAACCATATGATTGTCTCAATAAATTGCTAGTTTTTCCAGCATTATTTGGGTGAGTAGTTAACTACTCTCCTAAATAAATAGATCCTTGATGCTACTCATCTTGGAGCTATGGAGAGTTCCCCAGGTGAGAAGCAGGTCAATCACAAGAAATGCCTGCAATTTGGACCATCTGTCCTTGCACTCTTCACCGTAAGGCTCATCCTTGGTATCAGTTTTCTCTGCCTATGGTACCTAACTATATAGAAGGGATCCTCCTAGGGGCCTCCTCAGTAGCCCGAAAGCAACACTGTTCAGTAGAAGTATCTGCAGTAACGGACATGCTTCGTGTTTTCATTGTCCAACATGGGAGCCACTAGCCACAAGTGCTGAGCATGTGGAATGTATTTACAAATGGATAGTAGGAGGTGAGGATGTAGAAATAAATACAACTTAGTGCAACTGAGGAATTGAGTTTTCAGCTATGCATAATTTTAATTCATATAAATTTAAATAGCTATGTGTGCCTGATACATAATTTTAATTCATATAAATTTAAATAGCCATGTGTGCCTGGTGGCCATTGTATCAGTGCAGATCTAGAGCATTGGTTCTAAAAGTGTTGCCTGGAAGCTTGTTAGAAATGCATATTTTTGGACCCTGACCTCAAACTCCTGGACTCAAGCAATCCTCCCACTTCAACCTTCTGAATAGCCAGCTGAGACTACAGGCATAGGCCACCACATTCTTTTTAATTTTTTTTTTTTTTGGTAGAAATGGGAGTGGGGTGGGTTGTGGGGAGGTTGGGAGCATGGGAGATCTACTGCACCAGAAGCTTTGCGTGTGAGACCCGGGATTATGTGTTTTAATAAGCTCTGCAGATGATTCTGTTGTACAATAAAATTTGAGAACCATTGCTGGGTCCCACTCTCAGAGTTCATGATTTAGTTGTTCTGGGATGAGGTCTGAGAATTTGCTTTTCTAACAAATTCCCTGATGATGCTGTGATGCAGATCTGGAAATCATCTGAGAACCTGTTATAGAAGATGGACCAACTCTTTGTGAAGTGGCCCCCGTTCCCAAGAGTAAATTGCATAAATCCCACATAACAAATATTTCAAGTCAGGATCTCCCAAGTGTACCCTCCATACTTGATGAAAATCTTCCTAGCTTTTTTCCCATGATCTGGTAACAAACTGTGTCTGGCTTATAGGAGGGCTGTTAAGTACTTGTTGAATTAATAAAGAGATTATATAAATCAGCCTGAATAAAATATCTGAAGTTGAGAATTCTTTTTTTCTTTATTTTATTATTATTATACTTTAAATTTTAGGGTACATGTGCACAATGTGCAGGTTTGTTACATATGTATACATGTGCCATGTTGGTGTGCTGCACCCATTAACTCGTCATTTAACATTAGGTATATCTCCTAATGCTATCCCTCCCCCCTCCCTTATCCCACCTCTAACTTTCTGCATGTGATGGCTTTTTGGCCTTCATGATAACCTATTAGTGGAATTCCACTTTTCTGATCCGTAATTCTACAACTCGTTGTAGAAGTCATTGTTGTAGTAATTTTTCTGTCTGTAGCTTGATAAATTTTAATTGTTATAGTGGAAAGAAGGTAATTCTTAACTAGAGAAGAGTGTAGTATGTCCACACCCCCAAGAGGCATTTGCAAATGTGTGTGTGAGAGGGCTTTTGGGTTGTTGAAATGATAGGAGTCAGGGTAGAGGGGTTACAATTTTCATTCAGTGCCAGGGGCCCAGGAATGTTAAATACCCTGCAGGCACAGGACTGTCCTGTACAATGAAGAGAAACTCTGTAACCTGTTGGTAGGTGACAGTAATATTTCTTCAGTAAAATTACTTCTAAGGCCATGACTCTCTTTTGCTAGTTATATCTCTTCATGAGCATTTTGTATGAGTTTTACTTATCTCATAGGAGGGTGAAACACCCTCTGTCCTGCTCTTGCATAACATAATTTAATTCTTGCAGCAAATATTTAGTGCTGTGTAGTTTACAAAGATAGGAGACATGAGCCTACCTACAAAGAAGTTACAGTACCACCAATAAGCTGGAAATGATATAAGAGTTGTATAAACTGGAAGAACCCAGAGGGGATATTACCTGGTTTATCAGTTAAGGTTCAACCAGGAGACAAAACCAGTGGAGACATATATTAAGAGCTATTATTGCAAGGAAGTGCCTATGTGATTGTGGAGGCTGACCAGGCAAGTCCAAAATCTGTAGGGCAGGCCGTCAGGAAGGGTGAGCAGGAACTCTCAGGCACTTGGCTGAAGCTGTAGTCCACAAGCAGAATTTCTTCTTCTTCAGGGAAGTTTCAGCTCTGCTCTTAAGGCCTTTTAACCGATTGAATCAGGCTCATCCACATTATCTAAAATAATCTCCCTTAAAGTCAGCTGATTATGGACTTTAATCACATCTACCAGATGCCTTCACAGCAGCACCCTGATTAGTGTTTAATTGAATAACCTGAGATGGTGGCTTAGCCCACTTGACACACAAAAAAGAGCATCGCACTTGGAGATTGAATGTTTGCGCACTCTCTCCGAAACATGTGCCATTTGTTCTGACCCTTGAAAATGGGGAATTTTTAAGTGGGGCAGTTGGCATTCTAGAGGGGGTGACTATTAAAAATTAGCCAAAGGAAACAATAAAAGAAGCCAAGGCATGAAAGTATAATCGGTGTTTGCAGAATGGCTAGTTGTTGCTATGTGGCTTTTCCCTGAACCTCAGCTCTCAATTTCCTCATCTGAGGAGTGGGTTCAGTACTTGTCATAACTGTCCTCCAGGATGGAAGAAGATGATATTTGAGGGTGCCTTTTGGAAACAGTTAAACATTGTGAATGCTAAGGGATTTTTTTTCTTTCTTTAACCATCCATGTGTCCAAGGTATGGACCAGTCATGGACACAGGCCAAAAGCCAAGCCGGGATAAACAAGGTGTTGCTTTGTCTCTGGCTAATGTGAGATGGGCTCCACCAACCAGAAGCTACTCTTCCCATGTCAGAACACTGAGGTGTTTTATAGTCATGGTGGTGGTGGCAGTAGCATTGGTGAGAGTGTGAGGTTGGTGTGATAAAAACCGAAGGCTCGGCCGGTAACAGAGAGCCTGATTGTTGCAGACTTTGTCTAAAATTTGTGTTTTTAAGAAAAAAAAAGTGACATTCTCTTGACCTTAGTTCCTAATGGGCTAAAAGAATGAAAAACATCCCTGTATATAAGTCTGTGCCCAACTGTCACAAAGCAGCAATAGCCATTTGCTCTGGGCTAAGACAGCTCAGCCTTTTTTTTTTTTTTTTTTTTAAGGAAGTAGACCTGTTTTTGATGCTTGAGATATTAGGGGTGAAGGAGAGTCATTTATTATAAATGTGTTGAATACTTTGCCTAAATAGGGAAAGGGAGTTAAACTACATCCAAGGAAGCTGTTCCAAGTTTCTTAGGTAATGGCCATTAAGGCCAATTGACTCCGTCACCAAAGAAAGCACCAGAAAACGTGAGTCCCGTTTGACAGACTTCTTTCCTTTTCAGAACTGTGTCCTACAAACCAAACAAATCTCCCCCAATTGTTAAAGCCATATGCATTTTGAAGGAAATGTAATCCATATGTTCCTGAGTCACTTATGCCTAAGTCATTAAAAAGTTATTTTTTAAATGTGATTTCATGTTTGAAGTCATTTTAGAGTATTTTTAGTAGACTCTCATTCTTCATAATGCTAAATTTTTCTTGGTTTGTTTTCTTGTTTTATTTAAACACACTGTATATCATCTTAACACATCCTGTGGCGAGGCACAAAGGGAATCTTGAACTCAGAAGGAGGGTCTGGTGTACTGGAATAACACATTTGAGGCAGTTTCTATTTTCAGAAGTTTACAACTGTCCCCCCCCCCTTAATTTTTTATTTTATGTCCTGGGCTGCTTTTAACCTGGTCACATCGTCATCCCAGCCCTCTCCCCCCGCATTCCTTAAATGGTTGTCCATGAAGAAGAAAAGGGAAAAGAGAAAAATGACAAAGAATAAAATCACATGGCCTCCTAGGATATACTTCTGCACTGTGCTATGTGATCCTTTCTTCCCAGAATTGAATGTATTTTCCCCTTTTACCTACTATTGTTGCTAGCTGGGAGAATTAAGGTGTTTCTTAAAGTGCCAACAAAAGAGAGAAATAAAACTGAATTGAGGAGCTGTCTCCAGCTTCTCATTTTTAGGACAAACAGAAGACGGTGTCTGCTTAGAACTGAAACTAATTGAAAAATGGTTTCATTTTTTACTAAAATAAGCTTTTTTCCCCCCTTTTTAACCTTTGTCTCATGATATGAGTCTCATGATATGGACCAAGTTTTATCTGTACATGAAGCATCCTGGTTTGTGTGTGAATTTGTCCATCGTGAACATCTGTTGGCTGCCAGAGGGCACGGAAGCAGCCTTATTTTTAGGCACTGGTAGAGGTCCATTTCTCTTCTCAGGGGCTGCTCAGGCAGCAGGTGTGTAGCATCAAACATAGCGAGAGGCACTCACCACCTGGAGGAATAAAGATGTAAGGAGTTAACAATTTTACTTTTCATCTCTGCCAGCCTGTGAAATATTTTCCAATGTACTTTTTTTATTTGATTCTCAAAACTGCCTTGAGGACCATTGTTTTTGTTTGTTTTCATAAAGAAATTGAGGCTCAGGGATGCGACTTTCTTCAGTATTTCACAAGGCAATCTTGGCAGCTGGTGTGTGCCTCGGAGAGGAGGGATATCGTGCCCATCATGTGGGGACATTTGAGGACCTTCGTGGACTTTTACTTTTGAAAGCCCTGCCCCACATCATTTCAAGTGTATTAAAACATACGCAATCTCCTATCTGTCCCACAGATCCCGTGTATAATATATATCATCATATATGTGAGTTGAGTTATAAATAGTTGAGATGGTACATTTCGTAGACACTTAATTAAATGTTTACTACTTTTAATTTTATAGTTTCTGTTTCATTTTGGAACCAACTAATTATTTTGAGGTCTGGAACATTTTCATGGGCCTTTAAAAAACTCACCCTCCCTGAGTGCTGTCCCTACAGTGGCTGAAGCCGCCTCTTGCTCTCATTCACTCCTGTTTCCCTCCTCACACCTGTGGCAGAACCGAGGCAGGTGCTTACTAAATGCTTGTTGGTGAATGCCCAAGTGAGTGAGAGAAGGAATAGAAGAAGTAACAAATAAGTGAAGTACAAGTAAGTGGCAAAGTCTGGTGTCGAAGGACGTCTGAACCCTTAGCGGGCTCATTTCCTTTGCACTGTCATCACAGTGAAGCAGAACGGGCATCTTCAAGCTGTGTATCAAAGTGTGTTCCTCCCCATTTCTCATTGTTTTGTTCCAAGCCAGTTTTCTTCTCTGTTACAGCTAAGGCATGAGAAAGAATAGACTACCAGCTTATTTGACTTTTGATAAGTTCATGAAGCAGCAATAGCCACTTTCAGGTCATAATCCATTCTTTTCTCTCTGTTTAGTTGCTATAGTTTATTTTTTTGCCTTGCAAATATGGGATAAATGTGGCTACTAACATTCAAATATTCAGACAAGTTTCTTGACAAAATCAGAGAGGTGTTTTTTGCCTGTTGTTTCTTTTGGTTTGTTTTCTTTAGAATACTGGACATTTGCTCTAAGTTATCTGTCATGTAATTTGTGTGTTTTGTTGAGATATGATTTTTTTTTTAATCCAAAGGTGGATCTTTGTGGCCTTTCTTCAAAGCTCTAGAATTTGGTGGCAAGGAACTTATTGAACATGATAGAAAACTAGAGAGAAAGCAAAAGCCCACTTTTTTTTTTTTTTAATTTTACTTTCAGTTCTTGGATACATGTGCAGAACATGTAGGTTTGTTACATAGGTCACATGTGCCACGGTGGTTTGCTGCACCTGTCAGCCCGTCATCTATGTTTTAAGCCCCACGTGCATTAGGTCTTTGTCCTAATGCTTTCCATCCCCTTGCCCCCTAACTCCCAACAGGCCTTGGTGTGTGCTGTTCCACTCCCTGTATCCATGTGTTCTCATTGTTCAACTCCCACTTACGAGTGAGAACATGCGGTGTTTGGTTTTCTGTTCCTGTGTTAGTTTGCTGAGAATGATGGCTTCCAGCTTCATCCATGTCCCTGCAAAGGACATGATCTCATTCTTTTGTATGGCTGCATAGTATTCCATGGTGTATATGTGCCACATTTTCTTTATCCAGTCAATCATTGATGGAAAAAGCCCACTTCTTAAGAAAGAAACACAAAGGTGCTAAATGAGAGGAGGGAAGAGAGAGACAGGGATTACCTAAAGAGCAGAGCCATCCTCCTCTTTCTCAGCCCTGCTATGCCCCCTGGAAAAAGGGGTCTGCCCATATGAGTGGGCCTGGGAAGGCTGCTCCACCCAGTTCATCTGGACTCCCAGGGTCACTAGATGGCACCAGGGCAGACGTGGGCCACACTCAAAACCCTGCAGTGCTGCTTCATGGACGGAGCTTCTGGGTCAAGGCAGGAGCTGGAAATGGTGGAACTTGCCCTCCATCTATGAAATTTTTTGAGTCAGTCATTCAGCAAATAATGACTAGACACCTATGATAGTGACACAACAGTGAACGGCACAGACTGGTCTCTCGAGTCCAGGGGCTCTCTGCTCACACTCGGCCAAGCTCTTGCTGTTTAAGGGTGCCTTTCATGAAGTCTATTTGAAATGTTTTGGTTTCTGTCAGTTTTTGGTTGGGTTATAGGTAAGTACACAAGTTACCACATGTATTTAGAAGGCCCAATCCCTCCATTTATCAACTAAAGTTAAAGAAAGGAAGGAAGCCTGTAGCAAAAAAAAAAAAAAAACAAAAAACCATGCAGGTTCCCCCACTGCTATATGATTTTCTATATTTATGTTTTAATTTCTTGGTAGGCCTGGACTTCAAAGTAGAGATTCAGAGCCCTACCTGAGTTTGGGTTGTGCCCTGTGGCTGCCATCCTTCCTCACAGAAGTTCCTCCCTGGACTTCAGCCTCGGGGTTCTTGTTCACTTTCAGTATTTCCTTTTTGCAGTGTGTATGTGTGTGTACGGAACTATATAGTGTTGATTGTCCTTAAATGATCTTCTTCCAAACTCATCCAAACCATTTAATTTGTAGCAGGAATCCCAAAGTATATCCTTCCCAGAGAAAGAATGAGATTTGCCTGGCATCAAGTTAAGGAAATCATTACTCAAAAAAATTGTTTAAGACATTTTCCTGTGCTAGAGATGCTGGTGACCAAGAAGTGGGTGCCTGGGGGAGATGTCTGGGCTCATTATCTGGGAAAGTTGGGAAGTGAGTGTTTGCCTGTTCCTTTTTCCACTCTGTTTCCTCATTGGCTTTGCCATTTACCCAACTGCCCCCATTCTAAGATTGGTGTTTACTGATCAAGAGCAAAGCTCTACTGCCTTAGGAGTAGTTCATAAAATGATTCCTAGATGTAATATTCACTCTCTTCCCTGCCTAGTCCCCTTAGCAAGGACCTCTCTAACATTTTATGTTTGAATTGTTTTCTTCCAGAGACAAAGGTAAGTTAGATCAAGAGTAAACAGATGGAGATGTTCATTCTTGGAAGCAGCAAGCATTTTGTTATCATTGTTATTGTCTGAGCAAGTGAAAACCAGATGAGAAGAGCCTTGACCTGCCTCCTTCACTAGCAGAAGTGAAGTAGGTCGTATCTTTCTTGCAGCATTCCTGTGAGCGTTAGAACAACTCCGGAGCCCATGAGTAAGGCTACTGTGTGTTAGAATTGTGATTCTGCCTGTTCATCCTCCTGGCTGCCCACCCCTGAGAATCTCCTTTTCGTTCGCATGGGCTCTTTGATAGCAGAGTGGCTGCCTCTCTGCAATGAGCTTGAGGGTTTTGTGGGTAAGAGGCCCAGTGCCCCTCACCGCCTTTCCACATGCTTGCCTCCTTACCCAGTTTGTCAGGCTTTGACAGATGGCCGGCGTTTGTCTCACCTGCGATTCCTTTTTGCACAGCACTCGGTGTAACACTTCAAAGAAATAATTAGCATTCTGAGTCTTCTCTGCCCTGTGCATAGAATGTGGGAAGGTTCCGCTGAAGAGGGACTTGAGCCCAGAGTGTTGTATGGGTGTTGCCCTTTTTTTATTTTATTTTATTTTATTTTATTTTTGAGACAGAGTCTCGCTCTGTCGCCCAGGCTGGAGTGCAGTGGTGTGATCTCGGCTCATTGCAAGCTCCACCCCCTGGGTTCACGCCATTCTTCTGCCTCAGCCTCCTGAGTAGCTGGAATTACAGGCGCCCACCACTGGGCCTGGCTAATTTTTTGTATTTTTAGTAGAGACGGGGTTTCACCGTGTTAGCCAGGATGGTTTCGATCTCCTGACCTCATGATCCACAGGTCTTGGCCTCCCAAAGTGCTGGGATTACAGGCGTGAGCCACCGTGCCCGGCCTGGGTGTTGCTCTTTTTAGTCCTGACTGTCAAGGTATTAACTTCTTTAGAGTCACTTTTTCGTTGAACAAGGATGTACAAAAGAGACATCTAGTTATTACATTCTTCTGGTTTGGTTCTAAAATAAATGGGAAGGTACCTGTGGAAGTGATTTGTATAGATTTCCAGGCACCAGGATCCTCTTTAGTGTCCCGCACCCAAGAGCAGGGTGGATACTCCCTGCAGGCTGAGAGTCGTGAACTGTACAGTGCTGAGAGTCGTGAACCATACAGTGCTCACGGTGTCATCGTATAATTGGAGATCACTCTTTTCAGGTACCTCGCCAGTGCGTGGCTCAGGGACATCCTGGAGATCTTGGTGCTCCCATTACCATTTTCAGGCCATGTATCTCTTCCAGGCTGTGCTCCTGTGGCACAGATGAGGCCTAGTTCCACTGCTCTGATGGCCACACGTGAATCAGCAGCAGTGACTCCTTGGTACGTGGAGAGAACTGGGACTCTTAGTGGGTAGCAAGGAAATTATGTTTTTAAAACCACCAGCTCCTCCTTCCATTTAGTTGGCAGTTCCATTTCTAATATAAAATCTTTCAGATCTGAGCTCTCCTAGGGCCTCCCAAGATTTAATATGGTGCCCCAGAATGATAAATGAGAATAAAGAGAAACTCTTCATAACAGGACCATGTAGAAAAGGTGGAATCGATGCCCCTGAGGTAATTAACTTGATTGTGGTACTCATTTCACTACACACACAAACACACACACACACATCTATAAATACATATATAAAATCATCACGTTGTACACCTTAAACTTATACAATTTTATTTGTCAATTAGACCTCAATAAAGCTGGAGGTGAGGGAGGCCCGAACTCAATGACAGTTTGCTTTCCTCAGAATGGCCATGGGGTGAGGGAGGGCCCCACTCCTAGAGGGAGCAACTTCTTGATTTTCCTCATTCTTATTTCCCCCTCGGGCCACCCAGAAGCCAGGCCAGTCCTACTCAGATGATAGAAAACCTTATTAGCCCTCCTAATGAAATGGGCAGTTTGGTACAGAAGAGGGGAATCTGCTTGGATTTAAAGATGGCGTCAAACTATTGTCCAATGCAGGGAAATACATTTATTTCTACATGCAGAAGGAACTCATTAAAATCTGTTAGGCTTGGAATTTTCGACAATGATTTGTACATAAACTCCTTAAGTATTGCCTTGTGTACTGACATATTAAAAGTTATGATGATGCTTAGGAACTACAGATTATTTAGAAAATGTTTGAAAAGAGATAATACACAAAAGCAAGATTTCATTGTCACCAATAGATAGCAGGCAAGATTACCTTGTCCCTCTGAGGGTTCTGATTGAGTGCATTTGGCTGCAGGAGTAATGTAAGTGGCCCCAGGGTTGTTGTGTTCTGTATCTAGATCTGGGGAACAGTCACACTCATGGTTCCAGTTGAAAATAGGTCTCCTGCCCCCATTAGCATAGCAGGGCCTGTCTGGTCACAAGTCCTGGCTGTTTGGTTTGGAGACTATGTGCAGTATGGATTGGAGCAGAGGTACAAAGCCCCAAGTTTTTGGTACTAGGGACACTTGGAAGGTGTGAGAGCACAGCCTGCTCTTCCCTCAAGGCCAGCCCAAACTTAGCAGCCAAGCAGGGCTTCTGGGGCAGTCCAGGTGTGGAGCTCTTGTCCATTGTCACTTAAGTCCTCTGTCACCTTGTCTGTGTCCTCTGGTCATACTAGATCTTGGATATGCCCACCCCCCTGGAGACACCACTAGACAAAGAGAAATGAGGATGTCTAGTCAGTGACTTCCCAAGTCCAAGTCGAGACGTCTGCTTCAGCTGCTTTGACATGCAGCAACATCAAAGGAGCAGTACCCCAATATAGTAACAATTTGTTGTAAATTATCAAAATGTGTGAGCTTTACCCACGCCTCCTTACCTGGAAACCCTCCCCTGCCTTTTCCTCTTCTTTGACTATCCCATCTTCACTGTGTAGGAGACTCACCACCGTATACTGATGAAGAATGCACACAGTTCCGTGTGGTGCTGCTGCTACCTTAAGCTCATCTAGAACACTTAGAGGAAGAGAAGAGACCCCAGTCCAACTTCACACATCAGGCTATTGTCTCATTTTGAGAGGAGGAGAGAAGGGAGGGTTAGGAGTACCTTAACGGGGCCTGGGTGTGGCTTCTAAGTGCTGCAGGCACAAGGTACTATGACTTGGGCCTATCGGGTAGGTGTCTGGAGTGAGGCCTCTTGGCCCTGGGTCACAAGGGCAGTGATAAATTTCAGTGACCACAATACTGCTCTGATATTTTTCCCCACTTGGTGGCATTTTATATATAAAACTGAGGCTTCATTTATTTTGACCCCCTCCTCCCATTGAAAGAGCCATTATCTATTTCTTAGAGGCCCCAAACAAACAGGGTGGATGGCAGAGGCCTCTTGTCTGGCACAAGACTCGGGTTCCTGGTTTACCCTTCAGGCTGGGATAAGGCTGGCCTCACAAGTGAGACTCAGAAACAAGCCACTGCTCTCATGAATGCCTGTCTTCATGGAAAAAGGGATCTTTTTGGTCATTTGTTTCTGTGCCTTTGTTCTGGAAATGAGGAACTTGAGGCCCAGAGAAGTCAAGGAGCATCATTGGATGTCTCGCGTCTCTGGTTTCCCAGTTCAGTTTGTGTCTCCCCTTCGGCAAGCTCCCCCTCCCTTTAGTTTTGCATTTAACACAGTCTTGCCTTCATGACTGCCGCCTCCTTTTTTTCTGTAAACACAAATATGAAGTGTATTTGCTTTGCTTTTCAGCCTTGTCTGCCCCACTGAGTGTCCGAAATAGCCGGCTGGAATTCATGAGAATGTTACGTCTTCAGATGTTTATAATCCAAAAGAATCCCTTATGGTTTTTAATAATAAAACAACTTAGATGTCGGTATTTTGTGTTGGAAAGGCGAGCAAAGTTCACAATGCAGCAATTACAATGCAGTGCATTATGTATAATTTGTAGCCTGCCCCAGGAGCAATGGTGAACCGTGAAACACCATCCTGGCCCTGTAGCATAATTAGCAGGATCAAACGCTGCACAGGGAGAAGCATAATAGTTGTCATCCGAGGTAAATAAAAGTAAGGAAAAGTTCTGATACACCCCAAATTATATAAAGAGCAGCCCCTATATCAGGCTGCAAATATGTCAAGAGTCTTCATTGCTAATTGAAGAAATCTTTTGAGGTTTAGCAGCTCATAAATTCACACTGGGAATTGGCCTATTGTTCTAAGTCTTGTCTTTGGAATGTAACAGTTGTACTTTTATATTGAGTTCCTCCAATAGTACCATTGTAAACATGAAGAGTTTGCATTTTAACGTAAATTTGAACAATGTGGTTTTAAAAGAGTTCACCACATCAAAAAGAGGCTGTTTGGGCATGTTTTATGCATTCTTTTCTCTATAGTATTTAAAGCTATAAATGACTCATAGAAGTATGTTCCATTTAGATCTGTCATGTTGGTGTAGTGTCCTCACTGGAGCTTGTACTGCCCTTATTTTTTTCTACTGTGAGATAATTATCTGAAAACAGGTCTAGGCCTTTTGCCAAGTCACTTGCCCTTAATCTGTCTTCAGATCCATAGAAACAATTCTAGAACGCTGTTACACTTGGACTAAACAGCAACACATTTTGTGCCTTTTCATGATCATCTTTTTTTTAAAATTCAAATATTCAATTTGTACTCTTTTTTCTCCATGTACCAATTACAACCCTTCCTATAGCCTGCTAGCCCCCCATTAAAAATCTCTAATTTTTTGCCAAGCCACTAGTTGGAGTAGAGAAAGGTTGGATGGTAAAGGGAAACATGTGTGTACTGGTGTCCAAAGCAAACTGGCGGAATATGAAGAGTGCTGGGCTTGGATCTGACCCCTGGACATATGGACCATACCGTTTTCTGGTGTGAGACCTCAAGAAACTGCCCACCTACGTCGAGCCTCAGTCTTTACATCTGTATAATGAAGGCAATATTTAGCACTCTACACCTCCTTCCATTCCTGCATTTGTTCATTTATTTGTTCATCCCCAGGCATAGAATGTGGACATAAACCCTCACTGTCCTTGCCCCCATGGAGCTCACAACGCAGTGAGAATGCACGCTGTCAAAATGATTAGATTCACGAGTAATCACTAACCATGGCATCATGTGCTGTGAAGGGAGGGGATCCTGTGAGAGCTTCAGGCAAAGGACCCTCACTGGGGGTGATCAGAGGACACAGTCACTTCCCTGGAGAAGTTGTGTTTGAGCCAAGAGCTAGAGGACATGAAGCAAGGAGAGATGTTTGTTTTTGAAAAGCTCTCCCAGCTACTGTGTGGAGAATGGCTGGTAGGAAGACAGGAGCGAGTGTGGGGAAATGGTTTAGGGTTGTGTTAGAGTTCTTCAGAGGGACAGAAACCAATAGGATGTAGGTATGTATAAAAAAGAGTTTATTATGGAGAATCAGCTAAGTGATTACAAGCAAAGTCCTATGATAGGCCATCTGCGGGCTGGGGAAAGAAAGAAGCTATTCGTGTGGCTCATTCCCAGTCCAAAAGCCTCAAAACAAAGGAAACCTGCAGCGCAGCCGTCAGTCTGAGGCCCAAGGCCCAAGAGCCCCCAAGAGGCCACTGCTGAAAGTCCCAGTGTCCAAGAGCTGAAGAAACTGCAGTCTCATTGTTGTAGGACTTTCTCCTCAGTTCAGCTAAAAACTAGGTTCTTGTCACACAACCAGGAAAGATAAGGCTTATGGACACATAGAAGGGTGAGAAAAGCAGAATTTATTGGGTGAAAAAAGGAAAAAACTCAGCAAAGCAAGATGGTTCCTGTTAACAGGCCCCCATCTCACCAATTGAATCCCAGGTCACCACCCAGGAACAGGAGGGGCCAGGCTCCTCCCCCCTGCAAATGGCTGGAACTTCCCGAGACCCCACCCCATCCTCCCATTGCACAGGTCAGTTGGAGATTCTCTAGGAGCCCGTTTTACTTGGCTGGCTCATCATATTCAAAGGCAGGAGGAGAGGAAGCAAGCATCCCGCACAGGAGGAGAGAGGAAGAGCAAGAAGACTCAGCAGGCTGGGTACCCTTCTACCGTCTGCCCTGTTCTAGCCATACTGGCAATCCACTGGATGGTGCCCACCCACATTGGGGCGCATCTTCCTCTCTCAGTCGCCTGACTTGAATGTCGGTCAGTCTCTGGCAACTTTCAGAAACACCCAGGAGCACTGCTTCACCAGCCATCTAGTCATCCCTCAAGCCAGTCTAGTTCACACCTACATTAACCATCACAGCGGTTTAGGCACTGGTCTAGGCCCATGATACAGGTGACTCAAACATAGTTGGTGACAGGACAGATAGAGAACAATGGACAAATTTGGGAATGTTCAGGTTAAAATGACAGGTTTTGATGGATTGAATTTGGGGACAGGACGAGTGGAAGAGGAAGGTGTCAAGGAAGACTCTAGGGTCTGGGCTTGTGTGACTAACCAGAGGGATAGTGGGGGCATTTCTGAGAAGGGCAGCCTGGAAAGGGGGTCATTAGTGTAACAGTCAGCACCACTTACCTTTCATTGCTTTGACCCAGGTGCTCATATCCTTTAATTCATTTGGTCCTCAGAACACACCCATGAGCTAGATTTTACAGATAAGAAAATTGAGGATCAGTGAATAAAGTAGCTTATCCTAGGACACAAAATAAGAGGCAAAGCCAGTATTCAACCTCAGCTCTTTCTGATTCAGAACCCATGCCCTACTCTCGTTCCCCACCAGAGCGAGGTAGCAGAAGGGCAGCTTTGTAAGACACCGGTATCCACTCCAGATTTGGTAAGCAAGGTTCTAAGCAGAATGAAATGCCTGGAAGAGAAAACGGGAGATTTGGGGTGTGGTTCTGTGCCTCTTAGCTCTTAGGAAAACCATTTACCTTCTCTGAACTTCCATTTCCCATCTCTGACATGAGCAAGTCAGATCTACCATCCTGAAGACACCCCTCGTGTTCTGGAAATGCATGATATTTATGATGTCATCCTGGATGCATCTCATACACAGTCTCCCATCCACACTTAATTAAATCTGTAGGGTTCCTTATGGTCTTAAAACCATATAGTCCTTTCTCTGCTAGCTTTTTATCTGGCCAAAGCACATATTTAGATACTTCCAATGAAGTTCAGAGAGCAACATATTCCTCTTCCCTTATCTAAATCTTCAGTTACCCAAGATGAGCCTAATTCTAGGTTCCTAACTTGGGATTGATGTTTAAAAAATTTAGTTCTGGAGTTTTCTTTTTCTGTTCATAAAATGTTTTATTTTACTAGAATTTATAAATAATTAATGTCTATTAATAGGCATGTAGGAATAACTCATTTTTTGTTGTTATTGAATATCTCTCCGTAGCAGAGACCATTTTAAAATAATTTCTGAGTTTAATTCTAGTTCAGTTTGAGACTGAGGCAGGCCATTTCAAGGGTGTAAAACCAGTCTGAGACACTCCTTGGCCTTCCTGAGGCTGGATGGGCTTGTTTGTAAGAGATGTTAGGTTTCCATCACTCTGAGTAAACTATCACAAGGACAGAAAACCAAACACCGCATGTTCTCACTCATAGGTGGAAATTGAACAATGAGAACACTTGGACACAGGGTGGGGAACATCATACACTGGGGCCTGTCATGGGGTGAGGGATGGGGGAGGGATAGCACTGGGAGAAATACCTAATGTAAATGCCGAGTTGATGGGTGCAGCGGGCCAGCATGGCACATGTATACCTATGTAACGAGACCACACATTGTGCACATGTACCCTAGAACTTAAAGTATAATAAAAAATAAATAAATAAAGGAGCTCATTGAACTTCAAAAAATTTTTTAAAAAAGGAGCTCATTGAACTTCAAAAAAAAAAAAAAGATGTTAGTTTTCAGTCACAGGATTGTCTCCTGCCTCTGTAGGTTAGCACACACAAGCACACACTCATGCAAACACATGCAGGCACACACATCCATGCACTCATCCACATGCACACACATACACACACACACACACACTTTCTCTAATGGGGAACAAGATTAGGATTTGGGAGAGGGATAATGAGTTAATCAGACCTAAAAGAACACACAAAAAGTGGTTAATTAGACTCAGGGTTAAATGCCATCAAATACAGAAACAGGCGTGGTTTTAAAATGACCATCATACTTCTCAGACAGTTTTTCACATCACAGAAACTGGCTTCCCAGCCACCACAATTCTAGGCTAACTCTGACCCACATAAGAATTTCTCAGCTCTGGGGTGCAGAGAGCAAGGGCTCCTGCTTGTTTGTGCATTTCTCCAGATGGCTTCTCACTGCCACGTATCTCATGGAGCTTATCTACTCCAAACAGATAAAGGTTGCATCGCCCTCATGGTCCAAGTTATCTAGACCTTTGTGGAGAAGCCCACCCTGGTTTCCTAAACCACAAGCTGCTGCCTCTCAAAATTCATGGCTATCATACTTTTGATAAGTATATCATTCCTCTTTCACATATTTTCAACTTCCCCCCGCCCTCTTTTCTTTTCTTGCCCAGCAAGCACACATCTGGCCACAGGCCTCACATGTGGTAGGGTTGGGCTGGGAGGTTCCCAGTGATTCCCTCAGCCCTGCCCCTAATGATTTGGTTACCTTTGATACCAGCCATAACTCACTCTAATTGCAGGTTTTTCTCAGAGCAGTTTGTCTTCCTCTAGTTCCACCTGCAAAAGATGGATGCCAGGTGGCTGTCAGCTTTAATAAGGGCTTTGGACCACTGTGTTCTCCTAGGCCGCAGATAATCTCAGGGACAATATCCTAGGTCAGGGATTGTTTTTGTAATTATGCATTGATATTGGTATTTCTGGACCTGTAGTTATATACTAATCAGGCTTATGGTAGTTAAAAAGTAAAGATAAGTTGAACTTTTAAAACATTTAAGACAGCATTCAGCATCAATAGATGTAATACATCTCATATCTCAGCCTGTTTCTAGCTACTGAATGTTCTTTAATGTGGCCAGAACCCCAGAGCCCAGGCAAAGCTTGTGAATTTCATAGACAAAACAAATAGACTGAATTGTGTTCCAAAGTATATGAGTTTGTAGCCCCCACTCACCTGTTCCTCACTATTTGTGTCTCGGGATTTGAGAGCTATTTAGTGGCTGAGGCCAGAAATTGAAATTTGCCCTAATGGTGTGTTAGCTTGTTCTTTCATTCATTCCTCAAGCATTTATGATGCACCCACTATGTACCAGGCACCAGGGATCCAGAGGTGAATTCCCTTGTTCCTAGGACTGGGTGAGTGACACTGGGCCAGTTTCTTCTACTCCAGTGTCATCACAAATAGAATTTTAACTAACGATTGTATTTGTTGTGTTTTTCAGGATAGCTGGGTTGCACTTTTATCTTTTAAAATCTACATCATCCAAGGTTGAGCATAGCATAACCTAGGAAACTACCAGTCTTTGACTCATAGTAAATGTCACCAGAAACCTACTTGTACTAAACCAAATGCCATGCTAGTGCAAATGGTCAAAGGCAAACATAACCACAGAACACACTATGGCATTCCTGTGATCAGAGTTTCTCAAAGTGGGGCATGTGGGCATCCAGCTCACTTGAGGTGCATGTTAAAAAATGCACATTTCTGGGTCCCCCAACAGACATTGATCTGGAATCTTCCATTAGAACCCTAGAATCTGCCTCTCACCAAGCTCCCCGACGTGGATTTGAGAATCACTGTTCTAAATCCAGCATCTAGTATTTAGCCCTTCGAAGCATGCTGTGTTTTCTGCGGGAATGTGGCACGGAAGTATTGGGTAGCTGTGGGACCTGGGGCCAGTTATGTGGTTCACTTTATTTGCTGCTAGTCAGTCAGGCCACCTAGCCTAGGGGCCAGCCACCTCAATCCATTTCTTTTCCCAGGCCCAACAGCCTTGTTTTACAAGACACATGGTTATCTGCAGTAGTTGTCCAGGGTGACCTAAACTTGACCACTCGGGGATGGTTGTTCTCAGCAGAAGTTGCCAACTTTTTGTCCCTTTTCAAAGTTCTTTTCCCACTGGCTTGTCTTTTTTTTTCCTTATTCCTTGAATGCTTGGGATGATGTTTACTTGTACTTTTTTTCACGTGCAAAGGTTAAGGAGTGTTTTAAGAAGATTGAGGTTTCTGAGGGAAATGTTGGCTAATTTCAAATGGTCTTTGATTTCAAAAGTCAATGAAAACATTCCCTTGATCCTTGGTTTGAAGGACTGGAAATTGGGCCATCTCTCTGGTTTGAAACTCAAGTGGAAGGGAGTGAGAAAAAAATAAAACAGGTCTAAATATTATCAAAAATGCTTCTTTATACCTTTAGCTGAACAGAAGATTTGAGAGCCTGGGCAAAACGCAATGGTGTGGGGGATCTTGTTATTTGTGAATGGAGGAACTGTCCCTGCTCGTATAGGAGGGTGAGCCATGCAGCTGGCATTGTGTCCCTTGGAGGGAGGGAGCTGCTGTCTCCGGCAATTATGAAGCCACCACTTAGGACAGAGTCCCAAGAAAGATGTGCTTTCTTCTCCACCAGAAAGCACATCTGTTCACCGCTCTGATCACTGGGGGTCTGCCCAGCAGCTGTGACAGCCAGCACCTGCTGAACTACCAGTTGCCAAGCTGCCAACTTCAAAGATGCTGTCTTAGTCAGTTTAGGCCACCTTAACAAAATACTACCATGGACCCGGTGGCTTAAACAACAGAAATTTATTTCTCACGGTTCTGGAGGCTAGAAGTTCCAGGTACTAATATGATCAGGTTATAGTGGGGTCCCTCTTCCTGGATTATAGATGGCTGCCTTCTCACTGTGACCTCACATTGGCAGAGAGTGCAAGCTCTGGCCTCTTCATTCCCTGATAAGTTTACCAATGCCATCACGGGGGCTCCACCCTCATGTCCTCATGTAAACCTAATTACCTCCCAAAGGCCCCACCTCCACATGCCATCACATTGAGGGTTTGGACTTCAACGTATGGATTTTGAGGGAACACAAATATTGAGTCCATGACAGCCTTCGTGACCTCTCTGAGCCTAGGCGGACCAGGCAGAACAGCAACAGCTAACGCCCTGGGGTCGTAGGCTAAGGAATTAGAAATATTCTCCTGAAAGGAACCACTGGTGCTGGAGACTTTTGCAGATTCCTAGAACTCATGGAATACTCAATTTATAAGCCCTGGTCTTGTACATTCACTCAGTGCTAGGCCAGAGAAACCCCCAAGTCAAACCAAGTTCTGAGTGTCCTTAGACAGCAGTGTGCACTCTGAACCAGGCATCAGGCACAGTCAGAATGAGAGCTAGATGGGCCTTTTATCTCACTTCCGCCCTTCTGATGCTCTCCTGGGGGTTGGGGTGGGGGAGGGGGAGGAGGGGCAGAAGCAAAGAGGAGGATTGGGGGCAAGTACAAGTGGGGGGTTTGAGTGAAAATGTGAGCCAGTAACCAGTACCACCTGATTAGGCCTAACATAGATCATTTTGAGTATTACTGCATCCAGGATTGATTGTCTTATTACCATAGATTATGTCTGTTTATCTCCTCTGATTTGGAGTTAGCATATTTAGGAGGCTCCGGATCATTCCTGCAAAGCACTCACTAACACGAGGCAGCATGCACAATAGCAGGAGGAAATTCAGGATTAGAACTGGTTAAACTATCTACATTCATATCCATATCTGTATCTATATCTCTCCCAGTGCCTTGTCAGTCTCCTCTGCTCTGGAAGAATTCTGATATGACATAGAAACTGCTAGATGCTGGCAAATAACTCCTGGGTTTCGGGCCATCTAGACAATAAACAACTCCATAATATTCAATGCAGCAGCCTCTGTAGCGCCCATCTGTTTCAAAATAACCCTAATTCTGCTTACGATGCGGAATGCTTTGTTGACTGGAATTTGTCCTAGTTTTCTTCAGCAGATTTAATGTCATAGGCCTCTGGTTCCACCTGCTGGCAGATATAAATACCAGAATGAAACTCGGGTGGATATGTTCAGTTGCAAGAAAAATCCGAGCTGTAGCTCAATGGTTCTCAAAGGCTGATGTACATCGGAGTCACCCGGGAGCTCATTAAAACTACAGCGGCCTGGGCTCTGTGGGAAGCCCACCCAATCAGCAACTATTTCTTAAACAGCCCTCCTGGTGATTCACACACCCACACCAACGTTAGCAGACCCCACTTCACCTGGAATGAGGGGTGCAGAACCCAGCAAGGTTAGGGATGATTCCAGACCACTATATCCTACTCATGCCCAAGAGTGACAAAGCCACCTTGAGATGCCCACTCCTACCTCTTCCAGTTTATCCAGGTAACTCTTAGTGGCAAAGGCCAAAGCTTTATTCCCTTGGAACTCATTTTAAAAAGAAAAAGTTCAAAGTGGAGAAAACTGATGAAAGCACTACTTATCTAAGTGGTCAAGGTTAATGTCACCAGTGATAAGTCATGTTGACAGCACGTTGATATGTGATGAGGGCATTTCACCTCTATGGTATTCTTCACCAAAACCCATAACCCCAGTCTAACCATGAGGACAAATAGCAGACAAACCAGACCGAATGAAATTCTTCACGATATCTGTCTGCTACCACTCAAGACTGTCAAGGTCATGGGGGTCAAGAAAGGACTCAGAAAGAGCCACAGACCAAAAGAGACTAAGGAGACTTGGTAACAAAATGTACTGTGGTCTCCAGGATTGGACCCCGAACAGAAAAAGGAAATTAGTGAAAAAAACTGGTGAGATCTAAATGTCTGGAATTTAGTTCAGAGGAATGTATCAATGTTGGTTTCTTAGTTTCGACAAATGTACTGTAAGATGTTAACATTTAGGGAATAGACTTGTCTGCAGTATCTTTGCAACTTTTACGTAAATTTAAAATTATTCCAAAATAAAAAGTTTATTAAAAAAATTTACAAGAAAAAAATAACCCCATCAAAAAGCAGGTAAAGGATATGAACAGATGCTTCTCAAAAGAAGACATTTATGTGGCCAAGAAGCATATGAAAAAAAGCTCATCATCACTGGTCATTAGAGAAATGCAAATCAAAACCACAATGAGATACCATCTCATGCCAGTTAGAATAGCGATCACTAAAAAGTCAGGAAACAACAGATGCTGGAGAGGATGTGGAAAATGGGAATGCTTGTACACTGTTGGTGGGAGTGTAAATTAGTTCAACCATTGTGGAAGATAGTGTGGCGATTCCTCAAGGATCTAGAACTGGAAATACCATTTGACTCAGCAATCCATTACTGGGTATATACCCAAAGGACTATAAATCATTCTGCTATAAAGACACATGCACGTGTGTGCTTATTGTAGCACTATTCATAATAGCAGACTTGGGGCCAACCCAAATGCCCATCAGTGATCGACTGGATAAAGAAAATGTGGCACATGTACACCATGGAATACTATGCAGCCATAAAAAAGAATGAGTTCATGTCCTTTGCAGGGACATGGATGAAGCTGGAAACCATCATTCTCAGCACAGTAACACAGGAACAGAAAACCAAACACCGCATGTTCTCGCTCATAAGTGGGAGTTGAACAATGAGAACACATGGACACAGAGAGGGGAACATCACAGACCAGGGCCTGTTGGGGGCTGGGGGCAAGGGGAGGCATAGCATTAGGACAAATACCCAATGCATCTGGGGCTTATAACGAGATGACAGGTTGATGGGTGCAGCAAACCACCATGGCACACATATACCTATGTAACAAACCTGCATGTTCTGCACACGTATCCCAGAACTTAAAGTATAAAAAAAAAAAATTGGGATGGGAGGACGGCACTGAAGAGAGACAAAATGTGTTGGAGGACATTGCCAAGGAGCATAGCATGGCTGCTTCTGTGCCCAGCTGCCAAAAGTCATGAGCAGCTAGCTGGTAGGACAGGCAACAGTCTCCAGAGAAGCTGCTCAGGCAGCTGGCCAATGAGGCAGGTTGCTGGTGTGACACATTTGCACTCTCCCATCTCTCCACCACCTGACGCCTGTGTCTCACTGGGAACAAAACAATCATGGACACTCGAACCTCTGTGTGGGAGTCAGAGGTCCAGGCCCCCCTCTGGGTACAGATGAGGGGCCTGAGGCCCAGGGAGGGAAGTGACCTGTGCCAGATCGTGGTGGACCCCAGATATGAACCCACATCTGGTTGAAGTGAATTCATTTGCCACAGCATTTCTCAGTGACTTGATATATTATCTGCAACAGAGTCATCTGGGTGCTCGTTAAAATGAAGTTCCTGGGCTCCAACCACCACTTACTGCATCAGAATCTGTGGTGAGGGGGTGGAGGGGATCCAATAATCTGCATTTTGAACAGGTTCTTCATTTCTGTGCACACTTCAGATTAAGGACCACTGCAGCAAACTGGGCAATGGTTGCTGTTTGATGGAAACTTCTGTGCATAGGGCCAGGGCTGCTAAAAAGCTGAGAATGGGAGAATCCAGCTGCCACCATTCTCTTAGGATGAAAGTCATAGCAGGTGGCAAGCAGCAGGGCCAGGACCCAGTGTGTTTCAGGAGGAGGCAATATTTTATTCTATTTTGAGCTCAGTGTATTATCATTTAAACACTCTTGCCCTCACTACTCTTTTCTTTTTAAAATAATGTAATTAAAACTTACCCAAAGACAGTCTCAAGATCAAGAAGCAAGAGGTTGGGAGTAGGACTCATATCAGGGCCCTGAGGAGGCCACTGTAAGTCTCTTCCCCTGTCCTTCCCTTCCACTGTGCCCCACCTGAACATCTGCAGGAAAACCAGGTCATAAAGAGACAATGGCAAGTCTCCTGGACCCCAAGATAAAGGTCAGAACAGACAAAGGACCCAGATGCCTGGGAAGCCTGAAGCAGGCCGCAGTTTGGACCTAAGGAATCCTTTGAGGCTGCAGGGTCCCTGTAGTGGAGTTGAGCAAAGACTCAGGCCTTGCGAGGTGGATAGCAGCTGCCCGCACTGTGCCAGGCTGGCCCTCTCTGCGGACTGGTGTGGAATCTGCATCAGAAACATCAGAAGAGGCCGGGGGCTCCAGCTGCCCCTCCGAGCAGACACATTGGCCCTGGAGCTTCTGAGAGGAAGGTAGGATTTTAATATTCCGAAGGGTTTTCATACTTTTTCTATCATTTTACAGACCTCATATACATAGATATAGATATATTAAGAGATAGAACGAGCATAGAGAATTATTCCTGTAAGAAGTTACAAACTGTTCTCTATTTTAGAAAATACTTGAGAGTTAACTACCAAGGCTGACTTTTGCAGCTAGACCTATCTATTGCCAAACCTTACTCCTTGTCAAAGGAGATCCTAATTCTAGATGCATCCAGTTATCCAAAATAAAGCCTTACTATTTGCAGTGAGCCTTATTTAAGGCAGAAGATGCATTGTTTCTGCTGTCTTTTAAACAGACCCTGTCTCCAAGTCGTAATTGAGGCAATAATACATTCTGGAGGTTTACACATGCTGATGTAGGGGCTGAGGAAGACAACTGGAACATCTCATGTCTGAAGGAGAATAGGCGGGGATCTAGGTTTGAGTTCCTGACTCAGCCACTGACCAGCTATTTGGCTTTGCCAAGTTGCTTAAAATCTTTAAGCCTCAATTCCTCACCTGTAAAATAGACAAAGAAATTCTACTTGGAGGGATAAGTAGGATAGAAACCACTTATAACAATGTGGATAAATCTCACAAGCATAATGTAAATTGAAGCCACTCACAAGGCATACATATTGTATGGATCCACTTATGGACAAAAATAGGGGAAAAATCTATAGTTAGAAATCAGGATCATGGGTACTGTTGGGTAACGGGGTATAGTAACTGGAAGGGGGCTTGTGGTGGCTTATAAGTGCAGGAAATATTGTGGTATTTTCAGAAATATCCTCATATCTTGATCTGGATATTGGTCTCACATGTCCAGTTTGTGAAAATGAATCAAGTTATACACTTCAAGGTGTAGGGGTAGGGGAGCAGTAAACAGAGTGAGCATGTAGCAATTGTCCCACAAATATTCTTTGTCTCTTTGACTTTTCTTTCTTTTTTTGGGAGGTGGGGGAATTCTAGAAGTCTGACCATATCTTGTCTATATTGCAGGAAACACTGACCTGACATAGTGGACCTGATGTTATAGCTTACTCGATTGTTAACTGGATTATGGCCTGTTGATTTTAAGTCATTTTTGTTCATTAAGGGTCTCCAAAATTAACCAACTGGAGGGGAGAGAAAAGTACAACAGGTAAAGTGGTAAACTAGGGGCTGAGTTGATCTCTATTTCACAATGCAGGGTGCTGACCACTGTAAATCACAGAGATCTCCATTTCAAGGCTTCTTGTTTTGAGATTCCAGATATTATTTCAGCATTAGGGAATCTCCACTGTTGCAGTCTTGATTGATTGAAGGATAGAAATGCGAATGTTTTCTCTCTAAAGTCACATCTAAATATTACCTTTCTCGTAAACCAAAACTGAAATTTCCATTTGTATGAAAGTTATACCATTTTAAGTTAATTTCACACTATTTATAAAGAGAGAATATTATAATTAGTGACTCAAAAAGTAAAGTGTGGTTACTGTCTTTAAGCATCTCCCCTTTTCATGTCTTGCTAAATTGTTAGACCTGGGGTCCCTTCAGGCCTTTTTGGTCTTTGACGGTAAATGACTTAACAACCATCCTTTCAGGGGAGGCATTTTGGGAGCTTTGCAGTTCATGGAATGCTAATAAAGTAACATTCTTGAAAGAGAGAACATGGGTCGCATGCTGCTGCCCTCATCTGACAATAGAAATCCCAGAGAACACTGGTGATTTATTTAGAGGTTTCCTGGTTTAGAAAAAAAGTGATTGCCTCTTTAGCTCCCTAATTTAAGGGAGAGATACTATGCTATCCTGCGACTCCAGTATAACTTCACTGCATGGCATAGTGCGTTCATCAGATCATGGGCAGGATCTATGAATAGCAGCAAATCAAACATCTCTATTTACATGGATGGCGAACGGTAGGGAAAATGGCCATCAACTCATGGTGTTCCTTTTAGCAATTCTTATCTGGACAAAATTGCTTCTCTTCCCTTAGATGTAAAATGCAGAGGCTACTGCATTTTACATAAGGGTAGAGGACTGAACAGTTTTTCATCAAGAACCACAAATCAATAAATTTTATGATCTTACTACTGGTGCTGTAATTGAGGTAAATCATCTTAACACGGGAAGTATTCCTGAGGTTCTTTGAAGCATGCTCACTGCTTCTTTGAGTAAAATTGAGGGCTGACCTCCATTGACAAAAACACAGAGGCAAGGCTCATAAATACTCATATTCTCTACCAAGTTCTTTGGAGCAGGGCCGTTTCACCCAGGCCTGTAAATGTCCAATGTATGATTTAAGCAGAGAAAAGAAGATCTTGGCTGGACACTCCAGCTCTGTCAGTCACCCAGAGGCTCCTTCATGTGACAAAAGCGTGCTGCTTAATGAAAGTCATTAATTACCTTTTTATATCTATTTCTCAGAAGACAGATATTTAGTAACTAGCAACTCAACACTTTGTACAAAACACTGCCAAAGGGTTTGCAAACAGAATTGAGCTCTGTATTTTAAGAAGTCACTGGTTTTGTCATTTTATATATCTCTTTTTTGAGACAGAGTCTCACTCTGTTGCCAGGCTGAAGTGCAGTGGCAAGATCTGGGCTCACTGCAATCTCTGCTTCCTGGGTTCAAGCCATTCACCTGCCTCAGCCTCCCAAGTAGCACGGGATTACAGGCCCAAGCCACCACACCCAGCTAATTTTTGTATTTTTAGTAGAGTCGGGGTTTCACCACGTTGGCCCGGATGGTCTCAATCTCCTGACCTCGTGAACCGCCCGCCTCAGCCTCCCAAAGTGCTGGGATTACAGGCATGAGCCACCATGCCCAGCCCATTTTGTATATCTCTTATACAGAGTTAATTAATGATAGGAACCAAATAGACATTTAGCACATGATTCTTGATGATGTTAGAGATGAACAATCATACCATCCAATGTTCAGCAGGCATTTACTGTCATGTGGCACTCAGCTAATCATTTTATATGCATTATCTCTTCTAATCCTTCAACAACCCAACAAAGGAGCTACTCAGTATTCCCATTTTATAGATAAGGAAACTAAGACCAAGAGCAAGAGGGTAGCCTACTTGCTCAAGGTTGTGTAGCTAAAAAGTGGAGGAGTTGGGATTTAATCACAGGTTGTCAAACTTCAGAATCATGGAAAGGACCCTGGAAGTCCCCTTTTTCAGTAGCCTCCTCTCACGTATGAGTCAACTGGACACTGCTGAAATGAAGCATCTTGTGAAGGGTGTCTCCACGAGTCCCAGGCAGAGCTGGGAAACTATCTCCTAATTCCCTACTAATACTTTTTCCTTTACACTCATGGGGACACCTCCTACCACCCCAAGGAAGCTTGTCCAGATTCTTTCCTGTGTGCTGAACAAATGTGAGTACATATCAGAAACACAAAGATAAGACCCTTCGAGAAAGCCTGCAAAGGATGCTGGAGGTTAAGGAGAGAGGTAGTAGATCATATGACACAAGTGGAAACTATAGAAACAATTTGACACATGAATGCAAAGGTGGGGAAGTAGAAGACAGAGTGTACCTGAGACTGAGTGGACAGCCAGGAAGCCTTGTGCCGAGTGTGGCTCCAACGCAGAGCACACACACAGTAGTCGGTGTAGGTTAGGGGCTGACATCAACTTTGTGATTCTCTTCGAAATAAGTTTTTATGCTTAAAAACATTCTCCTCAGATCAACTCATATTCAAAACAGTGTAGTTTTCAGAGTTGGAAACAAAGCAATTCGGCCATTCTTCAGAGAGTAAGATGGCTTTTGTATCAATAACACTGAGTTGGAAGGATTTAAAATACCCTTAAGAGCTGGCATGATTACAAATCGGGCATTATTGTGGTTTGGGTTGTATTGTTATACCCAAGGTCTTCTTGGTTCTAGAAAGCCGAACCATGCTAGTAGCCAGTGGAATTTAAGGAGACCCACGTGGGAACTTTAGAGTTACGTCTTTGATATCAGCAGAGTCCCACAGAATTGAGAACTTAGACTGGAACTTCTTATTTTTCTGTTTTCAGATAGCAGTGAGCTTCCCACATGTCCATATCCATGAAGAAAAGGGACACTGGGTTTGGGCAGGAAGGGCGGGAATGGTGAGAGGTGCAACCCTGAACACTTGCGGTGTGAGAACCGATGGCCACGTGGGGAAGTGGGAAAAGACTCAGAAGGTTCGCTGTTCTTCATGCTAGCTCAGTGACCTCAGATGTGTCCCTAACACCTTCTGAGCCTCTGTTTCCTCTTCTGCAAAACTGAGATGATTCTATTGGGAGTGAAAGCTAAGTGGAGAAGTGTACCTTGAAAGGGCTTTATAAAGAAGAGTGTGATGATTATTCTTCTCATGACATGAGTTTTCTACTTCAGCATGTGGCATTTCTTTGGTTGGCTCAGCCCTGGTTCTCCTCGAATGCCCTGCAAATGGGTCCAAGGCCGTGTGTGCTGGCTGCTCCTTTTGAGAGCTGGACCTCGGGCATCTTCCTAGTCTGCCCCTTCTAATTCCTCCAGGCAGTTCCCTTCATGGAAATTATTAATCTGCGGGCTTTTTCTTTTGAAGAAACGCTAAAGAAAACACCAGAGGACTCTGTGTTTCCCTCTGGGAGTCTCAGCAGTCTTTCAGCCTCCATGGGTTTCTGCCCTGTGGCCTGGAGTCAGGGTGCCACGTCGAGCTTGCTTCTGACTCTGCCCTCAGCTAGTTCTAACAGAGTTCCCAGGCCATCTGGAATGAGGTGTCAAGTCCTGGCCTGCACTCACAAGTGCAATTAAGACCAGTCTTTTTAAAAACAACTGTTAAAGGCAAAGGAGAATTTGGATCTCATCATATAAAACAGTTTTAAGCAATCAACTACTGGTGATTTGATTCATGAATATGTAATTTCAAAGCATTTACCATTTTGAACAAAGAGAGATTCCTTTACAAATACATATGGCAAAAACGTTTTTTGGGGTGTTTATTTTGGGGTGTTCTAGTCAGGAAGGGTACCAGGGGTTGGGGAGGTATAATTCTCCCATGCTCTCAACAGGAAAGGAGAATCAGTTATGGGGAAGCACTGGGATCTTCATCAGTAGAGAAGCAAAAATATAAAAAAGGGGTTGGCTTTGACTGCTTTTTTGAATTTCTCTTTGACAACGGAAACTTCAGCTGTGGATTGAAAAGACGGACTCCGTTTCCCACTGCTTTCTCTAACATCTTTTCACTATGGTTTTAACAGTTGCCATGTCAGCTTATGCATAGATGGACACATCTTTGAAAAGGTGCCACTCTTGGGCAATGAGCAAGAGGGATCCACTGTTTACTTGCTTTCCCTCCTGGCTTAACTGTGCTTTGCCCACCCTCCCTTCCCAGCCAGGCTAGTGCTGCCAGAACATTTGGGTTCTGCAAATGGGTCCAAGGCCATGTGTGCTGGCTGCTGCTTTTGAGAGCTGGACTGCGGGCACCTTCCCAGTCTGCCTCTTCTAATTCCTCCATGCAGTTCCCTTCATGGGCAATGAGTTGTGTCAGAACCTCACTGGGCAGCATTGGAAGTCATAAGCAGGTGCTGTTGAGTCAAGTCCATATATTTATTGAAC
Source organism: Homo sapiens (assembly GCF_000001405.40). NCBI lineage: Eukaryota > Metazoa > Chordata > Mammalia > Primates > Hominidae > Homo > Homo sapiens. Next base: position 226,994,227 of record NC_000002.12, read on the forward strand.
AGCTACTGTGTGTTCAGAACTGTCCCAGATGCTGGGGAGAGGGAGATAGGTCAGGGGGTCCCCTACCATTTTAGAGCTTATGATCCTGGTAGGAGAGAACAGAGTGGTGCAGAAATGCCTACACATCTGGCAGGATGTGGTGATGATTGAATGAAGACAAACAAACGGAAGGTGCCGAAAGCTGAAGAGTTTGAATTGGGAAGAGTTCTTCCATTGGTTCTATCGGGGTTGACCTAGCATTACAAGAGTGAGTAAGACTTCTGGTTGATGTAGGTGATGGGAGAGAGCCTTTCAGTGCAAATTACCAAGGTTAGCAGAGCTATAGTAGTGAAAAGGTACAGCCTTTTTGGTCCCCATGCTTAGAAGTAAACCTCTACTTACCCGTATCTATCAGTGATGTGTCTTCCTGGTTTCCTCATGGGGAATATTGAAGCTCTTTCATTACCTTTAGGTTGCTGGTTCCTTGAGATCAAGGACTATGTATTTTTCTCCCTTTATTACTACTCATGATGCCTGGGAGAATGCTTTCTTATGTAGTGATTGAAATTCTTGTATCATTACAAACTGTGTTTTTGGTAAGTTTGCATCCCTAAGAAACTCTTTTCAGTAACGATTTCCACAGTCCTTCATATGATCTTGAAATATGATGCCTACATCTTTGTTTACCTGCCCAGATATTGATCAGTATGGTAACTCTGCTCCAGTGGTTGCTTGTGTGTTTCAATCACGCATGATTCTTATTGGCCACATTGGGGCAGGAGGCGGCACATTAGAGGGAAGAAAAGGAGCACCCAAAGGCTGATCAGAAGAAGCCAAACCAGCCTAGTTGGTGGGGAAGTTAGTAAAGGTGGCAACAAGTTATATATGGGCATAAAAAAAAAAAGACAATAAGCCCTTGAGATACTGTGTAAGCCTAAATGATGCAAATTATGGAGCACGATGGAAGGAAAAATACAAGTGGGAAGATTATCAAGAAGCCTCAAAATGAGTCAAATCAGATTCATGGCTGAACCACTCTAAAAATATTTACTTGACGTTGAAATTTAGTACTGACAGCTGAAGTTGAAAAATCTTTGTTATATTTCTGTTTTGTGTTAAAATGAAGATGACACCCAAGCTATCACTTTGTTCCCTTGGAATCCTAGGGTACACATGCCTTGTCACGTCAGAATGATTGATTTTTCCTTTGGCTTTCTCACTACAGGAAATACCAGAAATAGCCCACCACCCTACGGGTTTCATCTCTCACCAGAAGAAATGAGGAGACAGCGGCTTCACAGATTCGATAGCCAGTGAGGTGGCATCTTGGGAAGACATGGCCTATTCGTGTAATTATTGCCCATTTGGCTCATTCCCCAAGCCCCTAATTCATTTTAATTCATTTTAAACAAAAGCAGAGTACACCGGTATTGCTCCAGATCGCTCACATCACCTGGGACAGTCCCATGGCCCCTATGAGTCAACTCACAGCTTGCGGGGAGTGGGCCTTCTCCTGGCCTTGTTCTTGCTCATAAACAGGTCACTTCCTCCATGAAGAGACCAGTTTCCACGCTCCCATCTCTCACTGCTGACTCAGCGATGCCTCTGCCTCGGTCTGCTTTTGAAGACTGTGACCTTCACCAGGAGGTTTTACTTACACCAGTCGGGAAGATTAGTCCCTCATTCTGCCTGGAGTGCCCCGTGTTTGACTTGGCAGCGGGTGTGGAGCCATCCCCGCGTCCTCCTGGCGCATTGCCACTGTGGCTGTCCAGGAACAGGATGTGGCTGCCTTGGCCGAATGTTGTCCTACTCTCCCCAACCCCGGCGCCTCAGCTCCTCAGCTCCTCGGGCCCCTGCGTCTGGCTGGTGTTTGCAGGGCTTTCGCTCTGCTCTGGTATTGCTCTGCCTTTATAGAAAGTCTTATTGAAGAAGTGTAAGAAAGACCTAAGGTGGGGAAGACTCCTACACACACCATTAGTATCAGTGACACCAGCAATGTAGGTTCCCAGCCCCTTCCCAGTGGCAGCTTGTGTGTCCAGGAGATAGGACATCATTTAACGCATCAGCAAAGTAGCAGCAGATGCCACATACAGAGTAGAGCGAAGGCATTTGGTGGATCGGTCACTAGAGATCTATCTTGCAGAAAGTATGTTTTTCCTCATAAAAGTGCCTCTTAATTGGCCATTGTACCAGCCACTTGTCCTAGCCAAATGTCCAAAACACGCCCTTGGGCCCCGCCACGTTACAATCCACAGATTGTCTGTCTGAGTCGTTTAAGGCATTTCCTGGTGCTTGTGTTCCATGAATAAAAGGACAAAGTCAGAAGATCACTGATGTCTTACTGTCAACAGAGATATTTTAAAAGAGAGAAGCAGGAAAAGATCTTCCTTTTTTGATCTACAACTTATATAGTTTTCTGATTATGCACATAATAGATATGCCTTCCAGATGCATAAGGCAAACATCTGGAAAGAAATATACCCAAATCTTAGCAGGGGTTATCTTTGGGAGTGGAGTACATGGGATTTTGCTTTCTTCATTTTTATAATTTTATATTACTGTCTTGGAAGATGTGTTTATGTGTGTGTGTTACTTTTACAATCAGGAAAACATATTTAATAACATATAGTCAAGAAAACAGACTTAAAAATAAATACTATGTGTCCATTGAGAAAATTCACAATATAAACAGAAATACAAATAAATACATACACAATTTTAAAGTCACCTGTAGCCCTACCCTTAGAGGTACCCAGGGTTAACATTTTGGTGGTATTGTCTTATCAATTTTTCCGTTGATACATTCAGCAAATTTGGAGCACATTGACCATGGAGTTTTGTGTCCAAATCCAATCTGAATTTACCTGGAAGAGGCCTTGACACCTGCATGGAAATGAGCTAAGAAAACCACTGGAGCCTTGGGAGCTCTTTGGCCTCCTGGCTGGCCCAGTAATATCTGAGCTCCTTTGGTTAATTTATAACTGATATAAAACTACATCTTCTTTATAATATAAATTGTACCTGTGAGTCTAGAAGCTTTAAATGTGTTTAAATTAAAATATTCAAGCTAAATGTTACTGCTCTCTCCCAAATTCTGTAAGTTTGACTCCCGTTACCCCAATTAGAAGTAACTTCTTTGTTTCATGCCACTTTTATAGCATTTGGTAATTCTGCTATAACACATCTTGCCCCTATTATTAACTGTGCACAGCTACACAAAGGTGTGCCTTCTACGTGGGAACATGGATTGTGAATGACTCTGTAATGAGGCCTGAGTCTTAGTTATCTTTCCACTCACTCCCCGTCTCCCCTTTCCAACCCCAAAGGCTCACGATAGGGGCTCACTAAATGTCAGTGTTTCACCAAAGTATTTTTTCCATTGTATTAAGAGTCCAGTCACTGTATATGGAAGTATTTTATTTTTTATTTTTTTATATCACTTGAGTCCACTAGTAGTACTTCCTTGCTCTGTTTGACTTGTCAGATACAAAGACACGGGATTAGATTTTGGGTGGTAAAATTGTGATACGCATGGCTGTTGATGGAGTGGAACATCTTAGTGATGTGAGAAAGGTCATTTTAGTTATAAATGTAAACCAATTACTTTAGCACAACAATAAAGATGTTCTGGAAATTATTATAATTATTTTAGTTAATGGACTTGCCTGTAACAAGTGCTTATGTTTGGAATGTCCATTTTATTTTATTTTCCTCTACAATAAGGAATCCCTAAAGTTATGCCAACAAACTGGAATTGGATTGAGAAAGACAAAAGCAAGTGAGCAAGTGTATTAGACTAATTATCTCTAGTAGGGAATAAGCACTTAGAGCTAATTTTTTAATTTGGTTTATTTATTAGTAGCTCCCTGATTGTCTGTTAAGCCCCTGGTTCCCACAGTTTGGTGTGGTCAGTCAACTTAAGCGACCTTTTAATGCAGAATCTTTACTTGGTTCTGAAGAGGAGGCAGTAGTTAAAATTGCTTCCTCTTAATGACTCTGAATGTATTGCCTGTGATTCCAAAGTTGTACATAATTGTTCAGACCTCCTCCATCCTTTTAAATTGCCTGCTGCAGTAAATAACTAGTTTGAGTAGAACTAGATCCTGTCTATCTATTTGGCACATGTTCTGCTGCCTGGGGAGTAAGCAAGCTAAAGGGATGAGAAAGACCACCTCCCCCTACCCTGGAAATTGCACTGCAAGGCAGGGCGAGAATGGGGTAGCTGGCAGACCTGGCCTCCTTGTTCCCAGTCTTAGTTTTTCTTGAGAGATTCAGTATTCAGTAAAGAATAGCATTCAATTAGTCAAAAAATATATATATAACTTCTTCCTTTCCCTTCCCATGAATCATTGCAGTCATTCCCTAAGTTTCTTCTCTTTTTTTTTCATGGCTGCTAGTATTTTATTTTAGAATCACAGACTCTCAGCTTAGAGAGTCACAGTATCTCAATTATTTGCTCTGTTCAATACTTAACAATACCTCCTCACTCAATTCTACATAACTCCAGCTTAGTCTTCCAAAATTCACTTTCATGATGCCACTCAGCATCTCAAATACCTTTCATTGGCTCTCTGCTGCCAAAGGATAAAGGTCAAAGTCATTAGCCTCAACAGTGGGCTTCAACCAGCCTTTGGACCTCAGCCCCATTTATCCATCACAGAGGCTGGTAACTAGTCTCACTGCTCAGGCTGTGAGTGTTCCTGATCTTGTGACATTCTGTGCTGTGCTTTTACATGGAACAGCTCTTTCCTCTCTCTTGGCCCATTCAGATCCTCCTCATCCAGCCCCCATCTGAATCCTGTAACAGACACAACCACATCTACACAGTTTCCACATACCACTTGGAATTGCTGGTTATGCTGCAATGAGAGAATGTCTTTGTCTTTAAATTGTAAGCTTCATGAGGGCAGGGACCATCTGTTTCTCTGTCTCTCCTCACAGTGCCTTGAGCAGTACGTTGTCTGGAATGTCAGAACCAATAAATACTTGTGGATTGAAACAAAAAGAGAAGCTCATTTATACTGTCACCAGTGGCGCACATAAACACTAGTGCCTGGTGCTTATTGATATCATTGTAGGTCTTTTTTTTTTCCCTTGAATCAATCACATCAAGGAAAGAATGATGGAAAGCATTTGCTGGTAGAAATAGAGACTTCAGGGCCTTTGTCAGCCTGAAGACATGTCCCACTGCATCGAATGCTGTGACCTGGTACACAAAGCTCAAGATTCCCACACGACCAAGAAGTGTCACCAAGGAGTCCCTGTGAGTAGTACCGAATCTTGCCATGTGCTTTTTACAGGTCTGCGTTGGATGTGTTTGTGCTAACATTTTTTCCTTCTGTGGTATTTAGGGGCAGAGAGAGAATGATCTTAACATCTCGATCAGATGATAGATGAATTGGCAGATTTAGATATGTGATTTATACTTTAGAAAAACTAAAATGTTGCTAATATAATAGAAATCATTAAATTTGGTCATAATAGGTATTGCTGCTTGGGAAGAGAGTAGTGTCATAAAATCAATGGCATCATGTGGCTTAAAGAGACTCTTGGAATCTGGGACACACACAAGCAAAACCCTAGAAACAACACTTCTGCTGTGTGGCTCTCTGGATGCGAAACTGGATCCCTTCTCTAAGTATTTTGAAAAACACTGCTCAGCCACCTCCAGTGAGGGTTTCTGCCAGGAAGTTGTGAAATTACTGTGTCTTTCTCTCACTATTTCCCCCTTAGATAACTTGTTTAGTGCCTGGATGAAAATTCTAAAAACAAAAATCAAACGAAAGTTTGTAACTTAAGAGATTCATGATATTTATTTGAGATTCTTTCAAGTTATTGCCTGCCTCTGACCTTGAGATACTATCTCTTTACAAGATCCTCTCCCTCAACAATTTAAATCTATCTTGCATATCCTTAGTAGCAGATAATTATTAATGGAATTGAACAAGGTCTTCAGACTCTCGTTATAGAGGAGCACCAAGGCCAACCTCTCTGCTCTTCAGGGTGTGCACCCAGGGCCCACAGCACCTGGAAGCTTCTACAGATTCAGACTCCTGCTCCCCAGACCAAATGATCAGAATCTACATTTTAACAGGTCCCCTGTGGTTTATAGGCACCAAAGTACTTCTCAAATTTCAGTGCGCACAAGTGCATTTTACACCATTTATTGCATGTAAAGCAGACTGACTGCTTGGGGACCAGAAGAACATCTTACTCCTCATTATACAATTTTCCCTACTTTTATCAAACATAAAAATGATTACAGGTTGAGAATTTCATCTGTGGCTGATAAAATTATAACCACTAAGTATATAATCACTGAGGATGCAAGCTACCCCCTAGAGATAATGTATGAAGGAATTGCCTTGCTGGCAAATGGGAGAACAAAAATGACTAAGTTGGCTGGTGCTGCAGTGACTGAGCATCAAGTAAGGGCCTTCAGATCCTCCTTTCTCCAGCTCAGAGCAGTTGCCCTAAATGACTGACCTTGGGTTTCTAGGGGCTCCAGAGGTAATATGGTTTGGCTGTGTCCCCACCCAAATCTCATCTTGAATTCCCACGTGTCATGGGAGGGGACTCGGTGGGAGGTCTCATGGAATCATGGGGGAACGTCTTTCCCATGCTGTTCTTGTGATAGTGAATATGTCTCACGAGATCTGATGGTTTTGAAAAGGGGAGCTTCCCTGCACAAGCTCTCTTCTCTTGTCAGCCACCATGTGAGACGTGCCTTTCACCTTCGCCATGATTGTGAGGCCTCCCCAGGCACGTGGAATTGTAAGTCCAATAAACCTCTTTCTTTTGTAAATTGCCCAGTCTCAGGTATGAAAATTTATCAGCAGCATGAAAATGGACTAATACAGGAGACACGGCTGGTTTTCATTTCTTTTCTTTTTTCTTTTTTTTTTTTGAGACAGAGTCTCGCTCTGTTGCCCAGGCTGGAGTGCAGTGGTACGATCTTAGCTCACTGCAAACTCCACCTCCCAGGTTGATGCCATTCTCCTGCCTCAGCCTCCCAAGTAGCTGGGACTACAGGTGCCCACCACCTGGCCCAGCTAATTTTTTGTATTTTTAGTAGAGATGGGGTTTCACATGTTAGCCAGGATGGTCTTGATCTCCTGACCTCATGATCCGCCCACCTTGGACATGGCTGGTTTTCAGTTGACCCTGAGATAAAGGCCTGTGGGATTCCCCCAAAATAGCTCTGTCCTCATGGGTTCCTCACCCCCTCCCTCCAGAACAGCTTGAGACAGTCTCCAAGCTGAGCTGGATGGGCTACCTTAGAACCCGTAAAACAAGGGGCTTTGCAGTGACAGGAGCAATCCAGGACACCTCTATGTGAGACCCTCTATTTTCTAACCAATTCACGAATGGGGAAAGCCGCTGGGAGGTAATGGAGTAAAGGATAAAAGTATTATCTTTAGAACAGACAGACGAGGGTTTGGATTCTACTAGATGGTGACTGTATGACCTTAAAGTAGTTATTCTCTCTAAAGCTCAGTTTCCTTGTCTGCAAAATAGGACAGCTGTAGGGTTGAGAGGAAGCATATATAGCAGAGCCAATACTGCTGCTGTGACATAGTAGACGGTCAGGGAATGTTTGTTAGTTGAGTACCCTTATTTCTCTATCAGGTAAAAGGTTGGCCCAAATACCAATGAAGTTCCTTCCTACTTAAAAGTAAGTCCAAGGCTGGGTGCAGTGGCTCATGCCTGTAATCCCAATGCTTTGGAAGGCTGAGGCAGGAGGATGATTTGAAGCCAAGAGTTTAAGACGAGCCTGGGCAGCAGAGCAGGACCCTGCTTCTATAAAAATTAAAAATTAACCAGGCACAGTAGCACATGCTTGTAGCCCACCTACTGGGGAGGGTGAGGCAGGAGGATCATTCGAGCCTGCGAGTTCAAGGCTCCAGTGAGCCATGATTGTACCACTGAACTCCAGCCTGGGCAACAGGCAAGACCCTGTCTCAAAAAAAAAAAAAAAAAAAAAAAGGCCACAAAGCAGTTATTGAATATCTGCACTCCACCTACCCCCATGTTGTTTGGCTATAAAGAGAAATGTAATCAATACCTAACTAACTCCTGACTTCAAGTCACAGTGGTTAAAAGTAACAATATCTTTGGTTTCATAAATCTCTTTGTAGTTAACTTTCACACCTTGAATCCTCCCAACAATGCTGTGAAGCAAATGGTCTTATTCTCACTCAACTAATGAGACAGCTGAGGCCAAGAGGGTGTAAGCCCCATGCCCACTGACCACTGCCCAAGCAGCTCCCGTGGGGTTGATACAGACCTTCCCCCTGAGGCCTGCTTTCATTTCTCTTCTGCGCGCCATCACTGTGCATAGAACAGTGTTTCCAAGAGCCTCTGAATCTCATCCTTTCCAGCCTACACTCTTCCCTTCTGCAGTTCACACTTCCACAAGTGTGAGCCACATTACAATGTAAGCTAGAAGAAAAAAGTAAACCCGCATTGGCTTGAAAGAAAATAAATGCACCAGATAAAACACAGTTGTTTTTGGAAGTCATCACAGAATTTTATATATAATGAACCATATTATAAATCGTAATACAACAAATATTTAAGTGCCAATGGCAGACCAGGCATCTTGCAAAAGTTACATGCTGAAAGTCTTTAACTTTACAACCAGAGGTTAGAGAAAGGGATGCAATTTATTAGACACATTTCACATTTTTCCCATGAATCATTAAATATTTAAGCACCATAAAATTCAAGCATTTCACATGGATGTGGCAGCCAGCCTTGGTGGTTTAAAATGCATTATGCAGAGTTTCTAGCAGATGATAACAGTGACAATTGCAGAGTACTGATTTTTAATGTCAATTGTTTGTTCCCTGCAGAACTTACTGATAATGTCCCTGCAGGAAATTGTGATATTTTCTGTGCTACAGTAACTTTGAGGATTGAAATGAAACAGCATTCCCAATGACATTAAGAATTGGCCACATATAAATAATTCTAATCAGTAATTTATATACCCTGTGAGAATCATAATTCTGTGTAAAAAAAAAGAAATATTTTTCGTATTAGTTTATTTTAAATACAAAATGTGACCATAGTAAGTGTATGATGATGGGTATGCTAGACAGGTAATCTAACTTAATTTTCAATGCAAGAGTAGCTGTTATGTCCCACCGTATTAATGAGGGAAATGAAGCTAAGAAAGTTGGCAAAACTCACCCAGGATAACAGCTGAAAAATGACTAAGCCAGATTTCAAACCTGGGTTCGACCAACTCTCAAGTCCTCTTCTTTCCACTATTCTTGCAGCCATACCAAGTAAAAGTAACAATTATCAGATTATTCCAGTGAGCTGATAGAAACACAGATCTAATATAATTTCCTGGAACACACTGAATGGTTTGCTTTACTGTAATCTACACGAGGTTCAAAATAAGATGATAAAGCCCAATTGTAGTGCACCATTCCATTGACTATTTTTCGGAGCACCAATAACATGTACACAAACGTTTAGCAAAGATTTTATGCTAGGAAGCTCTTAAATCCTGAGGGAATACAGATTACAGCATAAGGTAAGTCATGTCACATTTTACTGAAGGGTCTTCTCAGTCGGATCTCTCAAATCTCATTTCTGAAATTTCTGTTTATAGAAAAAACAAAAATCTATTTTTGGAGGGGTGTGATAAGCCCATTTTGAAAGCTTATCAATTGGCTTTCTGGCAATAATTGTAACAAGAGAATGTGGGTATACAAATATGTTGAATATTAAAATATTCTGAAATAGGAAATGGTTTATACTTGTAACCGTCTTGCTGATGAAGACCTTATATGCAGAGCTGAACACCTAATGCCTAATGATGTTTATGGAATTGTCATTGAAAAAAATGAATTGGCAGTAATGTGTTCAACTCTGTGCTAGGCATTAGGCATACAAAAACGAGTCAAGCATGGTCCCTGCCCTCAAGGGGCTTGCATTTTGGCAATGGAATGAAGGAAGTGCACTGAGACATTAAAGAAGCAATGGGGAACGGAGAAAATGAGGACAGCCCCGTGCACTGCACAAGAGCAGCAGAAGGGAGCCTAAGTTTCCCCCAGGGAATTCACCTCCCACGCAGGGTAAACTGACCCCAGGGAGGACATCACTGGTGAAGCAGGAGCAAAGTCGAAGAGGTGCTGGGAGTGTCTGCAGAGCTGCACACAGTTCATCATGACAGGAAATACTCCTAGAGGGAACCCTCGAACAGTCCCCACTGGACCTTTCACCCCATAGGAAGTCATTTGGACTTCATGGGCAGCGGAGTCACAGAAGGATTCTAATCCAGAGGGTGACAAAATCAAGTTTGGGTGGATCTTAGATGGCAACTGGGATTTGAAACTAAGGCACCAACTGGGAGATGCCTACTGCAAGGGTGGAGGTGGAAAACAAAGGCTGTGTGAGACGGGCACGGGGCTAAAGAGGAGGTAGCCATCCAAAGCAGCGATGACTCAGCTTTCAATGTGGGGAGTGTGAGAGCAGAACGAAAGGGCCACTCATAGCATGGAAACCTGCCTGGATGAATGGGCTCCACTCACTGAGAATCAGAACCCAGAAGGAAGCATCCCAGATTTCCAGCACGGGCACAGAACAGAACAGTTCCCATTAGGGCAATCTAGGCACGTTCCAGTCTACAAGGTTGGTGGGGAGGCAGGGAGAGAAGGGTTTGATAAGGATCATCTCCAATAATGGGTTAGGAGAACAACTTAAAAGCTTTGTTCATCACCTCCACAGAGAAAGGGTAATTGAAGGCACATTGATATATAACCAGGTGAAGAAAATAATGGTTTAAGGTAACAGGATCTTCTATTCCAAGAAGTTATTTTTCCGCCCTTTTGATCCTTTAAAATACTTTTGTAAAATTAGAGGGCAGTGTTAATGCTGCATTTAGAGACAGCTCTTGTAATACTAACATTTTGAACAGTCTGATACCTTCCCAAGCTCACTGTGGAGTAAACTGTCTACATAATTTAGCCTGTCTTTGTGTGGGTTTTTTTTTTTTACTTATTTATTAACTTATGAAGATAATATTCTAATACCAACATTAAAGTGTTTAAAATAATTAGCAAGCAAGATACGTTTCTGATGTTCCATTTGTCACCCTTACCTCTTCCCAGAAAATGTTCTCAGGCCAAGTTCAAGATGAACAGGTTGAACTTTTAGGAGGGTTGACTTTTGGTAATAGATAAAGCTTTTTGGGAAGGAGAAAGGTAATCACAAATAAGATTGAAATTGGCTTAAGTTTTAGGTGCACAAAAATATTCAACATGCCAGAGCATGGTTTAAAAAATATCAAATGGGTCAAATGAACTAGGAAATATTCTGCTACATCAAGAAAATATTTCATCTTAAAATACACATTTTTCTTTTTACCAGAAAATACTCTTAAAATAAATTGCCACCCTGGGGGCAGCCCATAGCAAAACTCATTTGAAATGTGTTCTGCATATAAGAGCTCATTACAAATCAAGGTTTGGCAAGGAAAACATTTCTTATAAACAAAATTTTAATTGAGTTTTTCTTCTCAATTATTTTTAAGTGCACGGAAACAAAGCACTAAAATGAGTGTCACGCTCATGAGAAATTTCTTTAGTTTTCTCTAAAATGCCTTTTTCTTTTAGATGAGGAAGGTGAGTTTCCTAAAAATTTTTTCCAACAAATCTTTTAAATTTAGGATTAGATCACCAAATTCCTAGCAAAACAGAAAAAGGGATCTTTTGCTTTACAGAAAAAAATAATCATTATAAATTGACACACATTCTAAACTTTTTTAGAAAATACTAATGCCAAATGTCAAACTGTTGCCTTGGTACAAGACTGATATGAAATATAAGAATGTCTTTAAAATTGGCAAAATGGGATGCTCCTGTAACAGCCAACCACGGGAGCATAAAATTCAAATTATAAATTGTCTTTGTTTCGTTTAAAGATAGTGCCATGTCCTCCTGATGGGGTAACCCTGACTTAAATGAATCTTCTTACCTAAGTTTAATTAAATCGGCCCTTAATTTTCTCCCAAGTGCATAATGATAGCTCTGTCACGTCCCTGTGTGAGCTGCCATTATGTGTGTGGAGCAAAGTGTCCGTTGTGAGTGCAAGAAGCTGTGCAGGCTCTCCTGGGGAGGGGAGTGAGATGCTTTGTATGAAGCGCGTGCCTGCCTGAGTGAGCCCCATGTAGCGTCAGTCCCATTAGCACGCACGCACCTGTGACACGCCGGACCCCGACTGGGGAAAAGCAGTCTGTCTGGAAGTTCACTGCAATGGGGAGTCAATTTTTGTGAATAACTACCTTAATATTCACTAATAGCTTTTAGGCTCCTAATCTCTTATTGAATATTTTTTTTCCATAATTGCTACTTTTCAAAAGGGTTGCCAAAGTAGGCATTTCTATTCTCTGAAAAATGCAGAAGAGAACATAATGTTTTATATTCATCTGTGATGTGTTTATGCTAATGTCGCATCTCTGGAATACGGCGACTGTGGGCCTTCCTGCCATCATGATTCATTCTCCTTTGAAAGGAACTGTTAACGCTGGCAGTGTGAATTTTTTTTTTTCTTCTTTAAAAAAAAATCTCTCTTTGCGTCATGGTTTTACCATTATTTAAAGTATATGGAAAAATAGATTACAGAGGAAATCATTTTGAAATGTTGAAAATCTCTGCTTTCTAGTTTCATTCATTGACCTGTTTATTTTTTCCTATAAAATCCATCCAGAAGCCCACTGTATTATAGAGTAATTGACTTCAATTGTTTGAGATACTGTTAACCCAAGAATGAAGTTTTCAGTAATGTAATTTGTAATCTGGCCTTTATCATCTACTTGCCTTTCTGAGAATTAGCATATTTTTAAGTAAAGCCAGTTCTTCGATCATCCTCAGTAAAATAAGAGTATCTAGGCTCCCTAGATTGGGAGGTCCAAACAAATCCATCTGTGCAGCATTTGCTTAATGTGTAAGGAACCAGAGGACTCTGGGAATAACCACGACAAAACAGAAGGAACCACTGAAAGGGAGTCCAAAATGAGCACCATGACATCTCTTAGCACAGTCTAGGAAGTCTTAGCCCCCTAGGAAGTTTCTCTTGGCCACGTGTTGGTGAATTTCGCATTCTCTAGCTATACTTCACGCAGACCTGGCACCGGCTGATTTTCTGGCGTTGGGCCTGGCTTTCTTTTAAGGTGTCTGGTGCTGGAGCAGAGGAAAACTGCAAGTCTGCTTTCACCGTTGTGAGCCAGAAGCTATACTTATTTGCGAAAAAGTGGCAAGTTCCCTGCCGGCCCTGGCATTCAAGGAATGGTGCTGCTCTGAAATCTTCCAGGCAGCTGCCAGGTGACATAAGGGCCTGCCCTCCTCCTTGGTCCCCAGCTCCTGTGTGCTACCCAGAAAACAAGAGAGAATTAGGGCTCAGACACACACAGACAACCCCAGACCCAATCAGGGACACACCCAGGTTTGGGTCTGATCTTAACATTTTTCCTTAGATTATTCCATAAAGAACAAAATACAAGCGCTGAAAAGGAGTCGTACTCAGCATGGTAAGTATGCACACAAATTGGCTCCAGTTTCACCGATGGCTGAAGCAAACTCATCTTCTAAATTCTACCAATGTGATCAAAATCAATCACAAGTGTTTTTAAAAGATAATGGCCCTGCATCCCAACAGGCTATGGTTTGCAACAGTCCCCGTAACCTTATGTCCTAAGCGCAGAGTGCTCAGAATTACTGTCCAATCCAGAGAGAAATGGCGGGAGAAGGTGTTAGGAAATGGTGAATGAGCCAGGGTTTTCAAGGGCACGGGACTCACCATCAGGAATGAATACCCGATCCAGAGGCTCCTCCAGGTCTGCGGACATGGGGGGATGGACTGGTCCTGGCTGTGCACCGCCACCGCCTGGGCCGGGGCCTCGCATACCGCACAGCGGCTGACATAGGGGCGGATCGCCTCTTCAGAGAGTGGCATCATGGGGAGGGGCGCAGCGCTGGCCAGCCAGTAGGATCTGTCGTTTCTCTGGGCATAGTGGCACACCTGGTGGATGTTGCAGTAGGCAAAGGGCAGCGTGCTAAATACGGGAAGGCAAGACCCTGCCAGACCTTGGGAAGGGAAGAAGAGACAGCTGGTGTCCAAGCACCCCATGTAGGTGTTCCCAGACCCTTCCTTCCTCCATCTGGCCTTTGCAGATACGTGTTCTGAAATCTGGAGGCCCTCGCCAAAGCCTGCTTCTGTGGTGAGGAAGCCATTTCTGACACCTCCCTGGTCCTGTGGGCCAGCCCTCATCCCCTCATCCCTCACTCGAGCCAAGCAGGGGGCCAGGTGCTGGAGGTGGGCACCAAGCACATCTCTGTGTTCAGGAAGCTCATGGCCTAGCAGGGAACTGGATGAGCAAACAAGCAATGAAAATACAGCACAACAAGCCCTAAGAATGAGAAGTGTGGGGATCCGGGACCTCAAGGAAGGATAACTGGAATATGTGATTTTAAGTTAGGACTTGAAATATGAAGAGGATTTAGCCAGGCTTGGAGATGGTGGTAGTGACTACTCAAAAGAGATATACCGTCAGAGGGGGTTGGAGATAAGGGATCGTGGAGCTCAGAGAACTCAGACATGTTCAGTGCAGGGACTATGAGGAGAGGGTGTCTGCACTGTCTGTCTCAGGAGTGTCCAGTGATAAATCAGACCATTGGATGTGGCCTTTGTCAATCTCGTTAAGGAGTTTGGACTTTATCCCAAGAGTTCTGCAGAGTTTTAAGATGTGTGCTCTGGTTAGACCAAGGTGGGAGAAGCAAGACGGATGATGGTACAAAGACCAGGCAGGAAAGAAATTGATGGCAGAGGGAGAGAAGGAGAGAAGGAAACAGATTCAGGATATTAAACATCACTTCCTCCTTTCTCCTGTGCTCAAAGAAACTAGCCCCTTGTGATGGGAAAGGCCATGGCCAAACCCAAGGGAGAAATGCAGGGGATGTACAAGTAGTTGCCAGCCCAGGCTTGCACTCTTTGACTACCCTTTTTAACAGCTGGGGTCACTGCCTAGTGAGAGCAATGGCAAGCACCTCACCGTCAACTGTCCCCGTCAGCATATCCTTCCTGCACCTTCCATTCTAACCATGATTTTCTTGGAAAGACAGTGTTTCCCGGCAGCCAGGTACTTAAGCCTTTGACTTGAAATCAGTCCCGCAGCTTGCAAATCTACTATTGAAAATTGGCAAGGGCTGGGCACGGTGGCTCACACCTGTAATCCCAGCACTATGGGAGGCCAAGGCGGGAAGATCACCTGAGGTCAGATATTCGAGACCTACCTGGCCGCAAGACCCCAGCTCTACTAAAAATACAAAAATTATCCAGGCATGGTGGCACAAGTCTGTAGTCTCAGCTACTCAGGAGGCTGAGGCAGGAGAATCGCTCGAACCCTGGAGGTGGAGGTTGCAGTGAGCCAAGGTTGTGCCACTGCACTCCAGCCTGGGCAACAGAGCAAGACTCCATCTCAAAAAAAAAAAAAGAGGAAAAGAGAAGAGAAGAGAAAAGAGAAGAGAAGAGAGAAGAGAAGAGGGGAGGGGAGGGGAAGGTAGGGGAGGGGAAGAGCGGAGAGCGGAGAAGTGACAAGGAGCACCAAAAGATGACCCTCAAAATAAAGTTCTGTAATTTAAATTGGAGTAGGGTAGGGAGTTGATGCTGGCAAGTGCCGTAACACAACCATCAGCGTGCTGTGGCTGCACCATTTTACATGTAAGTACAGGAACTGACCACATTCTGGTTAATTTACATTTGGAAGCAAAAAGTACATTTCATAACAGAGTTACATTTAACTTACTGAGGAAGAATCATTTTTATAAAACTAATAATATACTTATTATTAGCCAGATAATAATAATATACTTATTATAGCCAGATAATAATTATAGCCAGAATGAGCTTCTTTGACACTTCATAGGATCATAAGTTTAAAGGATTAGCTGAGAATGACCATGCTAGTGTTTTTGTTTTAAAAGTAAGAATAATCCCATATAAGGTTAGTGATCATTTAAGGTGCTGATGAATCAGTAAAATTAACCCCAAATTTTACTCTTCAGGCAATGGAGATGGGCGATCCTGTATCCATACCAAGGTCTTGATTGTGAGCTTTCTCTTGCCCTTCCAGGTATAACAGACTATACCCAGTCCAGAGCCTGGGCATGCCCAGGGGGCAGGTGGGCTCCTGGTCCGTCTGACTGTGGAGAACCAGGAGGAAGCCACCGAGGTATCCAGGGCCAAACCCTTTGGGCCCAGGATCCCCAATGGGACCAGGAGGCCCTGGAGGAACAAAGGAAAAAAATTGAAGGCAGGTTAGGGGGTTTGGTTTAACAAATATGTTAAGCACCTCTGTTCTGGCACTGTGCTAAGCACTCAGGGAGCAGAGGGGAGCATGACTCAGCCCCTCCTCGCCTTCTGGAACGTACACAGCTACACAGCTGCAGTACATAGAACAACTCATTCATCAAGTATTTGTTCCAAGCAACTCCTAGATGCCTGGGCTACATTAGCATAAAGACAAAAAACAGAGGAAAATCCCTGCCCTCATAGAGCTTGCATTACACTTGAGGAAGAGAGAGAAATAAGAAACAATAAGCATAACAAAAAGTTAAGTTATGAAATACGCTGGGAAGAAAAGAACAAGGACAGTGTAATGACACACCCCAAGTGTGGACTCCCCAGACTGAACTGCTGAGCAAGTGCTCCCCAAAGTCGGTCTTTCTTACACCTCCCAGACCTCTTCCCTGGTTCCAGCATATTATCAGTTCCATTCTGAGAAAGCCAAAGGCTTGGGATCCACATCTACAAGTTTGGCTCTCCTCTTCGAGAAGAGAGGGAAATGGAAGGAAGGCCTTGTTCTAGCATTCTTGTTGGCAGATGGGAAATCAACAGTTCTAGAGAACGTGAGCAGGGTCTGTATCCTTCGGCACCTCTAAGGGGCTGAACTATTGCAGAAGGCCAGGAGCTGTTTCTAATTGCCAAGAGCAAAAGGTGAAGTTAGACATTGAAACCAAAAGGTATTTTTTGTGTTCTACCCTTGGTTCTGCAAGACTGGCAGGCTCTCCCCATCTACACTGTCAACCAGAGACGACAAAGTGGTAGCCTGTGGACTGAATCAGGCCTGCTCGTGTGTTTTGACCTGTAAGGATTTTACAAGTTGATATTTTGAACGAAGAGAGTGTAGAGTGTAGGCCCACATTTCTGTAGACTATAATTGGCTGGAGCTGCGCTGCAGCTTTTAGCCAAAGCTCCATTTTGCTACAGACCTCACCCAGCCCTCCTCATTCGTTTCTACTCACTACTAACCTGGTACAGGAGTTTGCATCCCTGGCCAGGGACTCTCTGGAGATGGGATTGTGTCTCAGGCTCTTTGGATCCATGCGCCTAACGAGCTACATGGTGCATTGTTTCACACTTCTATTCTGAAGAGTCCTATGTCCCCTTTCCCAACACCACTTCCCATTTTTTTTCTTTTAAGAAAGAGCCCTGTTTTCTACATCAGTGTACTAATGGCTATATGATAAGATGAAGTGAACTCAGGAAACCAGGCGATTTGGCCACTTGGAGAGGGTGAGAACACACACACCGTCCCTGAGGTCTTCATCACAGCCTCTTAAGGGTGATCCCACAGCCACCAGGCTGACCGTCCCTTCATGACCTTGAAAAGTGAACTGCAGAAATGGCCAAGACTTTGATGATGATGTATAGCAGTTTGGGAAAATACTGAATAGGATGCAGGGCCTTGTCTAGGTTTTATGATGGTTTAACATCAGTTAGAACATAAGAGATGCATCCCACTCTGTTCTCATTGTTTCTGTCTCTGATACCTGGTGAGTCAGCATCTAAGGCAAATGATCTGAATAGGATCCAGTTTGGAAAGCCACTTGAGAGATCAGAGATTTTGTATACAACTCTAAGGTTTACAGTGTCAGAGAAAAGAGGAGTGACTGAAACTCTACCTGGTCCTCCAGGGTAGCCGTCTTCTCCTGTGTCACCTTTACGTCCGGGAGGCCCAGGAGACCCAGGGACGCCATCCACACCCCTCCTGCCATCCAGCCCAGGCTCTCCTTTGCACCCTGCACAAAAGTTTATGATGCTGGTGGTGAAAGCAACCATGACACCTGCTAGCATTTACCGTGCTTATACCGTATGCCAGCCGTGTGCCAGCCCCAGGCTTCCTTCCCACTTTGACTGAATGCATCAGCTCATTTAGTCTTTGCAATGACATGAAGTTGGGATTTTACTATCTCCACTTGCAGTTGGCGTAACTGGGGCCCCGAGAGGTCAAATAATTTGCTTAATTAAAGTCAGTGATCCCATAAAGGGCTAGGCCAGGATTTGAAGCCAGACCAGGGAGGTGTTGAGAGACAGGTTTTCACATTTTCTTCATAGTCTTCATATATTTGACTTCAAAAAAAAAAAAAAAAACTACTGAACATGTATGGCATTTATAATAAATATTTTCCTTAATAATGATTGTTTCAAAGCCTAGATGGAGAAATGAATGAAACTTAATCGGTTTCATTTGGGGTCACGTTAAATCTGGAGCATGATAGGTGCAGCAATTTTTTAAAATAGCTTTTTACTGAGTGTTTACAATGTGCTAGGTACCATGCTAATCCCTTTACGTGGATTGTCCAATTCAGTCTTCTCAGCAGCCATATGACTAGGTACTCATACATGCCAGTTATACCAGTGAAGAGACTGGGGCTCATAAAAGTCACAGAGCAGTCACATGTGGAGAGGAAACTTAGGCCCAAGGGAGCCAAGTGCAGAGGCCATCAACCACCAGACCCTGCGCCTGACAAGCTGCAGAGCTCTGGATATAACCTGGGGGACTTGGCAGCAATTGCGTTAATCCTTAAGGGGTTCTTTAAGTATGCAGTTACTTTTTTGTCAAGGCCTCAAATAATTAGCCACCATCTCCCTTCGGTCAGGGGAGCAGACACAATCATTGTCTTTGAGGGAGTTTATTGCTATTATACCTAATTTCCTGAATTACTAGCCTTCTCCAGGTTTCCAGTCTCTACTTGTTTTCTATTCTCTTTCTCTCTTTCTCTCTCTGTCTCTCTCTCTCTGCCACAGAGTAGCCTGGTATGGGCTGATTTGTGTACCCCCAAATTTCATATGTTGAAGTCCTAGTCCCCGTATCTCAGAATGTGACTGTATTTGGAGATAAGACCTTTAAGGAGGTGATTCTGTTAAAATGAGCCTCTTAGGCTGGGCCCTAATCCAGGCTGACTGGCCTCCTTATGCAAGGAGAAAATTTGGACACAGAAACGGACCCCAGGGATGCATGTCCCTGGAATGGCACAGAGGAGAGGCCACGTGAGGACACAGGAAGATGGTGGCATCCGCAAGCCACGGAGGGAGGCCTTGGGAGAAACCAGCCCTGTTGTGGCTCCTTGATCTTGGACTTCTGCATCCCGAACTGTGAAAAATTGTCTGTTGTTTAAGCCACTGTGTCAGTGATACTTTGTTGTGGCGGCCCGAGCAGACCAACACGTAGCCTAAAATCAAACATTAAATCAAAGGGGCTTGCTTAAGTGGCTTTCACTGTTGCTTCTTGCCTTCACCCTCCAGTGACTGGGGGATGATGATAAAGCTGAGGATGCCAGTCAACCCAGGAATTCATGGAGCCTCCCTCCCCCACCCTACTGAGGGACCAGCCTTGCCTGATAACCATTAAATGAGTGTGTTAACACAGACGCTGACCGAAACCCTCTACCCTTAAAGCAGCAACCCTGTCATGAAAAGGATGCATGGAGGTTTAAGGAGGTTTGACTTGATGTTGCAAGCTAGCAAGAATCGAAGATTTCCCACGCAGGCCCCTCCCTGCCCCTCTGCGGCCCCAGGTGAGGCCCCGACTGTGCGTCCACAAGTAGTAGAGTAGCTAACTTGCCTAGAGCAACCCTGGACTCAATCTTCCTCCTCCAACCCACCTGAGCAACATCAATAGGAAACACAGGGCTAAACAGTGCAATGACACGGTCCTACTGCTCCTGAGAACAGAACCCCAATGACATTCTGGAACACTGGCTCACACTTTGGTAGAAATCAGCATCTGCCTTGGTAGGGCGGGGTGGGGCATGAGAATCTGCATTTCTAGAAGTCCCCAGGTGATGCTGATGCTGCCAGTCCCAGGAACCACACGTTGAGAACCAGTGCTCTAGATGATTTAACTTTAAAACTCTTTCCGGTGATGACCTTGGCGGCATATTTTGAAAATCCTATATTTCTGCCTATTCTTAAAACCAGAAATTCTACTCAGGGAATTTAGTTTAAAGAAACAACAATAATAGCAAACACAAGTACTGTTTATTCTGTGTCAGGCTGTGTTCTAAGTGCTTTTTATGTTAGTGAATCCACATAATCCTCACAATCAGCCCTTCTTACAGATCAGGAAACTGAGTCATGGCTTATGTGGTAGAGCCAGAGTTATGAACATATGTCATCTACTTCCAGAATCTCTGCTCTTTTATTTCTTTTGTGTTTTGTTTGTTTTTCCAGATGGAGTCTCGCTGTATCACCCTGGCTGGAGTGGAGTGGCACAATCTCGGCTCACTGCAGCCTCCACCTCCCAGTTCAAGAGATTCTCCTGCCTCCTGCAAGGGCTAAAGGTACTGCCTCCCGAGTAGCTGGGACTACAGGCACGGGCCACCATGCCTGGCTTTTTTTTTTTTTTTTTTTTTTCTGAGATGGAGTCTTTCTCTGTTGGCCATGCTGGAGTGCAATGGCATGACCTCAGCTCACTGCAACCTCCGCCTCTCAGGTTCAAGTGATTCTCCTGCCTCAGCCTCCTGAGTAGCTGGGACTACAGGTGCACGCCACCAAGCCCAGCTAATTTTTTTGTATTTTTAGTAGAGACAGGGTTTCACCATGTTGGCCAGGCTGGTCTCAAACTGCTGACCTCAGGTTATCTGCCTACCTCAGCCTCCCATAGTGCTGGGATTACAGGTGTGAGCCACCACACCCAGCCCTTATTTCCAGAACCTCTGTTCTTATCCATTACACTATTTCTTCATGATAATCAGGGATGCGTATAAGTAAGATATCATTACCAGTTGCTTATCGTAGTGAGAAAGTGGAAACTCCTTAAATCAGAGTAGTTACTGGACCAGCAGCAGCAGCGGCAGCACCTGGGAATATGTTAGAAATAAAGACTCTCAGAGCCCTCTCCTTACCTAACAAATCAGGTCTGGGGGGGACCTCAGCGAGCTGTGTTTTAACAAGCTCCTCAGGGATTCTGATGGTTCATGAAGCTCGAGAACCAAAGCCTTAAATGTTCCTTGTGACGCCCCCTCCCTACCCCCAGGTTCAGCTCCCCTGTTAGAAATTCCCACATTACCCCTTATTAACACTCAACATGTCCAAACTGACTTGCTCAATGTCTTCATTTTCTGCTAGCCTGTGGCTCCAAAAAGCAGGGCCTTGTTGGATTAACTTCTTTCTAGCAGAGCAGCTGGCAGCAAACCAATCAATAATTGGTGAAGGTAGTGGTTAAATAAATTATGGCACAATCAGATAAGGCAATATTCCTCAGCTACTACAGATAATATTGTAGGAAAATACGCAATGACATAGAAGTAAGGTTATGTTAAGAACAGTTTGCCAACAAGTATGCCTAGGATGATCGTGCAGAAATAAAACTGGAAAAATATACAGGCAATTGTGTCTTTTAAAAGTGTGTTTAGTTTTAAGTTACCTTTTTTTTTCTTTTGTAATAAAGTTTTTTTCTTCCCCTTCACCAAATGCCTCCCCCATAGGCTAAAGGTACATCTCCCATCTCCTACCACATCCTTCCCTACATAAATGGTCTTCAACATTAGGTGGTTCTGCACCGCCCCACCCCACCCCTCACCCCAGCAGACACTTGGCAATGTCTGGAGGCATTTTGGGTCCTCACATGGAGGAAGAGGTCATTACTGGCATCTAGCAGGATAGGGGCAAGAGATGCTGCTTAACATCCTAGAATCCACCAAACAGCCCTCCAGGATAAAGAACGATCGGGCCCCAAATGTCAGCAGCACTGAGGTTGAGAAACCGCTCCACACAGTAGGCTACATCCAGGAGTCACGTGTTCATTCACCAAATGTTTACCAAACACCCTCCATGACCCAGGCCTGTGTATGGATATCACACTGAATAAGACAATATCCTGCCCTCAAGCTTCTTACGGTCTCTATAACAGTGGTTGGCAAATTACAGCCTGTGGGCCATTTACTGCCCATTTTAGTAACCCCAGTTACAGTGGAACACAGGCATTCATTTACGTGTTATCTACAGCTATGCTGCAGCAACAGGGTTGAGTGGTCGCAGCAAAGATCATCTGGCTCCAAAGCTGAAGCAGGGGATTGAAGTGTTCAGGTAATGAGGTAGATGTCTCACTTGCCTGCCCTCGGTTCCACACGCCCCACTGATTGTAAAGTCACGTCCTCATATTGCCTGCCTGAGAGTGTCCCCTTCTTCTTACATCCCTACGACCAGCCAGTCTCTCCCCTCCATGCCCTGTGCTGGTTGAGCTACACTCAGTGCAGACATCCCAGTGTCCGATATGCTCCTGTTATGCTTTTGTGCTCCCAGGATTAGAAACGAATTATTTCAGAGTGTCCTGGACTGCATGCTGTATGTGGTTACCATTCAGTAGGTGAGAAAGGAAACATCCCCGCCTCCCCATCTGGGTGAGAGGAGCCCTGCCCTTCCTGGTGACTGGGCAGAAACCTCTCCCCGGGGTGGCACTCCTGGTGGAATCTGGAACTCCACCACCTTCCAAGAGAGTATCAGTTATCTTGGAAGGAACATGGGGCCCCAACAGTGAGCTCAGAGCATTCCTTTCTCTGTCTCACCCAACAAGATGATTCCAACATGCAATATATTCTAGAAAGGGCTGCCTTAGTGCTTATGGGTTAGGAGTTTCTCCCTTCCACTGAACAGGCAGCAGCAGGGATTCCTCCTGATGTATAGACTCATGGTGAGATCACTATAGATCTGGGAAAAAGAGTCCTCACACCAGACGTTATCACGTGGGCTTTACTCCCTTTAGGGTGAGGCAAAGAGAAATTGTCAGGCGGAAGACATTTCCTGAGAAACAGGAAGGAAGGCTCTTCTTATTAACCTGAGCTCTATGTTCAGAGCTTTCCACCTTACGGACTTGTTCCCTACTTGGAATTAGTTTTAAGGAATAAAACTAAACATCAAAACAAACCCTCCAGTGTTAGATGGATGACCTCCTGAGAGGGCAAGTGTTGCCTTGAAGAGAAACACAACCCTAACAGGGTGTGGGTACATCCATTAGGCAGGAACAGTTCAAAACAAAATGGAAAACACTTTTGAGTTCACTGTAGGAAGCTTCAGCCTTTGAGGGCCGCCCTGGAAGGAAAAGTTGTAGATCAAAGAGATCTGTGTGTAGAAGAGCATTAGGCCTCCTGTGGTGGACTAATCGACCCACTTCGTGTGGCTGTCATCCACCCATATTGGGCAGGAAAGAGCCAGAAGTTTGTTCATTTTTAGGTAAGTCTCAGCTGTAGCACATGGTTACAAAATCAGCTTAGCAATGAAAGAAAAGATTTTTTAATTTTTTTTTTACCTTTTATTTTAGGTTCAGGGGTACGTGTGAAGTTTGTTACATAGGTAAACTCATGTCATGGAGGTTTGTTGTACTGATGATTATTTCATCACCCAGGAATTAAGCCCAGTACTCAGTAGTTATCTTTTTTGTCTACTTGAGGCTGGAGGGGAGGAGGAGGTAGAGGAGCAGAAAAGAGAAGATTCTGAAGGGAAAACAGGAAGATACCAACAACATCATTTTAAGTGAACATTGTTCTTTCTAGTGGCAGCCATTTCTTTTCAGCACCCAATCTTGAGGGTGGTATATGTGGTGGTGGTATATAAGCCCAACCTTTCCTTAAGGCTCTGCTCAAATACCACCTCTTGCTGGGGTCCTAGCTGTCCTGCAGTTCTCCACACTGGAATTAACCTCTCCCAGTACCCTTGACTTGCAACTCTTTTGTTTTGTTTTGTTTTGTTTTAGATGGAGTTTCGCTCTTCTTGCCCAGGCTGGAGTGGTGTATATGGCCCCTCACACCCTGCTGAAAAAATACCTTCAGGAAATGCTAGAGAATGAGCAACATGGCCTACAGATGGCCCAGGTCAGCCAGGGTTTGGCATTAGGCCCTTAGAATATACCTGTCACTCTTTAGTAACTGGACGGGATGAGCAATACAGCCAGTGTGCCCAGCAGGCATAGACAAGGCCGAGGAATACATGGCGGAGAAGAGAGGTCCTTTGTAACAGGAACCCAGAGGCTCCTATCAGAGAAGAGGGGCCCCAGAAGAAAGCAAGGGCTTGGGAGTGGGTGCACAGGACAAAAAGGAGCCCCAGGGAAGCTGGGCCACATGGTGAGAACATAGGAAGAGAAGGCGATGCTTCACCAGAACGACGGGGCACTTTTTAAAAAACATCATAATCATGTAGGTGTTAGAGAGGTGGCCTTGGAGTGTCCCCACTTCCAGCAGGCAGGGTCAGTGGCTCCAATAAAGAGAGGGCACAGGAACCCAGGGAAGGCCCTCCTGTGGCCACGTGCAGCAGATGAGCCCATGAAACCCTAAGTCAGGGGAATTAGAGATTACAGGCAAGCACACCTGGGCCACATAAGCACTAGACCATCTTTCAGAAGCTCATAGTCTATGGAGAGAGAATCTTGTTCTTGTTCATGTCAAAGATAACTATCATGTTCAAGTGTAAAGAATTGACCCATTCACATATTTTTCTCTTCCTAGTTACTTTCTTTGGTTATTTTTTTAAAGCCACCACAGTGGGTGACCCCAACCATCCCTCTGGCCTCAATTTTGATGTTGAGGTGGAGCAGTGCATTTCAACCTTGGCTGCCTGCTACAGTCACCTGGGGGGCATTGAAAAATGTTAACATTCAGGCTCTGCCACCTTCCACATTCTATTGGTCTGAGATTAGGCCGAGGTACCAATATTCTTTCAAGATCCTCCAGGTGATTTTAACCTGCAGCTAGGACTGCCTTGCTAAGAAACGTTCTACTCTTAGCTGAATCTTTAAGGAGTGCATTCATATAACAGGGCGTCTCAAATTTGAATATGTATGCAACTATTTTGGGGACCTTGTTAAAATGCAGATTCTGATTCTGTAGGTCTGGGGCGGGACCAAAGTTGCTGCTAGTTCCTGGACCAGGACCACAGTTACAGTAGCAAGGATGTTGCTAACTCCTAGATGCCTGGTTATTAGGCCAACCAGCCCAGTCTGTGCTCCCGCCATCTCCCTGTTGAACAATTCTGGCTCCTCAAAGCCCAACCTTTCGTTAAGGCTCTAGTCAAATACCAGCTCTTACTGGGGTCCTAGCAGTCCTGTAGTTCTCCACACTGGAATTAACCTCTCACCATCCCATTCTCCCAATACCCTTGACTTGCAACTCTTTGTTTTGTTTCGTTTTGTTTTAGACGGAGTTTCACTCTTGTTGCCCAGGCTAGAGTGCAGTGGTGCGATCTCAGCTCACTGCAACCTCTGCCTCCTGGGTTCAAGCGATTCTCCTGCCTCAGCCTCCTAAGTAGCTGGGATTACAGGCATCTGCCACCACGCTCAGCTAATTTTGTATTTTAAGTAGAGACGGGGTTTTACCATGTTGGCCAGGCTAGTCTCAAACTCCTGACCTCAGGTGATCTGCCCACCTTGGCCTCCCAGAGTGCTGGGATTACAGGCGTGAGCCACAACACCCAACTTGCAACTCCTTTTTAACATGAATTGTGTAATAATCTACCATTACTTTAAGTTATTTATATTCTGCTGGCTATTTCTTTCATGGGATTATGAGACCCTGGAGGGGGAAAACACATCTTACTCATCTTACTCACCCATACCACCTAGTAGCATACTTTACAAAGAGTAGAGGGAGTCTGGAAGTACTTACTGAATTGAATTTGCAGAACCCAGTTATAGGTCACGTCTTCAAGTTGGAAGTTATTTTTTTAAGTTGGAGGGACCCAGCTCTGGATATTGCAAATATATACACAAGGCAGCTTGGTTTTAAAATGAGGTTGATGACTAGTAATACCGACTGACAGAACTTTATGCATGCAAGGAGTATCAAGAAAGATGAGTTAAATAAAGACTGGCCCAATTCCCAGTTCTCACGGGCCGTTAAAAAAAGTTGCTACAACCAACACCCAATTAACCTGGTGCACAAACACAGATGCAATGCAATAAACACACACAACGAAAACCCAAATTAATTTGAGGAAGGCTCCAGGGCTGTTTTGGTCACCACCTAAGAACGAGTCTGACTCCTGTTGAGAGGAACATCTCTTGGGCACTTAACTTCTTGGTTTTGGGGAACCACAAGAAAAACAAGTGGTACAAAATTCAGTTCTGCTTCCAATTCCTGTGTCCCTGAACCAAAAAAAGTCCAAATCATAGTGGGGCAGTGAGGGGGGGTGAAAGGAGAGAGAACATCCTGGTTCCTCCTTTTCAAAGAATTTGCCCATGAGTTTTCTAGACTCATAGCTACTATCAATGGATCTAAAGAGAACAGTGACTTCTAGATGCCCAGCCCTGGGCTCCCTAATATCTTTGTAAATTACCCAATGCAGTGGGGATATGTGGAAAGAAAACAAACCATTCGGAGAACACTTTTTTCTTTTTTTTTTTTTTTTGAGATGGAGTTTCGCTCTTGTTGCCCAGACTGGAGTGCAGCTCACTGCAACCTCTGCCTCCACCGTTCAAGCGATTCTCCTGTCTCAGCCTCCCAGGTGGCTGGGATTACAGGTGCCCGCCACCAAGCCCTGCTAATTTTTGTACTTTTAGTAAGAGACAAGGTCTCACCATGTTGGCCAGGTTGGTCTCAAACTCCTGACCTCAGGTGATCCACCCACCTCGGCCTCCCACAGTGCTGGGATTACAGGCGTGAGCCACTGCGCCTGGCTGGAGAACACTTTTTAAATGGAGAACACTTTTTAAAAGAATGGTTTCGCTTAAATACTTGAATAAGGATCCTGCCACCCCGGCAGTTACTGAACAATGCTCCAGTGATTAACCATGTAGTAACTGCCAAAACGTACAGCAAGACCCTATTTTTCCCCATCCCTCCTCTAACAGCTCCTACTTCCTTCTTGCAGGCTCTGTTTCCGCTCCACCAAGCCCCAATTCAATTGTTTTTAACTCAAAATCAAGTAGGCAGCTATTAATGACTGTTCATGGAGCATCTACCATGTTGTGCTAAGAGGTTTGAAAACTCTACATCCAAAAGCTGGCCAAGAATGAAAGATTTAAGTAGGAGTTCCACATAAAAATAGAAAGGATGGGCCAGGTGCAGTGGCTCATGCCTGTAATCCCAGCACTTTGGGAGGCTGAGGCAGGCGGATCACGAGGTCAGGAGATGGAGACCATCCTGGCTAACTCGGTGAAACCCCATCTCCACTAAAAATACAAAAAATTAGCTGAGCGTGGTGGTGGGCGCCTGTAGTCCCAGCTACTCGGGAGGCTGAGGCAGGAGAATGGCGTGAACCTGGGAGGCGGAGCTTGCAGTGAGCCAAGATGGTGCCACTGCACTCCAGCCTGGGCAACAGAGCAAGACTCCATCTCAAAAATAAAATAAAATAAAATAAAATAATAGAAGGGATGTGTGGATCCAGTTAGCCCATGATTGATGTACTTTGGATCAAGGTAGAAACAAATTGCAAAGGGAAAGACATGCTTTCTCCTCAGTAGTTTAGGCTCCATATAAAAAGCTACAAAATAAAAGATCTAGAATTTCATTTCAGCAATATATCATGAAAATAATGAACAATCAGCATGCGGCTCATACCTGGTCCTGAGGGGCCTCTCATTCCAGGGAGCCCCATGGCTCCTTCTGGTCCTCTCATGCCTGGCGCCCCAGGAAGGCCTGGGATTCGGGGACAGTCATCCACATCTGCAGGTGGCCCCGGTTCACCTGAAATTGGAATCACCGCTTGTGTAATGGATGCACGTGCTTATGAACAAGCTCCTTCTACAGTCTCTGGTTAAAGTTGGACTTCTGACACTATACTGAAATTTAGTACAAATTCAGTATAAAATTCAGTATAAATGTTTGTAAAGATTCAACAATCCAATGTAAGTTCCATGAAGGCAGAAATTTGTCTTATGCCCTGGAGGGTACATGAAAAAATTCCAGAATGTCGGGCTGACCGAATGAGTGAATGGAGTATCAGAGGATGCAGAAGTATGAAACAGTGAAGGTCGGATGATGCAGCAACGTGATGACCCTCACAGGATTGCCCAATCTCTGGGCCATTTTTTACTGGAGTAGCAGCCACAGGTAGCATTGCAAGAGGGACTGGTGGGTTCCTAAAGCTCAGCTTCATGTGTCCCTGAGTCCTTACTCTACACTGCAGCCACGTGGGTTTCCATAGTGTCAGTCACTAACATAGAATTTCAGGATTGCTAGAGGCTCAGAAGCAGTGACTTTCAACCTTGAGTGAACATTGGACTTATCCAGGGGAGTCATGGAAATATACTGATGCCTGGGTCCCACTCCCAGAAATACTGATTTACTTGATAATAGGATGTGGCCTGAGCAGTGTCCTCATCATTGGCTGCATAATAAACTCAGCTGGTGAGCTTTTCAAAAGTACTCATGAATACTGGGGCCCCATCTAGACTAATTAAATAGGAATTTCTGGGGGTGGGACCCGGGTGTCAGTAGTTTTTGGTTTGTTTGTTTGTTTAACTCCCACGATGATTCCAGTGTCCATTAGGGCTGAAAGCACAGTTGGAAAGCTATAATTCTGACTGTAGCACATCAGAATTGTGTCGCTAGTTTGTTAGAAACCAGAGTTCCTGAGTCAGAAGGTCTGAAGAGGGGGCCATGTACATCTCTAACATGTTCCCAGGGAGGCTGATGGCGTTGATCTGGGAATCTCACTTTGAAAAACACAGGCTGGGCACGGTGGCTCACACCTGTAATCCCAGCACTTTGGGAAGCCGAGGCGGGTGGATCACTTGAGATCAGGAGTTTGAGACCAGCCTGGCCAACATGGTGAAACCCCATCTCTACTTAAAAAAAAAAAAAAATAGCTGGGTGTAGTGGCAAGTGCCTGTAGTTCCAGCTACTCAGGAGGCTGAGGCAGGAGAATCCCTGGAACCCAGGAGACAGAGGTTGCATGAGCTGAGATCGTGCCACTGCACTCCAGCCTGGGTGACAGAGCAAGATTCCATCTCAAAAAAAAAAAAAAGAAAAAAGAAAACCACTATACTAAAGATGTGAGATTTTTTTCTTTTACTTTCACATCATTAAGACATCTTTTCTAAAGCTTCATTCAGTCATCCTGCAAACATCACAGAGGGATAAGAAATAATAACACTGAACAATAATGACAACAGCTAAGGCTCACTGAATGCTTTATCATGTATCAGGCCCTGTGCTGAATGCTTTTACTATTAAATCCTCCCGAGAAGACTGTGTATGTGCTACTGTTATGAGAAGGGTATGAACAAGAACACTCAGGCTTCGCCAGGCGCGGTGGCTCATGCCTGTAATTCCAGCACTTTGGGAGGCCAAGATGGACAGATCACGAGGTCAAGAGATTGAGACCATCCTAGCCAACATGGTGAAACCCTGTCTCTACTAAAAATACAAAAATTAGCCGGGTGTGGTGGTGCACAGTCCCAGCTACTCAGGAGGCTGAGGGAGGAGAATCGCTTGAACCCGGGAGGCGGAGATTGCAGTGAGCCAAGATCACACCATTAAACTCCAGCCTGGTGACAGAGCAAGACTCTGTCTCAAAAAAAAAAAACAAAAAACAAACAAAAAAAACCACTCAGGCTCAGGCAAATAAGTGACACTTCTGTGGTGACACAGCTTACACACAGCAGAGTCTGGATTGCAATCCAGGGCATTCTGGCTCCAAACCCATGTTCTTAACCACCTCATCAGACTGCATCAGGAACTCTCAATATCTGGGTAACAAATTCTAAGAAATGAAACATATTTTAAAAGGTATCATCTGGCCGGGCATGGTGTTTCACGCCTGTAATCCCAGCACTTTGGGAGGCCGAGGCGGGTGGACTGCCTGAGTTTGGGAGTTCAAGACCAGCCTGGGCAACAGGGCGAAGCCCCATCTCTACTAAAATTACAAGAAATTAGCCAGGTGTGGTGGCACATGCCTGTAATCCCAGCTACCTGGGAGGCTGAGGTAGGAAAACTGCTTGAACCTGGGAGTGCAGTGGTGGAATCGCCAGCCTGGGCAGCAGAGCAAGACTCTGTCTCCAAAAAAATTAAATAAAAATAAAAGATATCATCTGATTAGCTATGGTGTTCTTCAAATGTATGCAAAAGTGTGAAATAATTTCAGGAACATCAATCATAAAGCACTAAGAAAATCCTTAACAAAATGTGGCATAACAACAAAGTTTTAGTCTCCTAATACTTACTGGGCCTGTGTAAAATGACCTGGAATTCTTATGAGCTATTTGGAATTTAACTCTGTGTAAAATATGGTATAAAACCACAAGCCACACAGGGCCAAATGTATTTTTATAATAAGTACAGTTTAATGTAAAACTTGGCTTTTCTACTATGGGTGACTTGAGAGAGATGCATAGAGGCATCTTCTATTTTCCATGAGTAATGTCTGGCCCTTCCCAGTGGGAACGGAGTTCAGAAAGTGGGAGCATGTGTTTGGTGCTTCCTATTTAGAATTTTGATGCTCTCTTGAAATGACTTTATACATACAATCACAGAGAGACAGGATTGAAATGAAAACATCAAATACAGTTTAATTTTTAAATATAAACATTGAAAATACCAGGACTTTTTACATTTTTGATTTTGCTTTTCTTTACTTTTTAATAAGTCAGAAACTGAAAAATAAAAAGGGGGAGCTGAGGCCTGTCTTCTAAAGACCTTAAAAATAATACATGGTGTCTATATTCACAGCAATTTTCATTAGGACTAATAACAGAGGCCTGGAAAGAACAAATGCAGGCATTCACAATTTTTCTTTTTCTCTTCTGAGAAATGCTTTTGATTTTCTTTGAAAATGCCAGGCACAAAATAACACATTGTTTTTGCACTGCAGAGCATTAAGTGAACATTTTCCTTTTAACACACAAAGAAATGTGCTCCTTGAAAATGGACTTGAGGGTGTGATAGGAAAGGCTTGTCACAGCCCCTTACTGGGAGGTGAGGCCCCATTTTTTAATGTTGTATATACCATTTATTTTAGGGATGCTCTAGGTATTTATATTGTAGAATTTAAAAAAGGAACTTACATTGGTTATGTACTATATAGCCTTTGACAGAGAAAGCCCACATACTTCATGCCCAAATTGAAACTATATAAGCAAAGGCTCTACACTGCCTTGACAACCTATAATGAGGCTGAATGTTAGGATGCTCTAATATGAGGTTACTATATCTGTAACGAGGAAGCAAAACACTGCAGCTTAATATCCTTACAGCACCCCATCTATAAAAATGTAACAAAGTTTAGCTCACACATACAGAGGAAAAAGGACAAGTACAGAAATGACTAGAAACCAGAGTGAGGGGAAATTACCAATTTTATAGCAAAGCTTACCTCTGGGACCTAGAGGGATCCAAAGACAACAAACGAGGCCAGTCCATGATTTTCACAGGGTGGAAAGAGATTTTAAATTTGTGGATTAGGACAAAAATGAAATAGATTAAGAACATACATAATAATTTGAGGCAGCATCAATGACAAGCAGAATGGCAGCACCTTATTTACATAAAATGTCCACATCAATGTGACTGACAGGAGCAGCTATGATTTAGTAACGGAGTTTTCATCTCTAGAATGACTTGAAACTCTCTTGAGCAATATAAAATTCTAGTTGATTTCTTCTGGCAAATATCCTCTAATTTAATGCATGTAGGAATTCTATCCATTTAAAAGCTTCTGAAAATTTCATATTAATTTGCCAAGTATAGGGTATGCATAGAAAGGAAATATGAAAAGAAACAACATATAGGCCAGGCTCAGTGGCTCACACCTGTAATCCCAGCACTTTGGGAGGCCAAGGCGGGTGGATCACGAGGTCAGGAGATCGAGACCATCCTGGCTAACACGGTGAAACCCCGTCTCTACTAAAAATACAAAAAAATTAGCTGCGTGAGGTGGCGGGCGCCTGTAGTCCCAGCTACTCCGGAGGCTGAGGCAGGAGAACGGGCGTGAACCCGGGAGGTGGAGCTTGCAGTGAGCCGAGATCGCACCACTGCACTCCAGCCTGGGTGACAAAGCGAGACTCCGTCTCAAAAAAAAAAAAAAAAAGAATCAACATATAAGCCCTTGTTCCTCCTGTCCTATGATACATCATAAAGCAGTGCTATTTATTTATTCTTTGGACTAGAGTGCTAATTTAGGATACTGCGAAATATTCTGAACTGACGCCACATTACCGTAATATTGATTTAGGATCTTGAAAGATATTACTTCTGCCCATCTCAAATACACATGTCTGTTTGCCCCTTCTCTCCCCAACTCTTCCTTGTCGTAATTTGACCCTATGGTTAAAAAGTGTTGCCTATAGAGTTAAACTGAATAGCTTTCTCCCTTCCTAGGAACGAATGGAATTTACAGAAAAAAAATTAAATAAAACATCTAGGAAAATCAATGAAAATTCAGGGATCGGAATTGAATATACGATCCTAACAAATAATAATCAAATCAGTCTTTGCCTCTTGCATGAAGGAACACATATTTATTTCCCTTAGAAACAGTCTATGTGGGCCAAGCACAGTGGCTCATGCCTGTAATCCCAGCACTTTGGGAGGCTGAGGTGGGCTGATCACCTGAGGTCAGGAGTTTGAGACCAGCCTTGCCAACATGGTGAAACTCTGTCTCTATTAAAATACAAAAATTAGCTAGGCGCAGTGGCACACGCCTATAATCCTAGATACTTGAGTTTGAGTCAGGTGGATCACTTGAACCCAGGAGGCGGAGGCTGCAGTGAGCTGAGATCACACCACTGCACTCCAGCCTGGATGACAGAGCAAGACTGTCTCAAAAAAAAAAAAAATAGAAAAAAAAATGTGTATATAAAATGAACTCCTTTTTTTTTTTTGAGTTCATGTCCTTTGTAGGGACATGGATGAAGCTGGAAACCATCATTCTCAGCAAACTATCACAAGGACAAAAAACCAAACACCGCATGTTCTCACTCATAGGTGGGAACTGAACAATGAGAACACTTGGACACAAGAAGGGGAACATCACACACTGGGGCCTGTTGTGGAGTGGGAGGAGGGGGGAGGGGGGAGGGATAGCATTAGGAGATATACCTAATGTAAATGACGAGTTAATGGGTGCAGCACACCAACATGGCACATGTATACATATGTAACAAACCTGCACGTTGTGCACATGTACACTAGAACTTAAAGTATAATAAAAAATATATATATATAGAAAAAAATTAAAAAATAAAGTAAAAAAAAATCAACTCCTAATTTTCAAACTTTTTCATTTTGACAATAAATTATTACTTTACCAAACATGAGACTTTGTAGTGCGGCCTGAAAGAAATATACTCTTAATATAAGAAAAGGGCTTAAATAATAAGAATGTGCTAGTAATTCAGAATATTAACTACTTTCTGAACGATGATCATTTTAGTAAATGTTTAAACAAAATGCTGTATGTAGGTTGGAAGCTCACCCGGAAGACCAGTGGGCCCTTTTCTCCCTGGAGGTCCAGGTAAACCCTTCTCTCCAGGTGGCCCAGGAAATCCATGTGGTCCCTGCGGTCCCGGGAATCCCACTGGTCCTTAAAAAAAAACAAAACATAAAAATGAGGGCACTGGAATGAGACAAGATAAAAACAATGACAGTTTGATAGACTGAATTCAGAGATTCACTCCAACAAAATGCAGGGCATAGCTAGCCTGAGAGTCAAGATTAGCCTCGCCTTCTTCTGTGAGGCTTAGACGGGTTGCCTCTGAAGGAAACACATGATCGGCCGAAAGAACTAAGGAAATGGCTCCATGATCAAGACAAGACCAAATTACAATGAAAAGAAGTCCTATAACCCTAAACTTCCTCTGGAGACAAAGGACTGGAACTGAAGGAAAAATCAGGAAAGAGCTTTCAATATCCGGGAACAACGTGCCTCCCCAGGCGAGTTCAACCACTCTCCTCCTCACTCTCTTAGTTTTAGGCACAACAGTTCAGTTCCTCATACGTGATGTTCCTTTACTTCTTCCACATCCATGATGTCTTCCTCATTTTTTAGAGATAAGACCCAGTTTCATTTTCTCAGGGAAGCCTTCCCTGGAATCCCAACTGAAGTTTAGTTGCTTTTTGATAAGCTCTTCATTCAGGACACTTAACTGGATTTAAACTGACATATCCTTTCATGTGCATGTCTGTCTTCCATGAAACTATGCTCTTTATAAAAGAAATTTATTATTATTATTATTATTATTATTATTATTATTATTATTTGCTCCATTACCCAGGCTGGAGTGTAGTGGCACAATCATTGCTCACTGCAGCCTCCAACTCTTGGGTTCCAGCGATCCTCTCACCTCAGCCTCCCGAGTAGCTGGGACTACAGGCACACACCACCATGCCCAGATAATTTTTTAATTTTTTTGTAGAGATGGGGGTCTCACTGTGTTGCCCAGGCTGGTCTTGAACTATACTGGCCTCCAGGGATCCTCACGCCTTGGCCTCCCAAAGTGTTGGGATTATAGGCATGAACCACT
The DNA here is from genome assembly GCF_000001405.40 of Homo sapiens. Lineage (NCBI taxonomy): Eukaryota > Metazoa > Chordata > Mammalia > Primates > Hominidae > Homo > Homo sapiens. Next base: position 227,028,950 of record NC_000002.12, read on the forward strand.
GAGTCAAGCGGAAACTCTGTCCTTATGAGATTAGAAACTCTACTTAAATTTGTTCACTGCTATATTCCTGCAGGTGCCTAAGAGATATTTGTCACTGTGTAAGTCATAAAAGGTAACTGAGGAAACTCACTCTCTTTATAGTGAAGCACTGTTTGGCCTTTATATTCTCTGGACTGGGAGTCAAGAAGCATGATTAGCGGTTCCACCAATATTTCTAACTCCCTGTGTATCCTTATGTAGATCACTGGTATTCATATGGTGTTTTATTTCCTCAGTCCTGAACTTCATGTCCAGGTAGAGATTTATTCCCTAGAGTAACTAAGGAGGAGGAGTGTTAGCCAGCCCCTTCCTCCTTCCTCTTGGTGACTAGAGTGTTAGCACGTCAGTCCAATTCTGAAGTTCAATCATTGGAAGCCTACTTACCCATAGATTTGAGCCACATTCTCTAAAATTGATTTCATTGCTAATACAGATGAACAGGCTTGCTCCATACTGTTCTACAGGCTGTGCACTGCACAATTCCACAGATGCCATTTGCACTATAGTCATGGCGGCCTCACAGTGATTTTTATCTGTGACCTAATCTTTTGCCTTATTTCACACTTGGTTCAGAACTCAGGCAAGGTGCTCGTTACTGGGCTCTTTTTGCAAATTTCAACTGTTGCTTTTCTGATATCCAGCTTCCTTATTTATGAAATAGGGAAGTTAAAATGGATACTCATTAGTCATCTTTTTTCAACAAAAAGCTTCTTTGAACCTAAAAATTCTCTGAAATTCTGGTGACCAAAAACTGATCTCCCCAAATATTAGCAGTTGGATAAAAATTGATTAAAATAAATATTTTAACCTCAAATACTGGGGAAATTCAGTGATTCGGGATCTTTGCAGGAATATAAAAAAGCAAAGTCAGCAGTCTAAAACTAAGCTGTCCAATACAGAAGCTACTAACCATACATGGCTAGTTAGCACTTGAAATGTGGCCAGTCCAACCTGAGCTGTGCTGTCAGTGTGGAACACACAAGGGATTTCAAAAGCAGGAAGAAGGAGTGGCTTATTTGCAAAAGGAATTAGGTTTGCACAATCAGCTCAATTATCTCATTGATAAATGTATATTAACTATATGTTAAAATAAAAATATTTAAATATATTATGTTAAATCACATAAAGTATGAAAGTTCACTTGTTTTTACTTGCTAAAATGTGTCTACTATATTTTTAAATTGCACATGTGGCTTGCATTACATTTCTACTGTTCAATTCTGGCCTGGAAGATTATCAAGAGTATTATTAGGGGCTAAAGATGAACTTGTGTTTCTTCCTTTTACTTGTCCAACTTTGACCCAAACTTCAGGACTCTTTGGGGAAATAAGGACATTTTGGAAGGTAGTCACTTTGTTTGCATAGGAAATAGAAATGGCGGCACAGTACCCCAGACCCTCAAGGGTAAGATAACCAAGTTATTCACATATTACTTAACGGAACAACATTCATACCTTTCTGGCCATCTTTTCCATCACATCCTGGAAAGCCTTTGTATCCTGGAGGGCCTGGTGGGCCAGGGGGACCTGGTGGCCCTGGTAGACCACAGTCACCTGGCTCCCCTCTCAGAAGGTCAACACTCCCAGGGAGGCCTGGAGGCCCAGGTGCTCCTGACCACAGAGAAGAGACAAAAATATTCTTTTAGTCAAAGACGAATGTGTATACTGGCTGCTTGACAGCTTCCGAAGAAAAACAATTCAATGACTTGCAAGCAAGGAATAAAGAGAATTAGAAGAATAAGAAAGTCAATGATAACAGAAATGAAATAGAATGAATCATAATACCAAGTTGAGAAATGGTGTAGATAATGGGTTGGTAACTGTTAGACAAAATGAACCCAAGCAAAACCTTCCTTCCCTTCAAAGTCATTCCTGTTGAAAATATCATTTTGGGTTTTTGTTTGCATTGCCATCTTACTGCTTTAATAAGATGGATGGATGGATGGATGGATGGATGGATGGATGGATGGATGGATGGATAGGTGGATAGACGGTTGGATGGATAGATAAGATGGATGGATGGATGGATATGTGGATAGATGGTTGGATGGACAGATGGATGGATGGATGGATGGATGGATGGATAGACTGATGGACAGATAGACAGGCATTTGAGGAAATATGTCTGGTGGGAAAGGAATGTTCACTCGATTAAATTTATAATCCTAATGGAAAACAAGTTCCCACAAATAGGAATAAATTGACCCCAATTATATTCCTACTTAGCTTCTGTACTTCTTAGCGCACTTTTGAGAGCTTTATTATTTTCAGTGTATGATCCCTAAAATCCTAAAGATTCAAAGATGATGGGCATGTGTCTTTATGGAAGAGTTCTAAGAGCTTGTATGAATGCAATTGCCTGCATTTAGCAAGATATCACACGGAGCCACACTCTTCTCCCAACTCCCAACCCAGCTCTAGCCTAAACCTACTTGGTCAGCTTAGTAATGACTTCCAACATCTTTCCTTACCAAAGTTTGTCCCTGTGAAGTGATGAAAGAAACAACATGTACTGTCAGCAGCACATGAAGAGACTGTTTCTTGTGTGCCACAAGCCTGCATCCTGTCACTCTGGGCTAGTGCCAGTGGTTTATGTGACAGTTGCTAGAGACCAACAAGGAGGGTGCGATTCCCACTTGCCACCCACTTCTGAAGACATTTGGTCAGCATCAAGCTGGTGATAAGAAACGCTTGCTTATCAGTTTCTAGCCTGAAGAGACGAGGGTCTAACAGAGCTGAAATTGAAGAGAGGGCCAAGTCCTGGTCCTGGATATGGTCCTGAGAGCCCACCACTACCCAAAGTCCCACCCTAACTGTGTCCCACTTATCGACCTGCCAAGCTGATGGGGGGCTGCTTCAGTGCTTCTATTCTGCCACTCTCTGGTCCCACATTCCTCCAGAGCTGGCAGCATCTAACAAAGGGAGCACTGCCATCCTTTGTCATGATTCTCTCATACCTCTTGGGCCATCAGGACCAGGAGGTCCCTGATCTCCAGGTGGACCCGGGTCAGGAATGTCCTTAGGAGCTCTTCCTGTGGCACCTGCAGGACCAGGTGGTCCTGAACTCCCTAAGAAGAGACATGTTCACATGTTATCCTCATTGCATTTGGAAGGTTTTGGTTTAGTTATTGAAAGAAGGGCAAAGCATGCTACAGCTTACCTGGGGGTCCTGGGGGACCTTTCTTTCCACGAGGACCTGGAGGAGAGATTCCTGGGCTCCCAGGGTCTCCTCTCTCCCCTTTTAGCCCAGGTATTCCCACTGGACCAGGTGGCCCCACATCATGCAAACCTTAATGGGGAAAACAGAATTAATACTATATCTTCTCTTTTCTTGTCCCTGTTATAGTGCCTGAAAAGGAACCACTTCCCAATAGCGGCAGAGGAGTGGCTGGTTCTGCAGACACCAACAACTGGTTGCAGTGGTGATCCAAATGTCTGCACCATTTCTCTCTTAGGACCTATCACACTGGTCAGCCATAAGTTTTATTTCTTTTATAGTTATTTTCCAGATTTTAAAAAACAACAACTTAGAGGCAATACCAACCTCCCACCTCTACAATGGAGAGAGTAAAAACAAATGAGATACAATAAGTAATTATGCATAAGTTGCTTTGAAATTTGAGGTGGAAACTGGCATGATTAGAACTATTGTGGAATTTCACACTGGGAAGGAAGGACATCAGTGTTTTCTTGGAAGGCACACACATTTAATCTATTTGGAGGATCTACTAAATGAATCTTAAGTGACTATATTACTGGATCTTCCAAACTAGAAAGATTTCACCTCTCTCCAACAATAAATTCAAACCTAGCAGCACAATTCCTCTTCCCCAGGGTCACTCAAATTTGCATGTTAGGTTTCAGCTACTTTGTCTGATCATAAGCGGTTTTTCTGAGAAAGTAACGCAACAAATGTGCATTATACTAACAGAACAAGATACACTTGTCAAAGATTAACCTGTTTGCGGTATGAAAATAACAGCAAATTGTGTAGGTAATTTGTTTTAGCAGTGGCCATAAAAGGATGCTATTAGTACTAATTTGACCCATGTGGTCAAACATAGCATTACTATACTTAATACAAAAATTCTAAAATCCCCAGCTATTTACTTGTTAGGATAACATTTTGAAATCTGGCTCAATTGTTCAGAGTACTTTTAGTGGACAGAAAATTCCAAGCAATACCAACAAAAGACACTGTTAACCAACCATTCCTTCTTAAATAGGGTTTTCTCAAATGTCCTTTTCATATGTCATTTTCAGCACTAAAAATAGCTCCAATAGTGTGTCTCTAACCTAAGCCAGTTTTTTTCAGTTTTGCCTCCAAATCTCATGAAGTGCAGAAATACCAGGGAGGGTACCACTTTCTCTCATGAACCATGGACTGAAGCTCAGTCTGTTACGAATCGATTAGGTGCTTACCTGAAGCACCTTTAGTTCCTTTCTGACCTTTCAATCCATGCAAGCCGTTCAGGCCAGGTGATCCGGAGGGACCTGAAAAACACCACAGGCCTGTGACCCAAAGGAAGACCAGCCACCGGTACTCACTCTAGCCACAAACGCAGGCACTGCCCAGCAGAGGGCGCGTTGCTGGGGCCAGCAAACAGCTCTGAGCGTCTGGACTTCATCATCAGGGTGGAAACCCAGGCCCAGGACTATTTAACACATTCATCCGGTAAAGATTTTCTGCCAAGACAGCTTAACACAAACATTTCTTTGGTTTTAAAGTACTGCTGTTGGTTTCTGATCCTATCGTGACCAGATATGGTCTAGAATTACTGAATCTTGGCATAGGAAGTGACCTTTGATTTTATGACAATAAAATCACCCTACATGAGGAAAGAGATCGGATGGGAGCAAATCCAGGCCTCACACCTCCCAGGCTTGGGGTCACTGCACCCTCCTAGGGGCTGCAGGCTCCTGGTTTCTTCAGGATCTACTCATGGAGATGCAGTCAGACGAGAGGACGCATGGCGCCTGTGGCATGCTGGCAAATGCTTGCCCTGCGATGCTCAGGCCTGCATGGCGAGTGTGGCTCCAGCTATTGCTTTGCAGTCACTTCTTTCACAACCATTCTGATGCCTTTCTGCAGAACCTAAGTTTATTTTGCGATGATCACTGAAAACTCCCGTCTGTGTAAACAGACATTACCCCACTGATGCCTGTGCCTTCTCTCAGAACCTTCTGTTTAGTTCTCCAAAGAGCCGTCCACCAGCCTGGCTTGACTGAAGTTGTCACTAAACACTTCCAGTGGAAAATTTTTTTTAAGGTTTTTTATCAACGTATGTTGAGTTGTGTTGAAGTTGTCTGAACGAGAGCCTTTTCAAATGACACTTCTTGATGGCCCTTGGTAAAGTTGGAGGAGGAGAGGCAAGGAAGAAAGCAGGTAAGGAATATTTATCGAGCATCTCCAGGGCACTGAGCCATCTGCTGGGTGCCTTCTCACAAGTCCTGTCCCACTGATGGCTACGAGCACTGAAGCTTCTTCCCAGCCTCTGGTCAAGCCTGGAAAACTTCCTATCTCATCAGTAGATCTTCCACCCAGTAGCTGTTCTTTTTTTTTTTTAATTAATTAATTAATTAATTTATTTATTATACTTTAAGTTTTAGGGTACATGTGCACAATGTGCAGGTTAGTTACATATGTATACATGTGCCATGCTGGTGTGCTGCACCCACTAACTCGTCATCTAGCATTAGGTATATCTCCCAATGCTATCCCTCCTCCCTCCCCCCACCCCACAACAGTCCCCAGAGTGTGATGTTCCCCTTCCTGTGTCCATGTGTTCTCATTGTTCAATTCCCACCTATGAGTGAGAATATGTGGTGTTTGGTTTTTTGTTCTTGCGATAGTTTACTGAGAATGATGATTTCCAATTTCATCCATGTCCCTACAAAGGACATGAACTCATCATTTTTTATGGCTGCATAGTATTCCATGGTGTATAGAGCCTCTCGGTGCACAGCCAGCCTGTTTACTTAGTGTAGGGTCACATCTCTCAAATTTGGGATAAAAATACCATCAGCTTATAAGGTTGAACACAGAAGGTGCCCCTCACCTACCCCCATGATATAGGACCCCCTTGATTGTTGATGTCCACCCCACACTGTGAAACAATCATGTCTTTGGGTGACTGTCTCCCCTGCTCAAGGGTAAATAGGAGTTCAAGACTAGGTCCTATGGATGTGTTCAATAAATGTTTGTTGAGTGACTGAATGAAAAAATATGGAACAAGGTGGATGAGGGAGAAAGCTACAAAAAGGAGCAGGGTAGAATTTTTATTTGTATGCCATATCTTTCTTTAATAGATTTATAGGACAAATATAATTTACAGAAGTTAGAGGTATCAGTTTGCATATAAATAATTCAAGTGCTAATTATTGTCTATTCATTTTAAGCAAGTCCTCTGTGTATTCTTATTAGAAGCTGGCACAGTTAGTTGCTTCCATTCTATTTATCATCAGTACTTGAAACAGACAGTCATTATTCTTTTAAGATCTAGGATTTAGATTGGTTCAAATGAGCCATATTCTCGTGCACCAAAAAAAAAAAAAAAATGGGAATGCATCTTTATTTTCCCCAAATCTCTTATTCCTAACCACTTTTTACAGTTCTGGCTTAGTTTATTCTCCAATCCTCTTTCCTATTTTATGAGCCAACGTTTCAAGTTTGCACCAAAAGAACACACAGACCTTCTTTATCTGCCAAATCTGGGTATTTATTGCAATCTATCTGAAATGATAAATTTTCGGGGGGACCACTTCACTATTTCCACATGTTTTGATCTCCAGCTTTAGTCACCAAGATTGATGGCTTGGGGACTTGGCTGGGGTGGAATGTCTCTGCTTCTGCCAGCTCTCCATTGTCACATCAACACATCCAGATCCTAGGTTGTCACGGTCCCAGCCTCTCGCCATTGTTGAACTGGCCGACCCTTATCTGACCCAATGTTATCGTTCTAAATTGAATGCAGCTACATCTGAGTAGGGTTGTAAGGGTAATTTTTCCTTTTTACTGAAAGCTTTTTATCAATCCCATCTCTAAATCAGAAAGTTGTTCATGCATAAAATATATACAGTGCAGATGAGAGGCAATTAGGCTAACAAAGCACATTTCTGGGTAATGAGGAATTTTTATTCACCTCTCTGGTCATCCTCCTGCTAAACAACCATCATTTAAGGCTGCAGCACACTGCACTTTCAGGCTGGGTGCTCTTTCTCTAGTCAGTGAATGTAACCTCCAATCCAGCTGGAATTGTGGCTCCCATCTTTGTTAGCCAGCGAACTCTTTATGACTGCATTCCCACTCTCAGGCTGTATTTTGTTCTAAAGCCTGAAAACATTACTCGACACACCCAAGAGCTTTTATATGGGCTCATACTTTTAACACATAGGGTGACCAACGTGTCCCTGTTTGCCTGCGACTTCTTCCTGGTTTTAGCACTGAAATTTCTACATCCTGAAATACCCACTCAGGCCCAGGCAAAACGGGACAGCTGCTCACCCTAACTTCAAAGCTGATGGGAAGAGAGATCTTTGTGACTATAAGTAATGGTTGAAAAACCTGGAAGATTCTTATTAACAAAGATTCTGAAATAAGATTTAAATATTTTTTGTATCAGCAAATATGTGAGTGCCCACTAAGGGTGTAAGATATGGTTTCCTAATGCACAGAGTCTGCCCCAAATGTACCTCCTGGCAGGTGCTGTCAAGACGATGCGGGACAAGTCTGTCCCTGACTTGACAGAACAAACAGGCAATTACATCCAGTGTGGTAAGTGCTGTGGGGGAAGGGCAGGAGGAGAGTAATCTAGTAAAAAAAGCGGGGGGAGAATATTTCCATGATGTTCATAGCTCTAAGGGACATGGCATCTCTTTTCTGAGGAAAGCCATTTCCAGATTCTTTTTTCTTATGAAACATTTTACTTGCTACCAGTAAATATGGATACAAAATCCATATTCTTTCCAGTTCTTGTCATGCTACAGGTAATATTCTTTAGGTTTTCATTATTTCAATCTTATATTACTTTCCAACTAGGAACTGGGTGTTCTCCTTTTAAAGGGCATTTGTACTTAAAGTCTAGGAATCAAGCCATTTTATGATGATGATGATGACACTTTAAGTTCTGGGATACATGTACAGAATGTGCAGGTTTTTTACATAGGTATACATGTGCCATGGTGGTTTGCTGCACCCATCAACCCGACATCTGTATTAGGTATTTCTCCTAATGCTATCCCTCCCCTAGCCTCTCACCCACTGACAGGCCCCAGTGTGTGATATTCCTCTCCCTATGTCCATGTGTTCTCATTGTTTAGCTCCCACTTATGAGTGAGAACATGTGGTGTTTGGTTTTCTGTTCCTGTGTTAGTTTGCTGAGAATGATGGTTTTCAGCTTCATCCATGTCCCTGCAAAGGACATGCACTCATCCTTTTTTTATGGCTGCATAGTATTCCATGGTGTACATGTGCCACATTTTCTTTATCCAGTCTATCATTGATGGGCATTTGGGTTGGTTCCAAGTCTTTGCTATTGTGAATAGTGCTGCAATAAACATACATTTGCATAGGTCTTTATAGCAGAATGATTTACAATCATTTGGGTATAAACCCAGTAATGGGATCACTGGGTCAAATGGAATTTCTGGTTCTAGATCCTTGAGGAATCGCCACACTGTCTTCCACAACAGTTGAACTAATTTACACTCCCACCAACAGTGTAAAAGCATTCCTATTTCTCCACATCCTCTCCAGCAACTGTTGTTTCCTGACTTTTTAATGATCTCCATTCTAACTGGCAATGAGATGGTATCTCATTGTGGTTTTGATTTGCATTTCTCTAATGACCACTGATGATGAGCTTTTATTTTCATATGTTTGTTGGCCGCATAAATGTCTTTTTGAGAAGTGTCTGTTTATATCCTTCGCCCACTTTTTGATGGGGTTGTTTCTTTCTTGTAAATTTGTTTGAATTCCTTGTAGATTGTCAGATGGATAGATTGCAAAAATTTTCTCCCATTCTGTAGGTTGCCTGTTCACTCTGATGATAGTTTCTTTGCTGTGCAGAAGCTCTTTAGTTTAATTAGATCCCATTTGTCAATTTTGCCTTTTGTTGCCACTGCTTTAGGTGTTTTAGGCATGAAGTCTTTGCCCATGCCTATGTCCTGAATGGTACTGTCTAGGTTTTCTTCTAGGGTTTTTACAGTTTTAGGTCTTATGTTTAAGTGTTTAATCCGTCTTGAGTTAATTTTTGTATAAGGTGTAAGGAAGGGGTCCGGTTTCAGTATTCTGAATATGGCTAGCCAGTTTTTCCAACACCATTTATTAAATAGGGAACCCTTTCCCCATTGCTTGTTTTTGTCAGGTTTGTGGAAGATCAGATGTTTGTAGATGTGTGGAGTTATTTCTGAGGTCTCTGTTTTGTTCCATTGGTCAAGATATCTGTTTTGGTACCAGTACCATGCTGTTATGGTTACTGTAGCCTTGTACTATAGTTTGAAATCAGGTAGCCTGATGCCTCTGGCTTTATTCTTTTTGTTTAGGATTGTCTTGGCTATACAGGCTCTTTTTTGGTTCCATTTGAAATTTAAAGTAGTTTTTTGTAATTATGTGAAGAAAGTCAATGGTAGCTGGAATCAAGCCATTTTTAGCATATGTTTAAGTTAAAGTTTAAATCTGATTGAACACAAGCAGGATGCAAAATCCATATGGCCTGTTCTAGCAGAGCAAACAGCTTTGAGTTCAGCAGCTGGTTTGTTCAAACAAGATAATCAGTCCCCTTGACTTAGTTAGAACATACTGCAAATATTTAGTTTCTCAGTTCAAAGTGTTTCTGCTGGAGTGTGGTTCATTTTTATATCAGCATGATAAGCTGCAACAATGAATTTATACTGCAGATGTTTTAACTTTTCAGAATGTATTTCACTGTTTTGTTTTGTGTTGTGGTTTTTAAAGACCAGTTGTTCTCTGAGCTGTTTGAAGTGAAACAGTGTCACTATATGGTGATGGAGCACCACTGCAACATCTGTCTGTAGGTGGTATGAACATGCCAAGTAATATGTTCATTTCCTCACCTTCTCTTTTTAACACACTATTTCATAGCACGGAATTATGATGTGATTGGAGATTAATTTTGGGGTGATTTTGTTATGGATCAAATTTATTAGCTATTAGTTTTGTTTTGTTTTGTTTTGCTTGAGACAGAGTCTTGCTCTGTCACCCAGGCTGGAGTTCAGTGGTGCAATCTCAGTTCACTGCAACCTCCACCTCCTGGGTTCTAGCAATTCTTCTGCCTCAGCTTCCCAAGTAGCTGGGACTACAGGCACCCGCCATCACGCTCACCTAATTTTTGTATTTTTTTAGTACAGATGGGGTTTCGCTATATGTTGGCCAGGCTGGTCTCGAACTCCTGACCTCAGCTGATCCGCCTGCCTCAGCCTCCCACAGTGCTGTGATTACAGGCATTAGCCACCACGTCGGCCAGCTATTAGTTTTGTAATAGCATGCCATACTGAAGTTATGTGATAAATGCAAACAAATTCAAGGGAAAGAAAGATCAACAACAGTGGCATGAGCCCTGCCATTTTGACCAAATTGGGTGTATGTTTTTAAGCCACCAAGACACTTAAAAATCCTTGCTGTGTTACTAAACTGGGAGGGTAGGAAGAAGTGGAGGGTAGGAAAAAGTGGGAGTGGTTAATGATGACAAATGTTTTCTTTTGGTTCTTTACCAACTGTCTTCCGGACACAAAAAAGTGTCAAAGAATACGCCATGAAGGCTGTAGAGATGGTCAGAGACAGGAAATGGCCACAATCACCACAGAAACTTTCAAAATAACAGAATGATCATTTGCCTGAAATCCTAAATTTATCATGAATTGCTGGAATTCATATTACTAAAAGTGTCAATGAAGACGGAGAACAGTACAAAGATGTCTTGTGAAGGGAACTTTTCCTATCAAGTTATGTGATTGTGTGAAAATACATGAGTATACCAACTCTTCAACATAAATGGCTCCTGTCTCCACAGACTTGCACCAAGTAATACCTACCACACTACCACTTCTGGAAAATTAGAATTATTTCAAAGCTATCCAATGAGTGAAGAGGGCAAAGTGTGGGAAAATCGTATTTGAATTTTCAAAACAGTAAAAGGATTAATCCCAGAAGAAGGGGTTTCCAACTCAGTACCTTCTGAAAGGAGGGACTTTTTATTTTACCAGGATTTCGTATACGTATGAGTCAATGAGCAAAGGCAGGTGGAAGGAGAAAGGAAGAAGAAATAGAGGAAACCTGGTTACAAGACTCTACCAAGTAAGCTGGAACCATCAGCTGTTGGTTCAGATAAGGACTGCAACCTCATATCTACTAGCTCAGATATTCATTCTCCTATTTGTCCATTCATTCATACCACCAACCAATATACTTGTTATTGACTGGGTCTCAAGGGTATATGAAATGTCCTTGCTTTTTAAAAAATCATACTCTGTTTGATGAGAAAAACCTCCAAACAAATGTGATACAACGTAAGTGTTATGCTAAAGATATGTTCAAAAATACCCATAGAAAAAATACTTTTTCTTTTTTTTTTTTTTTGAGATGGAGTCTTACTCTGTTGCCTAGGCTGGAGCGCAGTGGCACGATATTGGCTCACTGCAACCTCCACCTTCCAGGTTCAAGCAATTCTCCTGCCTCAGCCTCCAGAGTAGATGGGATTACAGGCATGCACCACCACAGAGCTAACTTTTATATTTTTAGTAGAGATGGCGTTTCACCATGTTGGCCAGGCTGGTCTCGAACTACTGACCTCAAGTGATCCGCCCACGTCAGCCTCCCAAAACTCTGGGATTACAGGTGTGAGCCACCCGGCCAAAAAAGTACTTTTTCTAAAGTGGAAGAAATGGACTGAAGAGGGGTTGATACCATGGATGAATGTGAGGGCATAAAGATTTATTAATGACAAGTATTTTATATTATATTGTATTGTATTATATTATATTATAACCAGACTTTTATAACCAGTCCACTATTGCCTTTACAGACCAAGAAATTCAACCCAGAAAAAATTATTCTTGATCGAAAAAAGATGATGAACACTAATTATTCTATATCTGTAGCACCTTATTGTTTTCTCTTCCACTTATCATGATCAGTAAATATATATTCATTTCCACATATATTATTAATGTCTTTCTCTCCTGCCATACTGTCAGCTCCATGAGGGCAGGAAGCAGGTCTATTTTCTTCAAAACTGTACACCCAGCATCTAGCACAGAATCTAGGATAGTAGGAGCTTAACCATAGGTGAAGGGAATACATGAATAATGGGCCTGAACATCATAAAAATCATTTGGCTAAATGCCTTCAGAAATAAGATGGTAGCAACCGGGCGCTCACATCCTAGCACTTCAGGAGGCCGAGGCGGGTGGATCATTTGAGGTCAGGAGTTTGAGACCAGCCTGGCCAACATGGTGAAACCCCGTCTCCACTAAAAAATACAAAAATTAGCCAGGCATGGTGATGTGCACCTGTAATCCCAGCTACTTAGGAGGCTGAGGCAGGAGAATTGCTTGAACCTGGGAGGTGGAGGTTGCAGTGAGCTGAGAACGCGTCACTGTACTCCAGCCTGGGTGACAGAGCAAGACACCATCAAAAAAAAAGAAAAAAGAAAAGGAAAGAAAAGGAAAAAAGAAAGAAAGACAGAGAGAGAGAGAGAGAAGGAAGGAAGGGAGGAGGAAGGAAGGAAGGAAGGAAGGAAGGAAGGAAGGAAGGAAGGAAGGAAGGAAGGAAGGAAGGAAGGGAAAGAAAGAAAGAAAGGAAGAAAGAAAGAAAGAAAGAAAGAAAGAAAGAAAGAAAGAAAGAGAAAGAAAGAAAGAAAGAAAGAAAGAAAGAAAGAAAGAAAGAAAGAAAGAAAGAAAGAAAGAAAGAAAGAAAGAAAATGGTAGCACTACCATTCTCCCTGGTAGAAGGCAGGTCAGCTGACTGGATGGGCACTACCTGCAGCCCTGGCTAAGGAAGAGTAGGAAGATGCTAATGGCACCTACGGAAAAGAGTGGTATAACCAAGAGCAGGGTCACTCACTGGTACAGGAAAAAAACACCATCAATTTGCCCTCATTGGGCTGCATCTTTCTTGTGGGATGGGCTTCATTTTGACTTACCTTTTATTCCCGGAGGACCTGGTATCCCTGGATCCCCCTGGAGGCCTCTTGGCCCAGGGTCTCCCATTTCTCCTGGCTGTCCCCTCAGCCCAGGCATCCCGTGATCACCTGAGGATGACAGGGAAGTTTTGCAGATGGCCAGATAATAAATGAATTACATTCACTGCAAAAGTCATCTATGTTCTTAATATATGGGTAACGGAGAACACTGTCTAATTACTTTTTCTTCCTATACATCTTAACTCTAGGGAGAAAAATACATTTAAATTCAGGAGGAGAAAATACATTTCCAAATAAATGAAGTTGCCAACTATAGTTTGAAACTTTCTCTTTTTTTCTGAATTGGCAGGAATAGTATCCATTAAAACACTGTGCTGTAAGTGTGACATCTGCCTTAGGTCTAAAGGAGGGGAAAACAAACAAACAAACAAACAAAACAGCATCCTGAATGGCAGGAGAAATGCAAAGGGCTAGAAAGGAGCTGCTATCTGGGCCAGACACAGTGGCTCATGCCTGTAATCCCGGCACTTTGGGAGGCTGAGACAGCCTCCCTGAGGTCGGGAGTTTGAGGCTACAGTGAGCTATGATTGTGCCACCACACTCCAGCCTTGTTAATAGAGTGAGGCCCTCTCTCTCTAAAAGAATAAAAACTAAAAAGAAAGGAGTTGCTATCTGTCTGACCATTCCTTTGTGTCTGGTGCCATGCTAGGCACTTTACAGGTGCTGTCTTAATCTACTCCAAGTCACTCAGTGAAACCCACTAGCTTATAGGTGAGGCATAGGTGAGCTTAAGTGACCTATCCAAAGTCACAGGTCTGGGAAATGGCAGAGCCATATCTGAATTTAGGTCTAATTAAAGACTGGTGGTTTCTGAAACACTCTGAGACACAAGAGTGCTCAGGAAGTCTCCAGATTTCCTTTCAAGGTACCTGGGCACCCTGGTGGTCCAGAGGAGCCAGGTGGCCCTGGCCTTCCAGGTGATCCTCTGGGCCCTTGAATACCAGGCAAGCCCTGCTCTCCGGATGCTCCAAAATGCCCTAAAGAAGGAAAGATCAAACATCAGAGTTGCCGTTTGAGACAGTGAATCTTTAAAATCACCAAGTTCAGCCCACCCTATTCTTTTCTATCCTTACTTTTTTAGTTTTAAATAGTTTCTATTGGAAAGGAAAATAACGTTAAGGAAAAACTGATAACAAAATGCCCATAATCCCACCAGCTTAACACAATTCTTCATATGTACATACATGTACAGATAATACCCACAATTTTATATTCTGGTTTTTAAAATTAGTGTTGTATCATAAGTAATTTTCCAAGTTTATATTGGTTTTCCTAATTATCATTTTTAAATGAATGGCCAGTAGCTTTTTGAGTCAATCTTAATTAAATTAACTAATTCAATTTATTTTACTATTGGCCATTTAAGTTATCTCTAACTCTGCCGTTATCCATAATGCTCTTTATATCTCTTGTCAATTTTGTTTCTCCTATTAAATTGTTTCCTTAGGAAAAATTCCTAGGAGTAGAATTTCTGGATAAATAGCATGATATTTTGGTATTTTCAAATGCATTTTAAATGCTGAAGTATTTTAAAGTACATCACACCGTAGTGTAATTCCATCCCTAAATACTTCAGGAGGTAAGAAGTCTGAAAAATAAGAACGTTTTTCTACATTGCCAAAATAACATTTCGCAGCCAAGAAAATTAATAGCAATTCTTAATACCCTCAAACACTCATCCCATACTTGAATCCCCCCAATTATCCCCTTAATGTCCTTCACAGTTGGTTTCTCCACACCACGTTCCATCCCAGAATCACCCATAACATCTAATGGATAGGTCTCTTCAATTTCTAAAAATTTAAAGCAGTCCTTTTCTTATGACAGTGACTTGCTGCAGAGCACAATTCAGTTCTTCTCTAGTTTTCTAGAACAGACCATTCAACATTTGGTTCTTGATACAGGTTGCCAGTAGTTTGGAGTAAGTGCTGCACTGACTCACACCACCATATGGAACCCACCCACAGCTCCAAGAGCATGCCGTGTTCTTACTGAGGACATTTTAGTTTTTTGGCCTCTTTTCTTGCTAATTTATTAAAGATAAAATGATATTTCAGACACTTGAAATTACATTTCTTTGATTACTAAAGAGGATGACTATTTCCCCGTGTGTTTATTTACAATGTATGAGTTTAATGCACGTTTATGGGATAAACCAATAGTGTGTGCTGAAAATCACTGGTTGAATCTGCACATAAAATATATGTCTCTGTATTTACAAACCATGCTGGGGGGGCTATAGTCATCATTTATTATAGCACACAGGAAACAAGCTTTTGTTAGTCTGTACCTGTTCCCTGATTGAATTTAACATCTATTAGTCTCACTATGTATTATCTTATTTATCCTGAAAACATTCCTACAGTAAAGTAGCATTATTCTCATCTACAAATGAAAACACTGAAATATTAAAAATAAAAACTTGTCTCCTGAATTTTGTGGGGTTGTGTTAAGAACAGAACTTCTGAGTTAATTTGCACTATATTTTCTCTCTGAATAGAGTGCAGAGTAGGTAGGACTGAACCCAGGATAATCACATATAATCCCAAGACCAGCTGCAGATTCATGCCTTCTCATGATGCTCATTCAAGTTCAATGAAGCCTTCTCCAGTCAATGGAAATAGTGTATTAAGTAAACTCTGTGCTAGTGAATAACATATAATACAATTTAAAATTTCTAAGCTGAGGCCATGGCATATGGGAAAGGGGCCAATTTAAATGGTGGTAACCACAGGAGAACAGGCAAATTTGGCCAAGGCAAACTTTCTGAAAAAGTCAGCCTAAGTGTAAAATCACTCAGGTTTATGATTTTTAAGTTAAAATACTAGGTAACATCACAGGCCCCCATTTTGGACTACCCTGAGCTTATGAAATCTTCCTATCTTTGGGGTTTACATAAAAATACCAGTAAGTATGGGAAAATGTCTTCATGTTTTGCTGACTGATGATGGTGATGATGACAATGATGATCATTGCATTTTATTTTGTATAGTTATTTTCAGTTTCAGTTTCTTTCATTTGATCCTCAGGACAATCCTGCAGTATGCATAGGGCCAGTTTACAGGTGAGGCAACTACGCTCAGAGAAGATACTCTCAGCTTACCCAAGACCACAGGTGAAGTAATAATGGAGGTTGACTTTGAGCCACCGATTTTTCCCTTCTGAGGCTTCTCACTTTGATATTTGTCATGAACTCCCATAATGCTGACCTCAAAACTATTTTCCCTATCAAATGTATACTTCAGTTATACAGTTCAGTTAAAATATTATACTATGTCTAGGCCGGGCACAGTGCCTCACACCTGTAATCCAAGCAGTTTGGGAAGCCAAGGCAGGCAGATCACTTGAGGCCAGGAGTTTGAGACCAGCCTAGCCAACATGACAAAACTCTGTCTCTACCAAAAATACAAAAATCAGCTGGTGTGGTGGTGCACACCTGTAGTCCCAGCTACTTGGGAGGCTAAGGTGGGAGAATTGCTTGAACCCAGAAGGTGGAGGTTGCAGTGAGCCAAGATTGTGCCACTCCACTCCAGCCTGGGTGAAACAGCAAGACTCCATCTCAAAAAAAAAAAATACATATATATATATATACACATATATATATATATACACATATATATATATACACACATATATATATACACATATATATATACACATATATATACATATATATGTATATATATTTAGATAGTATATATATGTATGTATATGTATATGTATATATGTATATATGTATATATGTATATATGTATATATTTATATGTGTATATGTATATATTTAGATATTTAGATATATTTAGATAGTATATATGTATATATGTATACATATATACATATATACTATCTAAACATATATACATATATATATTTAGATATATATGTACATATATATATATCTAAATATATTTGTTCATGTCAGAGGTGAAAGACCCATAGCAAAGAAGGTGGGAAAGGTAGTTTGTGCCACTGTATTAACTTGTTTTTGTTAGACTTCCATTTTAGCAATCTTACAGTATAAAAACAAAGAAAATAAAATTTCTCATATAGTTCTGCTCAGAAAATATCTAATATTCTTTCTGTTGTATGAAATGAAACACAGCTATTGCCAGATGGAATTTTAAGATAATGCACAAAATTATTGATATGAGGTGTTTTAATTTACAAGGTACCCATCTAAACACAAACCTGGTTTCTAACCTGACCACTATTGGCTGAGTGCCCTGGGATATAACTTATTTAACCAGGCATCTGTGAATGGACATTTGTTCCATTCAAACAACGCATATTCCTGGGCATGCATCTTTGTACACTTGTCTGATTACTGACTCCAGATAAATTCCTAAGAGAATTCCTAAGTCAAGCGATATGCATATTTTAAATATTGGTGCATTTCTATAGGGTCCAGAAAGGGAGTACCAATTAATATCTGCAACATTTTCTGAAATGTAAACATATATGAGTTAAACCAATAGAACATTCTGTCCTAAGGCTGCTTTCCCCTCTAGGGGTCCTGTTCTGTCGGCTTGAACTCAAATGGTTTCCCTTTCCCTGTAAAGCATGGAGCTGTGCATAACACTGGCACCCCCCTTCTGCTGTGGGTCATCTAATGTAGCCAGTTGTGGCCTCAACTGTCACAAGAACTCAATGGTGCATCACAATCCATTCTGAAGGATTCCATGTTAAATTATTATTGAGAAGCAAAATACTGTTTAAAATGACTTAGATTTCTTGTTGGTGATGAGGTTTATGTTTGCTTGATTTGGTTTGATTTTTAGTAAATTAAAATAGATTCAATGATGGCTCAACAATGGCGCACCACTTACACTGGCATGTGCTTTTCTCAGTAGAAAGAAAGAGCTGGAATGACAACCTGCAGCTGTAGTCATTGTGAGTGGTTATTGCGAATGCATCATTTTAAATGATAGAGGGTGCAAAATGGTCCAGATTTTAATTGTTTGCAATATTCATTTTTGAGTTTGCCAAAATATGGGCATGCCTGGGGAGTTTATTATTGTGTCAACATCATCGGTCACATGAGCCATGATGGAAAAATGATTGTGAATCCCTAGTATGTAACCCTGGTGTTCTTCTAGGCCAGGCAAGAAATGCTATGGAAGTGTTTATATATAACCCGTTTTATCTATACCTTAATGCACAAAGGGGTAAGAAAATATTGATACGATCATTGCCAGCTAGAAGTAATTGTTCTGCTTTTCAAACTAAACTACTTTTTTTGTTTTAGTAAGAAAAATATGCAGCTATACCTGGACATCCAGGGCTACCTGGCTCACCCTTTGGACCAGGTGGACCAAAGTGACTGGCAGGGTCACCTTTGTTTCCTGAAAGGGATAAAATGCATGTGACATTACTTTAGACAATTTAATTTGGTCTCATACAGGTGACAGTAACGTTTATGGTATTTGTATAGCTTATCTTCAGATATTTTAGGAGAGTGTTTTTAAATACTTTTATTCTAAATAAGAACAAATAGAAATATAGATGCAAGATGCAATTTACATACCACACACACACACACACACACACACACACACGGTTTTAGAATACATCACAATCATAAGGATCTCCAGGTATTGATAAGTTTGAGTTTTTAAGTCCTGAAAAAATTTTCAACTTTAGGTTTCTATTTAAGAAATTATTTGGCATTGAGTGGCTATATCCTTATGTTTTAGAAACCAAAATCAAAAATTGTAACTGTTTTCACTGCTGCAATCATATTTCAAGCTCTTTTATAAGGCAGCTCAACTCAGTGTCCTTGCAAAAAGAAAATCACAAAGGCATACTGCATTGATGACAAGAGATGGCACATTCAAAAGCCACTGTAGGCCATGACTCCCACAGTCCCACAAAGCTACTGGTCACTCCATAATGCTTCCAGACACAAGGACCTACATTATGGTTGGGAGCCAGTTTGAAGTGGAGGACTCAAAATGGAGTGGGAGGAAAGGCAAGAAAATAGATGGGGTTTCAAGAGAATTACAGAGGTAAGTTAGATGTATCTTATAGTAACTGCCCATTTACACTCCTTTCTAAAGGAGTTCCACCAGCACCTTGTGGAAGTCTTTCTCCTATCTGATTTTACTCATAATAATGGCCAATTGCTTGAGGGGTGGGATTCTGGCCCATTCCAGGTCAAACAAGTCTTTCCTTGAGAAGATGGAATAAGAAAGTGAGAATTTGAAGTCCTTGGCTACTGGGGCAGAAACCAAAAGCATTATCATGAGCTGTCCTGATGTAGAACATATTGGAGTACAACCCAACATATCCAGAAATATCCAGAAAAGATACTGTGTAGACAGAGATGAAGCCAGTTGGTAGACAGGTAAGTGAAAAAATAGACCATGGGAAAAAGTGAGAAACCATGGATTGACTAAGGGCTAGGGTTCCTTTAGCTTTGGCAGAACTATGTCTCCTATCTGTGGGATCCATGAGACATCTTTGACTCCAGGTATTTTGAGTGCATTTCAATTCCTTTTAAGCATGGCCCAATACAAGCATGAAGGAAGTGAGAAGAGGTAGGTTTTTACTGTGAAAGAATGGTAAAGAGACTAATAAATGTATAGGTAAGCAGAAAAGGAGTGACTTCTGAACCCCAAAGTTATAAAATATCAAAATCAAATATAAAACTTTTTCCATTTGTAACCATTTCCCAAGAAGGGATCTATATTATTCTTTCTGAAGAAATAAGCCCACACAGGTCATGTTTGTTATAGCATTTAGTATATTATTTATAGAGTGTCTCTCAAAGTAGTAAGGCAGAGGATTGTAGGTCATTCATTAATTAGTATTTTATATTTTAAATTTCTTTTAACTTATATCAAAATAAAGGATAACTGCATGTTAACCTGTGAATTTACAGCTAGTTACGCTAAGGCTAAGGTTAAAAAGGTAAATCATTTTAAAGTAGATTTAAAGAAAAATATTAACCCAATGGTATACCAAGATAGTAAAACTATTAAAGGTTTTATGCAAACATTGCAACTAAGATATCCTGCTCTTTGTTTGTTTACTTGTTTGTCTGAATAAAGGGTTAATGAAGCCTCTCTTTCACTAGAATGTTAGGTGTGTTACAATGCAGCACTGTTTTTGACACAAGGTAAACTAAGGCCCGTGGGGCCAAATCTAGCCTGCAGCCAATTTTGCAAATAAAGTTCTATTGGAAAACAGCCACACTCCTTTGTTTACATATAGCCTATGGCTGCTTTCACACTATAACAACACAGTTGAATAGTTGTGACTGAGACCATATGGCCCAACAAGCTGAAAATTGTTATGATCTGGCCCTTTAGGAAAAAAATATTTTGCTATAGTAAAAAAATAATAATAATAATAAAAAACCCAATTGTAAATTACATCTATCTTGGGACTTCTTAAGTGAACTCTTAGCACCTGCTGGAAAGTCATGGCTTTAGCCTCTATGTCCTAACTGGGACTCTAAAAGCTGTACTTATGAAGTCCTTAGAAAAGATACTGGCTCCTGCGGGACATAGGGTTTCTAAGCCAAAGTGGGCACGGCCCACTGACATGGATCTGTTCTCCTTGCAACTGAGCTGTTACTTGAGGGGCTGCAGTCACTCCATGGACTGCTGCTGGGACTCTCACAGAGGAGGAAGACACGAAGAGCCTGCAGGCATGCTGTTTTCTATCTGATACCCTTGGATCTGAGTGACAACTGTAGAATATTTGGATCTTGAGTGTTTGACTGTCTAACAAGAGCCCCTTGGGTGTTGCAGTTTCTTTGATACACTTTGCTTATCATGTAAAAGGCACTTGTTTACAATGTTATAAACATTCGGGACTATGCATTTGACAGATGGCTTCTGTATCTCCAAACCATACCTTTAGGTCCTCTTGCTCCATCAATTCCTGAAAATCCAGGGGGACCTGGAGAACCTGGCTCACCCTGACAGTTTAATGAAACAAAAGGCCTTAATCAGATTTCAAATACAAATGGCACATGCACAACACGATCCAGTTGTAATTTTCTGTAACTAATTTGGTTTTTGTAATCTGCAGTGGTAACGAAAGTTTAAATGCATGCAAGCCTCCCACTACATGTATCTAGTTTTTCAAAGTTGATATAGCTTCTCCAGAATTAGAGTTCTCAGTCGCAACTGGTAGCATCCCATTCTCTACACTTGGTTGTGAAACAGTAATTGTGTTACTAATTTGAATTTTAAATTACAAATAAACAAGTTGATACTAAATAAAATAGTATTATAAATCACAGCATATGAAAGACTTTACAAATCCATTTCATTCCAAAAGATGGATAGTGAGTTACGTGTTTTCCAGAAGTATAATGTTGGCAACTACATGTATTGTACCTCCTGGATTCTGAAAGGGTATTTTACTCATGGTTGTGAAGACGAAATATATTGAAAGCAAAATCTGTGATATCTGAAACTGGAAGACTTTAAAGACAGGATTTGGGTGATTTTTCAGGACGACTTTCATTCCAGTAAACCAGTGGTCATGAGGCAAGTCTTCATGGGTGGTTTAAACCAGGCTGGGAGATAGCGATTATATGACTCTATGTTAGGGGAACCAGGCAGGAGCACTGGTCAGAAATGTCAGTTTCATCGTGGCCTTCTAGAAGGCTCTATTTTCTCCTTGAGCTACACCTTACATTCTAAAAGCCAGTGAAAGGGCAATGGTATATACGCTGGCAAATTATAGCTCCTTACGGACATCCTAAGAACAGAAAGGTTTTATTGTCTCTTCCCCCACAAAGCAGTAGCCCCTTACCTGGTCACCTGGAAGTCCTGGAAAACCAATGAACCCTCTTAGACCAGTTGAGCCTGGAGGGCCTGGGGGTCCAGGAGGCCCTGGCTGACCTTTCTCACCAGGTTCCCCTCTGTGAAATCCAGGTGGTCCGTATCTTCCCGGCTCTCCTCTTCTCCCTTGCATCCCGGGAGTTCCTTTATCACCTGATGAAGTTGGAAGTGTTACAGGTCTCTGCTGAAATTTTGAGCTAGGTAATAGTTAAGCTGAGGGACCTGGTCCTACTTTTAGGAGATAAAGCCAAAGGTATTGAGGATTCTGATTGCTGTCCCAAGCCGCTTCCTGATCATTTCTGGCTTCAGTGACCTCATTGATGAAAGAAGCTGCCTGGGAATATCTAAGGACTATCAGAGGTGGGAAGGAGCACACAGGATTATTTGCCTCCGCTGCTTATTTTACAAATGAAGAAGCACTTACCCAGAAAAGTTAAAATATTTGCCCTCTAACAACTAGCTGAGAGAAGCCAAGATGAGCACCTCATGCAGACTAAGTCTGACCTTGGAGGAGCACACAAATGGGGTTGTCAAAAATCCTCGCTCTGCAATGTTTCTGTGGACCATTAGCATGGGCATTGGGGTGTCTGTTAGAAAGGCAGGATACCTGGCTGCCCCAGAGCTGCTGAATCAGAATCTGCATTTTAACAAGCTCTCCAGGTGATTAATGTGCTCTGAAGTTTGAGAGGCACTGGTCACAATGACTTGAACAGTCATTGCGCTATTCACTTTAAAACCAACTACCAAACCTGAAACCAGTATTTTATGTATAGCTCAGGTTGATCCCAGTTTAGAATATCCAAATCTAGGAGTACACAGGAACTTCAGCTAAATTTTAGCATGGAGAAGCAAAAAATGTACCACAAGGTTTATTTGTGTTTATTTATATCTAAAAAAAATGGCCTTTTCTCACAGTGGTTCACGCCTGTAATCCAGCATTTTGGGAGGCCGAGGCGGGTGGATCACCTGAGGTCAGGAGTTTGAGACCAGCCTGGCCAACATGGTGAAACCCCCATCTTTACTAAAAATACAAAAATTAGCCAGGCGTGGTGGCATGCGCCTGTAATTCCAGCTACTCGGGAGGCTGAGGCAGGAGAATCGCTTGAACCCGGGAGGCAGAGGTTGCAGTGAGCTGAGATGGTGCCACTGCACTCCAGCCTGGGCGACAAGAGCAAAACTCCATCTCAAAAAAAAAAAAGTCTTTTCTAATCTCAGTGTTATTGGGGAAAGTTGCCTAACAAATGTGATCTGTAAAAATGTCAACTTATTTGATATGGTTAAAAACTCTTAAGTGTTTACCTCTTTCTCCTGGGAATCCATCATCTCCAGGAGGTCCAGGTTCCCCAGGTGTTCCCTTTTGTGAAATGATAGCCATTTCTCCTTCATCTCCGGGAGGTCCTATGGCTCCTATGGATATTAATTATGCAAGAACAAAATGAACAGGAACATCACACACATAATTTATCCATTACTACATTTCACTCCCAAATCGCAAATTCCCACTTAACCTACGAAGCTCTATTTATGTAGATCACAAAATGTCACCATTGTTGGCTGATTTCCTAAAGGAAGGTCAGTCATCTTTTACGTTCCTGACCCCATTTGTCCAGCCACAGAGTCTGGTGTGCCAGGAGTGCTCACTGAATGTTTGCCAAATTCAACCAAACTGGTCGGGGTCTTCACTGAGGTTAAGACAGATTTGAAAAGTTCCAGTCTAAAAAAATGTCGCTTTGTTCTATAAAATTTGGATTTGCCCATCTCATATTTCCAGTTCCATATCTCCTCCTAGCCATCCTCTCTTACTTTCCTTATATTAAAAGAACAGACACTTATCTCAATGTGGTACCCCTCACACTGACTTCTGAAAGGTAGGAAGGGCATACCGTACTTCTGCCTGATTTTGCAAACACTGGCCAGCTGTAGCAATGTGCAGGCGTGGGCTCCTACCAGCTTGACGAGTGCCAGTTACCACAATTCAAGAACCCTGCAAGCCAGTTGTTAAACCATTGCTAACTTTAAATCAGCCGTGGCAGGAGTATTTATGCCATGACACTCAGCAAACACTATAAACCACGGTGCTTTTTTTTTTTAATTTCAAAGAACTAGTTTACTAGCCCATCACTGGCGTTAGTCCAAATTTTAATTTTTAGTGGGATAATTGTATAGTAGCATAATAGCACAGCAAACATCACTTATCTAAGCTAGCAAAGAGTGACTCTTTGATTCTTTGATTCCACATAAATAATTTACAAGCTAGTAAAACAAAAAATTGTGGTAGAATCAATCAACTAAGAAGAAAAGGTAATTTTAATTCAATATGAGGCTACTTGCCCAAAAGGCCTTAAGGGCAAAAATCCTTGGGTCTGAAAATTGTCAAGCATTTTTTCTCAACACTGGAAAGGAAATACTACCTTCACCCATTAGAGCCACAGGACTAAGGAGTAGGAGTAAATATTTAACAGGGATGGGGACATAATATTTAAACCATTGGTCTCAAAACTTATTTTTCATAGTAAAGAAAACATTTTTTTCTTTTTCTTTTTTTTTTTTTTTTTTTTTGGAGACAGAATCTCACTCTGTCACCCAGGCTGGAGTGCAGTGGCATGATCTCTGCTCACTGCAAGCTCCACCTCCCAGGTTCACACCATTCTCCTGCCTCAGCCTCCCGAGTAGCTGGGACTACAGGTGCCCACCACCACACCTGGCTAATTTTTTGTAGTTTTAGTAGAGACAGGGTTTCGCCGTGTTACCAGGATGGTCTCGATCTCCTGACCTCATGATCTGCCCGTCTCGGCCTCCCAAAGTGCTGGGATTACAGGCGTGAGCCACCACACCTGGCCAGAAAACTTTTTTTTTCAAATGAAGCTTGGGGAAACTCTACTCGTGGCCCAGATGAAAGTGGACTCATGGTAGTTGAGAAGTTGGCAAACTGCAGCCCATGGGCCAAATCCTTCCTGCTGCCAGTTTCTGTACAGCACATGAGATGCGAATGATTTTTACACTGTGAAATGGTTGAGGGGTAAAACTCAAAAACAAGGTAATATTTCATGGTGTGAAAATTATATGAAATTCAAACCTTAGTATCCATAAATACCATCTTACTGAAAATTGTATTTTATGTTTGTTTCTGTGTTGTCTATGTCTGCTTTCATGCTACAAAAGCAGACTTGAGTCGTTGTGACAGAGACCAGATGGTCTGCAAAGCCTGAAATTGTTATTATCAGGCTTTTTACAGGAAGAGCTTACCAACTTCTGTTCTAACTGAAACAGAGGTTGGAGAACAAGAGCCCCCTTTCCCAAAAGGTGAGAAAGTTCTTTGAAACCTAGAAGCTATAAATCAGTGCATTAAGAACCACTTGTTAATTCTTTTTCAATTAATAGAGCAATTCATTTGCCATCTATATGTAATAAGATTAAGAGGTAAAGAAAATGAATTTTGTTTAAAATTCTAAAACAAATACCATAGAACTAAAAGGAGGAGGAATCCAAGCTTCAGACAAGTCCTATTTTATTTTTCAGAGATCACATTTCTAGGTTTGGATCAAATACCAGAAACAAATGCATGTTGCATGGCTGTATTTTATTTACCTTTGGCCCCTCTCAGTCCCCGGTCTCCAGGAAGGCCAGACATGCCCTTCTCTCCAGGTTCTCCCTTTGCGCCAGGACATCCCTCTGCACCAGGCTTTCCTCTTTCTCCGGGAAAACCTGGGAAACCAGGCAGCCCCCGGGGTCCTGGTGAAATGAGAGCATAAAGTTTTAGGAAAATATTTTATTTGTTATTTATTTTTTCAGGGGTGGGAGGTGGACAGAGTCTCACTCTGTCACCCAGGCTGAAGTGCAGTGGCACGATCTCGGCTCATTGCAACCTCTGCCTCCCAAGTTCAAGCAATTCTCCTTCCTCAGCCTCCCGAGTAGCTGGGATTACAGGCGGGAGCCACCGCCCTTGGCTAATTTTTGTATTTTTAGTAGAGACGGAGTTTCACCATGTTGGCCAGGCTGGTCTCAAACTCCTAGCCTCAAGTGATCCACCCGCCTCAGCCTCCCAAAGTGCTGGGATTATAGGTGTGAGCCACTGTGCCTGGCCCTAGGAAAACATTTTACAGGCTAGTATGATTCTTATATATTGTGTTCCTCGTAGTTCATCTACAGATGCAAACTCCTGCCTAACGCTGAGTTTGTATTCAAAGTAAACAATTGCCAACCTCACTGCACTTAGTAGCTGGGCTCAGTTGGGCACGGTGACTCAGACCTGCAATCCTGGCACTAGGGAGACCAAGGCAGGAGGATCTTTGAGGCCAGGATTTCAAGATCAGCCTGGCTAAAATAGCGAGATCCTGTCTCCTAAAAAAAAAAAAAATTAGGCGTGGTGGCACATGCCTCTCAGGAGGCTGAGGTAGGAGGATCACTTGAGCCCAGGAGTTCAAGGCTGCAGTGAGCTATGATCCTGCCACTGCCCTCTAGCCTGGGCTACAGAGCAAGCCTCTGTCTCCTAAAAAAAATAATAATAATAAAATAAAAAAATAAAATAAAAATTCCATGCTCTGCCGCCCCATCCTCAGTTTCCTACCTACAGACCTGAAGTGTGGGCCCTGATGTGTCTGAGTCCTAATCCCCTAACAGGGGGTAGGGATGAGAGTGGGGACCCCCTCCAAAATGAAAATGCACCCTTCCCGACCCTAGGAGTTTACCGTGCTACCCAGTCTTCATGAATTCTGTGGCCCTAACACCTACAAACCCCTTTTCCCATTGACCGGTACAGAAACATTTCGCCACTGGAAATAACGATACAGAGGACAAGAGCAAGGGAGGCATCATTAAGGGAAGGACAAAGCCAGACTAACAGTTAACTCTTTTTGTGTGGTCATCTGTCCAGTCTTCACTTGGCAGTGGATTTCATGTTTCTAAGATGGGAGGACATCATGGAAAAAGCACTACCTACCCTTTGGACCTGGAGGACCAGGTAGCCCATCATCTCCAAAGGGACCTGGGATTCCTGGGAGGCCTGGGGGACCATGTGCCCCAGGCCGTCCTGGGAGTCCGGGGAGGCCTTTCATTCCAGCTGGCCCGGGAGGCCCCACATCTCCCGGCTGTCCTTTCCCACCTGGAGCACCTAAGACAAACCACAGTGACCACAGTGTGTGAAGGCTGAACACTGGCTTCACACACAGCAGGAAAAATATACAGTAGCTTAAACAATGCGTTAAACAACAGTAAAGCAATATTTGTTGGCTAAAATAACAGTAGCAACTTTCCATCAATCTAAGAATATATTTTTCTAGATGCCATAAATAGAAGGGCAGATCATTTGAGTAAATGTTTCCCAGTAGGGATGAATGTAGATTATAAAAAATATTTTTAACAGAAAACAAAAAGAAAAAACAAACATGTATTTGTATTTCCTCTTGGTGGAGGGAAACTAATAGAAGAAAACTTTCCAGGTTTTTCCTGAAGCTCTACAGCCGAGAAGAAGTCAGAGCCGGTGTCTAACATTATTGGTGCTAGAAATATGGCTGTAGCGGAAAGTTTTGCCTCAATCTGGTTTTAATTTTTCAAGTGCGTATATTACTGCATTTGGATAAAAGCAATGGGATTTAAATGACAGAGTAAACAATGTGAATAGTGAAATGAAGATCATATTGAAAATAGCCCCTGCTATGTTCTGAATGTGTCCCTCCAAAATTCATATGTTGAAAGTTAATCACCAATGTGATAGTATTAAAAGGTGAACACTTGGGGAGGTGATTAAGTCATAAGGGCAGAGCCCTCATGAATAAGATTGGTGACCTTATTAAAGAGGTGCAAAAGAGCTGTTTGCCCCATCTGCCTGTGAGGACACAAGGAAGGCACACCAAATCTGCTGGCAGCTTGATCTTGGACTTCCCAGCCTCCTGAGCCATAAGAAATAAATTTCTGTTGTTTATAAATTGCCTAGTTTAAGGTATTTGGTAGAGCAGTGCGAATGGACTAAGGCAGCCTCCCTGCACCTTGTATTAGGAGACACTCCAGGGGTCTCTTGTGTTCCTACGTCTTCCTGGGTATGCCAAGAATGCAAGATCCTAATGCTCTTTACCTGGGAAACTTCTCAAGCTTGTGTTTGCAGCAAGCACCCTTGATAAATGATATAGCACTTTCCTCAATAGGAAAAGCAGGCTTTCTCACAGGTTGCTATAAAGCAGTGGTTCCTTGGCTCAGGGCTCCTCTCATGTAATGCAACCCACTGTGTGTGTGGCCAACTAGCCCACTACATTGCCCCATAAGACTTGGGTGACATGGGGGAAGTGATGCAAACCAACATGAAACTCATGAGTAACGAAGTCCTTTGTCTCTGACTCAGGACTCTTGCTTCTGGCAGCATCCATAAAAGAGTAAAAGGGGAGCTTATTTAATTGTAAGTAGGGTAAGCCCCAGACCCTTCACAGTTCTTGACACTTACCTGGGCTACCTGGATACCCAGGGAGTCCCGGTTGCCCTGGTATCCCTGGAGCACCTCTTTCACAGGAATGGCCAGGTGGACCTGGGACACCTGGAAACCCAGCATGTCCCTCTCTGCCTTTGGGACCTTTGAGACCTAGGAATCCAGGAATGCCAGCTGGCCCTGAAATGATACAATACATCCATGACATTCATGACAAAAAACTATACAGATGGCCCATGATGAATTGTTCACGCATATCAATACTGGAGGTGAACATTTTCATCCTGAATCAGTGTTCAAATGGGTTAAGTCTTTGAGTGGATTTTCTTATCATAGATGTAATGAGTTCCTTATGAACAGAGAAACAACGCATTGCTAAGTGAGTTACTTGATAAGGTTATGTGGACTGCAGTTGCCTATGCAAATAAGAAACCACTTGGTTCTTCCTAATTTTAATTAACCTCTAACTTTGCATCAGGCTTTACATCAAATCTCTACAATATTTACAAACCCAGTTTGCACTGTATGAATTTGCATTTTATGAGAGATTTCATCACTTGTATTCTCAAATTTCTACTCACTAGAAAGACAGGGTCATAATCTTCAGGAAAGAACATCCCCCATAATTCCACACCCTAACCCAAAAATCTACTTTGTTTTCCTATGTTTTCTTTACATTTTGGTTCATATGTTTACATTTAAAAATAGTAATCAGTGCAAATTCAGTTGTTGGAGCGCTTCAGATTGCATATTAATCTGCAAATGTTTTCCAGTTTGTTGCAGTCTTTACAAATATGATTTAAATTGCTAATGGCTGGATGGTATTCCTTTGAGAGATAGAGTGTGTGTGTATGTGTGTGTGTGTGTCTGTCTTTGTTCTTTCCAATTATTCCTCTGCTGTGGATAATACTACAAGGGCATTTTCATATCTATAACCTTCTTCCATTGAACACTTCCCTTAGATATATTTTCACAAGTGAGATAGTCGGATTACTGGGTCATTATTTTTATTGACTTACATTATGTTTCACCTGTTACTTTCCAATTAATTGTTTCTTTCAATATGAATCTTTTTATTTACAAACTTCCATGCAAGCTCCTTGAGGGTGCTAATTCTCCTCCTCTCCTCCACGTGTCCTGTGCTAATGTACTCTAGTGGATGCCTAATAAACACTGGCCCACCGACTTTTAGAAAAGAACCAGAATGTTCTTTGTAAACATCTGATCTGTGGTTCACATCTTGATCACCATCACCCAAGAGGCCCACTGAAGTTCAGAATGTGGGGCCCCACCCCAGAAATAATGAATCAGAATTCCTCAGACTGGGGTCCTGAAGACAATAATTTTAATGAGCTGCCCCACCCCCACTTGGTTATTTTTAAGTACATTAAAACCTGAAAAACTCCACTGGGGATCCTGAAGGATCCTTACTGATTTCAGAAAAGGATATGAATCAGTGTCCAGGCCATCTTCCTCTCTTGCGTTTGATGCCCTCCTGCCACCCCAAATGGAATGAAGGTCCCTCTACCCTGTCTCTTGTGCGAAGACAGCTTGTCCTCTAGGCTCAGCTCATACCCGGCTCTCCCATAGAGTGTTCCCAGATGCCAGCTCACAGCTCCAGCCTCTAAGCCACTCTTCCTCTCACAATCAGGCCTGCCTACCTTCCACCTGGCAACAGCCCCAGACAGGTTACACAGTCCCTGCTCTTGGCCTTTGCAGCACCAACATACTAGCTGCGGAATCAAATTGAGTTGAATGAACCACAGTGAGCTGCCCTGCATTTGAAAACAATCAATAAAGTGCAAAGGCAAGGCTAGAGATTCAGGTTATTTGAAATGTAACCAGCACCCCAAATGAGGGAAAACACTTGGGTAAACTGTTTATATTCTACATGCCTAAAGCAAAATAATCTAAACGTTCTTCAGTGACCTGTTCCAAAACTGAGCCAGCTCTATGCACCAAAAGGACAGCAAAGCCCTCATACCTTCAGCCCCTGGACATCCCGGATCACCTCTGGGTCCTTTTATCCCTGGCACTCCTGAAAGACCCCTCTTTCCCGGGGGTCCCAGGTGACCAAATGCAGGGTCTCCCGGGATTCCTTTCTGACCATTCACTCCTGGTGAGCCGGGAGGGCCTGGGGGCCCAACAGGGGAGGACCCCTTTTCACCTCCAAAACCCGGATCTCCCATGTCACCACGAAAACCTATTTAACAACAAAAAAAAATTTTTAATGATAACATGTGCAAGTATAGAACCAATACATATAAGACTTACTTTGATAAAAATACTTTTCTTAAAAACACAGGGGTACTTACTAAAATTAAGAGCAGTTTAACAGTAATGTTGTTTTGCCACCTTTTGTAGAGAGAGAAACTGCAACTTTGTGTTTCCTATAAGCCAATGATGTTTCCCTAATTGCTTTCCTTCTCTGGCAAACATTCTGGCTGGACTGAGTAGTTTCAACAACATAATAGACAAATAATAGCCCACAACTTATGCTTCAAGGTGTAAGGAGCCTTGGCAACTTATAAAATTATAATCTGAAAGTTATCACAATATAGCTAAGGGTCTATCAAGAAACACCATTTCCCTATTATCTAGGGATCCCTGGACCATTTCCTCAATGAAATTATCCATCGGTAGAAATGTTAAAAAGTTCCTGATAGATATTCCCAAAGCAGAAAAAAAAAAAAAAAAAAAAAAAACCTCACTGACCAGGTGGACCTGGTATTTCCGCTGTTCCTGGTGTGCCAGGTCTGCCTTTATGCCCATCTGAACCACTCAGCCCAGGGGCACCTTGGGGACCTGGAAATCCCTTCGGACCTAAACAATAATAAAAACAAAACACAGACTCAATAAAACAAAATCTAATGTGAACAAAATGAGATGATTTTCTTTAAGTCTATGTTAAGTCCTTTTAGAATATTTCTACTTTATGGAAGTAAGGATGTTGCCTATCCCGATTTACAAAAATATATTGTAAGTCATATGCTCCAAATAAATGTTTTCTAGGAGTGATTTTGTTAAGGCACTTTCTCAGAAGCCATCCTGTGAAGGATTCTTCCTGAAAGCCTTTGGAACTTGTACCACCATTCAGGTGACTTTTTTTGGTATCTTCCCATGCTAGGTCTGAAACACGACTATGCAACCATTGTCTGCCCTTGTAGGGGTAAAGAGGTGGTGGCCAGTGTCTACCTTGACAAGAAAGGATCAGATTAAAGACCAAAATCTATTTCCCTGCATCTTACTGAATTTGCCCTTAAATGAAGTATAGGCAAAAAGCACTTGCAAAAAGTAATAGAGAATTTTTTTTTTTTTTTTTTTTGAGACAGAGTCTTGCTTTGTCACCAAGGCTGGAGTGCAGTGACGCAGTCTCGGCTCACTGCAAGCTCTGCCTCCTGGGTTCACGCCATTCTCCTGCCTCAGCCTCCCAAGTGGCTGGGATTGCAGGCGCCCGCCACCACGCCTGGCTAATTTTTTATGT
This sequence comes from Homo sapiens, assembly GCF_000001405.40. NCBI lineage: Eukaryota > Metazoa > Chordata > Mammalia > Primates > Hominidae > Homo > Homo sapiens. The sequence goes on from NC_000002.12 coordinate 227,060,905, forward strand.
TTTTAGTAGAGACAGGGTTTCACCGTGTTAGCCAGGATGGTCTCATCTCCTGACCTCGTGATCCACCCACCTCGGCCTCCCAAAGTGCTGAGATTACAGGCATGAGCCACCGCACCCGGCCTAGAGAATCTATTTTAAACCTTCTGTGATTTTCTACAAGGAGTTATCTCAGCTAAAATAACTTATAAATCATAAACTTCAATGGAGGCACAACTGTCAAATTAAAATGTGAGTATTCACTTCTCTCGAAGTTACAGCTGCTGAAAGAAATCAAACTTTTTTTTATCCACCCATGACCAGTAAAAGTAAAAATGAACGTTCAATCCGTCAACCTGCAATTCTCCACTCTGCTGATACGGAATTATATTTCCGCACTCTTGCCATTGCCTTGTGGTGGGCGGAGTGTAATTCCCTGCCCTTTTACCCAGGGCTTGGTCATGTGACTTGTTTTGGGCAATAGGAAATGAATGCCCATGATCCAATCAGAGGTGTGGAGGGAGCCTGTGAGCTGAGCTGGCCCTCTTGCATTTCTGCAATCACATGAGAAAAGCCTGGCCTTGCAATGAGATGCATGTTGCAACCCCAAACCTAACTTGGAGCTACACTCTAAGCCAACAGAGACCATCTTAGATCAGCTAAACCCAACCAACCTGCAGACCCATAAGATAGAAAATAAGTGTTTGCTGTAGCCCACTGAGATTTTGAGATTATTTACACATTATTGTCATAAAATTTGATGGTAGAGAGAGTAACAGTCAGTCATTATTCATACTAGTAATGAACGGGTAGGGAACTCTAAAGAAACAAAGAAGAGTTAGGCAAAATATCTTAGATAGATTTTGGATTTAATTCATCTAAAAATAAGTGATTGATTCAAATGAAGCTGTTGCATGAATGTGCAAACAAGGACAGAGATATTTGGGCATTTTTTTCAAATGTTTCTGATCAAATGTTGGTTCTCTTGGAAAGTAAAACTTACAATCAATAAACAAGTGATCATGATTCACTCTTGAGGCACAGGAAAGGAAAGAAGATACAGTTTTAAAACTTTCAGGCTGGGTGCGGTGGCTCACACCTGTAATCCCAGCACTTTGGGAGGCCGAGGTGGGCGGATCACAAGGTCAGGAGTTCAAGACCAGCCTAACCAATATGGTGAAACCCTGTCTCTACTAAAAACACAAAAATTAGCCGGGCACGGTGGCGGGTACCTGTAGTCCCAGCTACTTGGAAGACTGAGGCGGAAGAATCATTGAACCTGGGAAGCAGAGGTTGCAGTGAGCTGAGATCACACCACTACACTCCAGCCCGGGAGACAAAGTGAGACTCCGTCTCAAAAAAAAAAAAAAAACTTTCAAGGGACAGACATTTTAACTGATATGTGAGCAAATCAAGGTAAATTTTATTGTACAAAGATTTGAAAAGCCCATCTGGAGTGTTCTCAAACCAGCAGACTAGAGGCCCAACTACAAATTACTACAAATGCTGTTTTCCCCTATCCATGGTCCCTCAAAACTTCAGAAATGTCCTAACTAGTCTGAGGATTCACTCTTGGTTTATCTGTCTGGCTGGTTTTTTTTTTTTTACTCTGGGAAGTATATAAGACAGTAACTTCTCATTGATAATACCTGGAGGTCCATCAAAACCTGGAGGGCCATGCCTCCCAGGGTAGGTTACGTTGCAAGAAATTGTGTCACCTGCAATGAGAAAAGAAAAGCGGCATTCACATAACTGATAGCCCAGTGCAATGTGAGTCTGTCTCAATGACAACTTCCTCAAGATATTTTTCTGTATAGTATATGCAGAAGTCAAAGAAAAAGAAGACTCCCAAGTATCATTAGATCACTTAAGCTGCTTTCATACAGAATTTTTAGATTTTTCCTGAAATCTGAATTTCAACTGTCAGAAGAGTTATAAACGTAAGAAAAGAAATATATTGATTATAAAAAGTATAAGTTTCAATAATCTATAAAAGCAATGTAGATGATAAAAATGTAATGGAGATGAACTACATGGGTAGTAGATAATAATAATAATGTAATGGAGATCTATTACATGCATATCTAACACAATAGAATGAGAAGTCTCGATAAATCATAAAATAGCAGCAGGTGTCCAATGCTGAGTTCAGAAAATCTGACTCTTACTATGAACATGGAGAAATTGTGCAAATGAAGAGGCTGGGCTAAATGTGAATAGCTACCACTTATTGAGGGTTGGTGCTTCAAGTATATTGTCTCATTTTTCTAATGACTTCACAATCTAGTAGCATCATCCCCCATGTTAAAGAAATGTTTAAAGAAAGTTAATAAGCAGTTGAGGGTCTGAATGAAAAATTTTCTAGAGAGATAGATATCACCAATAAAACACCCAAGTTTGAGCCTCTCAGTTCCCTCTCAGTTCCTGTATCCTAAAATGGAATTTTTCTCTTTTATATTAGGAATAATACCTCATAGTGCATTTCTTTATATGCTCTCAGATCTAAGATATATCAGATGAATAAAAATGACATCAGATTTTGTTGGGTTCTAGACCATGAATTTATACCTTATCAAATACCAAGATACTTGCTTGCCTTTCTGTTATCAAAACAAGAACAAAGGATATTACTTTGTTCTAAAACTTCACAACTAGCAATGTAGTTCAAGATATATATATAATACATGTTACAAAAGAAAAAAACTTAAACCTTTTTTGCCACCTTCTTAAGAGTTTTCAGCTATAATCCTGAAAGTCATTTTATTGTTTGAAATTCACATAACTGTAAAATATATTTAAAATACCTTCTTTTTTCTCACTAGAATGCCAACAAATGGTTTTTCATGGACAATGATAGTTTAAATGAGATACTAGTTTTTAAAAATTAAAATATATAGTATTATCTCAAAAGACTATAAAAATAATTCTATACTTTGAGTATGTGTATATAATATATATACATATATGTAATTTTAATATAGTCAGATTGTATGAGTTCATACTGAGAAATGAAGGAAAAGCAATTTTGGTATGTCAAATAAAACAACAAAGATATTTTAGCATCTTAAGGATTTACTTTAAATATTGTGTTGTAATGCTTTTATTTGTTTAACAAGGTACAAGGTTTGAACAGTGCCTGGATCAAATTTTATGTAGCTATTATGCCATAGCTATAATAATTTTGCCCAGAAGAGACTCATTTTAGCTTCCATGATTTTATGTGACATTCTGCCACAGAAATATTCAAAATTACCTTTCTGGGTGAAAACATCATAAATAAATTTAAAAAGCAATTCAGGATATGAACAAAAAAATTCTCTAGACAGATATCATCAAGAAAAACTAATCCGAACTTTGACAAATGAAAAACATACTGAGGGAATTACAAAATGCAGTGGAAAGTTTTAACAATAGACTAGAACAAAAAGAATTTCAGAGCTCAAAGACAAGGCTTTTGAATTAACCCAATCAGACAAAAATAAGAAAAAAATGAACAAAGACTCTAAGACATATGGTATTAGTAAAACAGCCAAACCTAAGACTAATTGGCATTCCTGAGGGAAAAGAAAAAAGAACTAATTTGAGGCAGTTATTGAGGAAAACTTCCATGGCCTGGCTACAGATCTAGATATCCAAAGCCAAGAAGCTTAAAGAACTCCTGGGAAATTCATTGCAAAAAGACCTTCACCAAGCCATATAGTTATCAGACTATCTAAATTCAAAATGAAGGCAAGAATTCTAAGAGCAGTGAGACAAATGCATCAGGTAACTTATAAATGAAAACCTATCAGACTTATAGCAGACTTCTCAGCAGAAACCTTACAAGCCAAAAGGGATTGGCATCCTATCTTCAACCTCCTTAAACAGAACAACTGTCGGCCAAGAATTTCGTATTCCACAAAACTAAATTTCATAAATGAAGGAGAAATAAAGTCATTTTCAGACAAGCAAATGCTGAGGAAATTTTTCACTACAAAACATGCACTACAAGAAATGCTAAAAGGGAAGATGGCCGAATAGGAACAGCTCCAGTCTACAGCTCCCAGCGCGCGCGACGCAGAAGACGGGTGATTTCTGCATTTCCATCTGAGGTACCGGGTTCATCTCACTAGGGAGTGCCAGACAGTGGGTGCAGGTCAGTGGGTGCGCGCACCGTGCACGAGCCGAAGCAGGGCGAGGCATTGCCTCACTTGGGAAGTGCAAGGGGTCAGGGAGTTCCCTTTCCTAGTCAAAGAAAGGGGTGACAGAGGGCACCTGGAAAATCGGGCCACTCCCACCCGAATACTGCGCTTTTCCGACGGGCTTAAAAAACGGCGCACCAGGAGATCACATCCCGCACCTGGCTCGGAGGGTCCTACGCCAGGCTGATTGCTAGCACAGCAGTCTGAGATCAAACTGCAAGGCGGCAGCGAGGCTGGGGGAGGGGCGCCCGCCATTGCCCAGGCTTGATTAGGTAAACAAAGCAGCCCAGAAGCTCAAACTGGGTGGAGCCCACCACAGCTCAAGGAGGCCTGCCTGCCTCTGTAGGCTCCACCTCTGGGGGCAGGGCACAGACAAACAAAAAGACAGCAGTAACCTCTGCAGACTTAAATGTCCCTGTCTGACAGCTTTGAAGAGAGCAGTGGTTCTCCCAGCACACAGCTGGAGATCTGAGAACAGGCAGACTGCCTCCTCAAGTGGGTCCCTGACCCCTGACCCCCGAGCAGCCTAACTGGGAGGCACCCCCCAGCAGGGGCAGACTGACACCTCACAGGGCCCAGTACTCCAACAGACCTGCAGCTGAGGGTACTGTTAGAAGGAAAACTAACAAACAGAAAGGACATCTACACCAAAAACCCATCTCTACATCACCATCATCAAAGACCAAAAGTAGATAAAACCACAAAGATGGGGAAAAAACAGAGCAGAAAAACTGGAAACTCTAAAAACCAGAGCACCTCTCCTCTTCCAAAGGAACGAAGTTCCTCGCCAGCAATGGAACAAAGCTGGACGGAGAATCACTTTGACGAGCTGAGAGAAGAAGGCTTCAGACGATCAAATTACTCCGAGCTACGGGGGAACATTCAAACCAAAGGCAAAGAAGTTGAAAACTTTGAAAAGAATTTAGAAGAATGTATAACTATAATAACCAATATAGAGAAGTGCTTAAAGGAGCTGATGGAGCTGAAAACCAAGCCTCGAGAACTACGTGAAGAATGCAGAAGCCTCAGGAGCCGATGCGATCAACTGGAACAAAGGGTATCAGCGATGGAAGATGAAATGAAGCGAGAAGGGAAGTTTAGAGAAAAAAGAATAAAAAGAAATGAGCAAAGCCTCCAAGAAATATGGGACTATGTGAAAAGACCAAATCTACATCTGATTGGTGTACCTGAAAGTGACAGGGAGAATGGAACCAAGTTGGAAAACACTCTGCAGGATATTATCCAGGAGAACTTCCCCAATCTAGCAAGGCAGGCCAACATTCAGATTCAGGAAATACAGAGAACGCCACAAAGATACTCCTCGAGAAGAGCAACTCCAAGACACATAATTGTCAGATTCACCAAAGTTGAAATGAAGGAAAAAATGTTAAGGGCAACCAGAGAGAAAGGTCGGGTTACCCTCAAAGGGAAGCCCATCAGACTAACAGTGGATCTTTCGGCAGAAACTCTACAAGCCAGAAGAGAGTGGGGGCCAATATTCAACATTCTCAAAGAAAAGAATTTTCAACCCAGAATTTCATATCCAGCCAAACTAAGCTTCATAAGTGAAGGAGAAATAAAATACTTTACAGACAAGCAAATGCTGAGAGATTTTGTCACCACCAGGCCTGCCCTAAAAGAGCTCCTGAAGGAAGCGCTAAACATGGAAAGGAACAACCGGTACCAGCTGCTGCAAAATCATGCCAAAATGTAAAGACCATCGAGACTAGGAAGAAACTGCATCAACTAATGAGCAAAATAACCAGCTAACATCATCATGACAGGATCAAATTCAAACATAACAATATTAACTTTAAATGTAAATGGACTAAATGCTCCAATTAAAAGACACAGACTGGCAAATTGGATAAAGAGTCAAGACCCATCAGTGTGCTGTATTCAGCAAACCCATCTCACGTGCAGAGACACACATAGGCTCAAAATAAAAGGATGGAGGAAGATCTACCAAGCAAATGGAAAACAAAAAAAGGCAGGGATTGCAATCCTAGTCTCTGATAAAACAGACTTTAAACCAACAAAGATCAAAAGAGACAAAGAAGGCCATTACATAATGGGAAAGGGCTCAATTCAACAAGAAGAGCTAACTATCCTAAATATATATGCACCCAATACAGGAGCACCCAGATTCATAAAGCAAGTCCTGAGTGACCTACAAAGAGACTTAGACTCCCACACATTAATAATGGGAGACTTTAACACTCCACTGTCAACATTAGACAGATCAACGAGACAGAAAGTCAACAAGGATACACAGGAATTGAACTCAGCTCTGCACCAAGCAGACCTAATAGACATCTACAGAACTCTCCACCCCAAATCAACAGAATATACATTTTTTTCTGCACCACACCACACCTATTCCAAAATTGACCACATACTTGGAAGTAAAGCATTCCTCAGCAAATGTAAAAGAACAGAAATTATAACAAACTATCTCTCAGACCACAATGCAATCAAACTAGAACTCAGGATTAAGAATCTCACTCAAAACCACTCAACTACATGGAAACTGAACAACCTGCTCCTGAATGACTACTGGGTACATAACGAAATGAAGGCAGAGATAAAGATGTTCTTTGAAACCAACGAGAACAAAGACACAACATACCAGAATCTCTGGGATGCACTCAAAGCAGTGTGTAGAGGGAAATTTATAGCACTAAATGCCCTCAAGAGAAAGCAGGAAAGATCTAAAATTGACACCCTAACATCACAATTAAAAGAACTAGAAAAGCAAGAGCAAACACATTCAAAAGCTAGCAGAAGGCAAGAAATAACTAAAATCAGAGCAGGACTGAAAGAAATAGAGACACAAAAAACCCTTCAAAAAATTAATGAATCCAGGAGCTGGTTTTTTGAAAGGATCAACAAAATTGATAGACCGCTAGCAAGACTAATAAAGAAAAAAAGAGAGAAGAATCAAATAGATGCAATAAAAAATGATAAAGGGGATATCACCACCGATCCCACAGAAATACAAACTACCATCAGAGAATACTACAAACACCTCTACGCAAATAAACTAGAAAATCTAGAAGAAATGGATAAATTCCTCGACACATACACTCTCCCAAGACTAAACCAGGAAGAAGTTGAATCTCTGAATAGACCAATAACAGGATCTGAAATTGTGGCAATAATCAATAGCTTACCAACTAAAAAGGGTCCAGGACCAGATGGATTCACAGCTGAATTCTACCAGAGGTACAAGGAGGAACTGGTACCATTCCTTCTGAAACTATTCCAATCAATAGAAAAAGAGGGAATCCTCCCTAACTCATTTTATGAGGTCAGCATCATCCTGATACCAAAGCCAGGCAGAGACACAACCAAAAAAGAGAATTTTAGACCAATATCCTTGATGAACATTGATGCAAAAATCCTCAAAAAATACTGGCAAACCGAATCCAGCAGCACATCAAAAAGCTTATCCACCATGATCAAGTGGGCTTCACCCCTGGGATGCAAGGCTGGTTCAATATACGCGAATCAATAAATGTAATCCAGCATATAAACAGAACCAAAGACAAAAACCACATGATTATCTCAATAGATGCAGAAAAGGCCTTTGACAAAATTCAACAACTTTCATGCTAAAAACTCTCAATAAATTAGGTATTGATGGGACATATTTCAAAATAATAAGAGCTATCTATGACAAACCCACAGCCAATATCATACTGAATGGGCAAAAACTGGAAGCATTCCCTTTGAAAACTGGCACAAGACAGGGATGCCCTCTCTCACCACTCCTATTCAACATAGTGTTGGAAGTTCTGGCCAGGGCAATTAGGCAGGAGAAGGAAATAAAGGGTATTCAATTGGGAAAAGAGGAAGTCAAATTGTCCCTGTTTGCAGACGACATGATTGTATATCTAGAAAACCCCATTGTCTCAGCCCAAAATCTCCTTAAGCTGATAAGTAACTTCAGCAAAGTCTCAGGATACAAAATCAATGTACAAAAATCACAAGCATTCTTATACACCAACAACAGACAAACAGAGAGCCAAATCATGAGTGAACTCCCATTCACAATTGCTTCAAAGAGAATAAAATACCTAGGAATCCAACTTACAAGGGATGTGAAGGACCTCTTCAAGGAGAACTACAAACCACTGCTCAAGGAAATAAAAGAGGATACAAACAAATGGAAGAATATTCCATGCTCATGGGTAGGAAGAATCAATATCGTGAAAATGGCCATACTGCCCAAGGCAATTTACAGATTCAATGCCATCCCCATCAAGCTACCAATGACTTTCTTCACAGAATTGGAAAAAAACTACTTTAAAGTTCATATGGAACCAAAAAAGAGCCGGCATCGCCAAGTCAATCCTAAGCCAAAAGAACAAAGCCGGAGGCATCACACTACCTGACTTCAAACTATACTACAAGGCTACAGTAACCAAAACAGCATGGTACTGGTACCAAAACAGAGATATAGATCAATGGAACAGAACAGAGCCCTCAGAAATAACGCCGCATATCTACAACTATCTGGTCTTTGACAAACCTGAGAAAAACAAGCAATAGGGAAAGGATTCCCTATTTAATAAATGGTGCTGGGAAAACTGGCTAGCCATACGTAGAAAGCTGAAACCAGATCCCTTCCTTACACCTTATACAAAAATCAATTCAAGACGGATTAAAGACTTAAACATTAGACCTAAAACCATAAAAACCCTAGAAGAAAACCTAGGCATTACCATTCAGGACATAGGCATGGGCAAGGACTTCATGTCTAAAACACCAAAAGCAATGGCAACAAAAGACAAAATTGACAAATGGGATCTAATTAAACTAAAGAGCTTCTGCACAGAAAAAGAAACTACCATCAGAGTGAACAGGCAACCTACAAAATGGGAGAAAATTTTCGCAACCTACTCATCTGACAAAGGGCTAATATCCAGAATCTACAATGAACTCAAACAAATTTACAAGAAAAAAACAAACAACCCCATCAAAAAGTGGGCGAAGGACATGAACAGACACTTCTCAAAAGAAGACATTTATGCAGCCAAAAAACAATGAAAAAATGCTCACCATCACTGGCCATCAGAGAAATGCAAATCAAAACCACAATGAGATACCATCTCACACCAGTTAGAATGGCAATCATTAAAAAGTCAGGAAACAACAAGTGCTGGAGAGGATGTGGAGAAATAGGAACACTTTTACACTGTTGGTGGGACTGTAAACTAGTTCAACCATTGTGGAAGTCAGTGTGGCGATTCCTCAGGGATCTAGAACTAGAAATACCATTTGAACCAGCCATCCCATTACTGGGTATATACCCAAAGGATTATAAATCATGCTGCTTTAAAGACACATGCACACGTATGTTTATTGCGGCATTATTCACAATAGCAAAGACTTGGAACCAACCCAAATGTCCAACAATGATAGACTGGATTAAGAAAATGTGGCACATATACACCATGGAATACTATGCAGCCATAAAAAACAATGAGTGCATGTCCTTTGTAGGGACATGGATGAAACTGGAAATCATCATTCTCAGTAAACTATCGCAAGAACAAAAAACCAAACACCACATATTCTCACTCATAGGTGGGAATTGAACAATGAGAACACATAGACACAGGAAGGGGAACATCACACTCTGGGGACTGTTGTGGGGTGGGGGGAGGGGGGAGGGGGGAGGATAGCATTAGGAGTTATACCTAATGCTAGATGACGAGTTAGTGGGTGCAGCACAGCAGCATGTCACATGTATACATATGTAACTAACCTGCACATTGTGCACATGTACCCTAAAACTTAAAGTATAATAATAAATAAATAAATAAATAAATAAATGCTAAAAGGAGTTCTAAACCTTGAAACAAAAGCCTGATATGCACCAAAATAGAACCTCTTGAAACTTTAGAACTCACACGGCCTATAATACAATAACACAATGAAAAGACAACTATCTGGGTAACAATTAACATGATGAAGAGAACAATACCTCACATCTCAATATTCATGTTGAGTGTAAATGCTCCACTTCAAAGATACGGGATGGCAAAATGGACAAAAACAACACAATCCAAATATCTGCTGTCTTTAAGAGGCTAACACAGAAATACTCATATAAACTCAAGATAAAGGGGTAGGAAAATGTATTCCATGCAGATAGAAACCAAAGGCAGCAGGGATAGCTATTCTTGTATCAGAAAAAACAAACTTCAAAATAACAATAGTAATAACAAAAAGACAAAGATGGTCACTATGTAATGATAAAACGATCAACAAGAAGATACTACAATCATAAATTTATATGCACCAAACACTGGAGCTTTTAGATTCAAAAAACAATTACTACTAGACCTAAGAAATGAGATAGACAGCAAAACAATAATAGTGGGAGACTTCAATACACCACTGACAGCACTAGACAGATCTTCATGACAGAACGTCAACAGAGAAACAATGGATGTAAGTGACACACTAGAGCAAATTAACTTAACAGACATTTACAGAACATTCTACCCAAGATCTGCAGGATATACATTCTTCTCAGAAGCATGGAACATTCTCCAAGATAGACCATATGACAGGCCACAAAATAAGTCTCAATAAATTTTTTAAAACTGAAATTGTATCAAGTATCTTCTCAGACCACAGTGGAATAAAATTAGAAATCAACTCCAAAAGGAACCCTCAAAATTATACAAATACATGGAAATTAAATAATCTGCTCCTGAATGATATCTGGGTTAACAATGAAATCAGGATGGACATTTAAAAATTATTTGAATTGAATGATAATATTGACACAAGTTTTCAAAACATCTGGAATACAGCAAAAGCAGTGCTAAGAGGAAAGCTTATAGTGCTAACTGCCTACATCAAAAAGTCTGAAAAAGCACACATTGACAACCTAAAGTCACACCTCAAGGAACTAGAAAAACAAAAGCATACTAAACTTAGAGCTAGAAGAAGAAATAACAAAGATCAGACTGAACCAAATGAAATGCAAACCAAAAAAATATGAAAAATTAATGAATAAAAAGCTAGTTAAAAAGCCGTTTCCTTGAAAAAATAAACAAAATCAATAGACCATTAGCTAGATTAAACAAGAAAAGAAGAGAGAAGATCCAAATAAGCTCAATTAGAACCGAAACTGGGGTCATTACAACCAACACCACAGAAATACAAAAGACCATTCAAGACTACTATGGATACCTTTATGTACACAAACTAGGAAATCTAGAGGAAATGGACAAATTCCTGGAAACATAAAACCCTACTAGATTATATCAGGAAGAAATAGAAACCTCAAACAAACCAATAACAAGCAGTGAGATTGAATCAGTAATTTTTAAATTCCCAAGAAAACAAACCCAGAATCAGATGGATTCACAGCTAAATTCTACTTAGACACTGAGAGAAAAGAATTGGTACAAATCCTACTGAAACTGTTCCAAAAGATTGATAAAGAAGGCATCCTCCCTAAATCATTCTATTAAGCTAGTATCATCCTGATACCAACACAGGAAAAGATACACACACACACACACAAACTACAGACCAATTTCCTTGATGAACATAGATGCAAAAATCCTCAACAAAATACTAAATGAATTGAACAGCATATCAAAAAGAGAATTCATCATGATCAAGTGGTTTTCATCCCAGGGATGTAGGGATGGTTTAATATATGCAAGTCAATAAATGTGATCCATCACATAAACATAATTAAAAACAAAAACCACATGATCAATAGATGCAGAAAAAGCATTCGACAAAATCCAGCATTCCTTTATGACAAAAAATCTCAACAAACAAGGCATAGATGGGACCTACCTCAAATAATAATAACTATGTATGACAAACCCACAGATAACATCATATGGAATGGAAAAAAGTTGAAAGCATTCCCCCTGAGAACAGGAACAAGAGAAGGATGCCCACTTTCACCACTCCTATTCAACATAGTTCTGGAAGTACTAGCCAGAGCAATTAGGTAAGAGAAATAAATAAACAGCATCAAAATTAGAAAAGAGGAAGTCAAACTATCACTGTTTGCCGATAATATGATTGTACACTTACAAAATCCTAAGGATTCTTCAAAAATACTCTTAGATATGATAAACAAATTCAGTAAAGTCTCAGGTTACAAAATCATTGTACATAAATCAGTAGCATTGCTATACACCAACAACAATCAAGTTGAGAATCAAATTAATAACTCAATTCCTTTTACAACAGCTGTGAAAACTAAAATAAAATAACTAAAAATATACTTAACCAAGGAGGTGAAAGTTCTCAAAAAGGAGAACTACAAAACACTGTTGAAAGAAATCATAGATGACACAAATGGAAATGCATCCAGTGTTTATGGATTGGGATAATTGATAATGTGAAAATGACCACACTTCAAAAGTAATCTACAGATTCAGTGGAATTCCCATCAAAATATGCACATCATTTTTCATAGAATTAGAAAAAACAATCCTGAATTTTGTATTGAACCAAAAAAGAGCCTGAATAGACAAAGCAATCCTAAGCAAAAAAGAACAAATCTGGAGACATCACATTACTGAACTTCAAATTATACTACAAGGCTTTAGTTACCAAAACAGCATGGTACTGTTGTAAAAGTAGGCACATACACCAATGGAACAGCACAGAGAATCCAGAAACAAAGCCAAATATCTACAGCTAACTGATCTTTAACAAAGCATACAAAAACAAAAAATTGGGGGGTGGACACCCTATTTAATAAATGATGCTGGGAAAACTGCCAAGCTACATGTATTAGAAGAATAAAACCGGATTCCTATCTCTCACCTTATACAAAAATCAACTGAAGATGGTTCAAAGACTTAAATATAAGACCTGAAACTATCAAAATTCTATAAGACAACATTGGAAAAACTCATATAGATATTGGCCTCAGCAAAGAATTCATGAATAAGACCCCAAAAGCAAATGCAACAAAAACTAAATACATAAATGGGACCCAGTTAAACTAAAAGGCCTCTGCACAACAAAAAAAATAAATAAGTAGAGTAAACAGAAACCCACAGAATGGGAGAAGCTATTTGCAAACTATGCATCCGACAAAGGGCCAGTATGCGGAATCTACAAAGAACTCAAACAAAACACCAAGAAAAAAACAAATAATCCCATTAAAAAGTGGGAAAAGGACATGAATAGACATTTCTCAAAGTAAGATAAACAAATGGACAACAAGCATGTGAAAAAATACTCAACATCACTAATCATTAGGGAAATGCCAATTAAAACTGCAATGAGATATTGCCTTACTCCTGCAAAAAATGGCCATTATTTAAAGACAAAAAACAATAGATATTGGCATGGATGTGGAGAAAAGGGAACACTTATACAATGCTGATGGAAATGTAAATTAGTACAACCTCTGTAGAAAACAAGTGTGGAGATTCCCTAAAGAGATAAAAGTAGATCCACCATGCGACCCAGCAATCCCACTACTGGGTATCTACCCAAAGGAAGAGAAGTCATTATATGAAAAAGACACTTGCACATGTATGTTTATAGCAGCACAATTCACAATTGCAAAGATGTGGCACCAATCTAAGTGCCTGTTGACTAATGAGTGGATAAAGAAAATGTGGTATACAAAAAACATGGAATACTACTCAGCCATTAAAAGGAACAAAACAATGGCTTTTGCAGCAACTTAGATGGAGCTGGAGGCCATAATTATAAATGAAGTAACACAGGAGTGGAAAACCAAAAACTGTATGTTCTCACTTACGAGTGGGAGGTAAGTGATGAGTATGCAAAGGCATAAGAGTGATATAATGGACTTCAGAGATTCAGAAAAGGGAGGATGCCCCAAGACTAAACCAGGAAGAATTCAAATCTGGTTTATTTGGTTATTCAAATAGACCAATAACAAGTTCTGAAATTGAGGCAGTAACCAATGAGGTAGTGAGCCTACCAACCAAAAAAAGCCCACGACCAGATGGATTCACAGCCGAAGTTTACCAGAGCTACAAAGAGGAGCTGGTACCATTTCTTCTGAAACTATTCCAAACAATAGAAAAATAAGAACTCCTCCCTTACTCATTTTATGAGGCCAGCATCATCCTGATACCAAAACCTGGCAGAGACACAACAACAAAAATTTTCAAGCTAATATCCCTGATGAACCTTAATGCAAAAACCCTCAATAAAATACTGGCAAACGGAATCCAGCAGCACATCAAAAAGCATATCCACCACGATCAAGTCTGGGATGCAAGGCTGGTTCAACATATGCAAATCAATAAACATAATTCATCACATAAACAGAACCACTGACAAAAACCACATGATTATTTTAACAGAGACAGAAAAGGCCTTCAATAAAATTCAATATCTCTTCATGAAAAAACTCTCAATAAACTAGTTATTGATGGAACATATCTCAAAATAACAAGAGCTATTTATGACAAACCCATAGGCAATATCATACTGAATTTGCAAAAGCTGGAAGCATTCCCTTTGAAAACCAGCACAAGACAAGGATGCCCTCTCTCACCACTCCTATTCAACATAGTATTGGAAGTTCTGGCCAAGGCAATCAGGCAACAGAAAGAAATAAAGAGCATTCAAACAGGAAGAGAGGAAGTCAAATTGTCTCTGTTTGCAGATGACATGATTGTATATTTAGAAAATCCCATCGTCTCAGCCCAAAAACTCCTTAAGCTAAGCAACTTCAGCAAAGTCTCAGGATACAAAATCAATGTGCAAAATTCACAACCATTCCTATACATCAACAATAGGCAAGCAGAGAGCCAAATCATGAGTGAACTCCCATTCACAATTGCTACAAAGAGAAAAAAATACCTAGGAATACAACTTACAAGGAATATGAAGGACCTCTTCAAGGAGAACTACAAACTACTGCTCAAAGAAATAAGAGAGGACACAAACAAATGGAAAAACATTATACACTCTTGGATAGGAAGAATCAATATCATGAAAATGGCCATACTGCCCAAAGTAATTTATAGCTTCAGTACTATTCCCATCAAGCTATCATTGACTTTCTTCACAGAATTAGAAAAAAAAATTACTTTAAATTTCACATGGAACCAAAAAAGAGCCCATATAGCCAAGACCATCCTAAGCAAAAAGAACAAAGCTGGAGGGATCAAGCTACCTGACTTCAAACTATACTACAAGTCTACAGTAACCAAAACAGCATGGTACTGGTACCAAAGCAGATATACAGGCCAATGGAACAGAACAGAGACCTCAGAAATAACACTACACATCTACAACCATCTGCTTTTTGACAAACCTGATAAAAACAAGCTATGGGGAAAGGAGTCCCTATTTAATTAATGGTGTTGGGAAAACTGGCTAGCCATATGCAGAAAGCAGAAACTGGACCCCTTCCTTACATCTTATACAAAAATTAACCCAAGATGGATTAAAGACTTAAATGTAAAACCCAAAACCATAAAAACCCTAGAAGAAAACCTAGGCAATATCATTCAGGACATAGGCATGGGCAAAGACTTCATGATTAAAATACCAAAAGCAATTGCAAAAGAAGCCAAATTGACAAATGGGATCTAATCAAACTAAAGAGCTTCTGTGCAGCAAAAGAAACTGTCATCAGAGTGAACAAGCAACCTACAGAATGGGAGAAAATTTATGCAATCTACCCATCTGACAAAAGTCTAATATCCAGAATATACAAGGAACTTAAACAAATTTACAAGAAAAAACCAACCCCTTCAAAAAGTGGGTGAAGGATATGAACAGATATCCTTCTTCTCAAAAGAAGATATTTATGTGGCCAACAAACATGAAAAAAAGCTTTTCATCAGTGGTCATTAGAGAAATGCAAATCAAAACCACAATGAGATACCATCTCACGGCAGTTAGAGTAGAGATTATTAAAAAGTCAGGAAACAACAGATGCTGGAGAGGATATGGAGAAATAGGAACACTTTTACACTGTTGGTGGGAGTGTAAATTAGTTCAACCATGATGGAAGACAGTGTGGTGATTCCTCAAGGATCTAGAATCAAAAATACCATTTGACCCAGCAATCCCATTACTAGGTATATACCCAAAGGATTATAAATCATTCTACTATAAAGACACATGTAAACATATGTTTATTGCAGTACTATTTACCATAGCAAAGACTTGGAACCAAACCAAATGCCCATCAATGATAGACTGGACAAAGAAAATGTGGCATATATACACCATGGTATACTATGCAGCCATAAAAAAAGAATGAGAACATTTTCTTTTGTAGGGATGTGGATGAAGCTGGAAGCTATCAATCTCAGCACACTAACACAGGAACAGAAAACCAAACACCGCATGTTCTCGCTCATAAGTGGGAGTTGAACAATGAGAACACATGGACACAGGGAGGGGAACATCACATAATATCGAGACCTGTCAGGGGGTCAGGGGTAAGGGGAAGGAGAGCATTAGGACAAATACCTTAATGCATGTGGGGCTTAAAACCTAGATGATGGGTTGATAGATGCAGCAAACCACCATGGCACATGTATACCTATGTAACAAACCTGCTCATTCTACATATGTATCCCAGAACTTAAAGTAAAATTAAAGAAAAAGAAAAAGAAAAACACTTGAATACTGAGAAAAAAAAAAAGAAGGAGGAGGGAGGAAAGGGGTCTAGGGATACAAAAATCTACACGTTAGGTAAAATGTACACTACTCGGGTGACAGGTACACTAAAATCTCAGAATTCACCACTATATAATTCTTCCACATAAGAAAAATAAACACTTGTACCCCAAAGCTATTGAAATAAATAAAATTTTTTTAAAATTACCTTTCTGACCCTTCAAGCCATCAGGGCCCCTCACACCTGGGTGGCCTGGAACTCCTGGGTGGCCTCGCTCTCCTGGTGGACCAGGAAATCCCAGTCCTGGGGGCCCCACAGGTCCTGCTTTGCCTGGGGGGCCCAGAGGTCCAGGAAATCCTTTACCACCTGGGGTCGCATCTTCATGATCCCCCTGGGAATGTTATGTCATGAGTCAATTACCAACCACTGAATGTCCATGAACTCAAAGCAGTCATTGTAGGTTACAGAAACACACGCAAAAGTCCATAATTTCAGGAGACAGTTACTCTTAAGCAAATGTAAGTTTAAAATAAATAACTTAGATACTTTTTAATATTTTAAATATATATATATAGAAATGGAGTCTCTCTCTGTCACCCAGGCTGGTGTGCAGTGGTGCTATCTCGGTTCACTGCAGCCTCCACCTCCCAGGTTCAAGCGATTCTCCTGCCTCAGCCTCCTGAGTAGCTGGGATTACAGGCACCCACCAGCTCACCTGGCTAATTTTTGTATTTTTAGTAGAGACTGAGTTTCGCCATGTTGGCCAGGCTGGTCTCAAACCCCTGACCTCCACCTGCCTCAGCCTCCCAAAGTGCAGGGATTACAGGCGTCAGCCACCGCGCCTGGCCAATATACACATTTTACAATTTATATACATACATATAATATAAGCATGTGTGTTAAGCCTCAAATACTGGAAACAATGTGTGTGATATGCCTTAAATACAGAATAAGAGATTTATGTCAAACCATTCTCTAATATCATATGTCATAGAATATAGAAATAAGTAGATCAAGGGAGGTGGTGGGATTACAAATCAAATACATTCTTATGTATTCTCTTGACAAGATACATAGCTAGACTCCATCATCCTCCACCCCTGTGGGTAAAAGCCTAGCAAGTCCTTTCTCCTCTTGCATGACAATTTGACTTTTGGTTAACTGTCTGGTTCTGTTCCTCTGATAAAAATTAGATTGTCAACTACCTTCCTAGGCAGTACTGCTTATAGTAAAATCAATCCCCAGTTGCAAAATTTGCATCTGGTCTGGAAGAACTGTGGGGAGCCTGCATCAAGGATTCCCTCACTGGCAATCCCTGGTGGGGTTCTCAAAAGCTGTGCAGTGGATAACAGCTCCCATGGGGAATGAGGCTTTCAAGTCAGGGCTGCCTCCATGCCCACCATATGTGGGTCTCATCCCTTCTTGCACCCCACCTGACTGAACAGCTGCAAGCACTCTCAAATGCAAGGAATATCTGACACTGTCCTGCTGGCATTTTGAGTGACCTTTTATCCTTCTACATGGCCTGGTCTCAAATGTGGTCTACAACAGTCTTATGGATCTGGATTGTTTCAACGAATCTAGGAAGACCTCAGCGAACGTTGAAATTCGTCTCCTAGTTTGATCTATATAGACGCTGCTTTTTCACAATTAGATGAGTACATTATGACAATATCCACTCAGTGACAGTGATTTCTAAGTAGTTCCTTGAGAGGAAGAATGAATTAAGCAGAGATTACCAAGCCTAAAGCAGAGATCATTCACATACTTGTGATCAGGAGAAAGGTCAGAAAGCTATAAACACCATCTAAGCCAATTTCCAGGCTTCTCTCTCTTGTTCACTTGGATTCTGTCTGAAGGGTTTCCTGTAGAATCAGGACATGGTCTTTCCCTGTTGCAACACTCTCAGTGGCTTCCCATTATATATGGCAGGCAGCACAGGTTGGTAGAAATAGCATGCACTTTGAAATAAGACAGACAAGTTTTCACTCCTATTTTGCCTATTTGACAGATGGGTAGCCTTGAATATCAGATGCTAAGCCTCCATTTTCTTACTGTAAAATTGGAAAGGTATTGCTTTTCAGAAGACTGTTTTGAGGAAACCATCTAGTCTGGTTTCTGTGATATTGTAAGCATTCAGAAATACTGCACATATTTAAGATATTTTAAGTTCCTAAGCATCGGATCATCTCATCCTCTTCTTTTATGACCTTAATTACCATTACCTACACATGGTATCCACCCAACGCATGTCTGAAAAATGCAGCAACATCCTTTATCAGTGAGATTTTCCATCAGCCAACGCCTTGACTCTGTGGGTTTGCACGAGTTCACCCTTTCATGCTCACTACTTCCCCCATGTGCATCTTCTCCAGGAAACAGAATTGATGCTAAACATCGGGACCCGAGCTCCATCCTCCACCCCACAGAGTCAACTGAATACACCTAAAATCAGTGGGGCCCTTCTAGGATACAAGTTTCTCAGAAGAAAATGAACACCACGAGAATGATATAAAGACCAAGGACCGAAAGTCCTGCTAGGACTGAACTGCCAAGAGGATTTTAGACCATGTCCAATGATGCTATACCTCTTAAAACAATCATCTTTCCATGTCAGGGTGCCAAAAGTGACTCTGATTTATAGTATGTTGATATTTTACTGAATTTCAGCTTGGCAAATAGAGAAAGGGGAAATAGTTGTTTGTATGACCATATAAGAAAGTGAAATTCTATAGCAAGAGAAGAATTCTACATACTGGAGGTCCTGGATCCCCTTTTTCTCCAGCATGTCCATCCCGACCATGTGATCCTGGCTGCCCTGGAAATCCTGGGGGCCCATCAGGACCTCTTTCTCCTTTGTGCCCTGGAAATAGAGGTCAAAAGATATTCAAGCTCTTATCAGCAGAGGGTAAAGTAGGATAGAGAGGACAAAAAATAAAGAAAATGACCTTGATTCTGGGTTGGTAGTTTCCTGTGTATCTCAATTGCTCAAGTCACATAAAACATGCCAAAGCCAGAGGGGAGAATGACAATTGCTAGAACCATTGAATCTCTTTACTTGGGAAAAGCTCCTTTTCCCATTCCAGCAAGGAGCTGGTGTGTGAAGGTGCCAATCACAGAATCTTCCCCTACCTGTGATGCCAAGCACAGCACTCTATCCCTGGCCATGGGAAAGGGGGAATGGTCTGCGGTTGGGTACTTGCCCTAAGCTAATCAGTCCTTTCTGAAATTATTTTTCTATTTGGAGCTGACAAAGCAGGGCTCTCTTCATCTCTGGATGTAAGAACTTGGAGCTGCCTGGGGGTATGAAAATCAGTCTGATGGGAGAAAATATAGATGGTACAATGTGAGATGAAAGATGCAGGGAGAGCCTCTTGATGCCACTGGAGGCCGGGATCTGGTTGTCCCAATGCCAACCTGTGATGGTTAATATTAAGTGTCAACTTGATTGGAATGAAGGATGCCTACATAGCTGGTAAAGGGTTGTTGTTGGGTGTGTCTGTGAGGGTGTTGCCAGAGGAGATTAACATTTGAGTCAGTGGACTGCGACAGGAAGACCTACTCCCAATGTGGGTGGGCACCATCCAATTAGCTGCCAGCACAGCTGGAACAAAGCAGGTGGAAGAAGGTGGGATAAGCTGGCTTGCTGAGTCTTCTGGCTTTCATCTTTCTCCTGTGCTGAATGCTTCCTGCCCTTGGACATCAGTCTCCAGGTTCTTCGGCCTTTGGACTCTTAAACTTACATCAGTGGTTTGCCAGGGCTCTTGTGCCTTCAGCCACAGACTGAGGGCCACACTGTTGGCTTCCCTACTTTTGAGGCTTTTGGACTCAAAAGTAGGAAAGCCACTACTTTTGGGGCTGAGCCACTACTGGCTTCCTTGCTCCTCAGCTTGCAGACAGCCTGTAGTGGGGTTTCACCTTGAGATCATATGAGTCAATTCTCCTTAATAAACTCCTTTTCATATACACATATATCCTATTAGTTCTGTCCCTGGGGAACTCTTACTAATAAAAAACACTACCTTTTAATATTTCACATTTTGTTTAGGTCAATAAATTACTTAAAAAAACGATTTCAAGCTGGGCTTCTTTCATTTACAATGAAAATATTATTGACTAATATAGAATACTGTAATGTGGTGAATAAACACCAGCCAAGCCAAAGGAGGGCTTGAGCCAAACTCAAGTTCACTATAATGAAGATGTGAATGTGTGGCTAAAGGAATATTTATGTTTTCAAATAAGAGACAGGGGATTTGGCTCAACATTCATACAACCTTATGAAGGGCAGGAAGTATTTTTTTAAGTAATCTCAACCATCCTAAATTGTATAGAATTGATCTATGGTCACAGGGGAAATTACTGCAAGAGGAGGGTCCATACATCATTCATAAAATGGCAGGGAGTTAAGTGATTGATTATGCTCACCTTTAACTCTTGATACAACCATGTCACCCTTCGCCCCTTTGTTGCCAGGTGGTCCAGAGGCACCATGCTTTCCCTTGGTGAAAAATAAGAGAAACAAATTAGGTTAATTGTGATGGATCAACAGTTACATCTGTACATATTGAATCTCTCTCTTCTTCCCTCCTAAATCTCTTGTTAAAGATTCTAGCTTGGCATTCTTGGTCTCTTCCACTTCCCTGCCTTCCAAGGTAGTCCTGTCTTGCAAAGCTGGGGCTCTTGAACTACATGTCAAATGTAAAAGCTGGTGAAATCTGAATAAGGTCTGTACCTGAGTTAAGAGGACTGTATCAATGACCATTTCCTGGTTTTGACAGTGTACTGTGGTTATGTAAATATGGTTATGTGTATGTATCACTGGGGAAGCTGGGGAAGCATACATGGGAACTTTATGACTGTGCAACGTCTTGTGAGTCAACTACCTCAAATTAAAATTTATAACTAATTTTTGTAATTATCATGGGCTTTGTAATGTGAAATGGAGAGGAAAGAAGAGAGTGGGATAACTACAAGAGCTGCCACCAGAGCTGAAGGTAGAGATTTAGGGATAAGTTTGTGATGAAAAAGGCATGGAAGTGACGTCCTGCTAAGGAAAGTTGATGAGCAGGAGAAGAGGAATTAAGAACCTTTTCTGAAGCTAATATATTTATTCTGTATAACAGGTAAATAGCTAATTTTGGCTGACATGCTCATGCTCTCTTAACCACAACATTGCTCAAATCTGAATAATTTGAGTCATACTTTTTAAGTGTTACATATTACTGAATATCAAACCATGTCAAAATTATGGGAACCTGGCTGGGTGCAGTGGCTCACATCTATAATCCCAGCATTTTGAGAGGCCAAGGAAGGCGGATCACTTGAGGCCAAGAGTTCGAGACTAGCCTGGCCAACATGGTGAAACCCCGTCCCTACTAAAAATACAAAAATTAGCTGGATGTGATGGTGCACACCTGTAGTCATAGCTACTTGGGAGGCTGAGGCATAAGAATCACTTGAACCCAGGAGGTGGAGGTTGCAGTGAGCTGAGATCGTGCCACTGTACTCCAGCCTGGGTGACAGAGCAAGACTCTGTGTCAAAAAATATATATATATGAACCTATTGTCAGTATATTAGGGTGGCCAAGCACCATTTCAAATACCATTATAGAAACACTATACAGAGCCCAAGGTTACTTACCTAGTGATATCAATAATCAAAAAACCACAGCAAAGAAATTGGAGGGAGGTAAAAATGACTGAGCAAGCCAGTTGCTTTGCTCACACAGATGCCACTACCTTGTCGTATTTTCTTTTTATTTATTTTCTTTTTTTGAGACGGGGTCTCACTTCATCCCCCAGGCTGCAGTGCAGTGGCACAATCATAACTCACTGCAGCCTTAAACCTCTGGGCTCAAGCAATCCTCCTACCTCAGCCTCTCAGTTAGCTAGAACTGCAGGTGCATGCCACCATGCCTGGCTAATTGGATTTTACTTTTTTGTGTGTAGAGATGGGGTCTTGCTGTATTGCCCAGGCTGGTCTCAAACTCCTAGCCTTAAGGGATCCTGCTGCCTCTGAAAGTGTTGAGGCTACAGGAGTAAGCCACCACACCTGGTCTTGTCTTATTTTCACACAATCTAACAATGTGTTCAAGCAAGCTTAACTATCTTTTTTTAACCGGCTGTACTAATTTATAAGCTGAGAGCTATAGAGGGGAGGAGGGTACCAGTGGAGATGGGCACAGTGGCATCAGCAATCATCAGGCAGTAACAGTGAAGAGGAAGCCAAAAATGCAAACAACAGACATAAAAACTCAAATGGACAACAGGGTTGGAAGCCATTTCATGCAGAGAAAAAAAGTATGTCCACACATAACTCAATATCTCTGATATCACTCTAGTATAGCATCCTGTTTGTAGCAATGTCTGTGAACCATCAAAAAGGTGGGTAGAACAAATTTCTTAGTATAAATCAATATATTAGAAAGAATTAGAAATCATAAAGTACTAATGTAGGTTGGGTTTTCTTTTATTCTTATTTTTACTATATATGCTAGTCATAAGTAGCAGTGGGGCCTGGCCAAAGTGTATGTCATATGGTATCCTGCCCAAGAAATGGATAAAGAAAATGCCCTTCTGAAGAATAAATTATCAGGACAGAAAACTGTTCACATAGCATTTGGACAAATTTCTTTCCAGAAAGAGAAAAAAGTGGAATGCTTAATAAATAAGACTTTGGTACCTTGGAAGAATGAACCCATCCCAGGAGTCTGAGCAGTGTATTACTCAGCACATTGGAGACTTCAAATGTATGACGAATTGCTCTAATGCTCTGTAGGTGTCGAATTTTAAGTACTAGAGTAGATCATAGACTTATTTGAGCTAGTAAGGAAAACTATTACTGGACTTCATTAAAGAAACATTTACTGAAAACATTACTGAACCATTACTAAACCATTGTTTAGTAAATGTTACTAAACATTACTAAAACCATTACTGTAGTTTTCTTTGAAAACTACAAAGAACCAGGCATTACTCTGAGTACTGAGAATACAGCAGTTAACTAGTGAAATAAATGTGTAACCTAAGCGATTCCTGGGGCAAAGGTTCTCAGCAGCTTCAGACAGAGAGCTACTTTTTACAATCTTAAGACCTGAGATCACCAAACACTTGTGTTACTCTAACAACGGAAGCCCAGCAGCAACAAAAACTCCTCTCCGGGCTGGGCACGGTGGCTCATGCCTGTAATCCCAGCACTTTGGGAGGCTGAAGTGGGAAGATCACCTGAGGTCAGGAGTTCAAGACCAGCCTGACCAAAAAGGTGAAACCCTGTCTCTACTAAAAATACAAAATTAGCTGGGTGTGGTGGTACATGCCTGTAGTCTCAGCTACTCGAGAGGCTGAGGCAGCAGAATCGCCTGAACCCGGGAGGCAGATGTTGCGGTGAGCTGAGATTGCACCATTGCACTCCAGCCTGGGCGACAAGAGTGAAATTCCACCAAAAAAAAAAACAAAAGCAAAACGAAACAAAAAAAACACTTCCTCTCTGCCAGGCATATCCTAGTTGTTCAGTCTAGATAAGGGACATCAACTGCAGATGCCTACAGGGGTGGCGCCTGTCCAGTCCAAGGGGAACAGGTGGGTAGGCATGGGGGGAATCAACCCGCAGCCACAGCAGCAGTGGGAACGCAATAACCTTGTGTTCATAAACTTCTAATATCTCAGGAGAAGCCATAAACCTCACATTAATAACTCAAAAACAAACACCATGAGGACACAACCAAACATTCCAGCAGGTCAGAAATAGCCCATATATTAGTCCACTTTTGCTTCGCTATAAAGAAATACCTGAGGCCGGGTAATTTGTAAAGAAAAGGGGCTCATGGTTCTGCAGACTGTACAAGCCTGGCACCAGCATCTGCTCAGCTTCTGGTAAGCCCTCAGGAAGCTTCCAATCATGGCGGAAGGTGAAGTGGGAAGCCAGTGTATCACATGGTGAGAGAGGGAGCAAGAGAGGAAAGCAGGAGGTCCCAGACTCCTTTGAACAACCAGATCTCCTGTGAACTAACTGAGCAAGAACTAAGAACTCATTCATCACCAAAGGGATGGAGCTAAGCCATTCGTGAGGGATCCACCCCCATGACCAAAACACCTCCCACCAGGCCCCACCTCAAACACTGGGGATTACATTTCAACATGAGATTTGGAGGGGGCACACATCCAAACGTTATCAGCCTGTGACAGTTTGCGACCTTTGGTTCGCTCTGCAGCCTCCTGGACTTTAATTCACTGGTATGTACCTTATACAGTGTGCAAAACACATGACTCAATTGAATTCTTACCAACAAGCCTCTAAGATGGTGTTCTTATATCCATTTTATAAATGCTGCAAGTAAAACTTAGAAGACTGCAGAGCTCCCAAATGTCGGAGATGGGATCTGAAGCTGGTCCACTTGCTCCTAGGCCCTAGTGCCTTGCACTAGAGCATCCTGGCCGGAAATCCCATCCTAGGGAGCGCCGTCAGGCTAAGGCAATGAATGCAAAGACTTGGTTCAATTATACAAACAATTGCAAAGAACTTAAGCCTAGTTTTCTGTTTTCTTCTTTCCTACCAATCTGTGGCTGCTAGGGCCAGAGACAAGCAGACCATCTCCAGAGAGAGGAGATGTAGGGAGGATGGAGAGCCCCCAAGAGCGAGAGCACCCCATAGTCTGCACCGTCTTTCATGCTCTTCTGTCTGTCCTTCCCTTCCTCCTTTCCCTTCTTTTCTTCCCTCCTTCCTTTCCTTTCTTTCTTTCCCTTCCTTTTCTTCTCTCTCTTCCCCTTCTCCTCCCCCTTCCCTCCCTTCTCTACCCTTTCCTTCCCTAGTGCCCCATGGTATGACCCTGGTCCCTGACTATGACCACAATGTAATGAATTTAATGCAGAGAAGCCATATGGACAGAATCATATACACAACAGACCAGATACACAATCAGAAACGTGGCCAGCCTACAAAGGAAAGCCCCATAGAGCAACTGAATTAAGTAAACCTTAGCCATGATAACCCTAGATAAACAAGCAGTCCTCACTCAAAGATGTTAGCCCTAAGTAGCAACTCAACAGGAAGCCGCAAAAATATTTTAGAGCCATTAAAATCTTCACTAAGAAGATTAAGTACCAACACACACAAAAATGACTATGGTAAAATGTTGAATGCAAACTACTTAACAATTGCAACCATGCTTATGCACATACATGCATTAAGGACCTAGCTTCCTATTGAGCAGAGGTGGCCAGTGGGCTTTGTACATGTGACAAGGGTACTGCTGGGACACCTTAATCATTAACTTCACTTAAGGCCCTCGGGTTGGAACCTTATTTTCATGAGATTTTCTGGGGAAAATGGAAAAAAGTCCTTTGGGGCTTGATGGTCAAGTTCCAGGCCATCCCAGGATTGAGCCTTGTTAATAAGGAGGGGACAGAGGGCTCTCTCCAGTCTCCAGGGGAGTACCCCAGTGGGCAGTGCTTGCATTATGAGCAATCAGACAGCTGAGAGGCTTTGCCTCAACCTGCTTCATCTGTAACTTTCACCAAATGAGAACCACCTTGAGGTAAATCTCATCCACTCTCTGGCATGATATCACGTAAACTCTGACAAAGCCAGTATTTATATCCCCAGCCCAAACCTCTCATCTGAATCCTTAAGTTGAATATCATCCTACTGCCTACTTGACTTCTTGACTTGACTGTATAATAGGCATCTCAAACTTGAAATGTCTCAAACAGTACTGCTTTCTTTCCTCACCCAATGCCCACTCCTTCCATCGCCTTCCCATCTCAGTACATGGCAACTGCCTTCTTCCAGTGGCTCAAACAAAAAACCCTGGTTCTGTCCCTTACTTCTCTTTTCCTTATATCCTATGTCCAAACTAACAGCCAACATGTTGGCTCTGTCTTCAAAATATATCCAGAATCTGACCACCTTGCACCACACCCAGCACCACCACATTAAGGCATTGGCTGTCATATCTCACCAGGATTACACAGCAGCCTCCCAGCTCATCTCCCAGCCAATGTCCCTTATCCATATGGTCTATGCTCCACAGAGCAACCAGAGTGAGTGATCCATTTAAAACTATTGTCTCACTCTTCTTAAAACTCTCCCCTGGCTGTTTCATGTAGTCTAGAGTAAAGGCTCAGACCTCACCCATCTGTAAAGCCCCATGCTCTGCAGCCCTTCCTAACCTCCTGCCAGTTCCTTGACTTCATTTCCTGCTCTGCCCCTCTCTCTCTTCTCTCCAGCTACAATCGATGGTGATGGCGTTTATCACCACATGACATACTGGATATTTACTTGCTGATCTGTTAGATGGTCTGTGTCCTCTCTGAAGCTCTAGGAGGGCAGAGACTGGGCTCTGGTCCCTGCTGTATCCCCAGCACCTGAAACAAGGCCTAGAACATAGCAGGCACTTAACAATACCAATTAGTTGAATAAGTAAACGATGGATGAATGGATGAGTAAATAAACTGTTTTTGCAGGCATTAGCATAATGTTTGTAGGTTCAAAACATAAATCATATATCACACAATAAATTAGAAAGAGGCACCTCGATTTTTATCTCTACGTGTCTGATATGGTTTGGCTTTGTGACCCCACCCAAATCTCATCTCGAATTGTAATCGCCATAATCCCCATGTGTTGAGGGAGGGACCTGGTAGAAGGTGACTGGATCATGGGGAGGGTTTCCCCCATGCTGTTCTCACAATAGTGAGTGAGTTCTCATGAGATCTGATGGTTTTATAAGGGGCTCTTCCCTGTTCATGCTCTCTGTCACCTGCTGTCGTGTAAGACATGCCGGCTTCCCCTTCTGCCATGATTGTAAGTTTCCTGAGGCCTCCCCACCCATACAGAACTGCGAGTCAATTAAACCTCTTTCCTTAATAAATTACCTAGTCTTGGGTAGTATCTTTATGGTAGTGTGAAAACAGACTAATACCATGTCTCTTTTAACTGGAAAGATGACTGGTAAGAGGTACTCACTGGTAGCCCTGGAGGTCCTTCAGCACCAGGAGGTCCTGGGTCACCTTTTGTTCCAAGCCAGCCAGGGAGCCCCAAGTCTCCCTTACTCCCCTGCCTCCCAGGAAGTCCTGGAGGGCCAGGGGGGCCCATGGGTCCAGGCTCACAGGCACAGAGTCCTTCATTTCCTAGACAGAGGATCAATGGCAGATTTGTCATATTTCCTGAATAAAATCCCCAATAAGGGCTTTACTGTACAAAACCAATAGCATAAATGAAGAACAAAGAGTCCGATATGCACTTCTTGCAGACAATTGAGAGCACGTGCTGTGGGGGCTGGGTGTGGCATGGGGCACTACATGGGGTGCCTAGGCATGGGATGTAGGGTGGGCATACCATTTCTAAACAAATGGAGGGTTTCGTTCCTTAATAAATTTATCCTGACAAATTCTAGGGAAAAGCTGATATCCAATTCTACTGAAGAAACGTTAAAAATAATTCAACTTTTTTATTTTTAAAAGTTTAAAAGCCCATCCTTTGGTTCCTCCTGAAAAAAAAACTGAAAAAATTAATTGGTGAGTGCACAAACCCTAAACAATTAAGGAGACAAAATAATACATGAAGAAGGATTTTGATTGCATTGAATATTATAATTGATAATTCACCACAATGCATTTTCCAATTATCAGGACTTTTTGTCTTAAACAAATGTCTTCAGGGTAGTCAGACTCCTCATCTGTGTTGATGCTGTCACACCCACCTGACTCAGTTGCCCAAAACGGCTCCAAACAATTTAGAGTGGAGAAGCAGAGAGACAGGCAATTGATGAGTCTGGGAAATATAGGTCCCACAAAAATCAAACATCAATACTGTCCTATCACTGCCACTCTCAAGGAATCAAGAGGACCTTGTGAGCAAAGTCACCATTTGCAGACAAAATTCATGGCAGGCAAATGTTCCATATATATATATATATATATACATACATATATATAAATATATAAGACACAAGGCTTTGACTTTTATAATATATAAGACACAAGGCTTTATAAATATATAAGACACAAGGCTTTGACTTTTCAGTGACTTGTAATCACATAGCACTTAATGGAGTACTCTAGTGGGTGACTAAGGTGAGTAACAAATCTGAATGAAATGCCACATTACACATCTCAGAAATGCCCCCGATCATCCATGTACAGTTGTCTTCTAGAAATTCTACCTTTGGTGCCTACTTGCCTTTTTCTCCTTTTGGGCCTCTTCCTCCTGGGGGACCAACTTTGCCTTTTATTCCTTGTGGTCCGGGGTTCCCAACACTACAGTATATCACTGTCAAGGAGGTAAGGGGGTGGGCAGAGAGAATCACATAATTTTTCTGACTGTCTTCTATAGAATAAGTGACTTTTGCACTCACATCCTCCCCCACGTGCTTCCTTTCCCAACCCCATTCTTTGCGCCCTTGTTTTCCTAGGATTCTTTCTGTCTGAAATAAGAATATACACACATATAGATGATGCAGTGGTTATGGCATGCTTCTGCTACCATAACCATTGATAAAGCCAACCCTAATCTCAGCCCTACCTTAAATTAATGGGTTGCAAAACAAGATAATGGACAACAAAACAAAACAAATAAACAAAAAAATGGACTCAGTGTATGGCAAAGATATTCCCCCACTCAGTGATCAATTCTTAGCTAATGAAGAAAATGGAAAAGCAGAGCTTATAGAAATAAAATTTCAGAGATGTCAGTTAAAGACGACAGATAAAATGCAAACAGTTTGGCATCCTCCCCAAATCCCAGTAGAGTAAAAGAATATTATAAAAAAAGCATAAACTGGCCTGGTGCGATGGCTCACACCTGTAATCCCAGCACTTTGGGAGACCAAGGTGGGTGGATTGCTTGAGGTCAGGAGTTTGAGACCAGCCTGGCCAACATGGTAAAACCCCCCCCATCTCTGCAAAATCACAAAAATTAGCCAGCCACGGTGGTGCGTGCCTGTAATCCCCGCTACTTGAGAGGCCAAGGCAGGAGAATCGCTTGAACCTGGGAGGCAGAGGTTGCAGTGAGCTGAGATCGCACCACTGTACTCCAGCCTGGGCAACAGAATGAGACTCCATCTCAAAATAAATAAATAAGTAAATAAATAAAATAAATAAATAAATAAAAATAAGTATAAACCCACAGGACAAGGAAAAAGGGAGAGGAACCAGCAACAACCAAGTAAAAGAACTTGGCAGATCCTTAAAAAAAAAAAAAAAAGCTGAATTTGAAACAGGAAGCTTAGAAAGCTGAGAAAGAACCTGATTTACCCCAGAAATGTCTCCTAAATTTCAAGAATCTGTACCTCTGGAATAAGAACAACAGTGAGGTCCAAAACAGGATGATTTGTCTAAAAAAACAGACCAAAAGATCCCCTTCCTGAAATTGGCAGCAGGGAAAGAAAATAGACCCCCTACTATCCCCGCCAAAAAAACCTAGAAGAAACACGCATCACAGCAAGCTATTTTAATTTATTTTACAATTAAAACAGAAGATGAGGGAGAGTATTGCATCCCTGAAACATGAACAGCCTGCTACAAAAGGAAACATTAAAAGAGAACACAGCAATTGAAAAACAGATATAGATATAGATATAGATATAGATATAGATATAGATATAGATATAGATATAAATAGATCATGAGAGCAGAAATTTAAAAATTCAGGTGAAGGGTTGTAATGTAGAGTTCAGGAAATCTCCCAGAAAGTGTTACAGAAAAATAAACAGCTGGAGAGTAATAGAGTAAAGGTTAAAAAAAAAAAAAAAAGACATGTAGGATTGATTTTCTGACAGATAGATAGAGTACAGAAAGAGAAAAAAGAGGGGAAAAAATGGAGGAGACAACGTTTTCAAAGGACACTTGATCTCTTCTCAGCCTTTTGGCTAAGATTGAATGCAAAGAAACACTTGAAGAAAAATTTTCAGAAATGAAGGATATAGGGCCAGGCACGGTGGCTCACATCTACAATCCCAGCACTTTGGGAGGCCAAAGGGGGCAGATCACCTGGGGTCAGGAGTTTGAGACCAGCCTGGCCAACATGGTGAAACCCTGTCTCTACTAAAAAATGCAAAAAATTAGCTGGGTGTGGTGGCACGTGCCTGTCATCCCAGCTACTCAGGAGGCTAAGGTAGAAGAATCGCTTGAACCAGGGAGGCAGAGGTTGCAGTGAACCAAGATTGCATCACTGCACTCCAGCCTGGGCAAGAGTAACACTCTGTCTCAGGAAGAAAAAAGAAAGAAAGAAAGAAAGAAAGAAAAGAAAAGAAAAGAAAAGAAAAGACATGACATGAAAGCTACATGCTGGATTAAAACTGCTTACTGACTGTGTGCAAGCCAGTACAAATGTACCCACACTAAGGCAAATCAAGTGGAATTTAAGACCCCAAAAACAAACAAAAAAAAAGAGCTCCTATGAGCTTCCAGAAAGGAAAATGGATTTCAAAACCAAAAAATAAAGTATCTAAATGTTATGAGTTCTCAGTAGCCAACACTGGAAGCTAGGAAACAATAGAAAATGCCATCAAAATCCTGAGGGAGAAAGATTTCCTAACTAAAATTTTATACTCAGCCAAACTAGAAATCAAAGTCCACAGCAGAATTAAGGCATTTTCAGACAAGCAAGATCTCCCAACTTTGCCCTTTTATTTACACTTTTTCCCAGGAAATATAATGAGGTAGTAAAGCATTAAAAAATATATGGGAAATAGAGGGCCCCAGAGAAAGAGAGAGGATGGAGGAAAGAAAGTCTCAGGATATTGGTAAAGGAAGATCTCAAGACAGTATTCTGGCAACAAATTAAAAAATGCAACCTGACCTAATCTGAACAACTCAAAAAGCTGCAGGAGAGATTTATTCAAAGAGCTAATACTAATAGAATAGTTAATGAGTTAGAGTGTATAATGATGAAATTTAGATAATTCTGGGCAGTTTGAGGTTAAATTATAAGTATATTGAAAACCAAGCAAACAGACAAAGGAAACAAGACAATTGACAAGATGTTCTGGAAAAGCAATAATTTATACTTTATATGGCTCAGCTGGTGAATGGCCCTTATATAACCAACTATTCAGTGTAAACTCTGAATATTTATGGAAGCAAAATTATGACAATAATTGTATTGTAGTTTGTGGGAGTAGAAAATGTGCACATGTCGGGTGAGGGGTTGGTGAAAGAAAGCTAAATTCATCTTCCGTAAAGGAAAGTCAAAAGATAATGCTGAATTGGAAAAATTGAGAAATAGCAATACAAGTACATTGAATGTCAGTATAGAGGCAAATAACAAAATATCCAGCCACATGTGTTGAAATGATTGCCCTTGGAGAGGAAGGATTAGGAGAAGGAGTTGTGGGGGATTTGAGTTATCCATACCATGCCTTGTAGAACAGTTTGACTCTTAAACCTGAAAGTGCCCTTGCAAAAATTCTCACAGTGAAAAAATTGTGACAGTGAAGGAGATATGACCTAAATAACTTCACCTTGTCTTTAGCCTCTAAACTGCCCTTGGCCATTTCTGAGCGTGGGCCAAGCTAACTTTGAAAGAATTTACTTATAGTTTAAATAATAATAGCCCTCCCCAAAACTAAACTACCTTCATAATGCTAATAAAAAGCCACCAGGTAAACAAAACAAAACAAAACAAAACAAAACAAGAAGGGCCTGTATTCTGCTAAGATGTAGGTATACTTAAATGATTAGCAGCATTATTATTCCAGAGGTCACAAGATTTGCAATCTCCCCAATTACTCCTATAAATGATATCACTATTATAAAACCTAAGATTGGCCTTTTGAGATGTCTTTTCAGACTTTGGCGTTTCTGATGACTGGATGGCTCCACCTAGACCCAAGACTCATGACTCAAGGGTCCCGTGGCACCCACCCAGAAGTGGATTCAACACGTTAGGACCATTTTCCACACCCCCATGATCTCATCCCCAGCCCCCTGCCTGCCAAACTATCTTTAAAAAACCCTAGCCTCCAAATTTTCAGAGAGGCTTTTTTATTTTTATTTTTATTTCATTTATTATTTTAGTAATAATAAAACTCCAGTCTTCCATTTAGCCAGCTCTATGTATGTTAAACGCTTTCTCTATTGCAATTCCCCTGTCTCGACAAATCGGCTCTCCCTGGGCAGTGGGCAAAATAAACCCACCGGGCAGTCACAAACCAAGCCCATATATAACTCTGATGAAAATTAAAACTACATTTAAAAAAAATTGGTATTATTTTACCAAGTTCTATCATTTACACTGAAACTCCTAACCAAATGATTGCACATACTTTAATGGATGTGAAAGTCCAACTTCAGTTTATTTGTTTGTAAAAGACAACCAACTTAGCTCATGAAACATCATATAACTTTTAAAATATTTTAAAAACTATGCTTTCTTAGTGGCACTGCAAATATCAAAAGCAGCATAAATGCTAATGGATATGAATAAGGAGTACTTTACCACTTGATCCTGGGAGGCCCTGCAGGCCTGGTGCTCCAGGCAAGCCAGGTGATCCTGGCTTCCCTGGTTTTCCTGGAGCAGAATCAGGTCTCCCAGGAATACCAGCTTCTCCTGGAAGCCCAGGAAGACCAGGAAATCCTTGTGGCCCAGGGGGTCCTATCATGCCTGCAAGATAAATCAAGAATGAAAATTACATATACTCTCAGAGTAAACGTCTCTGTAGAAGAAATCAAGATTGGTACACACTTGCTTAGGTTATCGAATTTTTTAAAGGGAAAGAGACGGAGCTGGAGGTCATTATGCTAAGTGAAATAAGCCAGACACAGAAAGAAATACTGCATGATCTCACTTATATGTGGAATCTGAAATAGTCAAACTCATAAAAGCAGAGAGTAGGATGGTGGTTCCCAGGGGCTGGGGGAAGAGAGGAATGGAGTGATGTTGGTCAAAGGGTACAAAGTCTTAGTCATGCAAGATAAATAAGTTCCAGAGATCTACTGTACAGCGTGAAAATGATAGTTAACAATACTATATCTTATATTTGAATTTTGCTAAGAGGCTAGATCTAAAATAAATCTTCTCACCACCCCCCACAAATGATAACTATGTAGACGTGACAAATAGGTTAATTAGCTGGAATGTGGTGATCATTGTACAATGTATACATATATCAGAACATCAAGCTGTGTATCTTAAATATAAACAATTTTTATATGTCAGTGATATCTCCACAAAGCTATTTCCTAATGCTCTAGATGACAGCTTTCAGAAGTAGAAAAAAAATAAGTGATGTATAAAGTTTGCTTTTCCACAGAACAGATTACTAGCCGTAAAGCAGGAGTTATAATAATTTGAATAAACTGCATTAAAAGAAAAAACATAGCTCAAAAATAAAGACAATATCCCAGCCATTAAAATGTCTTGCCTCCTTTGAAATAAGCACACAGTGGAAAGAAATGGGTTTAGAGAATCAGATTTTCTTACCTTTTCCCCATTCTTTAGGATTATTGGGGAAGAAACATATTTGATTTAATTAAATGATTAGTTTTTCAATCTTTCTACCTTGATAACTTGGTAAAAATAATCCAAATAAACATATTAGCATACTTAGTGGGTAAAAATATAGACTCACGTAATCATCTAGGTAGAACATAAAATATTGTACCTATCACAGCAGCCCAGGTTGATGGGGAAGGATGGAGGTACCAGATTTCAACTTGGCCTTTCCCTCTGTAGCAGGGGACCTTAAGCAGTTTATTTAACTTATTGAGCATTCTGTATATATACCTCCAGAGGCTTGTTATGAGGATTAAATAAAATAATCCATGTAAGAAGCTTAGTGTAACATCCAGCAAGAGCACATGCTCAGTGAATGTTCAGTGTGTTCAGATGAGGTCAAAACGAATAATGCAACAGCAGGAAATCCTGCTTCCCCTTGACATCCTGCTCCCCTTGCTGCTGTCTTTGGCTTAAAGATAGCTGAAAGCTGGCCAGGCCCGGTGGCTCACACCCGTAATCCCAATACTTTGGGAGGCCGAGGCAGGCAGATCACCTGAGGTCAGGAGTTTGAGACTAGCCTGGCCAAAATGGTGAAACCCCATCTCTACTAAAAATACAAAAATTACCTGGGCATGGTGGCAGGTGCCTGTAATGCCAGCTATTTGGGAGGCTGAGGCAGGAGAATCGCTTGAACCTGAGAGGCGGAGGTTGCAGTGAGCCAAGATCGTGTCATTGCACTCTTGCACTCTAGCCTAGGCAACAAGAGCGAAGCTCCATCTCAAAAAGAAACAAAAAAAAAGATAGCCGGAAGCCTCTGTGAGAGTGACCACCTCTCACAGCTTTTTTCCTAAGCGTGTCTGGCTCCAGATCCTCTCTGTGGAAGACTGCATTTTTGACAGATGGCCATCACGGGAGCTCTGTCCTACATCCTCTTGTTGAACTTTGACATTTCTCTATCAAAAGGTGGGTGTGTTGCCTCCCTCTGAATGAGGCCATTAGAAAAGATGATTCAGCTTCTGCCTTGTGAGCCAAAACACTTGAGACTGAAATTCTGAGCTACCATATAAGCAATGATAAGAAGCTACCATATTGTAAGGAAGCCTTAGTACAGAGCCCACCCAGGGAGGCTCCTGAGGCTACACAAGAGAAATCAGAGAGGTGTCCAGGCAGGCCCAGCCCTTCCTGAACTCTTAAACTGCAGAAAGAGTGAGAGGTACTGTACTGATTGCTATTGTTTCAAACCACTAGGTTTTAGGAAATTTTTTCCGCAAGAGATAACTGAAACCCTGTCAGTAATCAGTAATGTAGCATGTTTATTAAATTAATGGCTGTCATTATTGTGTCCATATGTGCCGGGCTTCAGTAGACATACAAACATATTCACTCCTCGAACAATCCTGCAAAGTTTATACCTTACAGATAAGGCACACAAAGTTTAGGCCAAATATCTGTAGTAATAATAGCTAATATATTGAATCTTTACTATACACTAGACTGCAGTCTAAAGGCTGTATACATATTATTTCTTTCAACCCCAAGGTCTTGTTTTACAGATAAGAAAACTGATGTACAGAGAGGTTTAATAAATGTCCAAGATCACACAGCTTGCAAGTAGGAGAAATTGGAACTTTTCTAGTTCATAGTGCAAATGCATTAAGTATTTCACTGTACCACATTATACTATATGGCTTTCACTAAATGCTAAGGTGGGATTTGATTACAAGTGTCTGACTCTGAAACTGTGCTTATCTCATGGTAAATACTGTAGATAATTACCAAATTATCTACAAGATATTCTATACGTTGTATATATAGTAAATACCATAGATATTAACAATAATATCTATCATATCTACAAATTATATATACAAGTATATAATAGGACTAGATACACTCCTGTGCTTAGAACAAAATGAAAATGAGCTCCTGTGGATTTGGCTGCCATCTTGTCTTCATGCCATTTCTAAGACCTGATGTGGACTCAATACAATCAGTCATTGGATGAACCTGGGTGCTGCCTGCTGCCTTGTCCCATTGCCAAGAAGAATGCTTAACCACCTGCCAACAGGGAGAATGGGCTACAGTGTGTGGCATCTTGCAGTATTGTCCACCCAACTGTAGAGCATGAAGTCAATAGAGTAAGTTGTGACAGCATTAAATTTTTTTTATTATAAAAGAAATGAATGGGATAGAAGAGTGTGTCACATACCGAAAATGTATACTTCTGTGTATTTTTGTCTGAATCACCTGTACATATGGATACATACATGTTTGTGTAATATAAATGTATATGTTTTTCATATAAATGTAAAATCAAATGCATTTCTTACTATGGGTCATAGTCAAGATTTGAAAGCTATTGGGTTAATTTATTTTTTAAAACCTTGTGAATTAAGAGGTTTCCTGGGTTTGAATCCACTAGAGACACTTGTTACTTACTATTAGATCTTCATTTTAATATGCTGGAGACACTATTCTATTACAAACAAGCCTGATTGGAGAATTCTAAGACCAGAGTCCAGTGCTTTCTGACCAACGGAATACTCTATATTATTTATATACTCCTGGGTCAGTTAGGCCAAGGCTGTGCTATCTAAAGGTTAAGTGAACTAGACAAAGCTTTTCCACCTTTGTGGTTATTGAATCCTGCAAACTGAAAGCTAGATTCATGGAAGATTAAACAAGAGTTTTGTAGTTAGCAGTTGAATATCTCAGAAAATTTCTCACTTCTTCTCAGTAAATATAACAAGAGACACAGGCTGGGTAAAACTACGTTTACTCAAGACTTTTCTCCTCACAGGTTTAATCAGTTCTCCTGGGTTCACAGACTGCAAATACCCTCTAAACTTCAATTCCTAATCTTACTAGGAATATTAACCAGCGCAGCACCTGAAGGAGTTCAAAGTCCTTATGCCAACAGGACTCTTTCCCAGGCTTTTTACCAAATGCCACTGTGGCCCATCATTTTCTTATTTTTGTTTTTGACGCGAGGGAAGAAGACTTTTTTAAAGTAATTATGAATGAAAGTTTTTTTAATCATAATTTTTACTTCCACCTTTCATGCAGGAGATTTAAGCAAGGGATTAGGTGAATGTACTAAATTTTACAAGTAGATGTCAACAGGGAGAGCCTTCCAGCAGGGTGGGAAAACATGGGGAAACACTAATCCTAGCAGTGGTTTCCAAGCCTTATCTGCATGCGATAACTTTGTGGGAGGCCTGTTGTTATACATACATATTCCTTACAACACCCCTATGATATTGATTGAATGTTCTGGGGTGCAGCTGAGAAACCTGTATTCCTCCCAAGTAAGTGATTAATTGGTTTGAGTTCAGTGGTTCTTAACCTTGGCTATATGTTACAGACACAGGAGCGCTTCTACAGTATCAGATCCCCAGGCCCATCTCCCAAGAGTCTAACATTCTTGGTCTGGGGTGTGCACAGGCATCGGTATTATTTTACACAATCCTAAGGTGATTCCAATATCAGCTACAGTTGAAAGCTACTGGTGCTGATGATGATGCAGGAAATCTGACCTGTAAAAGCCAGGGCACATCAGGGCATCCGTACCTGCACAGGCTTCCCCTGGTCTGCCCAAGAGACCTGGGGGACCAGGTGGTCCAACATCCCCTGTTTCTCCATAGCGGCCAGGGAACCCTGGGTCCCCTGGTGGGCCTGCCAAAGATAATGGTACATGAGAATAAACAAATGGTATGTGCATTTTAAAATTAAGACAACAATTACTTTTTGTGAGACTCAGTAAAGTATAATTAGGAGACATTTTTGCAGTTTCTCATTACATTTAAAACGAAATATCTTAAATGTGAACCGCCTTGGCTGTGCCTCTTCCTCAGACACGTGAACTTTGAATGGGGTTCTTTGTCACTGATTTAGGCTACTCCTTTTGGTGGCAGCATCTTGATAGGTGTTAGTCAAATAGTTCTGTTTTTGTTTTTGTTTTTGTTTTCAGACGGAGTCTCCCTCTGTCGCCCAGGCAGGAGTGCATGATCTCAGCTCACTGCAACCTCCACCTCCCAGGTTCAAGCGATTCTCGTGCCTCAGCCTCCCACGTAGCTGGGATTACAAGCATGTGCCACCACACCCAGCTAATTTTTGTATTATTAGTAGAGATGGGATTTCACCATGTTGGCCAGGCTGGTCTCGAACTCCTGACCTCAAGTGATCTGCCTGCCTCAGCCTTCCAAAGTACTAGAGTTACAGGCGTGAGCCACTGAACCCAGCCAGTAAAATAGTTTCATACAATTTTTAGCGATTAAAAATAGACTTTCTGAAAGATAACAATAAAAATCCCAGCATACAGTATATGTACTGAAAAAAACCTCATGCACATGTATAATTATACACTCATGCTACAGTTCGTGCATTCAGCCTGCCTAGTGTGCAAGCTATGGAAATACTGGGCCAGACTCTTCTGTCCTGGCCACTCAACTCCTATTTCTGCATAATTTATGGAGGAACTGAATAGGAACACAAACCTTTGAGTGGAAGAGGTGGAGTCACCAAAACACCTGGTGGTCCTGGGTGCCCTCGATTTCCAGGATCCCCCTGAAATCATTCATTCATTCACTTTTTAAAGGAATATTAATTTTACTCATGTTGCCTGGCATTAAACCAGTATTAGAACGATCATGTGCACATTCATATAAGAAGCAGAGATTATAGGCTGACTAGAGAAATGAAGCATCCATGGAGTCTTAGGAGCAGCAAAGATGCATCTAATCTCTTATCTACAAGTAGTGGAAGTAAATAGCAAGTCACAAAGCTTCTACAAAGGAAAAGAAATTTAACTCCAGTGAAATTATTCTATGCCTATAAATTGGATACCTCTGATGTCACCAAGTTTCTTAGATATACCATGAGCATTAATGTCTAACTTGGCATCGATGACAAATAGTTTATTCACCTAACAAGGTCCGAATCTACATTTTATTTTAGCAACAAATAGCGTCCCTCTAAATTGTGTTCCTTTAATGCCACCATGGCTTTAAGGGAACACAATTCCCTTGCACATGCTGAGCAAGTGCCAGATGAGGTCACAAAAGTTAAAAAGGAAAGAAAAAATGCAGTGGTGTTAAAAGCAGAAAACTCTCTAAGATGCCCTCTGTTTCTAATCTCAATGAGCCTATGAATTTTTTTAAACTCTCATGATTATTCACCTTCAAAAGGATCACTTCTCAAATGTAGAACATAATAATGCTTAATATGACACTGATATGATAATATGATAATCATGCATAATAACACACAGCATGCATTAAAGTACTATACAGTCAGCACTCTTATAAAAAATATTTTAAAAAAAATAACAATCCAATGATAAAAATAATAAAACAATAGAATATGACAACTGTTTACATAGCATTTACATTGTATTAGAGATTATAAGTAACCTAGAGATGATTTAAAATATAAGATATGGCGTGTGTAAGTATTATGCAAATACTACATCATTTTACATCAGGGACTTGAGCATCTGAGGGTTTTGGTAGCCTAGGGGTTCTGAAACTAATCTCCCACAGATAACAAGGGACAACTGATATGGTTTGGCTGTGCCCCCAGCTAAATCTCATCTTGAATGGTAACTCCTACAATTCCCACCTGTTGTGGAAGGAACCCAGTGGGAGGTGATTGAATTATGGGGGGTGGGTCTTTCCTGCGCTATTCTTTTTTTTTTTTTTGAGATGGAGTCTCACTCTGTTGCCCAGGATGGAGTGCAGTGGTGTGATCTCAGCTCACTGCAAGCTCCACCTCCCAGGTTCATGCCATTCTCCTGCCTCAGCCTCCCAAGTAGCTGGGACTACAGGCGCCCACCACCACGCCTGGCTAATTTTGTTTTTGTATTTTTAGTAGAGACGGGGTTTCACTGTGTTAGCCAGGATGGTCTCGATCTCCTGACCTCATGATCTGCCCGCCTCGGCCTCCCAAAGTGCTGGGATTACAGGCTTGAGCCACCACGCCCAGCCTTTCCTGTGCTATTCTTGTGATAGTGAATGAGTCTCACAAGATAATGGTTTTAAAAAATAGGAGTTTCCCTGTACAAACTCTCTCTTTGCCTGCTGCCATCCATGTAAGACGTGACTTGCTCCTTCTTGCCTTCTGCCATGATTGTGAGGCCTCCCCAGCCACGTGGAACTGTAAGTCCATTTAACCTCTTTCTTTTGTAAATTGTCCAGTCTTGGATATGTCTTTATCAGCAACATGAAAAACAGACTAATGTAACAATTGAATAAAAAATTAACTGTATCTCTTCTAAAAATTACATTCTTGAATGATTCCTGGCAATACTTCTAAAAATAAATTAGATAATATTAAGGATATAAACTTTTATCAGGATATATTAAAATAGGCTCACTTTTTACCTTTGGGCCAATTAATCCAAATAGCCCAGGATCTCCAACCAGTCCTAGTTCTCCCTACAAACAAGCACAAACATGCCTTAAAAAAAAAAAGTGACTGGGTGACAAATTATCTCATTCTCATTTAATTTAAGCAACACATTGCCCACTGAGACCATGCAAAGTCTTAACACTGTTCATCAGTTGCATCAGACAATCTTGTGCTTCAATTTTTGCACCCACAGCTAAATCCTGCAATCCATAAAATGAATGTGTCTGCCTTCCTAATTACTGTGTTTGCACGCAACAGTACAACTTCTGAATTATACTAAATTGCATTTACTAATGAAATGTATTTATTATCTCTATAATGAGGTACATTTACCTTTAATCCTGGAAAACCTGGAGATCCATAGGAACCAGGATCCCCCTAATAAATTCACAAAAATCAGGATAAACAGAATTAAATCAGAATGCATTAACCAGCTCAGTGCATCATTTTTCACCTTATCAAATTGTTCCATGGATATTTGGTCCTGTTTGCAAAGCTAGCTGAATAAAAGGAAATAAATATAAAATAGATTCCATTTCTTTATAACATTTGCTACTTGAAGTGATCCTCAGTCTTATTCAAAAAATCCATGTCATTGCCAGTGTTTTAATTAAGAATGTATTTTTGTTGTCGTTGCTTTTCCAAATTTAATTTACTTAACTTAGTGCTTGCACTGGGCCAAATATCTTTAAAATCTCTGCAATATAATTTGCCTGGAAATTAATAGTTGCTCTGTGCATCATTAGCAATAAAAATGACCATGGAAACCAATATTTCCCCATTCAGTACTAAATCTAGAACCAAATAAACTCAATGCCCATGCCAGCTGCGGTCTGGCCTCCATGGTGACTCTATGAGTGGGCTTTCTATTAGTGACATGTGGTGATGTTTGGAGCTTAATATTGTACTTTTTTTCTAGCTCCTGCCCCTATATCACCATGTTGTTTCCTCAAATAGACTTAAATTAACTATTCCAAGCTACTTTCCTACTGGCACTGAGGTGCCAGACAAGAGATGGCACAATCCTGTCACTTTTCCCAAATTCTTCTATCTTTTGCTTGCCTGTTTTATCTAAATGATGTCAATGGAAGGATGCTCTGGGATATTTAGATATTCCATAATTCTCGTCCAAAATGTTTTGTTCTTACATGAGCTATTCTTCACTTTTGAGCTTGTGGGACTACTGACCTGGTTTTATAAAAACATGAAAGAGAAATATCTCCAAATTCACTGATGTTAACAGCAAATGATGCTTACCCGAGGCCCTGGAAATCCAGGAATACCTTTTTCTCCTTTTGCCCCAATACCAGATTCTCCCTTTAAGAGATGACAACATTTAGAGGGGTTCAAGCAACAATATTTCAGCAATAGGGAAAGCAATATTTCAGCAATAGGGAAAAAAAACAAAATGAGAAACAAAAATTATTGTCAGCAGCTTAAAGAAAACAACTACTTTAGAATAGAAGCTCTATAGTATTATGATAAGATAGTGAAAAATTCTGGTAATATATATTAGCACTTAAAGCAATGATAAAGACCATGAGAAATAACATTTTAAGTTAAGATAGTACATCACACAAATGAAAAAAAAAAAGGTACTTAAATAAACTACCTTGCGTCCTGGTGGTCCTGGCAGTCCAACCATTCCAGGAATTCCTTTTATACCCTAAAAATTACAATGAATATAATTTGGTCTATTCTTATTATTTAACATACTGAATTCCATCTCCTTCAGAAATCATCTCTTTTTACAATCTGTTTCACCTTAAAAAAAAAAATCTTAAGAGATTACTCTTCACCTGTTCTAATTAGCACACTTATAAACCAGATACTATTTGAGCCAGTTCTCTATGTGAGAGGTATATGGGATACCACAGTGGACCACGGAACCAGGCAGCAGATACAATTTGGGAATGCAGCCATTGAAAAAGTGGCTTATTTTGAGCAAAGTAAAGAAATTTAACCCAGCAATTGAAAAGCAACAATAGAATCTTCATGTGGCACCAATAATACCAGCACTGGTAGCTGACAGAGGAATTAATATTTGCCAAGAATCTATTACGGCCCAGTTCTATGCATTTGTTACCTTCTCAATTATCAAGACATCAAACTCATCTGTAACATCTAAAGGACAACTGGGCTTCCGGTGGTCTTTTCAATCCACACGTCAAAACAACATTAACAAGCACATGTCATAATTTAGCAGCCTGAGCTAGGTCTGCCACTCAGCAGCTGGGTAAACTTGAGAACACTGGGAACCTTCCAAGCCTCATTTTCAATGCCGCACGATGGGGCCAACAGTAGTACCAACTTATTAAAGTAGGTTTGAAACTAGTGCAGTGATGCATAGAAAGACCTCTATACTTTGCTGCCACAGATCCATGTCAAAAAATATTTTCTACTGCTACTTTCCAAGGTGACATATGGATTTGGGAATTACCTTTTCTCCTTTATAGAGACAAAAGTCAGGTGGCTCTACCAACAGGGTGGGTCCAGGAGAACCTTGCTGACCAACCTCACCCTTAAAAAAAAAAGCAAGATAATGAAAATTTCATATTAATTTATGTTTTGAAGGTTTTCACCCATGTATTGTGGTATAATGCTTCCAATCCTATGTGTCATGGATTTAAAATACAAGTTGTGGCAAGTACATCATAGAATATAAAAGGATATTTATTTTCTTATAAAAATTTAATACACACTTATTGTTAAAAATAAATTTAAAAAATGAAAATGATTCTTAATGCTACTATCCAGGGCCAGGCGCGGTGGCTCACGCCTGTAATCCGAGCACTTTGGGAGGCCGAGGTGGGTGGATCACGAGGTCAGGAGATCGAGACCATCCTGGCTAACACGGTGAAACCCCGTCTCTACTAAAAATACAAAAAAAAAAAAAAAAAATTAGCCGGGCGTGGTGGCAGGCGCCTGTAGTCCCAGCTACTTGGGAGGCTGAGGCAGGAGAATGGCATGAACCTGGGAGGTGGAGCTTGCAGTGAGCAGAGATTGTGCCACTGCACTCCAGCCTGGGCGACAGAGCGAGACTCCATCTCAATAAATAAATAAATAAATAAAAAATCCTACTATCCAGAAGTAATCTCTATTAAAACTTTTTTTTTTTTTTTTTTTGAGATGGAGTTTCACTCTTGTTGCCCAGGCCAGAGTGCAATGACGCGATCTCGGCTCACAGCAACCTCCGCCTCCCGGGTTCAAGCCATTCTCCTGCCTCAGCCTCCAGAGTAGCTGGGATTACAGGCATGCGCCACCATGCCCGGCTAATTTTGTATTTTTAGTAGAGACGGGGGTTTCTCCATGTTGGTCAGGCTGGTCTCGAACTCCGGACCTCAGGTGATCCGCCCGCCTCGGCCTCCCAAAGTGCTGGGATTACAAGCGTGAGCCACCGCACCCGGCCTATTAAAACTTTGATATAATTTTTGGTGGTGTGTGTACATATGTGTATATATGTACATATATGTGTATATAGGTGAATAAACAATTTGTTTTATGTTTATGAAAATATAATCAGAATACTATAATAAATATATAAACATGATTTAAAATATACAGCATATTTTATTAAATTTTTAAATAATTTTATATTTTTCTTACAATATTTTGTGAGCCTTTTTCTATTATACTAAAATCTCTTCAGGATCCTGATTTTTTTTTTTTTTTTTTTTTGAGACAGAGTGTTCTCTGTCACTCAGGCTGGGGCACAATGGCGCAATCTCAGCTGACTGCAACCTCTGCCTCCCGGGCTCAAGTGATTCTTGTGCCTCAGCCTCCTGAGTACCTGGGATTACAGATAATGCACCATCGTGCCCAGCTAATTTTTGTATTTTCAGTAGAGATGGGATTTCGCCATGTTGGCCAGGCTGGTCTCAAACTCCTGGCCTCACGTAACAATCCTGATTTTTAGTGCCAATAAATAATCTATCACAAGAATGTACTGTGATGTATTAAGCCATCTCACTCTGGTTAGATTAGATTATTTCTATTTATTTTCAATAATATTTTAAAACTGTAAAATAATAGCCAAAATTTTTATTTATGCCATGATAGATGTTTTTCTACTGAAGAAAAGAATGTTTCTTGAATGAATTTTGCCACAATCATAAATTCTCACCATTAATTAGAAAATAAATATTTTGTGCTTTTCTGGGTATTACTATTATTCTACACTTAGTATGATCTTTCTTTTTGTCATAGTTAAGAACAGGCTATACATAGGTCACCCATGTTTGCAAACCAGGCCCTTACTGGCTCTGTCACTTGGGGCAAGTTCCTTAAAACCTCTCTCAGTCCTCATTTCCTTACTTCCTTGAAA
Organism: Homo sapiens; assembly: GCF_000001405.40. Taxonomy (NCBI): domain Eukaryota; kingdom Metazoa; phylum Chordata; class Mammalia; order Primates; family Hominidae; genus Homo; species Homo sapiens. The sequence goes on from NC_000002.12 coordinate 227,105,856, forward strand.
CCTCATTTTTCTTCTCTGTGAAATGGAGATTGTAATATTACCTACCTCAAACTATTCTTCCATTGAATAGATAATATACATAAAATGCTTCCCGTATTGAGGGTAACAAAGTAAATTCCCCAATATATCATTACTAAAACTACTAATGCTTTTGATAGGTGGAATTTTTAGAAGAATATCAAGTTTAAATAGAAAAAAAAAAAAGAGTTCAATTTCTACCTAAACCTGGGAAATTGAAGAAAAGCCAGATTAGAAACATTGTCTGTTTTGTTTTTTTTTCCTTGATTTATCTACACACCTAACACAGTGTTGGTGTAGCACCTGCCCTAAAGATATCTGCTGTGTGAATAAACCATTGAACAAGCACATTAACAAAACATGAGTAAAAGCATAGCATGTATTGGTAAAGATAGCCACTCTTATTCTTGTAATTGAGATAAACCTGAACAAAACCCTTAAAAGCTGACAAGCAGCCGGCTTCTTCAAAATATTGGTCATACTGCTATTTTTTTCATATTGTAAAAGTACCATATACTCAGCATAGTCAAAAGTACAAAGAAGGAAAACTATGAAGAATTAAAATGTAAAAGGTCCATAATTATATCATGTAGGCATAAATAGCAACCATTTAGGGCAGTGTTTCTTAAAATGAGGTGGGCAAACATGCTCTAGAACATCTGAGAATTCTGCATCAATATTTTATCTTATTTTATTTATTTATATTTTTTGAGACGTAGTCTCACTCTGTCACCCAGGCTGGAGTGAAATGGCACAATCTTGGCTCACTGCAACTGCCACCTCCCAGGTTCAAGCAATTCTCCTGCCTCAGCCTCCCAAGTAGCTGGGACTACAGGCACACGCCACCATGCCCGGCTAATTTTTGTATTTTTAGCAGAGACGGGGTTTCGCCATGTTCGCCAGGCTGGTCTCGAACTCCTGACCTGAGGTGATCCACCCACCTCGGCCTCCCAAAGTACTGGGATTACAGGCGTGAGCCACTGGGCCTGGCCCAAAATTGTAAAATTATGTGTTCATTCACCTGACAATCTAAAAGAATTAAGGTAAGCACATTTGAGATCATTTGAATGGCCACCTCATAGCCAAATACTTCCAAGTTATTCCACAGCCTGAGTTTGCAAATGTGTCTGATTGGACTGGCGCGGAAAGTCACTAAGATGCCAATGCTTGCTGGATTCTGCAATGGCACACGGGCTCCTGTGGCTTCGACGAACATATTCCAGAGCTCCATGGCTTCCCAAACTTGAAAAACATTGTTTTGGTATATTTTCATTCAGTCATTTCTACAAGCCAGAGATCTCAAGGTTGGGGGAAGGGGAAAGTAGTTAGGCAACCCCTTCCCACAGGGACATTTGGCAATGTTTTGATACATTTTAAGTTGTCACAATTGGAGGGACGGGATGCTACTGACATCTAGTGGGGAGAGGCCAGGGATGTGGCTAAACATCCTGTAATTCACAGGACAGCCTCCACAACAATGAAATAGCAGCAGCCTGAGGTTGAGAAATCCCTCTCTGTGTATATTTTAATGTCTTTCTTGTTGCTGTTGCTTTTACAAAGTTGAGTTTATATTTTTGTAACCTGTACTTTCTGTTCAGCATTATATCACAGGCACTTCCCCACATCATGAAGTTGTTATATATATTTTTGACTCCTGTGCCGTTCTGTTAAATGACTGTACCATGACTTACTCAATCACGCTGGAACTCCATGAGAGCAGGGATCAGGTCTGTCTTGCTAAATCCCCACACCCAGTGTCAGTCCTAGCTTGGCATGGAGCAGATGCTTAATATTGACTTGCCCTCAGTTGTTGAAAGAGCCACTCACCTACTGCTGGATGTTCAGATTGTTTCCAGGTGAGTTGCCTTCTTAAATCACTTTTCTTTTTTTTTTTTTTTTTTTTGAGACAGAGTCTTGCTTTGTCACCAGGCTGGAGTGCAGTGGCACAATCTTGGCTCACTGCAAGCTCCACCTCCCAGGTTCAAGCAATTCTCCTGCTTCAGCCTCCCGAGTACCTGGGACTACAGGCACGCACCACCACGCCCAGCTAATTTTTGTATTTTTAGTAGAGACGGGGTTTCACCATGTTGGCCAGGATGGTCTCAGTCTCTTGACCTCATGATCCACCCGCCTCAGCCTCCCAAAGTGCTGGAATTACAGGCATCAGCCATCGTGCTCAGCCCTTAAATCACTTTTCTAAAGCTTATTCTTACTAAGTTTTACATGTCGGCCAAAAGGACAGTGGGTGTGAGTGGCAGGGGGAGGAGACGGGGAGGACAGGCATAGAAAAGGAGTGGGTTGGAGATTGTGTATTGCTCAGTGCTCTTGGTTCCAGTCATTTATATTTGTATTTATATGCATATTTAAGGGTGGAGTTTAGGATTTATGTGAAATTAAGCAAAACAAATCCGTGATTTGACAAAGCTGTTACTCTGGACATAATATATTGTCAAAAATGTTCAATCTGTTTGCTAGGGTGAAATGTGTTGCACAAATTAACCCGAAAGTAGTGTTAAATTGTGTCAGATCTTTCATTTTACAGTCAAGGGTAATGGTGCCATAATAATTCGGCAAAGAAAAGTTCTCAGCCATAAAATTGGGCAGTGACTAGATAATGAGTACAAGTTCAAATAATCAGAACAGCCTCCACCCCTGAGCAGCACACACACGTCACCATCTGCTCCTCAGAGCAAGAGGGAATTCTTACCGGGTCTCCCATTTGCCCCTTTACTCCCACACCGGGATTTCCCTGAGAAAGAAATGAAAAAGAATCTAATTGCTTTTGAATTTTAAAAAAGTAATTAAAAGCAATTAAGACTTCTGGCTACACAATATATTGCAGTTCATGGAATACTTTGGGAAGTCTGATAAGAGGAAAGCCATCATTCTGACAAATATCAGTGGTCAACCATTTCATTGTTCAGGGCTCTATTGATGTATCTTGCTCATGACTGCCTACCTTCAAACCTGGACGCCCTGGTTGGCCCGGAGGTCCCTAAATCAAGGGAGAAAAAAACACAAATCAATCATCAGACATAGAAATCAGAATGTGCCTTCTTTTGTTACCCCAAAATAGGGTCCTATTTAGGAAACCCTTAATTTTAAAACATGCAGTGATGGAGTTTCTATCATGGATGGGCTGTTTTCTGTGAAGATGATGTCAGTGGCTCATCCGCAGGGACCTGTGCTTCAAGATGGAGTCCCACTGATAATGGTGGGTTTTCACTGATTCATCGATTATAATCTCTCAAACGGCCCACCTGTGTCTGACCCAAAATGGCAATGTTGCTTCTTTATTTTCATGTAGAATCTGGTTTTTAAAGGGATCACATCAGCAGTGCTGTACTTACCACTAACCCTGGCTCTCCAGGATATCCTGTGGGACCTGCCGGTCCTCCTGCACCCCAAGATCCCTAAACATGAGAAAAATCAGTGCATCTGTTACCCAAAATTGTAATCATCTTTCACAGAAAGAGTTGCGTGTGATCCCATGTGGATAAAAACCTCTAAAGAAATCACAGCCACCAGCACATCTGCCCTGCTAGGACATTTTCAACAGCAGCTTTGATGCAGCCCTAAAAGGGCACCAAGCAGTCCGGGCACGGTGGTTCACACCTGTAATCCCAGCACTTTGAAAGGCCAAGTGGGGCAGATCACGAGGTCAGGAGATCGAGACCATCCTGGCCAACATGGTGAAACCCCGTCTCTACTAAAAATACAAAAATTAGATGGGCGTGGTGGCAGGCGCCTGTAGTCCCAGCTACTCGGGAGGCTGAGACAGGAGAATCGCTTGAACCAGGGAATCGGAGATTGCAGTGAGCCGAGATTGTGCCACTGCACTCCAGCCTGGCGAAAGAGCAAGACTCTGTCTCAAAAAAAAAAAAAAAGCACCAAGCTAAAGGTAGCAGCACTCTGGTAGTTGTGATAAATTCCTTCATTTAGGGTCCAGTTAAGACCCAGAGATCAATCTACCTATTTACAAATACATCCTGTAATAACAAAAGTGGAGAGCAAAGAAAATGCATTACTACCTACTCCTAAATTCTGTTACAATTTTGATATACATCAGGATGCTTTTAAAGTATTATTATTAATTAACATTATATATTAATGTATTTATACTTTTTAGTATGTTTTTAAAACATGGTCTGCAAGATCTCAAATTGCGGAAATATAGTCCCTAATTTGAGATCAAGATGAGTCAGCCATACAAAATTTTCTACAACATGTAAGTTGTAACACAACTATACACAAATTGTCAAGGAAAGGTTACAGCCAGGCTAGCCTGGAAGTGTGGAGAGATGTTCCCCGGGCTCCTGCTGACTCTGCCCAGGTCAAATGATTGGGGAGTGTATAATGAAATTACTCTGTTTAGGAGGATGAACTGATATTTATTTTAACAGCAACATTGAGGTATCACATTTATTACATGGACCTGAGCTTCAATCGTAGTAAGGAAACCAGCCCAGGAAAGTCGTTCCATCACTAGCCAGAAGTTACAGGGCAAAATTATAGCTTAACTTTTGGAAGGCAAAATGGAGTCTCTGTCGCCCAGGCTGGAGTGCAGTGGTGAGATCTTGGCTCACTGCATCTTCTGCCTCCTGAGTTTTAGCAGTTCTCTGCCTCAGCCTCCCAAGTAGCTGGGATTACAGCCACGCACCACCACGTCTGGCTAATTTTTGTATTTTTAGTAGAGACGGGGTTTCACCATCTTGGCTAGGCTGGTCTTGAACTCCTGACCTCGTGATCCACCCGCCTCAGCCTCCCAAAGTGCTGGGATTACAGGTGTGAGCCACCTCACCCAGTCTTTTTTTTTTTTTTTTTTTTGAGATGGAGTTTCAGTCTTGTTGCCCAGGCTGGAGTGCAATGGTGCCATCTCAGCTTACTGCAAGCTCTGCCTTCCGGGTTCGAGTGATTCCCTGGCTTAGCCTCCTGAGTAGCTGGGATTGTAGGTACGCGCCACCACGCCTGGCTAATTTCGTATTTTTAGTAGATAGGGGCTTTCACCATGTTGGCCAGGCTGGTCTCAAACTCCTGACCTCGTGATCCACCTGCCTTGGCCTCCCAAAGTGCTGGGATTACAGGCATGAGCCACCACGCCTGGCCGGCAAAACTGCTCTCAATTTTAGTCTTGTAAACATCGAAAAACTGGAAAGACTAATATAATCATTGAATTGCTGGTCTGGGCGGCCCTCGGTGCCCCTACAGAAAACAAAATTATAAGTGAAGCATTTTTGCAAAAATATCATAACACAAAGATTATGCACTATGAATACTCAAATTGTGGCATTTGTGATTCACACATTTACTGTTTAGTTTTGTGAAACTTTCTCACATCAGAAACATCAGAGAGATGAAGATGGGCAAAATATTAAATATAATATACAAATACTGATTCACCAGGCAAAATGGTAGCGAGAAGCAATGCAAGATTATTCTAGCTGGTATATATTATACATGTAGTTGCTAAGTGGACTCACTTTCCTAAATATTAAGTGGCTGCATATACCTGAGTAATGTCACGAGATCATTAGAAGACAGAAGAGGAAGGCAGGAGGGAGCTTGATGAGCTTCAAGTACAGCTTCATGGGCATGAGACTGGTGCAGTTACACAGGGCCCCATGCTTCATGTTCTGTGGTCGCCATCTTGAAATGCTTAATAATTTTTGAACAGGGAACCCACATTTTCATTTTGCACTAGGTGAGCCGCACAAATTATGTAGCTGGCTTTGCTGGGATTAAAACGTGGATCATAGGCTATTTGAGGAGGAAATAGAAGCATAGAGCCTGCTCAGGAGACTTACTGGTAAGCCAGGCAGTCCTGGGTCCCCTCTGTCTCCCTGCAAAAATAAGAATGCATTGCTTTAAGTCCACACAATGTTCCTAAAACAGAGATTATGTAAAAATAGAAATATACACAAAATTATCTGGACTCATCTAACTGCAGTTTGTTCAATTTTTTTGGTGTTGACTAAAATTGAGGAAGGGATATGCGGAGGTGATTTTCCTTCTCCTTAAGCTCTGAATTCTCCTTCTACCCAACAGAGAAAGGTCGCTGAAGTAATGACATGGAATCAAAATGAGATTTTTTCTTTGTTTAAATTGTTCTAAATTCTCAATCCAGTGGTCCCGTTTCCTCACAGTTTACCTGTTGCTGGTGTCTTTCCACACCTTGCTATGCTTTATAAACATCTTGACCCCCTTGACTACCCTAGAGTGGACAGAAAAGAAACTCAGGTGGAAATTGCCTCACACCAGCCTCTGTCTACTTCTATCGCCTTGTGACTCTGTGCTGAGACTCAACCTACTTTAAAAGATCAAAGGCTATATATTCTCTTGAATGAAGCCTCTTTTTTTAAAATGTAAAATATATGTAAGTTAAAATATGACATTTCAACCTTTTTTTTTTTTTGAGATGGAGTCTCGCTCTTGTCACCCAGGCTGGAGTGCAGTGGCGCCATCTCCCTTCACTGCAACCTCCACCTCCTGGATTCAAGCAATTCTCCTGCCTCAGCCTCCCAAATAGCTGGGATTACAGGCATGCGCCACCATGCCCAGCTAATTTTTTTGTATTTTTAGTAGACGGGGTTTCACCATGTTGGCCAGGCTGGTCTCGAACTCCTGACCTCAGGTAATCCACCCGCCTTGGCCTTCCAAAGTGCTGGGATTACAGGCGTGAGCCACCACGCCTGGCCCATTTCAACCATTTTTAAGTGTACAGGTAGTTCACTTAATGCCACTTAAGTGGCATTAAGTACATTCACATTGTTATTCACCCATGACCACCATCCATCTCCAAAACTCTTATGTCTCCTCCAGTGGAAACTCTGTTCTCATTAAACACTAACTCCCCATCCCTCTTCCCTGCAGCCACTGGCAACCACCCTTCTATTTTCCATCTGTATGAATTTGACTATTTTTCTATATAAGTGAAATCATATGATATTTGACTGGTTTATTTCACTTAGCATAATATTATATCTTCAAGGTTCATCCATGTTGTTGTATGTGTCAGAATATCTTTCCTTTTTAAAGCTTTTACAGTCTTCCTTTGGATGAATATACCACATTTTGTTTATCCATTCATCTGTTGATGGACACGATTACTTCCACCTTTTGGCTACTGTGAATAAAGCTGCTATGAACATGCATGTACAAATATCCATTCAAGTCCTTGCTTTCAGTTCTTTGGGGTATATATCCAGAAGTGGAATTGCTGGATCATATAGTAATTCTATGTTTAATTTACTGAGGAATTACCATATTATTTTCCACAGGGGTTGCACCATTGTCCATTCCCACCCGTAATGCATAAGGCTCCAACTCTCCATGTAGTTGCCAACAATTGCTAGATTTGTTTTTTTTATCATAGCCATTAGAATGAGTATAAAGTGGATATAGACTCTTAAGAGCATTGTCTCTCAAAGGTTATTGATCTACAGGTCATTTTTATTAGGGATCTTCTGTTTCCCCTTAAGATAAGGAATTCTCTATATTCATCCCCCTTCTATATTTGTATGTCACATGTCCTCTATTACCACAATTACAAAAAAATGCTCACTATAACTAATATGGGACATTACCATTTACAATGTGCTGCAATATAAATTATTATAACAGTCTTAACAACACTAAGAAAGGGGCAGGGTAAATATTATTTTAATCTTCTTTCACAAATAACGAACATGAGGCTGAGGAGGTTAAGGGAGTTGCTTAAAGTCACAGTGGAGAGTAAGCCTCAGTTCTCTCCTTCCAATACACCATCCTGGTTCCTAGAATGACCCTGCTGTTGACGTTTAGTTTATTAATATATCATTTAAGCTATAAACAAATCCATCGTTCTTGCTGTTTAAGAAGGACAAATAGGCACAGAGGCTACACACATAAACAGTGAGCTTACTAAAGGGATCACTGCTCAGGTGTGTCCATTCTGCGTGGCACAGAACCTAGGGTCTCATAGAAGCAATCTAGGACTAGTTCTATCTAATTGCTGCAGAATATTCTTCCTTAAGAGAAATGACCACACATCTTGAACATGGGCTGTATTTTCCTGTTAATGCATCATTTCCACTGATCCCCATCACTCATCCATGGCTTCTCATCTGAGAGATGAGGTGGTCACTCAAGAGTTTATTTCTGAACATTTGGACATCACTCCCTGCTGAAAACACAACACCATTAAATGTATCAAGCAAAGTGCTATAAGGTTTACATCATTTTCAAGTTCAATAATGGTGACTTTTACTGTACTGGATGGCAAGTACTAATATTACAATGTTTTAATTACAAATAAATCAGTGGTCCTCCACTGGGGTGATTTCCCCCCAGGGGACATTTGGTAATGTCTGGATATACGCTTTGGGGAGTTCAGAGGTGGGGGATGCTATTGGCGTCTAATGAGTAGAGGCCAGAGGCCAGGGATTCTGCTCAACATCCTATAATGCACAAGTCAGCCCCACACCAAATGAATATGTGGCCCACAATGTCAGGAGTTGAGAAACCTTGAAATAAATACATCCCTTGCAGTTCTGACTAGTTCAGAAGTAATGGAATTTTACAGTGCTGGAATTTTACTGGCGACTAAAGCCACTGCCTTCACACAAAAGCATGATGCCATCCCTGAGGGTCAGGGTAATGATAAAAATTGGTGTATTCAGGGACATTTTGAAGAAAAATCCTGTCTGAGTATTTCCTGCATGGGCTTACCTATTTGGAAGAAAAAATTTTTTAACCCATCATGATCATAATACTTACCTGAATACCTTTAACGGCACCTAAAATGAACACTGAATTTCCTTTTTCTCCCTTTTCCCCAGGATGGCCCTGAAAATAAAATATGTATGTACTTAACAGGAAAATAGCATATTACCATTTCAGTATTTTCTTTTCTATATAAAATATAACTCATCAGTTAAAATTACCATTATTGACATGATTAACAAGAAGACATTTCTGTATCCTCTTCCATATTATTATCACCCTAAGGTTCTCACATATATTTACTCCATATTCAGTTAAGATCTGTTAAGGAATCTTCTAAGACAGAATATCTACTCATATATAGCTATTTAGCAGAAAATTTTCATATTTCCTTACAATATAAAACACATGCATTGTTCCTACAAATAACTAATTTTGCAATTGTTAATTTATGCCCTAGAAACAGTAAAACGTATATATATATATAGAGAGAGAGATTTTATCCATTTCAGTACTTGTATTCAAAATAGGCCTAAGAATTATTTTTAAAAACATAACATGTTCCTTTCAGAAGGTTTTTGTATATAGTTGCTAGTTTGCTTAGGATATTTTTTAAAAGTGAATGAAATAACCTCAGTGTATTCTTCCCCTCCCCAAGGTTTTCCTACTTAATATCTTAATATCCTACTTTAATTCTTTTTTTTTTTTTTTTTTTGAGACAGAGTCTCGCTCTGTCTACCAGGCTGGAGTGCAGTGGCGCGATCTCTGCTCACTGCAAACTCTGCCTCCCGGGTTCCTGCCATTCTCCTGCCTCAGCCTCCCAAGTAGCTGGGACTACAGGCACCCACCACCGTGCCTGGCTAATTTTTTTGTATTTTTTAGTAGAGACGGGGTTTCACCATGTTAGCCAGGATGGTCTCAATCTCCTGACCTCGTGATCCACCCGCCTCGGCCTCCCAAAGTGCTGGGATTACAGGCATGAGCCACTGTGCCCGGCCCCTACTTCAATTCTTAATATATCTTCTCTTGGTTACCACATAAAAATCCTACCATCTTTATATATCAAGCTCATATGAAAGATATATACATTTCAAAGTTAATCTCTCTTAGAGGAGTGCTTGACTTGGCTTCTGATGGGAGATATTTAACAGCATAAGGTTAAATTGCATCAACAATTTACTTGAGAAATCAGGTTTGGTAGTATCTGCAGTTTTGGCTTTGCACAGTTCCAGTCTGAATGAATTTCAGTTTCATAGTTAAGTTAAATAACACCAGTTCTCCAACAACATGGTTCAAATTTCAGTCACCATTGTGTATTGAGTACTTGCATAACGTACAAACTTCATTGCTATCCTCTCAGCCCACAAATCGCTATATAAATAACAGATGTGAATTGTGATTACTGCATGATCACGTGATGTTACCAAAACATGTTGCAAAGAAAGTCAATGACTGAGAGGACGACTACTGCCAAGGAAGAAGGCTTTAATTAGGTGCTGCAGCTGAGGAGTTGGGAGATCAGTCTCAAATCCATCTCCTGGACTGACTAAAATTAGGGGTTCACATAGCAGGGAAGAAACGTAACAATGTATTGGAAAACAGGACCTAGGTAAGGAAACAAAATCAGGGGTCTGGCATCTCATTGTCTGGATGCCATGATCTGGTGTGTTTCAGTTCTTTGATACTTCTTGAGAGGCCTGGGGGTCCTCTCCTGAGGAAGGAACTCAGATAAAACACATAGGTTTCAAACTTTAAGATCAGAAGGATCCATTTCTATGTTGATCCAAAGAACATCTCTGGGACTAATGGGTCAGTTTCAATGATTTCTGTCAAAGTCTGTCTGTGATTGGCCCCTGCACACGTATTATTCAGAGCACACACACAGACACAGACAGCAAAGTTTGTAGCTGGCTTGCCTCCTTATCTCCCAGCAATAAACCCAAATAACATTTTACAAAAATGGATAGTTGGAAGAGGAAATCGGCCAATAATGATGAAAATGAAGCAAAGAAATGAAAATGGTAATGCTGGAAATGAAATTCAAATAAAACATAAGTGGAGTTATAGAAGCAATAGCTGATCATGGGAATAATGAGATTGTTGTCATTTGAGAGACTATTTGCAGCCAGAGGAACTTAGTAAAGAGAAACCAGGAAAGTGGTTGTGATGAAAAGGATGACAGCGTCCTAGGTAAAGTGACACAGATGAAAACTTCACATTAAAGGAACCCTGAGAGATATTTCACAACACTGGAAACAGATCCGAACTTAGGAGTATCATACTTCCTCAAAACATAAAAGACATATTCCTTTAGTATCACAAGTTACATGATGAGAAAAAGGCAAGTACTGTTGAAACTACTCTTGATAAGTTTTTACAAAGAAATAAAACACTTTGGTTCTCAATGCTTCAAATTACAGTATATTAAAGAAATATTTAGTTTTTTCATTTCCTTATATAACTGGCAAAGTTTCTAATGTTTTAACAAAACATTTTAAAAGTCATGGGACAATATTAATTTTCTCATCAGTTGATAAGGTTTCTTTGCGTGGTTTTTAGCTTGCCTGGTCATTCTTACTTTACTGTGCAAAGTGAGGGGTGTCTGTATAGTAAATGAGTCAAGGGGAAGTTGGTTGCTTTGCAAAGAGACCATTATGACAAACTTCAGGATTGTGGCTGGTACTGCATGCTATGTTAAAGTTAAAACTGAGAACCCTTGCTCTCTTGAATGCTCATGAATCTGTAGAATGAGGTTTGGCCTGATTTGAGGAGCTTAATAAATGTGCATTCACCAGACTGCACTTGAGTTTTCAAATGGCTGAGTTTGAAAGTAAAGGATGGTTGAAAAACTTAACAATGAAAGGTGGTGGATGTTCTTATTTGATACCAGAAGAAAAATGTGAGTATGGAAAATTCTTTTTGAGTTTAGTGTTCAGATCAGTTCCTCTAGAATCTGGAGCAAAAGGAAGACTCGTGAGTGACAGCAGAATGAATGATTATGGTGGTCATGCTAAGAAAACTTTCTAGAAAGAAACTTGTGAAATGATATTTTATTAAGGAAGGGAGAAATGCTAAAAAAAAAAAAATCACAGAAAAACAATTTGGAAAGGTCAAATAATCTCTGATCTTTATTTAAGTGAGAAAAAGAAAAAGAGAGAAAGAAAGGGAATATGGGGGGTAGCTCTTGCTCCAGTTATGTTTAAATGAAAGTCCAAAATTCTGAAGAAAAAAAAAGCTAAGAGCCGTAAGTTTTCCCCCAAGTGCTGGATACTATCAACTGTTGCTGGACATCCATTCCAAATCTTTTCTAATATATTTTTTTGCATTACAGGGGCTAGAAAGATAAAAACTACATTGCCCAGACTCCTTTATAGCTGGATGTGAATTAGGTTCCACCTAGGAGATGTGGAAGGCAGAAGTTTGGAAGAGATTCTCTTCCTGGTCTGTTGTTGCTGCCAAGCAGGAAAGCAGAAACTTGAGTGTTCTGTTTGCTAGTGTCTAGACGTGGGGTGACAGGCAGTGGTTACAGTGCAGTTACAGCTTCCTGACTCCGGATCTCAGCTAGCTGTGAACCTTTGAAATCAGTGGTCTCGTGTGGTCCTAAGTTTTACTCTTCCAACTATTATAATAAGTGCCAGAATCCCTGTAGCAGATCCCTTTCTGTTCAAAATACCTAGTGGGGTTTGTTTCTGCAATTAACCCTGAATGATAAACAATTTACATTTTGCTACCTGGTCTCTCTGCTCTTTTTTCCCTACTATCTATTCTCTTCACAGCAGCCAGAGACATCTTAATGAAACATCAATCAGATCATGTTGCTTCCTTCCTTAAAACCATCCAGTGCCTTTACCTAACATGGATAAGAAAATCTAGCCTCCTTCCATCATCCACAAAGTCCTGCATGTTCTAAGTCCTGCCTATCTCTCTGTCCTTATCCCCCAGCCACTCCCATTTGTTGACAATGCTCCAGGCACACTTGTATTAACTCTGTTTCTTGAATACATCAAGCCTGTTCCACCACAGGGCCTGTTCACTTAAGATTCCTGTTAAGATGAACTGTGGGTATCTTACTAGGGGGCCTCCTGGGCCAAGAGCTCCTCTTCCTCCTGGAAACCCTGGGTCACCTCTTGAGCCATTGTGGCCACTCATACCAGGTTTGCCTCTGGGTCCAGGAGGCCCTGGGTGCCCCTGCAGAAAACAAAATTATAAGTGAAGCATTTTTGCGAAAATATCATTACATAAAGGTTATGCAATATGAATACTCAAATTATGGCAATTGTGATTCACACATTTACTGTTTAGTTTTGTGAAACTTTCTCTTTACCCCAAAAGGCTACGTAGCATGTAAAAATAAAACCTAAATTTTTTTTAAGATAACAAATTTAAACTAATTTAGTTTGCAGTACTCTGGGAAATTGAGGAGGGGACCTTCCTTAAAATCCTTAGAAATACTATAATGAATTATAAAGCCCCCACATACCTCTTTTTTTTTTTCCATTCCATTTTCATATGAGAAATGGGAGTATTAAGCTCACTACAAATATTAGGACTCATCAGCAAATAAAAACATTCCTTATGAGTATGCATTAATTTCAAGAACATTGTACTTGACATAACAAGTATACCTAGCTCATATTTTGGAATTTTTTCTCTAACCTGTTAGAAAACGTTGCTTTCCAAGTAAAGTGTTTTGCTCTGGGAGTTATTGTACAAAATTTAAATGTAAACACCCTTTCATGCACTAAAATGAGAAAATATAAAAAGAGTTTGCTATGTATAATATATACCATGCACCATAACATATATATATCTTGCACCATATTTTATACATGTTATACAATATATAATTAACAGATATTATGATATATAAACTATATGTAAGATATAAGATACTATATAAAATATATGTAAGATAGCTATATATCGTATATACTATAGATTTTATATATGTAAAATATAAGATACATATTGTATAGTATACATACTATACATATCTTATATATACAATATATTTGGTGCAAAAGTAATTGTGGGGGATTGAAAGTAACAGCAAAAACCGCAATTACTTTTGCACCAACCTAATGTATTCTATATCTTGTATATCTAATATATATCTTTTATATATGTAGATATATATTATGGTGAAAGATATATATATATTACGTTGCTTGTGGTATATATAGCAAATATTTGCTATATATAATATATATATTGTGGTTTCTATAAATATATATTTTATGTATATATACATGTGGTTTTAAGGATTTTGATGAGTACTTCTGCCTTTTTGAAAAAAGTGGAGAAAATTTAGGGATACTTACAGGTATGCCATCTAAACCTGGAAATCCAGGAACACCAGTTGGACCCTAAAATCCCAGAAAATAAAACAAAGAGATAAAAATTATTAAATTAATAAGCTGATTTACTTGAAAATAGTAACAATTAATTACTCATCTTTAAACATGCTGAGCAGTCATTGTCACCTATTTTTTACATGATGAGTCTAAAAGCCAACATTTAAGAACCAATTCTTGTGCTTTTCTTTTGTACTTGGGAAAACAGCCTAGCAGTACTGATTTAAGTAAATCATTCAACATGCTGTGAACAGAAATCTAACACTCCGAATCTCGATCCTAGAGTAACAAACCCTTAACTGTGAACACAGGCAATTGATAGGATTATTTTTGCACATCTGCACTACCCAAAGTTGGGGTAGAATCTCAAGTGCTCATCAACAGGGAATAAACTATAGTTTTATTCATACTATGGCATATTATACAATGTTTTTTCAGGAATAAGTTCAATCTACATAGCCTGATAAGGAATGGTCTCTAAGACATATTGTTGAGTGAAAAGAGAAAACTCAGTGTGATGCATATAATTAATGTCATGTAGGTTTTTTAAAAAGCCATGAAACAATATAACTTCTCACTGGGTACACACATGTATTTAAAGGTCCAGAAGAGCATGCTCCTCTGGAAAGGGGCCAAAAATGAGGATGAATTATTGCAGAGGAGTTCAGGGACTTCATTTATTATAAGGTTCAAGTATATACTACTCGTGGTTATAAAACTCCAGTGCTGGCCAGGCACAGTGGCCAACGCCTGTAATTACAGCATTTTGGGAGGCCGAGGCAGGCAGATCACTTGAGGTCAGGAGTTCGAGACCAGCCTGGCCAATATGGTGAAACCCCATCTCTACTAAAAAATACAAAAATTAGCTGGACATGGTGGTATGTGCCTGTAATCCCAGCTACTTGGGAGGCTGAGGTGGGAGGCTCGCTTGAACCTGGGAGGCGAAGGCTGCAGTGAGCTGAGATCCCACCACTGCATTCTAGCCTGAGTGACAGAGTAAGACTGTCTAAAAAAAACAAAAACAAAAAATGGTGCAGTAGTGCTGGTGAGTCTTTCATGTGAATCTCCACATAAGATGTGGCTTACCTTATCTCCTTTGTCCCCTGCTGCTCCAGGAGGGCCGCGGTCCCCTCTCATTCCTTTCTCTCCTGAAAGCCCAATGGGTCCTGGGGCTCCCAGGGGTCCAATTGGACCCTGTGGCCCTGGTGGTCCTGGTGGACCCTGAGAAGGAAGATTAAAAAGAAATGGGGGTGCAATTCTTAATTACTGTCTTCTAACACAAACATATACTCATTCAGGCCTACAGAAGACTTGGAAATTAGATTTGCACAACTCTAATAATAGAAACAAATGGCTGGAGATGGTGGCTCACACCTGTAATCCCAGCACTTTGGGAGGCCGAGACAACGAGGTTCACTCGAGCTCAGGAATTCAAGACCAGCGTGGGCAACAAAGTGAGACCCCCCATCTCTACAGAAAATATAAAAATTAGCTGGGCATGGTGGCGTGGGCCTGTAGTCCCAGCTATTCGGGAGGCTGAGGTGGAGAATCACTTGAGCCTAGGAAGCCGAGGTTGCAGTGAGCTGATCGCACCACTGCACTACAGCCTGGGTGACAGAGACAGACCCTATCTCAAAAAAAAAAAAAAAGAAAAGAAAAGAAAGACAAGAAAAGATAAAAGGAAAAGGAAATGAAAGGAAAAACAAGACAAGAAAAGAAAATGATTGACTTAAAACATAAGAAATAGTGGCATTGCCCTTTTTAATCTGAATTAAGCTATATGATAAATTTCAATTACTGCACATGTGTATATGTATGTATGTGTGCAGTATGTATGTATGTGTGTGCACAGAAACACATATATCAAGTGATTATAGTTATCTTACTATTTTCATTCTGTCAATCAAATTTAGAGATCTTGGGCTTTTTAATGAAGCAAGAAACTAAAAAATCAAAGTTTTATTTACCTTTATGTTCGTGACACAAATAGAGTAAGGGAAACTGCCAGATCTTTTATTTACTTCAAATAACTAATGATTTGCCTGCCCTTTCGAAGGACAACATTTCTTTTTTGGCTGCTTTTATCTAATTTCTTAGTCATATTTTGGAATTAGTCTCCATGTCACATTAAATTTATGTAATCCAACTTTCCATGAATGAAAAGGCCACCTCTTGTTTTAAGTGAAGAAGCTTTATGGGGCTCCTACCTCAGAACCCATGTCTCAGGGCCCTGCCCCATCTCCCTTCTGGGGTCTGGGCCTGGCCAAGGCCAGCAGCACCATCTAAAGCGATATCCCGACCAGGTGCAGTGGCTCACACCTGTAATCCCAGCACTCTGGGAGGCCGAGGCGGGCAGATCACCTGAGGTCAAGAGTTCGACTTGCAATATTTCATACCTCTCAAAATTTTTGCAAAGATTTAAGAAAAATTATTTTATAACTTCTTGCTTCACAAAACAGCATGGATGACTGCATTAAATAAGCAAGTAAGTCTTGATGTATGGACAGAAAAGCTTGGCAGGGTTTAGGAGATATCTGCTCAGATCAGATGTCTTAGGTCTCCAGGGCTAATACAGGGTTGCCCCTTGGGAATGCAGGGCCCTGAGCAAAATATTTCTTGCAGAGTCGCATCTATATAAAAACTGGAGTCACCCGAAATCAGCATGCCAGCCCTACTCTGGCAACCCAATGTTGTGCAGTCCCATCAAGGAAATACTTCATGGGCAAATGGAAGTGTTCTGCTAGGCAGCCACCCTCCAAAACCAGGGCTCAACCAAAGGGCCCCAGACAATCGCATAGCATGAAGGCCAGAGCTCCTCATGTGGTCAACCCCACATTGGGTAGAAGGTCAGAGAGCACCTTGACGAGAAGAAACAGTAACTAAGACCCACCTGGTCCTGATCCACACTTGGGGTGTCACTTTGTTTATTTTTATTTATTATTATTATTTTTTTTTGAGACAGGGTCTCACTCTGTTTCCCAGGCTGGAGTGCAGTGGTGTGATCGCGGCTCACTGCAGCCTCCACCTCCCGAGTTCAAGTGATCCTCCCACCTCAGCCTCCCAAGTAGCTGGGATTACAGTTGCATGCCACCACACCTGGCTAATTTTTGTATTTTTAGTAGAGACTGGGTTTCAGTATGTTGGCCAGGCTGGTCTCGAACTCCTGACCTCAGGTGATCCGCTTGCCTTCAGCTTCCCAAAGTGCTGGAATTACAGGTGTAAGCCACCATGCCCAGGTGGGATGTCACTTTAGATAGTGCTGCTGGCCTTGGCCAGGCCCAGACACCAGGAGGGAGATGGGGCAGGAGCCCCGTAAAAATAGTGCAAGAACATTCACCACAGTGTTATATGCAATAGCAAGAGAAACCGGAAATCCACGGGAAAGGCACCAACCTGAGACTCAGTGAATAAATTAGGGTGCCTTCAAACAGGAAAGCCCTCACAGCCTGACTTCATCAGGGTGCTCCAGGAGCAACACAGAGGATGAGAAGTCAATGAGACCAACTTCTCCATTTGAGAAGTGAAGGAGGTGCAGGTCAGGAACAGAGCGCGACCCACGGAAGTGAAGGCAGCCAAGAAAGGGGCAGTTTCAGGTCAGTTATACTGTGGGCACCTGGGACTTAACCCTGAGGGGAGCCCACATCTCAGTGTTATCCCGCCCTAGGGGAAGGGAGTGGGGGTATTTATCTCCTTGGCTGAGGGCCCTGGTGATGGGTATGGAGTGCCTGCCAACTGTGCCTCCGGGGCTTTGGATAAAGCCCTGACAGACACAGATGCCAGCAGCTGAAGTCCCCCAGAGCCTGAGCACAGAAACAACAGGTCTGAGGAAGACGTGTGGGACCCCAAAAGCACGTGCAAGCTGCCAGCAAAGTCCATCTGTTCAGGCCGACATAGAACATCCTCCCCAAGCTCATGAGGGAGAAACAGAGTGAGCACCCAGGCTATGCGTCAGCCTCCTGGGTTTGAAGCCCAGGACCACACTGACTTGCTGTGTGACCTTGGGTATGTTTCTTAACCTCTCTGTTCCTTGGCATCTTTATCTGTCAATGGCTTATGAGCATAAAAAGAATAATGCATGTAATGGTGTTTAGCATAGTGCCTGGCATAACAAATGCTAACTATTGTTATTATATATTATTATTATAAATGGATAATTGTTAAAGGAGAAAAACAAGCCACAGAATAGTATGTCATATAATCCCACCAGTAGAGAAACAAAAGAACAGACACTTTCCCTAAATAGATGTTTATAAATGAACATTTCTAGGACATAAAAGAAACTGCATGTCTCATAAGTGAAAACACAAGCCAGGGCAATTTTACATTCTATGAGGTTGGTGCAAAAGTAATTGTGGTTTTTGCCTTTTAAAAGCAATGGCAAAGACCGCAATTACTTCTTCACCAACCTCATACTTTGTGTACATCTTACCATCAGCAGAAGTGATTTTATAATAAAGATTAGTTACCACTTCTTGCTCACCATTAAGTCATTAACTCGACAAACATGATTGACAACCTTTAACATCTGCCTAAATTTTACAAATCAAAACTATATTTTATAGGCATTTTCCCTTTTCTTCATGCTCATTCATCATTGTTAAATAGCTACTATTTATTGAGTATCCATATAAATGCTAAAAGCTTAGAATTTTAAAGGAAACTTAAATACATAAATATGTATTATGAAAAAGACAACAATAAAATACAAAGTGTAATTACGTGAGCACAAACCATTTGGGGTATTGTGAGGGTTTATCAACTTACAATAGGTGACTGCACAAATTCTAAACTACGATCTAAAAGTAAAAACAAACAATGACTTCAGAGCACCTTTCTGTCTAACCTGTGTTAGAAATAAGATTAATTAACATAATCTAAAAGCTCCCATGTTTTCTACATATAAAATTCAGGAAATAAATACTTTTTCATTAAGTTTGGGAATTATCTTTTCATCTTGCATGCAGTTTATACATAAACTTCCCCAAATTATCTTTTGTGAATGCAGTACTTTACAGTAATGTATTATTTAGATACATACTAAAATGCATGCTTGAATATAAAAGGGTAACTGAAAAAGAGAGAGCCAATTAACTGACTATAAATCTCTTTAATGTGTTTCATTTTAGGCATGCAATACCAAATCCAGTGAGCTAATGGGAAGTTTGCAGAGGGGAAAAAAGGCGTGGAAATATTTAACACAACAGTTAAGAATAATAAAACTCCATTTAGTATAGAAACGTGTGCTGATTTGAGAAAATGCCATATAAAATACTTTATTTTTTTTTTGTTTTTTTTCTTGAGATGGAGTCTCGCTCTTTCTCCCAGGCTGGAGTGCAGTGGTGTGATCTCAGCTCACTGCAACCTCTGCCTCCCAGATTCAAGCGATTCTACTGCCTCAGCCTCCCCCCGTAGCTGGGACCACAGGCGCGCGCCATCACACCCGTCTAAATTTTGTATTTTTAGTAGAGACTGGGTTTCACTGTGTTGGCCAGGCTGATCTCGAACTCCTGACCTCAAGTGATCCTCCTGCCTTGGCCTCCCAAAGTGCTGGGATTACAGGTGTGAGCCACTGCACCCTGCCCATATAAAATACTTCGGGAGGAAAAAAAAAAAGTAAAGCAGGGAATGGTTATTTGCATTATTGAAGGATGCTAACTCCTCTCTCTCACCATCTCCTCCCTCCTCCCAGCCTGCCACCCTGACCTCCCTGCACCAGATTTCTAGACAAGCTCTGTTCTTTCACAGCATTTGCGCAGGCTGTCCTGTCCCGGGAGCGCCCCCTCTCTGCCTCTGGCTGATTCATCTCTCAAGGCTGCAGTGGAAAGATTCCCCTGATCTCCTGCCCCTGTTCTGGAGAAGGAGATGCCTCTCCAAGGTGCCTCTGCAGTAACACTCTCACCCGTGACTATCATACCCTCTTCACTTGTCTGTCCCTCCCAAGCCCACAGCCACCCAACCTCTGCTCCTGGAGGGGAAGGCCGAGTCTAAGTGCCCAAGGTCATGATGGTAAGAAAGGCAGAGAACAACAAACTCTTTATAAAATAATAAGGTAGCCCACTTCTACCCCAAGGCAAGACAGGCGGCCCTCCATATCCCTGGCTCCCGTTCTGAGGACTCAACCGATCCAGATGGAAAATATTCGAAAATCAATAAACAGAAAAGAACAATACAACAAAAATTAAAAATTTTAAAATACAGTATAACAACTGTATACTGTATATAGCATTTACATAGAATTCTAAATAACCTAGAAATGATTTGTAGTATTTGGGAGGATGTGCATAGGTTATATGCAGATACTATGCAATTTCGTATCAGGGACGTGAGTATCCATGGATTTTGGTATCCAGAGGGGAACTGGAACCAATTCCTCATGGATGCAAAGAGATAAGTGTAAATGCTGTCTTATGTCTCTGAATTGTCATTCCTAGAACGTTGGTTAACAGTAATTATGCAAAATGGCAATGATTCCACAGCAAACTGTGCAGAGTACAACTTCACACCATGAGCAATGACTCTGAATAACAGAGATGTTGGTGTTTTTTGCTGTTGAGCTATAATGTAGGTGTTGTTATGCCTTTATTTCAACCATATGCAATGGCAAACACTACCCCTACTTTGCAAGTGGAAAAACTAACATAAATTTCTCCTTTTTTACAACTGTGAAGACTTTGTGATTTTGTATTTAGTGCGGTTTTTTTGTATTTTAATAAGTATTTTGCTACATGATAAATTTTTAAAGGAAATACATTAAACCTCAAATAACAGCACAAAATCTGTCAGAAAGCTGCTCACCAAAATTTCCCAAACACCAATCTTTGAAATAGTCATTTGTTAGTTCACCTAATTTGAGTAAATAATTTATTCACAGCATACAGAGAATAATTCTATTTTCTTTAAATTGTTTCATGTAAAAGAATGGGTCAGTAAAAGAACTTGTGCTTACAGGTAAATATGTAGGCTTACTTTTTCATAAGGTTATAATAGAATTCACTTCAGGACAAATAGACATAAGTAGCAGGCCCATAAAAGACATTTTTATAACTAGAGAATCATTAAATAATCACAGGAATTTTGCATCACTAAAAAAAGTCTTTAAAGAAATATTTCACCCAGTCCTAACCCTGCACTCTCCACCACCAACAATAACCTGCTATAAAACAAGTTGCTGTGCCAGAGTCAGTCTAGCAAAAAGAGAAAAACCACCCAGTGGAATGACTGGCTTTCAGATGCACAGCACCCCTGGGTTTTTTTGGCTACGTGCGCATGCAACTGCCTCTGCAGCTTCGAAGTCAGAAGACAGAGCCGCTGAATCCAGAAATGACAATCAGCTTGACAGCTGAGGAGACTTTGGCATGCCATGTGAAGCCACTAGATCATCTCTTTCTTTCTTTCTTTTGGTTCAAAGGCCAAATTGACACCGTATCATCAAACCTGTTATTTGCGCCTCCCTAGAGCAGCAGTAGGCTCTCGGGCCAGCTGTACAAATAAAGGATGAAGGAGATGAGAGCAGACACAGAACCGCCGGCCTCCCTGTCTTCTGAAGCCAGGGCATTCCTTTAGGATTTTGTCCCTTGTCGGTTGCCTAAGTCTAGAATGTCTCTTGAACAGGGCTAAGATAAAATTACTTTTATTTCATAACAACTTAGTAAAAGAGACCAAAAGATAAGAGGGTATGTACTGTACTTTTTAAAAACCAAAATCTTCAAGTCAGCCTTTTTGGCTGGCAATGATCTGGTTGCCCCAGGGACCAAAACATATGGGGAATGACAAAAATCTAAGAAATCGTTTGTCATTTTGTCAGTAGGAGCACTAGGAGAAACACTACAAATAAACAACTACAAATACAGGTACAGCCACACTTTTTCTGCCATGACTTCCTGCTCTTTCTTAGCCAGAAGGTATAAATAAATGCAAGGTATAAATCAGTGCAAGGTATAAATAAATGAAAAACTGAACAAACAGGAAAGATGCTTTTGTTATACTAATTATACAGATTTTCCAAATCACCCTTGAACTCTTAAGACCATGACATTTATCATAAAAAATGTCACAGGAAGGGGAAGGAATGTATTTATTAGGCTTGGTTATGGATTATGTGGCTGCCATGCTCCATACCTTACCTTATTTAATGCAACCAGCAACACTGAATAGTGTAGGCTATGATCCCCATATAGATGAAGGAAGGTGTAACTTATTCAGGCTCTCACACCTAGCAAGCTCAGATTCACACCTGGACCAGTCAGTCTCTCACCTAAACCTCTCCTCTTCCCCCTACCTGAGCCTGAGCCTAGCACAATGGAGGGTTCATCCACTAAATCACGCTCATGCCATGCCCGGAGTGACGTTTCAATCCCTTCAAGCCTCTTCTTATTTTTACACTTAAAAACAGTCTATCCAGATACACTCAATGTTCTTTTATAAAGTTTCTTTAGGACACAATGTTATTAATTGAATTAATTGAATACCTCTATTTTTTGTGGTTCTCAAATTTAACTTTCTGGTCCTATCCTATATCCCCAACTGTTTTCTAGAAACTTTCTTGCATCCTCTTCCCCTGTTAATTCATCTCACACATTGGGTCAAAGCTGAGCTCAGCCCTCTGCCTCCTCCTTCCCTGTCACTGAAGAGAGTAACTCTGTTCCTGGCATCATCTAAGCTCGCCATCCAGCTGCCAGCCTTGTCACCCTCTTTCCCTCATTCTCCATGTCCTTCTCATGACCAAGTCAATCACATCTCGATTTGAACCAAAACCCAAATCTCATGCTCCCATCTTACCTTCCTCCCACTGCCAAGCACCTGGCCCATGGTCTTGTCAACTCTCGCACGGGTTCCACAAGCACCAATCTCTCGCGTCTCCTTAACCCTGATCTTCTCCCCACTGCCCCATGCAACCGTCAATGAATCTTCTTCAGTCACCCCTTTCCTGGTGTCATTGCTTTCACCAACACCTGCAATGGGGACAATCTCCTTTCCGCACACCCGCCAACCTTATTCCCTGCAGTTTCCACACCCCCACCCTCTGCCCCAATCACACTTGTTTCCATGAGGTCAGAGTAGCCTTTCTTTACCTGTAGCTCAAATTCTGCCATCCCTCCAAAAATATTATAATCATAACAGTAGCAGTAATAACTGCCACCATGTACAAATCTAGACACAACACAACAGTGTGTTAATACATTCTTCTCATGGAATCCTTACCACCCTGTAAAGCAGAAAGTCATCCCTGTATCTACGACCTCATTCCCAAAGGAGGAAGCTGAGACTCAAAGACATGAGACAAAGGACCTGAGGCTGTTCAGTTCTGACTTCAAGGTTTCTGCTTCCATTTAACTGCAGTCCTCATCAATTTCACTCCCCTCCAAACTACCACATCTACCCTAAAATAATTAATGACTAAATAACGTCATCACCTATTTTTCATTATTGCCTTGTGCATGCTACTTTGCTTAATATCTGCTTGGGGTGATGTCTTCTAGTATACTTTTTTTTTTTTTTTTGAGACAGAGTCTCACTCTGTCACCCAGGCTGGAGTACAGTGGTGCAATCTCAGCTCACTGCAACCTCTGCCTCCCAGTTCAAGCAATTCTCCTGCCTCAGCCTCCCAAGTAGCTGGGATTACAGGCGGCCACCACCACGCCTGGCTAATTTTTGTATTTTTAGCAGAGATGGCGTTTTGCCATGTTGGCCAGGCTGGTCTCGAACTCCCGACCTCAAGTGATCCGCCCCCCTCGGCCTCCCAAAGTGCCAGGATTACAGGCATGAGCCACTGCGCCTGGCCTCTGGTACACTTTTTGCAGCCAGGGATTCATGAACGTTTTTATTTCCACCTCAGCATCTTGACCACTGTCTTGCACAGTATAAATTCTAAACATATACTCATGGATTACATGATCAATTAAAACTTCCACAATTAAAATGAACAAATAAATATTCTTTTAAATATATTCATCCTTTTTATGAGTCTCATTATTCTTAATCCATTATTATTATCATTCCTTTCTTTTCTAATGCTTCCCTCCTTTTTAAGGCTTGATTGTAATTCAACCAGTCAGCCACTGGGTGACACTACAACATCACTCACGAATCCTTTGGCAGTGCCTCCAGGAGCCTCCCCTATTGCAGGAAAAAGGCCCGTTAGGTGCCAGGAAGAGTTATCAAAATAAATAACAAAAGGTGTTATCAACAGTAGACAATCCAGAGACTGGACTTCAGTGGCAGAGTGTTTTCTTGTACCTTAAAGTAACCGCACTTGTTCACAATGAAATAGGGGCAACTGAGGGATTTAGCCTGGAGTAACACTCATTCGAGATTTTCACTGTGTTCTTAAGAGGCAGCATGGTGCAGTGGGAAGAACCCTGCACTGAGAACCAGGAGACATGGCTTTGCCACTGAACAACAAGGTCACCCCTTACTCCAGGCCATTGGAGAAGGGTTTTCCCATTTTAAAACATGGCATCTGCGTCTTCTGCGGGGCCTAAACAAGGCTAAGGGCTCCTGGTAAGCTCCCTGACTAGCTCTAACCCACTCAACTCTCCCTCCTTCTTGCCTGCCCTGTTCTCCAGCATCCCTGCCCCTTGGCCTTGCCTTGATTTGCTCCCACCTGTGTCTTGTGGCCCCCTCTTCCTCCTGTTTGGAGTCTCCCCCAGAGCTCTTCAGGGCTGCCCTGGCTTCTTGTCACTTTCTCTCCAGCCAAAGCATCCATTTCCAAGTGGTCAATTTCACCCACAGACAATCCCTCCGTGTCCCTCCCTAACCCAGACCTTTCTTTCTGAGTGCCAGTCACATATCCAACTGACCACAAGCGCTGCAAGTCCAAACCTGGACTCATGATCGCCCCTGAAACGTGCTTCCTGAGCGGGCACCACTGTCTGCACAGCAGCTTACACCTCTCCTGGGAGGCCCGCATGCCTCTAACTGCCTGCCCCAACTGCGCCAGGTGAGTCTCCTCATTCCTATCAAGTCTGCCTCCCAAATATGTCCACCTCCCATCCACTTCCCTACCCTCCACACTCACCCCCTCGCTAAGCCACCAAGACTTCCCACCTGCATGACTGCAGCAGCCTCATAACAGGTTTTCCCTAACATTACCTACCTGCCACCAGCCACATTTTCCAAACAGCACCAGATCATCTTATAACATAAATCCAATCTGCTTCTTCCCTTCTTAAAATCTTTCAAAAATTTCTTATTATGCAGGAAAATCTGTCTGCTTTTTTTTTTTTTTCTTTCTTTCTTTTTTTTTTAAGATGGAGTCTCACTCTGTCGCCCAGGCTGGAGTGCAGTGGCACGATCTCGGCCCACTGCAGCCTCTGCCTCCCAGGTTCAAGCAATTCTCTGCCTCAGCCTCCCCAGTAGCTGGTATTACAGGCACCCACCACCATGCCCAGCTAATTTTTGTATTTTTTTAGTAGAGACAGGTTTTCGCCATGTTAGCCAGGCTGATGTTGAACTCCTGACCTCATGATCCACCCACCTTGGCCTCCCAAAGTGCTGGGATTACAGGCATGAGCCAACCTACCCTGCCCCTGTCTGCTTTTTAAGCTGCATTGCATGCTGCCGGGTTCCTTACCCACTGTGGTCAAATTTCTCTCTAGTCACGTTTCAGTCCCTCAAACATGCTAGCCTGTCTCCTTCCCACTTCAGGGCTCAAGCGGAGGCTGTTCCCCTTGTCTGAACACTTGTAGGGAGCTGAATGGCGCCACAAAAAAAGATACGACATGTCTTAAGCCCAGAGCCTGTGACTATTGCCTTAGACGGCAAAAGACCTGATAAAGTGAAGGTTCTTGAGCTGAAGAGTTTCTCCTGGGTGATTTAGGTGGGCCCTAAATGCTACTACATGCACCTTTATAAGGAGGACGCAGAGGGAGATTGATGTGGACACATAGAGGAGCAGGCGATGTGAAGACAGAGGCACAGACTGAAGTGAGGCCGCTAGGAACCAAGGAATGCCAAGGACTGCTGACACCAGAAGGAGTGGAAGGAGGCAAGGAGCAGGTTCTCCCCCAGAGCCGTGGAGGGAGCCTGGCAGTGCCAGCAGCTTGCTTTTGGACTTCTGGCCTCTAGAGAATACATTTCTGTTGTATTAAGCCACCATGTATATGGTCATTTGTTACACAGCCATAGAAACTGACAGAAGGCTTCTCCTTCAGACTGTGGCTAGGAGAGTTCTAATTCCACCCGGTTCAAGCTCAAGTGCTAACCCACAGCTCCCTGTGCCCTGACCCCGATATGCTCCCATGCAAAGCAAGCCAGGGCACCAAATTGTCCACCTGGGGAGGGAGCAAGGATTTTTGTCTCATCTTTTCCCTGATGTGACTTGAGCACCTCAAACAGTGCCTGGCGCTCCTCAGGCAGCCAGAAATAGTGGCCGGAGGGGAGTCTTGTCTGTCTCTCGGTTTGGCTCTGAGCTCCAGGCTGCAGGGACTTTCTTCTTTACGACTGAGGCCTCCATGGCCTGGTTGGATGCCTGGCATGTGGCAAGTGCTCAATGGTTACTTGCCGAATGAAT
This sequence comes from Homo sapiens, assembly GCF_000001405.40. Taxonomy (NCBI): domain Eukaryota; kingdom Metazoa; phylum Chordata; class Mammalia; order Primates; family Hominidae; genus Homo; species Homo sapiens. The sequence goes on from NC_000002.12 coordinate 227,132,439, forward strand.
GGAAAGCTATTATTATTGGTATTATTATTCGTTGCCATTAAGATTGTATGATAGAGGACGAGTGCAGTGGCTCTTGCCTGTAATCCCAGCACTTTGGGAGGCCGAGATGGGCAGATCTCTTGAGGCCAGGAATTCAAGACCAGCCTAGTCAACATGGTGAAATCCCGGCTCTACTAAAAATACAAAAATTAGCCGGGCATGGTGGTGTGTGCCTGTAATCCCAGCTACTTGGGAGGCTGAGGCAGGAGAATCGCTTGAACACAGGAGGTGGAAGTTGCAGTGAGCCAAGATTGCACCACTGCACTCCAGCCTGGCAACAGAGCAAGACTCTGTCTAAAAAATAAAAAATAAACAAAAAAAAGATTGTGTTATAGAGAAATAAGCACCTTGGAGACAGCTGTTTGTGGATTTCTTGGCAAATTATTGAATATGGTTGTTTGAAAGGAGAAATTTGCTTTTATTTCCTAAAACCATTATAATTCCTCATCTTAGCTAATTAGTCAGACGTTACATTTGTACTAAAGAGGTATTCTTATACTAAGTGCTTTCTATTTTCCTATATAGTAGATTATTTCCCCCAAACTGTGCCCTGCTTTTGAGTGCACCTGTATCGCTAGCCCTTATTTCTTGCCAATAACAAGTTCAGTGTGGCCCTGCATTTGCTGAGCTCCGCACCCAGCCTGGCCTGGGTCATGCTGGGTCACACAGTTTGGCAGTTGTTGCTGTGGAATTGAACTCCACATGAGGAGACCAAAGGCCCTGTTGCAAATCACTGACAAGTTAATGAGGTGACTGACCAGGGCAGATGTGCCCAAAACTGCCTTCAGACCCAAACCACAACTAGGATTCCCAGGGGAGAGTCTTGTTATGTTAGCTCTATACGTAGACTCGGTCTGTTTGGAAAATAGGTAATACATTCTACAGTGTAGTAGGCAGATAAAAGCTTCTTTTCTCTCTTTTCTCATGCACGGATGCTGGATTTAAAGAGATATTTCTCAGTCTACTGAAATGATGTTAGTTAGTTGGAGTTATTTTCCCATGTAGACATCAGCTGCTGCTGCTACTTCTACCACTATAATTTATTAATACGCCAAAAAGCATTAAATGATAGGCAGGGATCCTTCCTTTACTCTCTAGGCCTCCCAAACCCTGTCCAGAAATCCTTACTCAAGGCCAGGCGTGGTGGCTCACGCCTGTAATCCCAGCAGTTTGGGACGCTGAGGTTGGCAGATCACCTGAGGTCAGGAGTTTGAGACCAGCCTGGCCAACATGGCAAAATCCCATCTCTACTAAAAATACAAACATTAGCCAAGTGCGGTGGGGGTGCCTGTAGTCCCAGCTACTCGGGAGGCTGAGGCAGAAGAATTGCTTGAACCCAGGAGGCAGAGGTTGCAGTGAGCCAAGATAGCGCCACGACACTCCAGCCTGAATGAGAGAGACTCCATCTCAAAAAAGAAAAAAAAAAAGAAAAAGAATTTAAAAAAGAAAGAAATCCTTACTCAAGCCTACACAGATCATCCTATAGCTGAAGATTCAGGCTTTAACTTTTGCAAGTTTTTTATTCTTCAGAAATCAAGGTTCCTGTTCTTGACACAGGGGGGACACTTTAACAAGCTAAGCCCACATTATAAACTGGAAGCTGGTGGGCTGAATTTTACTGGGGAGTGTGTTTAATTGCTAGGCACTGGGTTTTTTAAAAATTCTGAATTCTGATGCCTTTAAATGACAAATGCACCGTCCAGCTCCTAGTAGCCCCATCCTGAGCACCTCCTCTCCCCATTACTACATTCAGGTCACCAGCTGTTCCCCAAGGACATCTGAGTCTGCCATCTCTGACAGGGACTTCATTTACCAGGGAATTCTCCAGTAGTAACAAAATGAGCCAGAGAGTTCTTGGAGGAGGAAGATATAGCAAGAAGAACAAAAAAGCAAACCCAACAAGCTCAGGGGTTGAAAGACCACCTTTGCCAACTTCTAATTGTCACTGGAACTTGTTTACATCAAAATGGAACACAATTGACTTAAGTGAACTTTGGGGACATAAAAATTATTGTTCTGAACCATGTATCAGGCTACAGGTAGAAAATGTCCTAAAACACAGCTGTGTGAGTGATAGTGAGACTGAGTTCTAGAACTTTGAGTGCAAGTAATTCAATGAAATGAAAAATGTTAACAGTAATTAAACTTTCCCAAGTAAATTCCATTTTTATCATGGAATGCAAGCTCTTAGGAGTATAAGGGATGAGTGAATGAGATCGCAGGGAAAATACTTGCAGTTTTTTAGTGATTTGAAATTCTCCGAAGAAAGAATGACTCACTCACGTTTGATTTTGGTTTTCAAACCAAAAAGACTAAGACAATTCTTGACATTTACGTCATTTGACCTCCGTGTTTGTAAAACCACCACATCATAAGGTTTTGTTAATTTTGCAATTGTTATACTCCCTTGAATAGAAAACAATATGGGGAAAAAACTGTGGACAGTGTCTTTATTATCATCCTTGTTACTAAAGTATAACTTATAAAAGGTCCTCATTCTAATTTGTAAGGACATGTAATTTTCCCTGCAAGGAGCCCACCAGTAAACACAGAGAGCTTCCTCCCTTGAAACTGATAAGGAATAATAGAAAATCCTGCCTGATATACCTCATTCACACCCTTAAAGATGGGCCATAGTGAGGTTCATGGAAATGTTAGGGCCTGGTCACAAGTCATTTGGGAAACCAAGTAAATAGCTGTCATATGTGAAAACCCACGCCCCATATCACAGAACCATGGGCTGCTAGAGCCGAGGGGACCAACCAGCCCCCTCTAGGACAAATTCTCACATCCCAGGTGAGGGCTCTGAACCCGAAAAAGATCAAGGAGGTAAGCTCCAGTCTCCTCCCCTCAGCCTGGAGCTCTTAGGGTGCCATTGTACCTTAAAAGGTCCAAGAGCTGCAACCCTCTTATTTGTTGCTGCTGCTCAAAGTGCTTATTTCTGACCCTACCTGAAATTCACAAGGGAATTTGAACTATGTGAGATTACTCATTTCCTAACAGGCTTAAATGCTAGTGTGTGGGGAGAAAGTCTAGGGTTGGGGAAGAGGCTCCCCACTAATTCTGTCCCCCTCTTCTCTTGGGTATGGGAGATCCCCCTACAGAGTCCCTGCATGCTGGCCTGACCACCAGCTCAGCTCCCAAATCCTGTCCAGGCTGGAATCTATTTTTTTTTTTCTTTTGAGACAGAGTTTTACTCTTGTCACCCAGGCTGAAGTGCCATGGCGAAATCTCAGCTCACTGTAACCTCCGCCTCATGGGTTCAAGCAATTCTCCTGCCTCAGCCTTCCAGGTAGCTGGGATTACAGGCGCCCGCCACCATGCCTGGCTAATTTTTTGTATTTTTAGTAGAGGTGGGGTTTCACCATGTTGGCCAGGCTGGTCTGGAATTCCTGACCTCAGGTGATCCACCCACCTCAGCCTCCCAGGGTGCTAGGATTACAGGCGTGAACCACCATGCCTGGCCCCTGAATTTTAGTTTCTTAATTTATGTGTATTAACTGCCTGTTGTGTGCTATCTACTGTGATAATCTCAAAGTACAAAAAATGACCCCCAGTTTACAAAGGGGAGAAGTGAAGGTAGGCAAACTATATTTCAAGGGTGTCCACAGTGGGTCAGGAATCAGGATCAACGTTTTACTTGTGTTCTCATGACCACCTTCAAGAAGTGTATGCTTGCAATCTAATCAATAAAGTCGGGCACATTCACTCTCAAATCCAGCCAGAGCTACAGAGCAGGGCAGGACAAGTACAGCAAAAGAGAAGCAGGTAAGCAGCTTGCTAGGGGGCTCTGGCAGGGAGACATCGACACTGACTGTGATGAGCAGAAAGGCCTTGTGGTTTGGCATCTCCACTGAGCTCCTTTGAGAAGAACAGGAAAGACAGAGGCAGAGTGCAAGTTGGAAGGCACTCAGAAAAGGGCAGAGAAGTGGAAATATTCAGATTATCTTCAAGAGTGAATGAGTGGCCCAACTGCTGCAGCTGGAGAGGGTCAAAGGGGCAGTAATGGGGATTACAGATGAAAACTCATGCTGGGGCTAGACTGTGAGCCTCCAGCAGTACAGTGATGGGGCTGGACTTCATTCTGTAGACATCAAAGGAGGCCCCCCTTGATTCTCCACCTTAGATTGTTCCATCTCCACCTCTAACTCTAGCTCTCCTCTCCAGTTAAATTGCGAACCATGGCCGTTCCTCAGCACAGAACCAGCCTTGCCTGTCAACGATTGCTTTAGACATAGCAGTTTTGATGTGGGGTTTGATGAAACTACTACCTACTACTACCTACTGCTACTACGGGCATTAACCTGTAAGAGAGGAACACTTTCCTTCTTAGGAATAGCCCGCTATGCCACTTGAAGGCTGTGCAGCCTCAGGCAGATCCCTCAAGCCTTAGGAATTTGGTGTGTTCCTATTCTGATAGTCCCCCGTGAGCTGTCACTGCAGCTCAGAAGGTTGGCCGGCTGCTGAGGACTTGACAGTGCTACTTTCCCAAACCACCTTCTGTTACGCACAAGTCACACTCCCAAATCCTCGCTGGAAGATGTCACAACGACTTGCAGCCTTCCCATGGAAAACCCATTCATCTCAGGAAGACCACAGGCTCCCTGTTGTGGCACACACAGCTCTCCTTGACCACGCAGACACAAAGACACACACAGCAGAGTGCCGCTCAGGACTGGGAGCCTTCCCTATCCAGAGACTGCTTAGAGGGTGGAAAGTACACCATCTACACATGCAATGCCTTGCGCTTGTTTAACAGCCCAAGGACATAGAAGAGAAGGACCAATGGGGGTACGTGCAAGGAAACCCAGGCTTGGTCAGAGTCAAGTGGCAACCCAAGTTTACAAAGTGATGCTACAACCCAGCAGTTGGTACCTTCGTGTAATGATCTTTCCACGATCATGGAGCAAATGCTGGGTTTGAAGCCAGACACGTGGGTGTGATTCCTGGTTCTCCTGCATCCTAGCAAGTTATTTAGAACTGTTGGGAATTTAGTTTCCTTGCTCTGAAGGGTGGAAATAATAATACTTGCATCACAGAGCAGAGGTGAGATTAGAACAGGGCTTCTCAATCTTGGCACAGTTGGCATTTGGGATGGATAATTCTTTGGTGTGGGGACTGTCCTGTGCATTGTAAGATGTTGAACAGCACTTCTGGTCTCTACTTGCTGGAAACCAGTAGCATCCCCTTTTCTGCTAAAACAACTCTCAGCCTCATTCACATTGGGAGACCCACTGAGGTGCCTTTATCAAAGCAACTGGTCCTCTTTGTTTTGGGGTCGGCTCATCTCTTTCTTGCCACAGGGCTGATCAAATCTATTTATCTTGGTCCTGAAGCTCAAAGTCATAAAATTTAGAGGCACTGAGGTTTTTTTTCCTTTTTGCATTTGTACAATCTTGGTATATTTACATTAATAACCTCACAGAAAAGCCAGGCTTTTTTTCTATATAATGTGCACATTTACACAAAAAAGCTAAGGACTTTGTTTTCTTGAAGCTTCACTTTTAAAATTATATTATGAAAGTGGCTCAAGACCGGCTTCACACAGTGGCTCATGCCTGTAATCCCAGGACTTTGGGAAGCCAAGGAGGGAGGATCACTTGAAGCCAGGAGTTTGAGAACAGCCTGAGAAACACAGCAAGACTCCACCTCTACAAATAATAATAATAATAATAATAATCAAAAAAATAATTAGCCTAGTGTAGTGGCATGTACCTGTAGGCCCAGCCACTTGGGAGGTGGAGGTGGGAGGCTCACTTGAGCCCAAGAGTTTGAGGTTGCAGTGAGCCAAGATCATGCCATTGCACTCCAGTCTGGGTGACAGAGTGAGACCCTGTCTAAAAAAGAAAAAGAATAGAAAAGAAAAAGGTCTCTGGCCTGGTGCAGTGGCTCACGCCTGTAATCCCAGAACTTTGGGAGGCCGAGGCTGGCGGATCATGAGGTCAGGAGATCGAGACCATCCTGGCTAACACAGTGAAATCCCGTCTCTACTAAAAATACAAAAAATGAGCCAGGCATGGTGGCGGGCGCCTGTAGTCCCAGCTACTGAGGAGGCTGAGGCAGGAGAATGGCGTGAACCTGAGAGGCGGAGCGTGCAGTGAGCCGAGATCGCGCCACCGCACTCCAGCCTGGGTGACAGAGCGAGACTCTGTCTCAAAACAAAAAAAAAAAAAAGAAAAAGCTCAAGATAAATTCTGATGAACAAAATTTTTGATGTACTGAAGAAGGAACAAAGCAGTTTAAGCATCAGTGGATTTGTCATAACTTATGCTCAATAAGGTAGCTGCTCCCAGTAAAATAGGCCAACAAAGGAACCCATTGCACACCTGCTGTGTAAAGATGAAGCAATACCATGAGAGAAATATGTTGTCCCTTCTCTTGTGGGTAGTGTTTTGTGTCCTTGTAGACTCCTCTTTACTGTACTGTGCTTTTTGAATGTCATGCACAGCCCCCTACAATTGACTTGAACACTGTTACAGACTGAATGTTTGTGGCCCCCAAAATTTATATGCTGAAATTCTAACCCCCAAGGTGATAGTAGGAGGAGATGGGGTATTTGGGAGGTAATTAATCAGAGCGGAGTAGTCATGAATTGGATGAATGCCCATATAAATGGGACCCCAGAGGACTCTTTCTCTCCACCATATGAGGATACAGTGAGAAGACACCATCTGCACACCAGGAAGCAGGCCTTCAGCAAGACACTGGATCTGCCAGCACCTTGTTCTTGGGGTTCCCACCCTCCTGGACTGTGAGAAATAAATTTCTCGTAAGCCACCCAGTCTATGGTATTCTGTTACAGCAGCGAGAATGGATGAGGACACATTTCAAAAGAATCATTGATCTGACTCAAAAATTGTCCCAAACTTCTATACCACACTCCTTTCTTGTGAGATTGTGGGAGTAATTGTAATTAGAGAATTGTTTGATCTAATACTTTATCACAAATGAATTAGTGGGCTGCTGTCAGAACATGGGGGAGACATTAACAAATGTTCAAGAGACCTGACAGACAGTAACCAAAGAGGTTCTTGGCTTTGCAGAACAGAGAATCTAGCGTGGTCATCAACGCAAACGTTCTGGGTGGACTTGAGCAAGACACTAACTTTCTTGGGCTTCAGTCTCCTGCACTGCAAACATGGTATCCTAAGAAGGTTCTTACGAGAAGTCAATGAGCAGAAGCATTTTGAACTCATAGAACAGTGCCTGGCACATAACAAGCATACAAAAAATATAGCTATCACTTCATTAGAACACTGTGCCACTTGTTTCAATAGCGACAATCCAAGAAAGAGTCCTGTGGTCAACTGTCTGGAAAGACCAAACAAACTTGGATTTTTTTCTACCAACTTCAGTACCTCTCAGAGCCTTTAAAATGCCATATTTCAGGATGGTGACCCAGTAGTTACCATTTCACACCAGGACCCTTCCTCCACAGGACAATTCACAAGACTAGTGTCATATAAAACAATGGGTGAATCGCAGCTTCCTAGACTATCTTCTAAGCCTGGACTGTCTAATATAGTTGAGATTGCTATTAGAATGTGAAAAACTTCGGCTGTGAAATACATAAACATTATCGAGGACTAAAATTTGCCAAGAATCTGGGATTACTTTATATTAAATATTCACAAGTTCTCAAAATTCAGGAATGCTGCCCATGTTGGTCTTTACATCACTTACCCGAGACCCCTTTTCAGGAACACAGTGGCAAACAGAGCAATCTCTTCCTCCACAAGGACCAATGTATTTCTTTCCACTCTGGAAAGTGAAGCATCTTATTTAGTATACCAGTACTCATCGTTTAACTACGTGCATAACACATACATTATAACAAGCACTCTTGGTTTACCTTTGACTCCATGAGAAGAAAAGACTAATCATGACATATAAAAAGATGAAGAACTTACACAGTAGCTTAATAATAAGGAGGGTTGATTATATGAGCAAGAAGCTTCCAAACTGAGGATGCTGAAGGAAAATAAGTATCCTTCTAAAGTCGTTTGGCTTTAACTGGAATCTTCTGCAGTTTCTCCCTTTCGGTAAGACTTAATTTATTAAGTTGTGAACAGTCTTAGAGTGTAAACTATGTGGTTAGGCAATCCATGCATAGACAGTGGAGTCTAGTTTAAATGAAAAGCTTGTTTTTTTTTCAGGGCCTGTTTTGCTTTATCTTCAAGATCAGCTACAGTGTATCTCCTCCCTCATCAAACTGTCCTTCCTAGGACAATTCTTCTGTCCCATCCTTGGGCTTAAAATTAAAATTGTTGTTCCTACAATTTGCTGAGACTCCAAGATGGTTTCTCTAATGTGTTTCTCAAACAGAAACTCCTGAACTTGAATAATTTGGACCTTTTCCCCACTTTTAGCAAACTTTCCAACACTGTCTTTAGAGCATCACACACACACACACACACACACACACACACACACACACACACACACCCTTTAGGAAGAATCAGCTCCTTGTTCTCATGAATCCTAATCACCTATATCCAGAGTCATCATCCACTTCCATATAAAAGCATAGTCCCAGAGTACTATTTCCATAGGCAGATCCCTTAACAGCAATCACCATGATGCACCTGCAATGAACATGAGCACTGAGCGTGCATTCCCAGGCTGGGCCTGCCAGTGGGGAGGGAGTGGTGGTTTAGGCCCCTGTGTAGTGGACAAATCACCTCTAGGTGCTAGGACCCAAGGGCATGGATAAGAATATCAAGAAAGCATCAGAGAAAAGGTTTGCCTGGCTCATGATCTGGCCTAGCTGTCATTGCAACATTTATACATTGGCCATACAATTTTATGATTGATCAACCTTTTTAAACTTAAGGCTGTAAACTCAAGCCTTTAGACCACTGTATGATGGGAAAACATAAAACAATAAAACTAATATTTATAGTCCCATGGAAGACATATATACATATGTATGTGTGAATGCATTGAATATATATGTGTATATGTGAATATTCATGTACGTATACATATATATGAACAGGTATATGTGTATGGGAGGGAAAAGAGTCTAATCAGCATATATTATTTTTCTTTTCACTCGCACAGTTTAGGCTTATTTTTTGGAGAAAAATATGCTCAGACACAATCCAAAAGAAAATATCTTTAAGCATTAATTTTAAAAAGACATCTTTGTAAACAATATTCTCATGGATCATTAAAAGCATACAAGAATTTGAAGCTTGACGAGAGTCAAGCGATTAGATAGTTTAAGTTTAAAAATGTATTTGAAGTTTCAGAAATATATGCCTCTTGAGTTTTGAGTAATGTTGTTATCTATAAATGCAGAAATATTAAGTTAAACACCCTGATAAGGTTAAAAAAAAAATTAAATGCCCGGGCCCAGGTCGGGACAGCATGAAAGCACTTAAAGTAACTAGATTGAATACTTGGGTTCATTTAAGGTTGGGCTTCATTACTATGTGTTCGCTGAAATATCAAAACAACTAGAGGAAAAAAAATAAGGTCAGCTGATTAGATGGCTTGATAATAAGGGCAAGTTTGTTATTATTATTTCTTTGCTTATTTTTGCCAAACATCACTGAGATGTTTGCAGCAAAACTATGTTTCAGGAAAGAATCACTTTAAAATAGATTAGTAGATTCAAAAAAAAAAAAAAAAAAAAACAGGAATAGTCACATATCAAGGTTTGACTTGGATCAGTAAAAGGAAAAAGCAAGAGGTGATTTTAGCCTCTGCAAAGTTATTCTACGTAAACATTCCCCAATAAATATTTAAAAGAGGAGGGTGAAATTATAGAGGTCTGCACCTCAAAAATAGATTGTATAAATTCATTTTAAAAGATAAACACAATATTTCAGACAATTAAACATTCAAAGTACGAACGACATTCACTGGGAATACATTCACGCTCTCGGAAACTAATGTTACTCTTCTTCAAAGAGAAAAAAGGAAAAGTCACTATCTGCCTTATCTCAGATATTGTTAAACATATATTTGTCACATAGAAAAGTTCAAAGGCTGGCTGCGGTGGCTCATTCCTGTAATCCCAGCACTTTGGGAGGGCAAGGCTGGCAGATCACTTGAAGCCAGGAGTTCAAGACCAGCCTGGCCAACATGGTGAAACCCCGTCTCTACTAAAAATAACAAAAAAATTAGCCAGATGTGATGGCACATGCCTGGAATCCCAGCTACTCAGGAGGCTGAGGTGGGAGAATCACTTGAACTGGGAGGCAGAGGTGGCAGTGAGCTGAGATCGTACCACTGCACTCCAGCTTGGGTGACACAGTGAGACCCTGTCTCACAAAAAAAAAAAAAAAAGTTCAAACAAAGAAGTTATTAATGTCTTATACTTGTAATTCCATCTTCTTTTTTGAAAAACAAATAATATAGACACATAATTTTAAAAATTCAAATGGTGCCAAAGAGTGTAACAGGAAAACAAATGTCCTCTTTCAACACTGGCCCCAAGTTCCCTCCTATACAGGATAATTTTTTTCAAATAGGTGTTTGGGCATTAATAAGCATATTCATACAATGACCTCATTCACACACACACACACACACGCACACACAGAGGCAGATGAGCACATGGGCACACAGGCACAGATGTGTACAAACACACTTTTGGTGATTTGGACTTGTTTTATTTTTATCCAAATGGTGGATTGCTCTATATTTTGCTGTTTTCACATAATTGAAAGTCTTCAAAATCATTCCAAAGTAATACATATGCCTATCCATCAGACCACATACCATACTTTGTTTAACCAGTTGTTGTTGAAGGAAATTTAGGGAGCTCCCTTCTGTCTATACTGAACACTACCCTGAAATTAGTACTCTTGGGCATATTTATCTGTATGCATGAATCAGAATAAACACGTATGACAAATTCCAAAAAGACACATTCCTGTGTCAATAGGTACGTGCATTCAAAATCCGGATGGGTAATACCAAATCGCTTCCCACAGACATCGCATCGATTTGTATTGCTACCTTTAAAACCCAATGATAATATGGCCACTCCCTGTGTGAAATCTCTAGACTCTCTGCACACCACAAGCTGGTAGAAGTCCTGGGATAGAAAAATCTTTGATTCAGAAATTATGTTTACTTGTATGCAATATTTTAAAAAAAGTAAAATCTAGGACTCTGCAGACTTTTATAACAGGAAAAAGAATATAACACAAAAATAAACTTTTAAAAATCAGGTAAGAGAAATAGAAAAAATACACATGTATATATCATAGTATTGTTTCCACTCATTATTTCAGGTGATACTCTCAAATGCATGTCAACAAAGTCGGGCAAGTCTTATCATCCCTACTCAATACAGGAGATAACTGAGTCTTATATAAGTTAAGAAATGAATCTTTGGCAGAGCCAAGAACCACTGGCTCCTCATTCTTTGACCCAGGTGTTTTCTGCTCCCAACTTGTAGGAAAAGGAGAACAGAAGGTAATTTTGCACTTTGATTTGCTTTGAAAAAACCTACAATAACTTGATTCACTGAAATTGCATTGGGTGAATCCAAGGTGGAGAGTATGAACAGATAGGGTTATGTTCACTAGAGTGATTTAAACCAAGTCAGTTGTCTCAAGATCAACCTGAGTTGCAGGCAGGCCACAATGGGATTTCCCAGACACGTCTGAGGGTGAGTTTAATGACTGGGATTCTTCAGTGAGGAAGCAGAAGAAAGATAGCTTATTACAGAATGTTCTGGGCTTATTTTTCTTCTGAGCTAAAATGTTCAAATTATTCTTGTATTTCTTGATTTAATCTTGAAATGGCCCAGCTGCCTCTTGCCTGTCTCCAAAAAAAAACTTTTAAAGAAAGGGTTATGTTTGTATTAAAATAAAGAAATCCCCAATACCTAGGCAATTCAGAAAGCAGTCTTGACTATACAATATAAAAGAAATCTTAGAGTTTATTTAGTCCTATTCTCCATTTTACAGGTAAGAAAATTGAGTCCCAGAGGGTGATTTCTTTGAAAGTATAACAAAAATTATGCATTCTATAAAGTGAATTTTCACAACGCAACCAGAGCTAGTGAATGTACTTACCCCATATACATATTGTACAGAAAAGAGAATGAGTATAAGTGACCTACAGAAAAACAAAAACGCAGATTAATTTAAACAGTTTCTTTTCATGTGAAACAAAAAGAAAAAGAGTAAAGGAATTAATTCCAGAAAGCTACTTTTTATTTCTATGAGGCTGCTCCTACTAGCCGACTTGTCATCAGTGACAAGATCCATGCTTTCCTCTCTCTGGCTGCCATCATTGCCTTTCCTCTTTTTAATCAGCCAAGAAGTGTGTGTTGAACCCCTTGTGTGGTCCTCATTGTGCTGGGGACCGTGAGGACCCTCTGAAAGTGAGACCTGGAGGGACAGATGAGTGAAAGAAGATGATTCTCAGAATGAAAACTGCAGGAGAGAAGGAAGGAGGCAGCTTTGTTCAGACATGCACATTGCTGAGACCAGTGTATCCCATAATGCCATTTAGTGGAAGCAACTAGAAGGAGGGAAGGTGGAAGGAAACCTAACTGGACTGGGAGGATGGTTTGGAGAAAAAAGGAAATAATATGGAATATTTAGGGAAAAGTTATGTAGTCCAGGGCCTTATAAGTGAGGCAGAAATCCAACTGGGGTAACTTCATTATTACAAACAAATTTTAACAGAGGACATATGCAATTTTAAAAGACCACTAAAAGGCCAAGTGCGGTGGCTCAGGCTTGTAATCCCAGAACTTTAGGAGGCCGAGGTGGGCGGATCACCTGAAGTCAGGAGTTTAAGACCAGCCTGGCCAGCATGACGAAACCCCATCTCTACTAAAATACAAAAATTAGCTGGGCATGGTGGTGCATGCCTGTAACCCCAGCTACTCCGGAGGCTGAGATAAGAGAATCACTTGAACCCGGAAGGCAGAGATTGCAGTGAGCCGAGATCGTGCCACTGCGCTCCAGCCTGGGTAACAGAGTGAGGTTCTGTCTCAAAACAACAAAACAAAACACCCATTAAACATCTGCATATATTTTCTAGACCTTATATTTGTCAAACAGCTTCTGGATCCATCATCTTATTTAACGCTTAAAACAGCTGTGGTTAGAACTTCGGGTCACACCATTCCAAAGGATGGTAGGAGAACTGGGGCTCAGTTCTGGGCTGTGATTTATCTGCCATCCTTGTTCTTTTGTTCTCTGTAGAGCCTTCTCCTCTCTAAAACCTCATGTCCTAAGTGAGCCTTTGTTCTCCACCCTCTACTTCTTCCTCTTTTGCTGAGATGCCGACAGACACTACAGATGTTTACAGGGCTGTGGATCTGGGAGACGAGTAACTGGGTCCAGCCCATACTTAATGGCTCCCACACTAAATTTCCTCTCTCCTCAGCTGTTTTCATGATAATTCCAACACAAGCCAGGTTGGCTTTTCATTGTAGTAACCAAATAAATAAAGAGAAAAATATAAAGGAGGTGTTAAACACCGGGAATCAACTGCTTTAAATCAGGTTGAATGTGTATTTACAACTCTTGCTTGTTAAATGAGTTATTATCACTGGACATTTTTAAATAGGATATGTTGCATTTTATAGCAATTGTCGCTTTTCTCTATATAATCTCATCAAGGATTGTAGGCACAGCATGTTTCTTAAACCTTTTATAGAAGAGCAAACAGACTTAGAAAAGTTGGACAATATGCTCCAAAGAGTGCAGACAGAATGGCCCCGAGGGGGCCAGCTCGGGTCAGGTCCGAAGCTCCTTCATAGTCCCTTTATACTGCACTGGACTTGTTCTTTCTGCCACTGTAGATATTAAAAAGTAAGATCATTCCTTTTTTTTTTTTCTTTAAAAAAAAATCCACAATTAAGATTCCTTTCCATTTCTTCCACGTCCACCCCAAATCAGTTAAGACTGGACCATATTCCTTCCCACCACCTTCACTTCTTTCACTCCCCGTAATTTCTTGTTCATTATCCTCAGAACTTTTTGTATTTTTTCACTGTTTAACATTTCCCTGTGTTAACTCCCAATGTCATTTTGAGTCTCGTTGAACAATCTCATATTGGTTTCCTGTTTTCCTATTGCTGCTGTCACACGTTACCACACACTCAGAGGCTTAAAACAATGCATATATATTATCTTATGGTTCTGGAGGTCAGAAGTCTGAAATGGGTCTGACTGCCAAGAACCAAGGTGTTGGCAGAGCTGTATTCCTTCTGGAGGTCCCCGGGGAGAATCTGATTCCTTGCCTTCTCCAGATTCTAGAGGCTGCCCACATTCCTTGGCTCCTGGTCCCCCTCAACCTTCAGAGCCAGCAGTGGCCAGTTGCGTCTCTCTTGCTGCATCCCGCTGGCCTCTGTTTTTGTAGTCAAAGCTCCTTCTCCGACTGCTCTCCTGCTTCTCTCCTTCACTTCCAAGGATGCTTGTCATTATATTGGGCCCATCCAGATAGTCAAGCTCAGGTCAACTCCTCTATCTCAATGTCAGCTGATTAGGAACCATAATTCTATCCGTAGCTTTAATTACCCCTTGCCATCTTGCCATGTGACATAACATATTCACAGATTCCAGAGATTAAGACGTGGACATCTGTGGAGGGCTGGGGGTGTTATTAATCTGTACTTGTGAAGTAGTCTGTCCTAACTCTTCTAGTTATAGGGACCCTGAAACTTTGGGCATATGTCTTTTGCTATTCAAACCTAGTGAGTAAGCGAGCAAGAATCTGGGGCCTTTCCTTGTGCAACTTCCCATTTGGTGATTTTGTGGATGCATTTCAGGGAAAATTGAGAGGGTTGGTGTTCAATAATAAAAATGAGTCATGAAATGGCAGACATACCCTTAGCTTTCTGGAATGATTTGGCTTTTTGACATATTAAGCATTCAGACGGTTTACATCCATAGAACAAACATTGAGTAGAAATTACTAAATAAAAGCAGGCAATCACACTGAGGATACTCACCAGGGACCTGTGGCCAAGGACTTGGTCAATCTGAAGGAGCACCTCATTAGTACTATGTGCAGAGACCACATCGCAGGCAAGTCTTAGTACTTAAAAAATATTCTGCCAGTCTTCTCTTCCAGAAGGTTCTTGTTGACAAGTGAGGTTCTGTGTTCTGGGTCAAAGTCTGTTCCTGTTAGATATAAATATATCACTTAAAACACAGCATGCATTATAATGTTGAAAATAATTACTTTCATTTTTTATCGTTATGGAAATATTTTCTAAAGGGTAACTTCAACAATCTTTCCTTAGTGATGGTGAAACTGAATAAATATCAGTTTTTATCTTCAGAAATAAAAAATCTTCAAACCCTTTCTATATCATGAATATATTTTTGATAAATGGAAAAATTATGTGTATATATTATATTTTTAAAATATATATTTTTAAATATAAAATATATTTTTATATATGTATAAATAATTGCTTCATTTTGCTATGTGGAATTTTCTTCTGTTTAATTTTTTCCCTTGAACATCCAAGTTAAAATTCACTCAAATGCTTCTTTTACTTTATGAAACTAGAAAAGGAAACTTCTAGTATACAAACATACATTTTTGTATATTTGTACACATACAGCAAATACATATAAAAGTATTTTTATGTAAAATGATACAACCTCTGTGAAAAATATTTTGGCAGTTCCTCAAAAAGTTAAACATAGAGTTACTATATGATCTAGCAATTCTACTCCTGGGTATATGCCCAAAATAATTGAAAACACATGTTCACACATAAACTTGCACATGAATATTCATGGAAGCATATTCATAACAGCCAGAAGGTGAACACAACCCGCATGTCCATCAGTGGGTGAATGAATAAGGAAAATATGGTATATCCATACAATGGAGTATTATTCAGCCATGAAAAGGAATGAAGTGCTGATATGTGCTACAGCATGAATGAATCTCGACAACATTGTGCCAAGTGAAAGAAGCCACATATTTTATGATTCTATGTATATAAAAAGTCCAGAATAGGAAATCCATACAGATAGATAGGCAATTGATTAATAGTTGTCAGGGTTTGGGAGAGGAAAGAATTGAGTTTCTTTCTGGGATGATGTAATTGCAGTGGTTATGGCTGCACAACATTATGAATATACTAAAAACCTCTGAATAGTAAACTTTAAAAAAGTTAAAATGCTGAATTTTATTTCATCTTGTGAATTATATTTTTATTGAGATAAAATTTAATTTTATCAATATAAAATAGAAAAAATATTTTAAAACTTGACTCGAAGAAGTCTTTACTTTGATAAAAGATATATTTGGCTCAAATAATTGAAATGTATCATTTAAAAAACTTTGGCTTCTTTAAAAGACCTGTCTCTATGAGAATTAGGTAGAGAGAAGGAAACCGGGAATGTTCAATGTTACCAACTTTTTTTTTTTTTTTTCTGAGACGGGGTTTTGCTCTTATGGCCCAGGCTGGAGTGCAATGGCGCGATCTTGGCTCACTGCTGCCTCTGCCTCCTGGGTTCAAGCGATTCTTCTGCCTCAGCCTCCTGAGTAGTTAGTGTGCCACCACACCCGGCTAATTTTTTATTTATTTATTTATTTTTTATTTTTAGTAGAGATGGGGTTAAGCCATGTTGGCCAGGCTGGTCTTGAACTCCTGACCTCAGGTGATCAGCCTGCCTCAGCCTCCCAAAGTGCTGAGATTACAGGCGTGAGCCACTGCACCTGGCCATTACCTATTTTTAAACTTCTAGGTAAAAGCTGAGCAAATTAATTCAATGCTGTATGTATGGAAGACTTGTTTCCCAAGTAAGTGGTAGAACAACATTCTACAATAAAGTTTCAATATCAAGCAGAAACTGAATCACTTTGAACACCCAGATCTTTTCCTATCCCTAAATCCATAATTTTAAATTTGTTTTAGTTATAAACTCAGGGGTGCCTAAGGGAGAGAATTCAGTCATAGGTCCCTAGTTTCTGTTTCTGGTTGGGCCAGTAAAGCCCCTTCCTCATCTCTCTTTTCTGCTTATCACTAGAGAAAGAAACTAAAAATCATGGTTTCAGGCTGCTAAAAGCCTAAAACAAAACAAAATAGAACAACAACAAAATAAGGCAGGTTGGACAAGCTTGTCTAAAGCACATCTCAATAAAAACAAATTCTTGTTTTGGAAGGAAAACGCAAATTTTTTGAATACTTAAACAGCATTTGATATTTTTTAATAAATAGGAAACAGTCAAAAATTAAAGAAAAACAAGAGGTATTTACATTTTGATCCCAAAATATATGATACAAATAAAATTCACATGTATTGTGATAAAGGTTGTACAGAGGAGAATTTTATTAAAATAGAGTGTTGTTGTGGTCACGTTCCAGAGAGGGAAGGCCTGATTATGGTCCTAACACCTGGGAGTTTCTCAGTACATTTTAATTGGATGGATGGATGGATGAATGGACAGACAGACAGACGGATGGATGGGCCAATTTGCAGAAACATAACTGGTCTCTCACTAGCCAAAACCATGAAAGGACACTGGGAGTAGCCAATGCATTCTCATCACATGTCCTTGGTTACCATATAATCTCTATGACAATAGCGATTTTGTCTTTTTTTATTCACAGATGTATCCCCAGTACCATCGTAGTGCCTGGAATGTATTAAGTTCTCAATATATATTGGTTGGGTAAATGAACATATAGAAGATACTTTGGGATCTTTTGAATGTAAATCAAGTATATTTAATAGGGGATATGAAAGGAGACTAACTTTGACTATAAGTGAGGGCGTGGAAGAAGGAAGAATGAGGGATAACTGGCCTTGGGAAAAGTGGAGAGAAACTGACACTTTGATCACATGTAGGATATCAAGTCACTTAATTCTTACCATGATTTAGTAAGGAAATTAATATTTTCATTGTGCAGGAAAAAAAGTGAATCAATTTAAGTAATTATGCAAAGTCACAAGGCTAGTAAGTGGCAGAACCAGTTTGTTGACTCCAGTGTGTGTCCCTTCTCCCTAGTGACACTCCAGCTTAGCTACCTTTGGACTTCTCTGCTCTTCTACTAAGAATTCTCTTATTATAAGAATTATCTTATAATAAAAATTTTTTAACTATACACTTTTGTATTAGTCCATTCTCAAGCTGCTAAGAAGAAATACCTGAGACTGGGTAATTTATAAAGAAAAGAGGAGATTAATTGATTTGCATTTCCGCATGGTTGGGGAGGCCTCAGGAAATTTACACTCATAGCAGAAGGCACCTCTTCACAGGGCAGCAGGAGACAGAAGGAGTACTGAGCAAAGGGGGAAGCCCCTTATATAACCATCAAATCTCCTGAGAACTCACTCACTGTCACAAGAACGGCATAGGGGAAACCACCTCCATGATTCAATTATCTCCACCTGGTCCCACCCTTGACATGTGGAGATTATTACAATTCAAGGTGAGATTTGGGTGGGGACACAGAGCCAAACCATATCAGCCCTCCTTTTTTTTTTTTTAACATCTTAAAACTTTCATCTTCTCTTTTAATAGCTACAAAGAATATAATTTCTGGAGTATTATAAATGATGACCTTTAAAATAAAACTACTACAGCATTATTTTAGATGCATCCAATAAATCATAATGTCACAGCAGTCTGATTTTTACCAGCATCAGCTTAAAATAAATGCACACAAGCTCTTTAACAGGAATTTTACATTGCTATTTTTTAAATTCATATTTCCATTCCATTCCCCCACATATATCCTAATGCAATGTATTTCCATACTTGAAAATATATTGATCACATTATTATATTTCTCTGCAACAAAATACTTATGATTATGTCTCTAATTCTTAAAATTTTTTCCAAAATTGGCTTTCATTATAATTATTAGTAGTATATAATTCATCAAAAACATAAATTTTAATCTTGATAAACAATTATTGAATATCAAAAGTAAAATTTTGTGGGAAATATAGTTGTTAGTGAATGAATTGGGCCTTTTTATTTCGTATCAGCTTATGTAGCTCAAGATCAACGATCCTTTCTACTGAAATGAGACAGGTTCAGCAACAATCCTATTCCATTTTAGTTTCCAAAACTGTAGGTACTAATAAAATTTATTCAACATAAACAAGAAGTTGTGAATGAAAAAAATGTGCTACACAAATATCACTCAATTCTTTTAACTTCTCTTGAGTAGTAAACTGCCATGGTCTGAATGTTTGTGTCCTGCACCTCCAATTCGTAGGTTGCAACTTAACCCCCAATGTGTTGGTATTAAGAGGTGAGGCATCTGGGACGCAATTAGGTCATGAGGATTGAGCCCTCCAGAATGAGGTGAGTGCCCTTACAGAAGAGACCTGAAAGAGCTTGTTTGCCCCTTCCTTCCACCATGTGAGGATGCAGCAAGAAGGCACCATCTGTAAAGCAGAAAGCAGCCTGCACCAGACACTGAATCTGCTGGTGCCTTGGCATTGCACTTCCCAGCCTCCAGCACTGTGAGCAATAAACCTCTGTTGTTCATAAATCACCCAGTCTTAGGTATTTTGTTGTAGCAGCCTGAATGAACTAACATATATACCAAGAGTGAGATACTAATTTATCATCTAGAATTAATTTGAATGATTTCCAGGCTGACAAGTCCTCCCTCCATTATGATGAAAACAAAAAGTTGGAAACTCCCTGACCCAGGAGTTGTGGAGCTGGCAGGTTCCTGTTCTTGACACCAGCCAATGCACTGGCCCTCATTCAGCCCCCAGACAGTTCTTACACCCTGGGACAAAGCAGGGTGGTAATATTTGGGAAAAATTGGTGGTTGAGGGGTTGCCTTTCTTTTGAAAAGCAGGGCAATTGTGAAAGAGGAAGTGAAAACTTGGAAGAAACACCCATTTTTGGATAGAGCAATTCTACAAAAGGATATACATGACAATTGAGAATCTGGAAATGGAATCCTTTAGTGAATTTTCCAAGTTGCTTGCATAACTCCTGAGAATCTTTTTGTCTCCCAAGGGTCCATGTGCTTCAGTTTGAAGATCTCTGTCTTGAATGAGCTGCTAAAGGTTAAAAACTGCCCTTTTCACTGTTTCACCAGAAGCAGGCCTTAAAACAAGCCACAAAAGAGTTGCAGAGACTTTTATGACTGTTCTCCTGCCTAAGATGCAACTGCTAGATCACAGCTGAGCAGAGCCTCCATCTTGCTGTTGGCCTGACACTGTAAACAGCAGTGTGCCTGGCGCTTTGCAGTTCGCAAAGTGCAGCCACATGTTGTCTGCAACAATCTAAGAGGGTTTTCTTTGTTGCAACCACCTGTGTTAAGAGCACAAAATATTTTGTTTCAACAAAGCTTTTGACTGCACCAAACAAAAATACCCCATCACTCAGAAGAGCATTCCACTCATCTACCTTCCCACGAATGAATAGGTGTCATCATGTGGGAATAGACGAAGCAGTGTGTTTCTGTTCGAGTCTATCACTATCACCAAAAAAAATTACTTGTATTTAGTCTGTTCTCACACTGCTAATAAATACACACCTGAGACTGGGTAATTTGTAAAGGAAAGGGGTTAATTGACTCACAGTTCCACATGGCTAGGGAGGCCTCACAATCATGATGGAAGGTGAATGAGGAGCAAAGTTATATCTTACATGGTGGCAGGCAAGAGAGAATGAGAGCCAAGCGAAAAGGAAAATCCCTTATAAAATCACCAGATCTCATGAGACTTATTCACCACCACAAGAACAGTATGGGGCAAATCACCCCCATTGATTCAATTATCTCCCACTGGGTCCCTCTCAGGAGACTTGGGAATTATGGGAGCTACAATTTAAAATGAGGTTTGGGTGGAGACACAGCCAAACCATATCATAACAGCAACAAGCCAAAGTGTTATAGCACTAACATTGCAGACAACAGTTTTAGAAGATTCCCTCTACAGGAAACTTCTGCAGAGGTGCTGTGCCTTTTAAAGGGCATTATTTTGCTAACTGTTATTCTCAAGAAGGGAGCATTCTCTACAGTTGTGTCAGAGCCCCACCTTCAGCTCAGCTATGTGGAAGCATGACCAGGTTTTCTATCACCTGATTTTGTCTCCCCAGCCACACGGAAAGGCTCGAGATAAGCCACTGACCCAAAGCAGCCCAACCCAGAACTTGGCTGAGTGACAGAGAACTGACTCTGGGATGAGGATAGTACAGACAGAATGTGGATCACTCCTCTAGGAGAGTTGAAATTAGGAAACCGAGACAGGAGAGAAAGAGAGAGATGAAGAAAGAAAAATGCATCAGGAGATACCCTGACCGTAGAATTGGACATTAGATGGCTGAGGCAGGCCAAAGTGAAGGGCAAAACTGAATATAGAGAAAATGGACACACTGAGTAAGCATGAAAACCTGTTTCAAAAGAGGAAAATGCAAAAAGAGAAGGACAGATGGTTTCATGAAAGGATAAATGATCAGCTTACTCCTGAGAGCTGCCCCATTCCTGACATAAAGTCTTACGTCAATTTACTTGAGCAAACTGACCTCTGCAGCCCAGTTGGACAGAAGGCATGGCCCCACCCTTCACAGCTGGGTCCAAAGCTCCACCACCACAAGAAGCAGCTCACTTCCTCCTCCTCCTCTCTTCCAAGAGGGAAATGGAACATAAGCACCCTGGGCCTTTGAAGTCCACCTTGCTCACCAACCCAAGTAAGATCCACAACCTCTTTCCCAGCGGCAGTAATTTCCAGCATGTACATTCAGCAAATACCATTTTGTTATCCTCCTCTAATTCCGTGAGGCTTTTTTCTCCCCCCTTCACTCCTTTATGAAAATTCCTGGACTCCAATTCCCCTGGGACTTCTTATGAGTCTCTGCCCAATGCTTTCCAAATGACAGGTTTGGGAACAAGATCTGAGATCTTCCAAATCATTATCTCTACCACAGGGAATTTATTTTCTCAGCAACCCAATCTTGAAAACAAATACACCCTGCTGGGGTTCTCATCGAATGGGGGAGGAGAAATGTCTAAGATTGGGGGACCAGATAAACAGAACACTGAGTATTGGATGCTTCCAGTCACAGAAAGGTAACAGAAGCCTAAAAATGTTTTCTCCTCTTCCAAAGTAACATTAAATCTTTGATTTCTGTTTAATGATAATTTTTTATTGGTTCAGTAAAATAATTTACTACTAACTCACTGACTGCACATATTTTCCTTTTTGGCCTTTCGACACTGAGCCATCTGAATACTCTCTTTCCAAAATAATTTTTGTGATTGCTTGAACACCTGTTTCTATATACATTTCTCTTTCTAAAACAGAATTCTCGAATATTCAGCTTTTGTAGAGAAATAAGCAGAGGATCTCAGAGGTCATGAAAGTGTTCCCAGAAAAAGAATGACATGTCTTATTCACATCCATCTACCTGGACACCTCCTTTGGAGGGCTACATTTTTTTCTGTTCAGAGTCAACCTAACCATTTCCCAACATACAAGCTGGTTACTTGGTTTTGCTCTTTCTAAAATCCCACCTTTTGGGGTTGACCCTACCTTCAGACTTTCAAAGAATTTAGGTTGGTTTGAGCTCTTTAGCAAAACAGTCACTCTCATCCCACATCCCAAGGTTTTCAAAGTGGGTCATGAGTCTATGTGGTCCATGGACCACCGGAATGTGGATGGAGCTTCATGTTTTCTGAGAAGCAGCAAGGAAAACTGGACAATTACTCAACTAAATTCTTGAGAATGACTCGGAGTTCCAACTTGATCAGAATGTGCTGGACTATGGCCAAGCCCACCCCCACCTTTCCTTCCCTCCAGATTCAGCTGAACTGTTTGAGACTGCTGCAGAGTCCTCAGTTGACACTGGAGTTGAGTTTGTTAGTGCAATTGGACCAGATCTCAGTTCACCCACCATCTGGCAATATAGGCTTTTATTATCATTTTCCCCTTGAGGTCTCCTCCCAATATCAACAGAAAATTTGACAGCAACCATAATAATGTCACTTCTCGGAACCACAAGAAGGTAATACATGTTCCAAAATTATACAACTGACTTTCCAAATCAGAGGAGCCCTTTGCCTCCAAGTTAAGAATGACATCTTGATTCAGAGTATTGTCAAGTCTCTTGCCAAAACCACTAATCCCCCACATTTGTTTTGCTTTATGATTTTCCCCATAAGTAGGGCTGGAGACTCTATCTGAATTCTCTGGACCTTTCAGACCTCCTGGAATTGCCTTGGGCGTGAACTCCAGCGGTAATACTCAACAATTCCACTAGGCAGGGTCCACTCCCAAATACAATGTGAGGCTAGCATTTGCCTTCGATGACTTCTCACCTCTGCTGCCACTGCCCCTACATGGAAACCATCTGCCTCCCTCCATTGCTATCTCTGTGCTCATGGTTACTGAATAAAAGTAGAGCTTTGAAGTTAAGAAGATTTGTGTTCAGATCTTGATGACTCCCATCATATAAGTAATTAATTAATTATGCAACTAAAAATTACACTTCGCCATGTAATCCTTAGCAAGTTTGTAGCCCCTGTGAACACTTCATTTCTCAGTGTGTAAATTAATACCTAACAGACTTAAATGAGTAGGACTTGGTGCCTACCGCAATGCCTGGCATGTAGGAGCAGCTCAATAAATGTTTCTTTCCTTCCTTTCTAATCTGCCATGGAGGAAAAAAAAAAGAGCTCACAATACATTGGGAAAAAGCAATAAACATAAAAACCCGGCCGGGTGTGGTGGCTCACACCTGCAATCCCAGCACTTTGGGGTGCCAGGGTGGATGGATCACTTGAGCCCAGGAGTTTGAGACCAGCCTGGGCAACATGATGAAACCACATCTCTACAAAAAAACAAAAAATTTAGCCAGCTGGGTTGCACGTGCCTGTATTCTCAGCTACGTGGGAGGCTGAGGTGGAAGAATCACTTGAGCCTAGGAGGCAGAGGTTGCGTGAGTGGAGATCAGGCCACTGCAGCCAACCTAGGTGACACAGTGAAACCCCGTCTAAAAAAAAAAAAAAAGTGAAAACCAGGGCACACCAGGCAGACCCCAGGAAGCAGATAAGACTTGATTTAGGAAGGAAGGAAGATCTCGGGAAATGGAAAAAAAAAATAGGAATAAGCTATGACAGTACCTTATAAAGTATCTTTTAAACATCAGGAGAGAAAAATTACAAGGGATAAATTTTTCAGTTAGTTAGAAGGAGATATACAGAAGGACAATTCTAGGTAGAATCACAGTCAGCATAAATTCACTCTGAGAATAAAAGACTGGAAAAAGATATACCACACAAACAGTCAGCATAGGAAACCTATAATGGATATATTAACAGCACATAAAAAAGACTTCAGGATAGGCAGTGACCCTTGATAATGATTTAAAAATTAATATTGCAGGAAGCTATAAATATTAATATATGTGCTTAACAACAGAACTTCAAATTAGATGAAGGAAAAACTGCAAAATTGAAGGAAAAAATAGACAAATCCTAAAATATAATTGGGAATTAATAATCTTCTCTTGGTTATTGATAGAACAAAGTATAATACCAGTTAAGACACAGAAGATCTGAACAACACTATCAACCATCTTTACTTAATTTAATATATACTAGGACACTATACCAAGCCATAATAGTATATATTCTTTTCAAATGGACATGGCATATCCACCAAAATAGATCATATGCTGGATCATAAAACAAGTTTCAACACATTTCAAAAGACTGAAATCTTGCAGATAATTACACTAGAATTCAATGGTAAGCCATCTAGGAAAGTCCCAAATATTTGGAAATTAAACAGCACACTTCCAAATAACCCATGAGTCAAGGAAGAAATCAGAAAATGTTTTGAGCTGAATGATAATAAAAACACAACATATCAAAATTTATAGGATGCAACTAACCCAGTGCAGAAAAGGATCTTCTAGGTATAAAATTTCCTATTAGAAAAGAAAAAAATCAAGAATCAATTACCTAAGCTTCTATCTTAGAAAACTAGGAAAAGAACAAATTAAACCTGAAGCAAAATGAAGAAAATAATAAATATTAAAGAGGAAATTAACCAAGGAGAAAGCATTCAAACAGTAGAGAAAAATCAATGAAACCCAACATTAGTAGTTGGTTCTGTATACAACTGATAAACCTGAAAACTTGGGAATATTAAAAATGACAATATGACAGTATTAAATGACAAAGGGGATTAAAAAGATAATTAGAGAATCTTCTTATAATTATATGTCAATAAATTTAACAATGTAGAGGAAATAAATAATTTTGTGAAAGACATCAATTATCAAAACTGACATAAGAAACAATAGAAAATTTAAATGGCCCTATAGCAATTAAATTTATAATTAATGAATTTTGTAAGTAAAAACCTTCCCCAAAGAAAACTTCAGGGCTAGGTGGCTTTACTAGTGAATTCTATCAAACATTTAATGAAAAAATAATACCAGTTTTTTTATATCCTCTTTCTGAATATAGAAAAAAAGAGAGTGCTGGCCAACTTATTTTATGAGGCTAGCATTATTCAGATACCAAAACTGACAAAGATATTACAGGAAAACTACAGAACAATATATCTTGTGAATATAAACATGACTCTCCTTAACATAATATTAACAAATAAAATCCATATATATGTAAATGCAAATGACCTAGAATAGCCTAAGCAATTTTTATAAAAAGCAACAAAGTTGAAGGACTTACACTAGTCTTGCTAAAAAACTAGTCATAAGAATGATGGTAAATGAATAGACATGTAGATAAATGGAACCAAAAGACTCAAACATGATGATCAATTGATTTTTCACAAAGGTGCCATGGCAATCATGGCAATTTAGTGGGGGAAAAAGTCTTTTCAACAACTGGTGCCACAACAAGTGGATATTCACATGGAAAAAAAATTTAATGAATCCTTATCTCATACCATACCCAGAAATTAACTTAAAAGAGATCATTGAGGTAAAAGTAACAATACTACACAAGAAGAAAACATAGGAGAAAATTTCTGCAATTTTGGCATAGGTATAGAGTTCTCAGGTAACAAGAAAAGCACAAATCACAAAAGAAAAAAATTATAAATTATATTCCATCAAAATAAAAACTTTTGCTTCTTAAAAATAATAAGAAAATGAAAAGACAATTCTCAGAATGGGAGAAAATACTCACAATACTTGTATCTAACATTGATCTTGTATCCACAATATATAAATAACTCTTACTATTCAACAATAAGAAGATAAAAAGCCAAATTTTAAGCGGAAAAAAGATTTGAATAGGCACTTCACAAAAGAAGCTACATGAATGTTCAATAAGTACATTAAAAGATATTCAACATCGTTAGTTATTGGAGAAATGCAAACCACTCTGGGATACTTCTGTATAAACATTAGGATGGCTAAAATTAAAAAATTAACAGCAAAATAAATATATGGAGCAACTGGAACTCCTATGCATGGTATTCTACCTTGCATTGAGAAGGTAGAATAAAACCACTTTGGAAAACTATTTCTTTTATAATTAAATGTACATCTACCATATGACCTAACCATTTCATTCCTAGGTATTTACTTAAGAGAAATGAAAATGCATGCCCACAAAAAGACTTGTAGAAAAATATTCATAGTAGCTTGATTTGTAGTAGCCCCAAACTGGAAACAATCCAAATTCCCAAAAATAGGTAAATGGACTTTTTTTCAAAGTGTGATCTCCACACAATGGACTACTACTCAGCAATAGAAAATAACAAACTCCTAATCTACACAACATGGATGAATCTGAATATTGCTATGCAGAGTCAGAGAAGCCAGATGTAAGATAGTATACACGGTATAATTCCGTCAACACAAAATTCTAGAAAATGCCAACTAAAATGAAGTCTACAGTGACAGAAAGCAGATCAGTAGTGGTCTGAGGATGGGGTTTGGAAAGAGGGATGGATAGCAAAGAGGCAGAAAGAAACTTCTGGGAGTGATAGAAAAATACTGCAGCTTGATGGGCAGTGGTGGTTTCATAGGGTGGATGCATCGGCAAAACTTTTTTAATTCCATGCTTTAAGTGGATGCAATTTATGGAACATAGATTATACCTCAAGAAATATACTTTTTAGATTCCCTAATGATATGGTTTGACTTTGTGTCCCCACCTAAATCTCATCTTGAATTGTAATCACATAATCCCCATATGTCATGGGAGGGACCCAGTGGGAGGTAATTGAATCATGGGGGTGGTTTCCCACATGCTATTCTCATGATACTGAGTGAGTTCTCATGAGATCTGATGGTTTTACAAGGGGCTTCCCCCTTCGCTCAGCACTCATTCTCTCTCCTGCTGCCCTGTGAAGAGGTGCCTTCCACCATGATTGTAAGTTTCCTGAGGCCTCCCCAGCCATGCAGAATTGTGAGTCAATTAAGCCTCTTTTCTTTATAAATTACCCAGTCTCAGGTGATTCTTCATGGCAGTATGAGAACAGACTAATACACTTAACAAATAATCTCTGAACATTCCCTCAAAGGCTTTGTAATATAGAACAACAAATCACCACATATTATTTCTGTGCTATATAATAAAGTTCTGGACAAAGGTGTTCACAGGGACCATGCTCTTTAATCCTTGACCTAGATCTTAAAGCACAGGTAGTTGTAGAAGACAGACCAAGAAGGAGGTCCCTGTGGGCAGAGGCAATAGTAAATACGAAGGTGTGAGGTGAGGAAGTCTGTATAGTGAACCAGAGAAATCATAAAAAGCTTGGGATGACACAAGAGATAAAACAAAAATGTTGACTTGAGACCACACTATTCTATTCCAAGAAATGTGAAATCAGTTGTGAAGTTAAAGGGGAACTTCTGGAAGCTTTTAAACAAACAAGTGGCACGATGTGTGTGATGAGTATTACTGACATTTGCCACCTGTTTCCCACTCTTTCCAGGCATGTGGTAGATTTCATTTCCCTGCCCCTTACAGAATAAAGCATGATCACGTGATCCACTTAGCCAGTGAAATGTGAGTAGAAGTAGCCTGTGTCACATCTAGGAGGAAGGTTGAAGGGTAGTTTTACTTTAGCACATTCTCTTCCCCTTCTGAGGTGATTAGAGAAGATGTTGAGAGGGAATTTCCAGGAGGTCCCTGAGTGGCTACAATAAACAGAGGACCCCCACCCCATTCCCACCTCCCCATGTCCCGTGATGAATATGTAGTAGAAATGATAAGAAAACTTCCATAATGATAAGCCTCTGGACTGGGGGGATTGTTTGTAACTGCCTCTAAAGTCACCTGTCCTTGCTAGCATAATTTGCAATTTTAATTGGTAACTCTGATAATTACATAGAAGATGAGTTTCAGAGTAGAAAGCCTGCAGGACAGAAAACTAGCTAGATAGCTACCATAATCCACAGATGATAGTGCAAGGCAGGAGCCACGAACTTAGAGAAGCAGAAGAGGAGTCCAGAGATGCAATGGCAAGAAATGATATGAGTTGGTAATCACTCAGATTCTAAAAGCACCCAAGAGCCTAATTGTTTCAGAGGTATGGAAAAGAGAAAGTTCTTAAAAGGAAAAGGATGGCTAAGAGGGGAGATGAAATGAAACAAGATTAATGAAGCAGCTGTGGGCAGCATAAGAGGTGTATCTTGTATCTCATTAAAAGTAGAGGCTCGTCCCTCTACAATGAAGGCTAGAGGTAGATCATGAACTTAGGAAGAAACCAGACTAAGTGTGAATGCTGGGTGAATTTGACAAGTCATTCAACTTCATTTGTGCTTTCATTAATTCATTCAGGAAACAGTAACAGCCTCACTCATTCATTCAACATCAGTAAAGAACACAAAAATGGCCCCTGCCCTAATGGGGCTTACATTGAAATGTAGTGAAGCAGACACAACTATTTAAACAGTGTGTAGAAAACGGACATGATACTGTGAAAACAAATTACATAGGACTTGTCAAAGACAATAACCACTCATTTTGTTTAAAACTCCTACATGGCATCAAAGTAAAAAAATAGAGACCTCTGTGTCCTTTGAATGTACGAAAAGAACCATCCTCCTTTCCTCTTGCTGTTTTACATTTAAAGAACCAACTGTGAAAAATCAACTCTCTTGACCCAAAGACAATTTTTTTAACAATCAAGCCTTCCAGTTAATTAACACCACCTGTTTGTTTGACAGGTGAGCCTGTCAAACATTGTTCTAAATGTGGCAGGTGGGGAATAGGTGGTTAAATGTGGCTTTTAGATAAGCAACTTCTCAGAGTTTTAAGTACCAGGTGCATACGAATCACCTGGAGATCTTGGTGAATGTGGGATCTGATTCAGTGGATCCAGAGTGAGACCAGAGACTCTACATTTCCAGCAAGCTCCCAGGGAGGCCAATGCTGCTGGTCCCAAGGGATGCCAAGGCAAGGTTCTAGAGGCCTTGGAAGTGTATTAACCTCAAGGGAGTTCATAGGCTATGCTTGCCTCCAGCCATTTTAGTACTGAGCTCAGAAGAGCATCTCTACCACGTGCCACCATTTCTCATCAGGGCCACCTATTTTCCTTTGTACAAAAAAAAAAAAAGAATCAAATTTCACTATGTGACTACTGTGTGAAGATTCTGCACAAAGGGTTTTTGCTATCTCATTAGATTCCAACAACTCCCTGAGGTGGGTATGGTGAGTATGTCTATTTTATAGAAGGAAGACTCCAGCCCAGAGAGGTTAGGTCACACTAGTAAGTATGGAAAGGATTCAAAACTCCAGAGTCTACTCCAGAGGTCAAGCTCTCCAGCATTGCCTCTTTCTTGCTGTATTTACATCACAAGTTTCTTTCCAGCTCTGTATCTGCAACAGAAATGACTTGCAGTTGACTATTACTTCCTGTTCCAAAATTGATAAAACCAAGTCTAGTCCTCCAACAAAATGACTTGGTTTCAGGAAAAGGCAATTAAAATTCAAATTGAGGAATCTTCTGGAATTTGGCAAAGAGAAGCATTTAACATTAGCATTGAGATTTTTTTGTTTGTACTTTTT
The DNA here is from genome assembly GCF_000001405.40 of Homo sapiens. Lineage (NCBI taxonomy): Eukaryota > Metazoa > Chordata > Mammalia > Primates > Hominidae > Homo > Homo sapiens. Next base: position 227,162,401 of record NC_000002.12, read on the forward strand.
AAAATTAAATACTGTCAGTTTGTGAAACATAATCATGTGACTCTCAGAACTCTTGGACACTGTCACCTCATCAACAGAACACCTACCGTTTCATTCCACAAGAGTGGCAGAAGTTTCCAGAAGAACCTTCCCTACCAATGGAAAGAAGCTACTGCATACCACACAGCAACATCTGCGATATGGTCATAAATTCCGCAGTGTTCCCAAGTTGTAATGAAGAGTTTAATATATGTGCTTTTTATTATTCTACTAAGAATATATCCTAATTCAACATGTGCGTGAAATTTTCACATGTTCGTGAAAACAGGAGCTCTCATACTTGATTGTGCATGGGAATGTACAGGAAATTTTAAAACAGCTAGAGAGTCTGATAAAATTGGCTTGGAATGGTCTGGGTAGCAACATTGTTTTATCCTCCCAAAGATTCTAATGCACAACGATAGTTGAGAATCACTGGCATAAAAGACAGAAAGAAGACTGTAAGATTCATGCTATAGTCAAAATAAAAAGAATGGGAGGAGTGTCTTCATTCACTGTTAGGGTTTTGCCTACCTGCATGGCTACAAAGTTCTAAGATACCAATAGATCCCAAATTTAACTGCAAGCAAGTGGTTCCCTAAAATCAGTGACCAACTGCATGATCATACTTGGTGTCTGAAGCCAATTGCAGCAAATATCAGCAACACTGTTCCAAAGCAAAGATTCTTAACCTGAGGATGGAATTCAGGTGATCTGTATAGGAAACTCACATAGGAAAATAAGTTGCATCTTTACTTTTAGTAACATGTCACAGAAGTTCAACATGTCCTTCCCTTATGAGCACAGGCAACAGAGCACAGTAGTATTGGCAGTTCTTGATAATTTGCACCCACCGGTATTTTCATGTCACATTTCAGTTTGGGCTATTATCTCAAAATACCATTTGCAGACATCACTACTTTGACATTACTGTTGCTTAATCGGCCTGCTGTTAAATCAAGCTATTTAATGCAATAATGATGATGCACCTGTGTTAGTTACTATATCACGACTTGAGGACTTCCATAATTGCATTCCAATAAAACTGATTCTGATTTAATTGTATTTTATGCATTTCACAACATTCTTCTGAGAAACAGTCTAATTGCTTTACCAGAGCCAGTGTGGTCCGTAGCACAGGAAACGGCGAGAGCCGGCTGGAGGACCGTGCCCTGGCACATTTGCATCGCAGGCCACCCCCAGGAAGAGCGCACCCTGACCAGAGCTGAGTCTTGTTTTGCCCTGCATTTCCGCAGATAAGATTTGGCCTGAAAAGCAGTTCAACTCAGCGGAGAATAAGATGGGCTTTCTCTTTCTCCTCAGCTGCCTCTTTCTCTTGGCATTTTGGAGTGCCCCGACTGCCAGGCCGGTAACTCGAGCCTCCAAATTAATCAAAACACACAGCACCCAGTTAAAGCCCAGGCAGACAAGCCCAGGAGCCAGACGCGCTCTCCTCTGGTGACCCCCGGGCCACAACTCCCCAGCTGGGCCCGCCACCACCCCTTGAATGCCACGCTCCCTCCACTGCCCCTCCCAGGCAGGTGCCGGGGCCCCGGGACAGCGGTTGCCCCACCTATGGGCGCCTTACCTGTGGGGACGCCCGCAGCGCCAGGAGCTGCCGCCTTGCCACCCCACGGGACGCGCACCTCCAGCCCCAATCCACCCGCGCCCCGCTGCCTCTTCGCGGCGCTCTCGCAGCCAAGCCCGGCGGCCGCAAGTTGGAGGCGGGCTGGAGGCGGGGAACGCGGACCGCCGCGGGCGCGGGGAACAAGCGGGGCCTCCCGAGTGCAGACGCCCGGCGCGCCTCCCGCTTAATCTGGGCAGGGCCGCTGGCCACTCCCTCCACCCTGCGCAGCCACCTCCCCACCGCGCAGCCACCTCCCCACCGCACACCCCCAAACGCCCCACCTCCGACCGCACCCCACTTCCCCGCCTGGGCCCCCGGACCTTGGGAGCATCACCTCCTTAACCCCTTACCCTGGATCCGCGCCCACCTGCCCCTCAGGCGCCCAGCCCTTTCTCGCCTCCTGGGCACGATGCCCGGGTAGAAGGGACACTGCCTGGTAAGTTGGGAGGGAGGGGGTATGAGGGCGGGACCTGAGCCACGTCTTCCCTCCCTTGAAGCCACAACCAAAAAGCCTGGGTGGGGAGGGACGAACCGCGCGACCGAGCCCTACAAAACCCGCCCCGGCCGAGTGGCGAGGCGAGCTTTCCAGCCGGGCTCCCAGAGCCGCGCTGCGCAGGAGACGCGGTGGCCTGAGAGCCTGAGGGTCCCCGGACTCGCCCAGGCTCTGAGCGCGCGCCCACCATGAGCGCCCGGACCGCCCCCAGGCCGCAGGTGCTCCTGCTGCCGCTCCTGCTGGTGCTCCTGGCGGCGGCGCCCGCAGCCAGCAAGGTGAGTGGGGGCTGCGCGACCCCCACCCCCGCACTTCCATCCCTCCTCCACGCGTCCGGGGGACGCGCTGGCCCCACCCGCAGCGGCGCGGTAGTGGAGCGGCTGCCGGGCTAGTGGCGAGGCTGAGGGCTTCACGCAGGTCCCGGGACAGGCAGCGAGCGGAAGGGAGCAAGCGGGGATGCCCCGGAACAGGTGGAATGCGCGGGGCTGGGGGAAGAGGCGAGGAGGGGGCTTGTCCAGTGCCTAGGAGTCAGGGATGGCGGGGACAGGCCTCCAGAGGTCAGTAAATTAAAAAATAGACACATAGATAATCGCCAGGGATGATACGTGAGAACACCGGATGTGGAGATGCACGGTGTCACGCTGGTGAATCAAATCAAGCAGCTTGGCCCAGCGCACAGAGGGCTGGCAGGAGACACCTGCAGGGAGTCCCAGCCGCCACTTCCTAGCTGGGACGTCACACTAAACCCTGACCTCTCTGGGGCTCAGTTTCTTCCTTGCAAAACTTGCCCTCCAGTTTTCCTTTGCTATTGTTGGGAAAAGCAAATGCTATCACTGAAAAATTAAGAGCACCTTAGAAATCGAACTCAGGTTAGAATCATTTAAGCAATCTGACACTTTGATTTGATTTTTGACTTGGAATTTGAGTGAAACTGGATTTATTTAAATCCATCCCATATTTCTTATTCTTTGCCATTAAATAGAAATTGATTGTCCTCAAAACGATTGTGCCTCCTAGAGTTGACTCACTTGATTTTACCTTGTGAAAGTAAACTTTAACTTTTCAGATACTTGTTATTTTTACACTTTAAAAAGTTGATTTGGGTGATAACGTGGCATAGGAAATTTCATTTCCAAGGATGAGCAGATGTTTTTACAAATGTTATCATTGAGATTATGATTGGAAATTAACGGTCACATAAATATTTATATATGTTACATGAAAAGAATTTTAGAACCTATGGTCACATATAGGTTCTATATGTTTTTCCTATTTAAATTAAATGAAGACATTGCAGACATTATAGGTGAAACTAAAGCCCTCTCTGACACCCCCCATACCTCTCCCCATTTCCTTGTCTTCCAAGAGGTGTCCACTTTCACCACTTTCATATTTCATGTAGTTTTCCAAACATTGTCCATGAATTTACACACACACATATGAACCCACAAACATATATGTATGTTTTTGTTGGCCTTTTAACATAAATGATACTGTGCTGTATTCCTTTGCAACCTGTAGACCAGTCCATGTCAGTATTTAAGATCCTCCTGTTTTTCTTTTTGCTTTGTTGCACAGTATTTCACAATATGCCAAAGTTAATTGAACCATTTCCCTATCAGTTTACATTTAGATTATTCACTGTTTCACATTCTAAAGGACATTTGTAATCTATGTAATCTGTTTGTGTAGCTGGTTCTAACAAAAATGCACTTTGCATACATTAGGAATTCCCAGACCAGGTATTTAAATGCTACTAGGCATGATAGATAAAACTCAGTGGGGATTATCTACCAGCTTTAACCAGGACAAATAAATCCAAAAAAGCAAAATCCTAAAGGAAATGTGTGTTGTGGGGAAGCCTGGAGAAGAGATCCAGAGCAGGGTTTGCACATGTTTCTGAATTTAGAAGAACAGGAATGAGATTGGGAAGGGGTGGAAGAATTGTACTTATGTGAGGATCAGCCTGAAAAAGTAATGCTTGGGGACCATGCAAACTCTAGTTATACCATTTTCAATTCTGTTGTTACATTCCTTTGTTATTTTTACATGTAAACTTTTCTGTTTTGAGTTTGGCCAAATCTTGGTGACTTCTTGCTGAAATTAATCCATTTGTATTGTTTTTCTCATCACTTGAAGTAAGTCTTTCATTAACAAGTTTTCAGGATTATCATTTCCAGTGTACCTGCTGGGTTAGAGAGAAAATATGCCAGTAAAATAATGAAATGTGCCTTCATCTTGTAGAAAAAGGAATCACAACGTTCACTGATAATCGGGCAATGTGCACCAACATGGCTCCCTTCACAGAGAAACTCTGCTGTTGGGCAAGGCTGTTGACCACTCTGAGCCTCAGTTTTCTCATGTGTAAAATGAGAGTTGAAACCCCAGTGGGGCCAGCAGGTGAAGTAAGGAGTAAGGCAATGGGGTAAGAGAGACTCTTCAGAACCTAGTTGTTAGCATGCTAGAATTCAAGCCCAATTGTGCCAGCATCACTTCAAGAGAGAAGTTGGGAATCCAGTTTTTATTAGAAACTTCTCAAATTCTAAATATTAGCAACTAAGCCAAAACTTTACAAAAACATAGTGTGGGCCAAACAATGTATAAGTGAGAGCTAAATGTAACTTTGGAGCCATTATATTTTATTATTTTTGTTCTACTCCAGTTAAGGATGTGTTTCGCTCCAATTTATTCAGTTTTACTTTAGCATTTCTCAAAACAGGGAAATAGCAGCGGTGTTGACTCTACATGCTAAGTTTGTTTAGACGGGGTGGAACTGTCCACCCACACAATTTGGACTGATGTGCCGAGAATTAAATACCTCTGCTACTTTGCACAGGCATCCAGTTCCAGGCTGGCTGCCCAGCGCATCCCCAGGTTTTATAGCTGTCAGGGCCCAGCTCACCCACTTGAAATAGGGCGGCACCTTGTTGTTGTCTCAGGCAATAGACCTGGGAGTGGAGGTATAGAAAGCCCCTTCTTTGATTTCTGGATAAGGTGATGTTCACACATTAAGATATCATGGTTTATCCTTCTTCTTGCCTTAGCATTCCAGACAGGGCAGCAATATGAGAAGCAAATGTCAAAACGTGAAAAACACCTACATTTGGGGAGGATGCCTTCTCACCGGGCTTCATTTTCAAATTTAAGCACTTTCAGTTAAATTAGAAAACAAAAAGTAATGGAACAGACACCAACTTATCTATCCCTGAGATTAAGCAAGTATTAATATACTTTGACTTGTTTGTTCTCAGATTTCTACCTTTAGGAAAAAAAAAATCTGAATACAGAAAGTCATACACACATTCTTTACTCCCTCTTCCATCCCAAAAAGTTTATGTATGTAATTTCCCTGCACAGTTTTGTGTGTGTGTGTCTGTTCTCCGTAAAAAATAAGTATTATTGTTTTGTGGTCTTTCATATGTGATAAATAGTTTCACATTACACGTATCTATTGGAGCTTGCTTTTTATCACTCCATATTATGTTTTTGGATTTTATCCATGTTGGTACATATAGATATGATGTATTTGTAGTAATAGCTGCTGCATAGTATCTAGTTATATAAAGTATGATTCATTTTTCCATCTCCCTAAACAAAGTAAGCTTGTCTTTATATTTTCATTTTATAAAGTTGCAATGCATATTTTGGTATATGCACCACTGTGACAACTAGAATTTGAATTCCTAAGTGGTTCGTAGAGAAAACAAATTTAAATATATTAGGAATTGACAAGTTCATCTGCAAAAGGGTTGTACCAACAATGTACCAGAGTGCCTGTTTCCCTATGTCTTTGGCAAAGCTTGGTGTGCTTAGATGTTAATGGTGTGAAATGAGATCTTGTTTTGACCAGTGAGTTTGTAAACTTTTTTCTTTTTTAATTGGCCCTTTATATTTCCTTCAGTGTGAACTGCATAGTGCAACTTTCTGTCTGTTTATCTATTGTGAACTTTGCCTTTTTGTTGCTAATTAATTAGAAGTTATTTATATATTTGGATACAAAACTTTTGTCATTAAAGTGTATAGCAAATATTTTATTCCAATCTTTGGTTTATCTTTGAGTTATTGGTGCCTTAATGTATAATACTGTTTTCACTATAATCTCAAACTGATTTTGTTTTGACATTTTGTCTTTTGTACCTTGTCAAAATTTTTTTTTCCTTTCCTGGGATTATAGGAATGTTCTCCTACATTTAAAAAAAGTTTCATAGTTTAGCTCTTTTACAGTTAGATCTCTTAATCCTGTAATTATTTTCTGAATTATGAGATCTACTTTTATCTTTTTCCATGTAGATGACAAATCGTCCCAACATTTTCAATCAAATAGTATATTCTTTCCTTCTTTTTTTTCTTTTTTTTATTTTATTATTATTATACTTTAAGTTTTAGGGTACATGTGCACAATGTGCAGGTTAGTTACATATGTATACATGTGCCATGCTGGTGTGCTGCACCCATTAACTCGTCATTTAGCATTAGGTATATCTCCTAAAGCTATCCCTCCCGCCTCCCCCCACCCCACAACAGTCCCCAGAGTGTGATGTTCCCCTTCCTGTGTCCATGTGTTCTCATTGTTCAGTTCCCACCTATGAGTGAGAATATGCGGTGTTTGGTTTTTTGTTCTTGCGATAGTTTACTGAGAATGATGATTTCCAGTTTCATCCATGTCCCTACAAAGGACATGAACTCGTCATTTTTTATGGCTGCATAGTATTCCATGGTGTATATGTGCCACATTTTCTTAATCCAGTCTATCGTTGTTGGATATTTGGGTTGGTTCCAAGTCTTTGCTATTGTGAATAGTGCCGCAATAAACATACGTGTGCATGTGTCTTTATAGCAGCATGATTCATAATCCTTTGGGTATATACCCAGTAATGGGATGGCTGGGTCAAATGGTATTTCTAGTTCTAGATCCCTGAGGAATCGCCACACTGACTTCCACAATGGTTGAACTAGTTTACAGTCCCACCAACAGTGTAAAAGTGTTCCTATTTCTCCACATCCTCTCCAGCACCTGTTGTTTCCTGACTTTTTAATGATTGCCATTCTAACTGGTGAGAGATGGTATCTCATTGTGGTTTTGATTCGCATTTCTATGATAGCCAGTGATGGTGAGCATTTTTTCATGTGTTTTTTGGCTGCAAAAATGTCTTCTTTTGAGAAGTGTCTGTTCATGTCCTTTGCCCACTTTTTGATGGGGTTGTTTGTTTTTTTCTTATAAATTTGTTTGAGTTCATTGTAGATTCTAATGTTTTGCAGTGTTATAGCTGCAAACGTGTATACCATTCATATGTGGATCTATTTGTAAACTCTCTATTCCATTGGTCCAATATTTTTTTGTCCCTCCACCAATACCACACTGTTTTGATCACTATGTTTATATTAAATCTATGTCTGGTAGGACAAGTAGAAGATAGAACAGTTATCCCTATTATTATTATTCTTTAAATTTATGACAGGTATTCTTTCCTCTTTGCTCTTCTGGTTGAATTTTAGCATCTGCATGTCAAAGGTCCATCAAAGATTTCTGTGGGATGTTAATTGGTATTGCACTGAACATATAGGTAGGTTAACTGCTTGTTGTTGAAGTATAAACACATGGATGGTACACAGAAATGCTACTGATTTTTAATTTTTGATGTTGGGTCAAGCAATATTATTGAATTTTCTTATTTAACAGTTTGTAGATACTCTTAGATTTTTTTATGTAACTAGTCACATTGTCAGTGAATAGTTTTTCTTCCTTTCTAATCTTTATGCCTTTTTTCCCTTGTATTACTGTGCTGACCAGCTGTATTAATCTGTTTTCCTGCTACTGATAATGACATACCCAAGACTCGATAATTTATGAAGAAAAAGAGGTTTAATGGACTCACAGTTCTACGTGGCTGGGGAGGCCTCACAATCATGGCAAAAGAGCAAGGGACATCTTACATGGTGGCAGGCAAGAGGGAAAGAGACCCAAATGAAAGGGGAAACCCCTTATAAAACATCAGATCTCATGAGCCTTATTCAGTACCACAAGAAACCACCCCCATGATTCAACTATCTCCCACCGAGTCCCTCCCACAACACATAGGAATTATGGGAGCTACAATTCAAGATGAGATTTGGGTGGGGACACAGCCAAACCATATCACCAGCACTTCAGGGCAATGCTAAATAAAAGCAGTAATAGTATGTATTTTTGTCTCATTACTGAAGTTAAAGGAAATATTTTAACATTTTATTAAGTATGATTTTTTCTGTAGAGTTTTAATAATTGTCCTCATCAGTTTAGGGAGTTTCACTCCCTAATATTACTGTCATTGTTCTACTTAATGACTGGATGTTAATGTTATCATTTATTTAGTCTGTATCTATTTTAAGAAAATCATACATTCTTTAGTCAGTCACGGTAGCAAATTAATTTATTTTTAAACTATTTAACCATCCTTGTATTGCTGTGGGATAAAGTCTAGTTAAAATGGCTCTTCTTAAAACATATACTATTATTAAATGTGGCACTAATATGGAAAAGTGAATTAACAAATGTAGCATTTAATGGCTTATTAGCTGAATACCCACATAAAGACCATTCGGGTCAAGGAACAGCACACTGCTAGCACCCAGAAGTCACCCTTGCATCTGTCTCAGCCACAATCCCCTTTCTTTTCCCTGAAAGAAACTAGAATCTGACTTCTAATAATCATTTCCTTGCTTTTTAAAATGGATTTATCATCTAAATACTTATTCCAAGTGCTGTATTTTGGTTCTGCCTGTTCTGAACTTTATGTATGTAGATTCACACGCTTTGAGATAGTGTATGTAAATTCCTAGTGCCATGCTCAGGGTATAAATGTAGCTAACACAGGAGTGGGCACCTGTGAGAGTCCACCTAAGACATATACACTGTGGCCATATGTTTGCTGACACCTCTAAACAGGAAAGTTGAGGTGTTAAATAACTGACGTGTATGATGGAACAAAATCCACATGTGCGTTGTTTTCTGGAATGAAGCTGTTGGCGTCTGTCTTAGTCTGCTTGGGCTGCCATCACAAAATACCATAGACTGAGTGGCTTAAACAGGCACTTACTTCTCACAGTTCTGGAGGCTGGAAAGTCCAAGATCAGGGTGCCAAATTGTTCCTGGTGGTGAATCCGTGTGGGTCTGCAGAAACCTCAGTTCTTGCCTCCTCTGAAGAAAGAATTCAACTGAGGGGCAGAAGGCTGAAGGAGAGACCAAGGCAAGTTTTAGAGCAGGAGTGAAATTTTATGAGAAAGCTTTAGAGCAGGAATGAAAGGAAGGAAAGTACACTTGGAAGAGGGCCAAGCGGGCAACTTGAAAGGCAAGTGCCTCGTTTCACCTTTAACTTAGGGTTTTTATACGTTGGCATACTTCTGGGGTCTAGGGTCCCTTCTCTCCTGATTCTTCCCTTGGGGTGGGCTGTCCGCATGCGCAGTGGCCTGCCGGCGCTTGAGAGGGGAGCATGCGCAGTGTGTTCACTGGAGTTGTATACGTGTTCACTTGAGACATTCTTCCTTTACACTTGGAATGTCCCTGGAAGGTCATATACCAGTTAAACTCCGCCATTTTGCCTCTTAATGTGCATGCTTGAGCCCACTCTCCCAACTCCTGAGATCTTATCGGGAAGATGCTGCTCACCACCTTCAGGTGTTTTCATTTCTTGGGAGACTGCCTTTCCCTGGCACTGGCTGCAACCAATTATTACTTTACAAAGACTGTTCAATAACCGCCTGACCATCATATGATAGTGGCCTGACATTCCTGATGAGGCGGGGGCCCTCTCCTGCCCTGCTCATGCCTGACTAGCTACCTACAGTAACAAAATGTCTGGGTGCTGGTAAGGGCCCTCTTTCTGGCTTGCAGACTGCTGACCTCTCATTATATCCTCACAAGGTAGTTCGGCGGGGGTGGTTGGGGAGAAAGACAGAGAGAGAGCTACTGCTCTGGTTTCTTCTTCTCCTTCTCCTTCTTCTTCGTCTTTGTCATCTTCTTTCTCTTCCTCTTCTTCTTCATCATCTTCTTCTTTCTTCGTCTTCTTCTTTTTTTTTTTTTTTTTTTTTTTTAGATGGAGTCTTGCTCTGTTGCCCAGGCTAAAGTGCAGTGGCACTATCTTGGTTCACTGCAACCTCTGCCTCCTGGATTCAAGCAATTCTCCTGCCTCACCCTTTCCAGTAGCTGGGACTTCAGGCATAGGCCACCACACCCGGCTAATTTTTGTATTTTTAGTAGAGATGGGGTTTCACCATGTTGGCCAGGCTGATCTCAGACTCCTGACCTCAAGTGATCCACCTGCCTCTGCCTCCCAAAGGGCTGGGATTACAGGCGTGAGGCACAGTGCCTGGCCCGGTTTCTTCTGATAAGGGCACAGATCCCATCATGAAGACCCCACCCTCGTGACCTCATCTAAACCTAATTACCTTCAGAGGCCCCACTTCCAAAGACCATTACCCTATGCTTACAGCTTCAACCTAGGAATTTAGAGGGACAGAAACTTTCAGTCCGTAACATTCTGCCCCTGGTCTCAAGATGTATTACAAACATAAAGAAGGCCTTAAAACTCTTTAACTGAAAAAATGAGTTAGAGCAAAGCTACTAAATGAAGCAAAGGAAGCTCGGTGGGTAAACTTAACCTGTGACAATCACAGTTTAAAATGTTAGTTTTAATATCATTTCTATAATAAAAATTCTCAGTGTTAGACATCAGTGGGAATTAGGAACTATTAATAAAAACCTTTTGATACAACAGAAAACTCTTTGCTCTTCCTAGCATAAAGGATTAGACAGAAGCTTCACTTTATGGTGACGAAATAAGTACAAATCTGGTAAGAAAGCACCTTACTCCAGGTTCCACGTTGATCTCCCAAAATGTAAGTCCCTGGCTCTGCTTTTCTCAAAGTAGCCATGTCAGCCTTTCCATTCTTCCAGGTGTTCCTCATGTAAATGCTAATTAGGGCCTCCGATTTCAGGTCCATTTCCTAACCGAGACTAAATTAAATTCTATTACTGCGATAGTTTTCAACATCACACACCTACAAAACTTCGGGTAAACATCTGTTTCCATGCTATACAATAGAAATATAATGTGAGCCATGACTACAAGCCTCATATGTCATTTTAAATTTAATATCTTCTAGTAGCCACATTAAAAAATAGAGATGGATGAAACTAATTTTAATATGTTTTATTTATACCAATACATCTGTAATATTATCATTTTAATATGTAATCACTATTGAAAACATTAATGAGATATTTTACAGACTTTTTTTCCTATTAAGTCTTCAAGGTCTGGTGTGTATTTTGTACTTGCTTCCAGAACATCTCAATTCAAATGAGCCACATTTTCAAGCATCTATAGCCATATGTAGCCACTGTCCTGGACAGCATATGTCTATGTAAGTGGCATCCAGAGGAGAGTAGGTGATACAATCCATCATGTCATTCTGTGGAGAGAATAGATTTTGTCTGGTTATTTACCATAAGAAATAAATACTTGTCTAAATGAAACACTTTAATTGAAGGCAAAAAATCAGGCTGAGTTGTGCATAAATATCTGTGCATCTTTACCTCCAGAAAATTAAGATAGTTGGCCTTGGCTGCAATGTTTAAATCTATACAAATTAGCATTGTAATTTGACAAGCATTGTAATTTTCTAAGTTATGTACAGGAAAAATTGAAAACACATCACAAAACGGAAAATAATTGGAAAAAGGAATGGGGCAAGGGAAATATATTGAAAACCAACACACCACACCTTGCCTTTCATTTTAAACTAGAAATCAAATTATCACTAGCATCCAGACAGGTAAGAGGTTTAGTATTACATTGGCCAAGTAAATTCCAAAAAGGTCTCTCTTTTTCTTGTCTGAAAATGGTGACAACATATTTATAGCAGACAGAAGTGCTCCATATAGTGCCTGGTACAGAATGCATATCCAGCGTTTTTAGTCTAGTGATTATTATTATTATTATTATTATTTTGAGATGGAGTCTTGCTCTGTCACCCAGGTTGGAGTGCAGTGGCGCAATCTCGGCTCACTGCAAGCTCCACCTCCCAGGTTCAAGTGATCCTCCTGCCTCAGCCTCCCGAGTAGCTGGGATTACAGGCACCTGCCACTATGCCCGCCTAATTTTTGTATTTTTAGAAGAGACGGGGTCTCACCATGTTGGTCAGGCTGGTCTTGAACTCCTGACCCGAAGTGATCCGCTCACCTTGGCCTCCCAAAGTGTTGGGATTATAGGCGTGAGCCCCTGCACCCGGCCTAGCGACTATTATTTTATTATCATTACTATTCAAGGCCAGACGCTAAGATAGAAGACATAGGCGCTGGGCTAGGTGCTGGGACTCATTGGTAAACAAAATAGTCTGAATCCCCAGCCATGATGGAGTTAGAAGGCAGCAGCCCAGTGAAGAGACAAATGTGTAACATCAGATTGTGGTGCTGCAGGAGAGGATGGGGTGTGGTGATGGAGAAGGAGACTTTTTAACATTTGGTAGAGGTGGTCAGGGAAGCAGACTGAGGCTGGACATGGTGACAACCTTGTGAAGCACTGAGGGATGTGGTCCAGGACAGGGCCTCTCAGAAGTGGAGAGAGGCCACACACTACCAATTTTACCACTTCTGGGTTGTCAAAGAATAAAACCAGGCCAGGCACAGTGGCTCAGCCCTGTAATCCCAGCACTTTGGGAGGCCAAGGTGGGCAGATCACCTGAGGTCAGGAGTTCGAAACTAGCCTGGCCAAAATGGTGACACCCCATCTCTACTAAAAATACAAAATTAGCCGGGCATGGCAGCAGGCACCTGTAACCCTAGCTACTCAGAAGGCCAGGGCAGGAGAATCGCTTGAACCTGGGAGGCAAAAGTTGCAGTGAGCTGAGATCACGCCATTGCATTCTAGCCTAGGTGACAGAGCAAGACTCCATCTCAAAAAATGAAATAAAAAAAACCAAGACAAACAGAGCTTTTGAAATAAAGAAATAACATGAAATTTTAAAAGCTGAGTTTATATGCTGATCACAAAGGGAATTCCTGGCCCTGAAGGAATATGCTGAGTATTTTGCTACAGGTGAGGTGGGGGATGGGACACAGGGAGTCAGGGTACCACAGAGGAGGTGGGTCTGTCGTGGTTATGCTAATTGAGGATTGAGCATTGCTGGATAAATAGGGTGCAATAAGTCCACAGGCCTCTACATGGCTGTCTATGGTATAATTTTAATGTTCATGTTTAACAAATCAAAATTTTAGCAAAAGAGATATAATGCAGTGTTTTTATGCTATTCCCAAGACATTTGCATTAGTAATGAAATGACAGTGTGGTTTGGGAATCAGCCCACATATAAAATGGTGTGATGGAAACATTCTTCTTTCATTCCTGTTGACATATCTCTGCCCGTCTTTCTTCAGTCTCATTGGGATAGGTGTGAATTAGCCAAATGTGGCTGTGAAGCCCACAGCAAGATTGCCAAGCTAGGCCCAAGAGCCCTTATCCCACCTGACACAGGACCAGCACAGAGAAAGATGAAACCCAGTTAAGGATCTGGAAGAAGTGAGGAGCTCCTCAGATGAAGAGGAGGGGAAGAGAACCAGTCTAGATCAACATGGCAATTGCTCAGTCTGTCCCGTTTAATTGATTTGGTGCCATTATTTTGATAATTATTTATGTACATATGGAAGGTTAAAAATCCACCCCACTTCTAGTGCTTAGTACATACAATATCAGACTATCAAAAATGTTTCTTGAATCTTCCTAGGGTATAAAAATAAATATTTCCACATACCAGCGTCGGTATTGTATATGTATGATATGAGTGTGTACATATAAATTTGCACACACGTATATTTAAATAATATTTTATATTCTCAGCATTTTGGTATTAATTATTGCGGTGAGATCATGACTTTAAAACTCGTAACCTTCAGAGCCATTTGAAACACAGCCATATAAAAATCTTTTAATTTTCTAGCGGTAGTTTTAGGGTAAGTTAGGAGTTTTCCAGTTTAATCTTTAAGATCCATGTTTGTTAATTAGATTGTCTCTCCAAACTGGTTTCTTAGAGAAGTGATCCCAGTGTTTAAAAATGAGTTCAAGTGTATTTAGAAACTTTGAGAGATTTGTCGTTATGTAGACAAAACAGTCAGGTCATTGGATTTTTTTCCCACCGGGATATTTTGGTTGTTACATGAACTTCTCAAGGAAAAAAGTTCCACAAGTGGGAAGTTGGCAAATCTGCAATATTCTTTCTCTGTATCAAATGACGAAGTTTGTCTGGAGAGACCCAAGGCAACAAGGCCAGATATTTATTTTCTTTGTTGAACCAGAATGATAGGATAATTTTATGCTGTTTGCTTATGCTGATATTGGGAAAGCTAAAGAACTTGCATGCTGGCTTTAAAAAAAAGTTATATGTGCTGTACAAAATTTGGAAAAAGTCTACAAGTATGAAAAGAAACATAAAAATTAAAACTATTTATAATCATATTACCCAAAGAGGATTACTGGTAACATGTTAGTCTATTTCCTTCCAGATTTTTTTTTCTCCACTCTGCTTTTTCCTCCTAACAACAGACTGGTGAAAATTTTTGTGTCATTTATTTTTCTTTCCTTTTTTTTTTTTTTTTTCTCCAGATGGAGTCTTGCTCTGTAACCCAGGCTGGAGTGCAGTGGCGCCATCTAGGCCCACTGCAAGCTCCGCCTCCCAGGTTCACACCATTCTCCTGCCTCAGCCTCCTGAGTAGCTGGGACTACAGGCGCCTGCCACCACTCCCGGCTAATTTTTTTTTTTCGTATTTTTAATAGAGACAGGGTTTGACTGTGTTAGCCAGGATGGTCTCAATCTCCTGACCTCATGATCCGCCCGCCTCGGCCTCCCAAAGTGCTGGGATTACAGGCTTAAGCCACCTCACCTGGCCTATTTTTCTAAATATAATTTTTAAATGTCTATAGAGAACTTTATTGTAGATTGGTACCATAAGTTATTTAAGTAATGCCCTCTTATTGAACATTTTGATCATTTCCAATTATGTATTTAGAAATACGGTAGTCCTCCCTTATCTGCTATTTTGCTATTTGAGGTTTTAGTTACCTGTGGTCAATGGGTTCCAAAATATTCAGTAGAAAATTTCAGAAATAAACGATTCATAAGTTTTAAATTGTGCACCGTTCTGAGTAGCATGATGAAATCTCGCACCGTCCTGCTGTGTCCCACTGGGGCGTGAATCATCCCCTTTTCCAGCAGATGCACACTGTCTATGCTCCCTGCCCACAAGTCACTGAGTGCCCTCTGGGTTATCAGAGTGACTGTCACAGTATCGCAATGCTTGTGTTCAAATAGCTCTTACTTTACTTAGCAATGGTTCCAAACACAAGACTTGTAATGTTGGCCATTGGGAAATGCCAAGGAAAAGCCATAAAGTGCATCCTTTAAGTGAAAAAGTGGAAGCTCTCAACTTAATAAGGAAAGGAAAAAATTGTATGCTGAGATTGCTGAGATCTACGGTAAGAACAAATCTTCTATTCATGAAATTGTGAAGAAGGAAAAAGAAAATCGGGCCGGGCATGCTGACTCACACCTGGAATCTCAGCACTTTGGGAGGCCAGGGCAAAAAGTTCACTGTATTACCCAGGCCTAGGAGTTCAAGATCAGCCTGGGTAATACAATGTGACCTCTCTCTACCAAAAATTTAAAAATTAGCCGGGCATGGTGGCATGTGCCTGCAGTCTCAGCTACTCAGGAGGCTGAGGTGGGAGGATCGCTTGAGCCCTGCAGAGTGGAGGCTACAGCGAGCTGACAGCACACCACTTCACTCCAGCCTGGGCAACAGAGTGAGATCCATATCAAAAAAAGAAAAAGAAAAGAAAAAAGAAATGTGTGTATACTATATATAGAGTTCCATACTCTCCGACGTTTATTAAAGTCATTTTTTAAATGATTATGTATGCAGATGCTTTCTTAACAAATGTCTGATTTAGATGATGAGGTAATGTCATTATTTTATTTTATTTTTTTTGAGACAGAGTCACTCCATTGCCCAGGCTGGAGTGTAGTGGTATCATATTGGCTCACTGCAACTTCTGCCTCCCAGGTTCAAGCAATTCTCATGCCTTAGCCTCCTGAGTAGCTGGGATTACAGGCACACATCACCACATCCAGCTAATTTTTGTTTTTGTTTTTTTTTTGTATTTTTAGTAGAGACAGGGTTTCACCATGTTGGCCAGGCTAGTGTTGAACTCCCAACCTCAGGTGACACACCCACCTCAGCCTCCCAAAGTGCTGGGTGTCATTCTTGATTTATAGGTGAGAGACTGATCCAATGATGTTCATCAAATTAGTAGAGAAAGTGGGCTTATAATTGGGATTTCCGGTTATAAGGATATTTGGTAGAGCCTTTTCCTTTAAAAAAATAAATCATCATTATTATTATTTTGAGACAGGGCCTCACTCTGAGGCCCAGGCTAGAGTACAGTGGTGCAATCTTGGCTCACTGCAGCCTCAACCTCCCAGGCTCAAGCAATCCTCCCTCCTCAACCTTCCAAGTAGCTGGGACTACAGATGCATGCCACCACACCTGGCTAATTTTTGTATTTTTTGTAGACTGGGGTTTCTCTATTTTGCCCAGGCTAGTCTTGAACTCATGGGCTCAAGTGATAGGCCGGCCTCAGCCTCCCAAAGTGCTGGGTTTACAGGCATGAGACATCGTGCCTGGCCACAGCCCTTTCCAACCAAAAACTTCCCAGATAATTAAAAATGAGTGTCAGATGCCACTGTATTTACCATTTAAGTAATTAAGTAATATATGAGATAAATTTGAGTTTTAAAATGATGAATGCTTCATGAGACTTAAAAAAAGCATCAATTAATTACTTTTATTTACTGAAATATTACTTGACTCTGCAATCTAAAAATAGTTTAACCTACTTCCATGTTGCTTCCCTTACTCAACTCCTTGAAGAAGTTTTCACGTCTCATCCATCTTTGTGGTTCGAGCTCTTAATGTCACAGTTGGTATTTTATTAGATATCCAAACTAAAAAGTCAATAAAGAATTAGTAGTTCTTTAATCCTTTGACAGAAGAATAAAACGTTATTTTGGGACAAAACATTGAATGTTTCATTCATTCATTCCACAAGGCAGCAAATACTTTTCCATATCTTACTATGTGAGGGGTACAGTGCTACACGCTGGGAACAAAGGGAGATAAAACTCATGTGGTCCCTTCTGTCCTCATGGAGTATGCAATCAAGTGATGGGCTTAGATACGTGTGCAGAGAATAATAGTAAAATTATGCATGTTATAACGAGGTAAATATGGAAAAGCAAACTTTGAGTGGAGTTGAGAGGAGGAATAAGATTGATAAATGTACTGAACAGTGAACTTGCAGGCATTATATTAAGCAAATGCGTAAGTGCAACGGAGCCAGAAAGTATTATAGTAAGATTTCAGTGGCTTGAAAACATTGTTTATCTGCAAAGTAAAGTGCTTAAAACTGTTGGTAATGAACTCAGAAAGCAACAAGTAGAGTTACTGGGCGGTGCGGTGCTTTTACTGTCTTCTACTTTATGCCCCAGATCAAGCCCTTGTCAGCGATTAGTAGCAGTGCTTCAAGGTTTACAGACACGGACTAGATTCTTATTTTGCCATCTTACGCAAAAGCAGATCAGCAATCCTTTCCAAAAAGCAATAAAAACTGAGAACAGGGCAGCCTCTGAAATCTTATGAGATGAGGTTCCAACTGATTGGAAGCAAGACTGCATGTCCCACGCAGGTGCCAGTGCTCTCTAATTGCTGCAGAAAGGCAGAAGAATGAGATGTGGATTTATTGAGTACTGTCTGTGCCTGGGACTGTGCCCACGAAACCGTTCAGAGCTTCTACTCGCTGTGACCTGCTCAGGCCTTTCAGAGACGGAACATTCAGAGCCCATGTGACCTGAATGAGCAGCATCCCCACACCCTACAAGGGCAGTCATGCAGGCAAGGACATCTGAGGCACCCTGGGATCTAAAAGAGGCAGTGCCCGGCAGCAGTAAGAACCCTTCATCATGGTCCAGAAGAAAGGCACTGTTGTGACAGTTTTGGGCAAGTCACTAAAATTCCAAGGCCACTCAGATTCAAATTCAGTTTCTGTTTCCTGAATCACAAGATGTGGCACATAAAATCTTCCCCTCCTATCTCCTGAAACAATACAATCGCACATTTTACACACAGTCAAGCATTCCACAAATGCCAAGTATTACTGAGACAGGAATGAGATTCAATATCAGAAAAGCAATAGTCCAAATGTTTTTTATACTCATTTAATTCTCCTTTTATTTCGTGACCTAGTATCAACTTCCTGGAATGCATTAAGGAGTTTCTTGTTTTTGAAAATATTATTCAGTGCATTCTTTGCTGCTGGTATTTTCTAATAACATTATTTGAAACATCAGCAGAAATGGCATCCTCCCTTAGGACTATCCCGATTAAAAAATGAGCAGAGTATTTACCTTACAGCATCCTGTGTAAATACTGACGCTAAAACTCAGCCAGTGATTTCATCACTTTTGTGATGACTTTATCAGGTACCTCAATGAAAATACCTGTTAATAGAGAAAAAATACCTGGTATAGAGATATTTCTGGGTAACATTTAATATTAATAATTTCTGCCTTTCTTGTCTTTAAAATAGAGAACTCTTTGACATGTATCTAAAAGAGAAGGCATGGAACCAGCTTTGGTACACAGCCTCCCTCAAATTCCATTAATGCGTAGTTGGCTGCATCAGGGTCGGCAGTATAAATTCATTTTGTGCACATTTACCGAGCACTTATGTGTGATGCACTCTTTTACAGAAACTCTTGAAATATCCTTCAGAGGATGAATCCTTGTGAAGTTTCAAAATGAAGCCACTGCAACTAATTATTAGATTGAACATAACTATTCTTTATACACAGATCTTTTTTCCCTAACTATACATGTAATGCATGTCATTTGTGAATATTTGAGATATATAGATAAAAGTAAAAACAAAACTATAAAACAAAAATAACTCCTCATATTAGAACCTGGGGATAACCAGTGAGAATATTTTGGTATATTTGCATAAAAGTGAGATCATATGGCATATGGTATTACGTATCCGGCTTTTTTGACATTATATTGTATTTTCTCACATCAGTAAATATCCCTTAAAAATGAATGCATAATATTTGATGATGTTTATATACCATAATTTAACTTAAAGTTTTTATGTTTTTAACAAGGCTATGATGATTTTTGCCTACATATCTGATTTTTTAATGACGGACATATAGTAGAATTATTAATTAGAGTAATGGGTATAATTTTTTTATACTGCAAGTTCTCCTTTCCAAATAATAGACACAGTTTTAATACTAATGAGCAAAAACATAAATAAAATCACCCTAAATTCTATCTTGTAAATATAACTAGAATTAACATTTTGATGTATATCTATCTTTTCTTATTTAATCTAAAATATGATTTCCCATAAATTGAAGATCTAATTTTTAAAAAATTTCCCCCAAATAGCCAATTTTCTCAGCATTACTTCTAGAATAACCTACTGCTGATTCCCTATTGATTTGTCTCAGCTCTTACCAAAAATGAACCATAGGAATATCTTGGCCACAAATAAATATGGAATTTACAGTTATTTTCCTTGTTTATTGGCCAGGAGTCAGCCAAATGTTTGATAGATTTAAAGCCTCCAGCCACAATCAGCTCTCCACTTCTGTGCCCCTCCACCCACTCACGACAGCTATGAATCTGGAATGAGGTGGGTTCAGAGACCTCCCATTCATGAACACCATAAAACATGCACATTGGCTCAAGATCATTCACTCATTGGAAGAGAATTTTGAGTCAGTGCATCAAAGAGCAATGTCCTGTTTTTCTAGACCACTCTACTCATCCCATCCCCTCCTGATTCTCTCATTCATTTTTAATGACCTCCCAGCAGGGGATATTTGTGAATAAAATCTATTAGATTTTTTTCTAGGTTTCTTAAAGGCTGATCTGGCTTAAACCATGCATCAAAATTAAAACTAAATTGACTTCCTTATATCAAGTTGAGCAGTAGCTTGATAAACATTATAGTGCATTATAATCTCAGAAATAGATTATATAATAGCTATATTATTATCTCAGAAGCAAATATAATGGGGAAAAAACAGATTTGTAATAAAGGCCTTAACACCCACAATTATTGGGGAAAAATGTTAACAATTTTAATCAGCCTCTATTGAAACAGAATATCAATCAAACCCCTCTTGAGCTATCACACATATATCCAATTCAAGAATTATTTAGTTACACAAATCAACATTTGCAATGTGTTTAATATGTTCTGATATAAAACCAGAAGACTAATACCAACTACTCTAACATTTACTAACATACTGTAAATGATTTACTTAGGAGTCTGTTTTAATAAAGTTCACCTTCACAAAGCAGCATTTAGAGAAGCTTCCCCTAAGTCAGACTTGTTTTTACATGTGAAACTGCTATGCTTTTTCAATTGGATAAATCACTGAATTGATCTAAATAGAGTGGGCTGATCTATGTTGTTATAAGCTCTTTTTGGCCTCTAATTTTCCTGTTTATTCAAAGTAAAGAAAGACAGTACTTTTTGTTTCTAAAATCAGAATGGTAGTTCCTCACTCTATAAGCAAATTGAAAATGATTACGTTCTTCATGGCCACCATAGCAAACCATGTCCCATAAGAGATGACCTCCCACACTCTCATTCTGGGGCCTCCAGGAGAAGGAGGAACAAGCTATGAGTTAGAATAAAACTAAGGGATGATTAATTCCCATTTTGAAAAATAAATTAGAAAAAAGAAATGGTGCTCAGGGATATGTAAAAGTCCCAAGGAGCAGTGCAGACCAGAACCAGAGACCAGAACAAGGTGGTGGATGGAAACGAGGAAAATACAAATCAGAGGGCTCATTGGAATTGCATTTGACTTAAGACTTTAGGTCAGACCAGGCATTAGGGGGCATACAGGTAGAAGATTGACTCAAACTTGGTGGAGTTACCAAACTTGGCCAAAAGGACTCCAAACCAAGATGAGATAGTATGTCCAAGGTCAACAGGCAGGCTTATGGAAGCCATGGACACCAGAAAACAGAGTGACATGGATATCTGCTACTTTCCCCTGACAATTATTCTTTCCTACTTCTGGTGGTAGCACATCAATTTCACTTGAGAGAACTACTCTCTCCTCCTTGCTTGTCAGTCCCTTAGTCAAAAGATTGGGCACAGGACCTAAGCCAAGCCAGTCAAGTGCCCTCTCCCAGGAATTTAAATCTTCAACTGAGAGTGCAAGGAGGTTATTCATCCTGACAGCAGCGCCTTGCAAAAACTCTCCATCAGTTCTTGTACCTTGATTCTCACAACAGCCCTGGGGCTGTTTTTTTCTGAGTTGTGTTTATTTAACTTTTCTTCAATTTCTATGTGCTGCCCCCATGTCATTCCAACAAATTCCTTTTTGATCATTGCATTAGCCTAAATCACTTCTGTTGCTTGCCACCTCAAAACCCTGGCAAGACATCAGGAATCCAGACAATAGTCTGGCCAGCAGAACTGGTGGTTCAGCAACCTTCTGCCTCAGCCAAGAAGCCTCTTATATGAACAAGTGAGGAGAGAAGTACCCTCAGGATCAACAAATGCAGACCAGCAAGTGCACATGGGTGAACCCTGGCTAGGAAACTCATCTGGCAGTTACCCAAGATGGACAAGGGAATGCGGAGACTGAGTTGCTGGTTAATTATTGCTTATCAGCAAACTGTGAGGCACTTCAACTTTTGCAGACATATGAGTGTCAGCCCTGGTAAAATTAAGATTGACTCAATCAGTCTCTAAAAGAAATGATAACTATTGAAATATCAGTCCTTCTTGGGTGACCTTGAGTGCCAGCTTGGTTTCAGCTTCTGCCTTGCTCATTGATGCCCCTCAAAAAGTGATAAGTCTTATATTTTGTACCAAGAAAGATCTGGTCAATATTTTTGCTATGCTACTACATTTTGGTATTCACTTCCAAGTCTTTCTTTATTAATATATCCTTTTACTTTTTGGGGATCACGTTTCCTTTTCCACCAGCAATAACTTAAAATATTACTTTACTGTTTCAAATTACTCAAAATATAAAATAGTGAGGTATCAAGTTAATAAAACATAACAAAATTTGATTATGCTTAAAGTTCATACCCGAACCAGATAAACCAAATAGAGCATTTTAAATATATAGAAAGACTCATCTTTTTTTCATTATGCGCATTTTAGAAAAATTCTCTCTAAACTTGTGTATACATTCTTGACCCCTCCTTTGCATGGCTGCCTCACTGGCCTTTTTTTTTTTTTTTTTTTTTTTTTTTTGAGATGGAGTCTCACTCTGTCGCCCAGGCTGGAGTGCAGTGGTGTGAACTTGGCTCACTGCAAGCTCCGCCTCCCAGGTTCATGCCATTCTCCTGTCTCAGCCTCCCGAATAGCTGGGACTACAGGCGCCCGCCACACGCCCAGCTAATTTTTTGTATTTTTAGTGGAGACGGGGTTTCACCGTGTTAGCCAGGATGGTCTCAATCTTCTGACCTCGTGATCTGCCCTCCTCGGCCTCCCAAAGTGCTGGGATTACAAGCGTGAGCCACAGCGCCCGGCCCTCACTGGACTTTTGGCATTAGGTTGCAATTCTTTTCTTAGGAGTGGATTCAGTCAGCCAAATTGTAAAAAGCAGAAAGCTTCTGGCCAAGTGCAAGGTCTGATCAAACAAAGGATGGGTGGTTTGAGGTGCTTTGACACAGGGCTTTTCGCAGTTACCCCAAGTGTGAGTGCACAGTGCTGCTAGACAACATGCCAAGATCAGATAAAATCTCTATATGGACCAGTTACCTTTTAGCTGTATGAGAAGAAGGGCAATTGTACACGTTGTTCTTGCTCTTGAATATAGGTAAGCTAGTCATTACTACTAAAAAAGCAATGACAACTGTAGGTTTAAGATAGTGTGTTCATCTTCATATATAAAGAGAATATCTATTTAATTTGTTATATAGTCCACTGATTTTCCCCTACTCCCATCACCATGTAGCTATTTGGTGTAATTATAATCCCCACAGAAGAGAGAAAACATTCCTTGTCAATAGGGAAGAAGTAAAAAGAGAACTGAAATTCAGAAGGAAAGCCTTAGGCTACTGGTTTTCAAACTTCAGTGTGCATGAGAGGGAGTGTATTTGAAAATGCAGATTTCCTGGCAAAATCCCCAGGGATTCTGGCTCAATAAGTCTATGGTGTGGCCTGGAAACCTGCAGTTGTAGCATCTCAGTTCATTCTGATGCAAATGGTCCTTGGAACTCTCATGTGAAAACATTGCCTCAGACTGAGGAAGAAGAGGGAACGCCTGCCTCTCTCTGGGCATCACCCTCTTGGACCTG
This sequence comes from Homo sapiens, assembly GCF_000001405.40. NCBI lineage: Eukaryota > Metazoa > Chordata > Mammalia > Primates > Hominidae > Homo > Homo sapiens. The sequence goes on from NC_000002.12 coordinate 227,185,969, forward strand.
GAATTCTAGACCTGTGGGCTACTGGAAGTGTCCAGATAATGAAGGAGTCAGCATCTCCTACAGGGAAGGAGAACTCAACAGCATGGGAGTGGACAGTAATTTGTTAACTAGAATAGCTGGTTGTGTGTTAGTCACGCCTTCTGTTTCTAAAGATTTGCCCCCCACCCTTGGGGTGGTGTTTGGAGAACGGGAGATTATTTGATTTGGTTTGATTTTTCGTATACTTTCAGGCTTCTATCACGCCCTCGATCACAGCACTGTTGAATAAGATAACGCGCATTACATAATGAGAAGTCAAAGAAACCAAGAAAATAAAAATCAAACAGCTGTTGTGATGGTGTGATAATGATGAGTGTCCAATAATGAGGCTTATGATGACACCATTGTCTTGGATGTCCCACTGGGAATTAAGGGGAGACTCTGCTGTCACCCTTGCTGCACAAGGCCAGTGTTGACAGTGGCATCATCATCTCTGCTCTCCCGAGGCCAGGCTAGTGTGGGGAACAGCTAATAGTGAGAGCAGCACAAAAGGAGTTTGAATTTGGTTGACCTGAAATTAGAGTTACAAAGTTCAGCCAGTGTCCTCTTCACAAGGAAGTTCTTCCCTTAGGCCAACCTTGGAGGATGCTAAGTTTGGTTTTATTAAGGGGGTAAGTAGGCTCCACCATCTGTAGATGTTAATAGGATTGGGATGCCATGAGGGAGAGTGTAGATCATCTGTTTTTGAGGGGGTATTCTATCACATTAAATGTTCTTGTTTCAGGACAGGTGAAGAATAGAAAAGGTTTTTGTCTTAGTCTGTTTAGGTTGCTCTACTAAAACATCATAAATTGGGTGGCTTATAAATAACAGACATTTATTTCTCACAATTCTGGAGGCTGGGAATTGCAATATCAAGGCACTGGCAGATTTGGTGTCTGGTGAGGGCCTGTTTCCTGGTTCATAGATAATACTTTCTCATTGTGTCCTCACGTGGTGGAAGGAGTGAGCAAATTCCCTTGGGACTCTTTAATAAGGGCACTGATCTGCTTCCTGGAACATTCAGTTAGAAAAGAGTTAGTTGAAACAGCTCCTCTTGATGGTGTTCTCCTCACTCATTAGAGATTTTCCAGATATTTTTAGTACACATGATGAACAGTAATTCATTTCTTCTATCTTTGTGTGCAGGAAGACACACTGTCTTTAAAAGTTTAAAGCACCCTACTCAGGATACTAGAGTAATTTTTCCATCTTCTTCAGGAATCTGGATTCCAGCAACCTTTCAGATATTGACTTACCAAGTTGCTGGACTGGGTCTTCTGCAAACAGAAAATTGGAGGGAGGATGAGGGTGAGGATGGGGAGACGCTGATAATCACACAGTTGTGACTAAGAAGAGAATGGTTGCTCCAGGGATGCCTTTGAATAGAAATTGACTTTGATGGTGTGATCATGGCAGGGGAGAAGTACAGCAGCAGGGATGAGCTGTGTATGATCCAAATGGCTCTACAAGCTGGTGTGCACATATATAACTAGATGGGGTTTCTTGCAGGGGAGGAAGCTTGGGGCAAAGACCCAAGAAATTGAGTTTTCTGTAAGTATACACCCTTAATAATTGGATAAATAGGAAGTTAGTTCTTGAGGCAGGTCTCATAGATAATGGAAGTTATTTTAGGAATATGCAGGCTTATTGACCTCATTAGCCCATTGTCCCTTCCACAGTGGGAATTATAGCAATGCAGTAGAAATTCTACCATTCCTGCTCCAGACAACCAACGCATGTATGTCCTAGCTCATGGTTTCTGCCTACTCAGCTTCCACATCATGGTTTCTATTCATTCATGTCTTCTCCTTCCAGAGTGTCTGCCTTCTACCTTCTCTCTGTTTATCTCAGCTTCCATTCCCACTACCAAGCATCTAATGCCCCATATCTCCAGAGGGAATAAGATTGGTCCAGCTGATCACTTCATGTTTGTCTCGATAGAGCTGTTGAGTCAGGGCATATCACAGCACAGTAGACTTGCCTGCTTTGGTCCAGTCAGCTGTACCCAAGAATACAGTTTATAACAAACAAACAGCAGCCCCCACTGTTTTGTTTTTATGAGGGCTAGAAGAACAACATCCCCGAACTACTCCTTTAAAAAAATTAAAATAAATGTTAGTAACTCCAGATATTTTCTGATTGTTCTACTCCAGTAGAAAAGTATGTTAAACCCAAATCTAGCAACTCTTCTTTAGAGGAATCCTGGCTTCTTCACTACATTGTTAAAGGACTTTGTAAAAAAAAAAATCACTTTTAGTATCAATATCAGAATTCTTTTTAAGTATCTGGAGTTAGAAAGTGGTAACATTTGGACATTGTATCCTTTTTTCTAGGAGAGTTTTAGTCTGATCCGTTTATAAGCAGATATTTAACACTGAAAAAGGACCCCAAATAGTCTTTTTAAAGCTCAGCGAGCCATTGTGAGTCATTGGCTTAACACAAAATACTTTTACATAACCCAGGCCACCGAGAGGGATATCCGGTCAGGTCAGCTATTTTTAAAGCACTTCTCCCCCACTCCATCTCACGTAACAGAGTTACAGCAGTTTGCTTAGAAAACTGGCTCAGGTTCTGTGGCTCATGGAATCAAAACCCAAATGAAATGTTTTTAACTTGTTTAAAACTGGAACCATTTTCACTTAAATGTGCTACACTACCAAATCAATAACTTTCTGAATTAGACACACATATATGCAAGCGGAATATAACTTTTTCACTGACATGTATATGGTATTATGTGTTGGGCTTGCCATATCATTTCCTAATTCATTAACTCATTCAACAAATATTTATAAGGCACTTACTGTGTGCTAGGTGCTGTGTTATGGCTGAAGACATGAGACTGAGCATGATGGACCTGTCCTCATAGCTTCCAGTATAGTAAGAGTTATGGACCAAGAAATGGGCAATTGTAATGTCACATGATAGGACAGGGATGCAATGACAGAGAATGCCTGCCGAAGGAGCATATAGAAGGGTGTCAGAAAACCCTTCCCAGAGAAAATGATGTCCACACTGAGACTGAAATCTAGCCAGGAAGGATGGGAGGAGAGACTCTTCCATATACAGAAAACAGCCCATGTTGGCTTGGGATTCTGTTTGAGCACCAGAGAGAAGGTGAGTGTCTGGAGGGAGAGAGGCCAGGGGAGGAAGGAAAAGGGAGCTGGGGAGAAAGGCAGGGCTCCATCCTGTAGTGTCATAAGAAGGAGTTTGACCTTGATCCTTAGAGGAATGGAGAGCACAGAAAAATCTTGAGCAGATCAGAAACATCATGAGATTTGTGCTTTGGAAAGAGACCCTGGTTGTGGTGTGGGAAATGGATTAGAGGTGAGCAAGAGAGGAGGTGGGTAGAACACAGAGAAGCAGAGGCAAGGTGTGGTGGTGATCCCCGTGAGACAAGGAGGTGGCCAAAAGGAACACAGTGACCAAGAGGGTGGAAAGAAGCAAGCAGATCTGTGAGTTTTTTGGTCTAATCAACGTGATGTGGTGATGACTGATAGATGACTCTGCACCCTCCCAAATTTAGCATCAAAGAACTGCTCACCCAGAGACTTGTGCTACATTCGTGTTACAAGTTAGTATCGGTAAAAAGCCTGTCCATTTCACTATATTAGTATGCATTTCTTTTATCAAGTAAGACCTAAATAACCCAGAGTTCTAATTTGCAGGCTTGAAATTGTAAGTAACCTAAAACTCTCCATTCAAAATAGAGTAAACCATTTTACATATATTTATTTGCTTCCATAATTTAAAAATTTAGAAGTCATGGAGGTTTCAGGTGAGGCTGGACCTAGCATTTCAAAGATATCATCAAAGACCAGGTTTCCTTCACCCCTTGTCTTCACATGATGTCTGCTTCATCCTAAGATTGCTTTCCCTCGTGGTCTCAGCCATATACTTCTCTGTGTTATTCTGCTATGAAGACAAGCCATTTCTACCAGTAATTCTTCCCCCCAAATCAGGAAGTTTCCTTTCCCAGAAATCATCAGAGAAAAACTTTGGAGTTGCATGCTCTAACGCCATAACAGTGGCTAGGTAGATGGATGTGCTTCTACCAAGAGAAAGGAAGAATGTCAGGTGGAAAAAAAAAGAAAAAAAAGCAAACATCCCCTGCATTCAGCACATTCCCTGATGCATCTTAGCTGCAGTCACTATTCATAAATGAGTTGAAAAATTCATCAAACAAGAATACATTGAGATCAATTGTCATATTTTAAATGCAAGGCACATGCAGGTCCCTCAAGAGCTGGAGGTAACTCAAGAGAGTGATGCTTCTCCCTTACTGCCATCTTGGCGTGCCTGCTCCATGATACTATATTTCCTCTGCTGGCTCTGCAAACATGCCTTGAATTCCATTTCTTGCAGATCCTGACTCCCTTTTAAAATATGGACATGCATGATGCTTCTCACAACAGTCTGTACCCATTCCTGAGGAACTAAAATGGAAACACTTCTACAGTCTGAAGCAAACACATAAATAGATATGTTTTATATGTCATCTAGGAATATATACATATCAGTTTATTATTTCGGATCAAAATATGTAACAGAAGAGGGACTTTGTGTATTCTTTGAGGTTGAAATGTATCACTAATTAAAACAAAGTGTATTAATTATTTTCTATTATAAAAGTAATAGGTAGTCTGGGCATCGTGGCTCTAATCCCAGCACTTTGGGGAGGCCAAGGCAGGCAGATTGCTTGAGCTCAGGAGTTTGAGAGCAGCCTGGCCAACATGGCGAAACCTCGTCTCTACAAAAAATTAAAAAATTAGTCAGGCCTGGTGGCACACACCTGTAGTCCCAGCTACTCAGAAGGCTGATGTGGGAGGATCGCTTGACACCAAGAGGTGAAGGTTTCAGTGAGCCAAGACCATGCCACTGCACTCCAGACTGGGTAACAGTAATATGTCATAACTAATGAAAATGTGCAAAATTCTGAAAAGTTAAAAGGAAAAAAGCAAATCATAGTTTACTACTTAAGGACAATATCATTAATGTTTTTAGCATCTTCTTCTAGCACTTCTATTATGTATAGAATTTTTTAAAAAATAGATGCAAAGGTTATTATATATGAAATTTTATGTCTTTTTTCTCTTAAAAATAGACTACATAAATAATACGTATATGGCCATGGAAACAATTTTTGACATTTAAATTTTCTCAACCACTTTGCTCTTTTTGGATACTTGGGGAATAACAAAATTTTTATTATTATAAGTAATACTGCTATGATCATGCCAATGACACTCTGCTTGATTTGGAAGTACATTCCTCGTACACATTCCCAGAAATGGATTTTTTTTTTGTAAAGGACGCAAAAGTTTAAGACTGTTGGCATATACAAAAGACCTATTTTCTGAATTCAGACTTTAGGCAAAAACAAAAAATTTAAGTGGGTGAGGGGGCAGGAAGAACAATAAAGAAAGCTAAGAAGTGTTTTGAAAAGCAGTTCACAAAATCACTCTTTACCAGCCACATACAAATGTTGAATGGCTCCATCCACGGTGCATTTGTGGAGCTCCCCTGTTGGCCATTCCCCGCATCAAGGATTCAAAGAACCTGCCAAGGGGCTGCAATGGGAGATTACAGTGACTCAGCAAATCAGGATGATCAGATTTCAAAGTCGGCCAAATAACTCATCTTGGAGACAGATGTAGCTGAAGTTTTACATTATGGCCTGCAAGAAACTTTATTCTAATAAAAGACAACTGTGTTTACAACTACTGGGCATATCTCAGGTTACCTTAAATGAAAATCATTTTCTTATTTTTGTAATTATGAAGGCTAAAAATAAAGATTTTTTTCATAATTAGTTTCTGGAACGCTAATAATAAGAAGAACTTAGAATATTACAGATTCTCTTACAAAACACAAAGACCTTGGAATAAATTTGGCAATTTCTTCAACAGCAGTGCCCTTATCAAAAACAGACACTTGAGAATTGTGGAAAGGGAAAAAAATTATCGAAGGAAAGTCATATTTCCTTAAATTTCTCTGTGAATGTGTACAGTGAATTTCTTCATCTCTAAAGCAAATCTTTAAAAAGGAAGAATTTGCTCTAAATTCAAGCATTCATTTTTATCTCTCTGTGCTCAAGTATTCATTTTTATCTCTCTTTGCTTTTGACACAGAGTATAAACGGTAATTATACCATCCAGTTGCAAAACGTCATTGAAAAACAGATGGTAAATTAATCCCAAACAATTATTACTCCAGGTTCTGACTATCAATTTTGTCTTGAACAGCTTGTCTAAACCTAGTTATAGAATTGTGAAGAAGGCTAAGTTTGTGTCTGGTTGTTGTCTTTCTCCCCTACCATTTTATTAAATATTTAATTTCTTCATGTGCACATAATGCTTTGAAATGTTAGATGTGGTTTAGCACACACTATCATATTTGACTTGCTCATTTCATTTTCCTCAGACCCTGACCAGGGCAGGATGAAAACCAACCTTTTCATCTCTACCCTCTTTTCATCTCAGCTAATTGTGGAATCAAATGATGCTGTATACATAAATGTGAACCCCTGTCCCACCCTTGGTATTGGGGCTTTGAAAGTCTTCAAACCCCACCACAATGGTGGTTGTATGGAGATCACTTGACGGTCTCATGTGCCCCAAGTCCTCAATCTCTGCAAGTGTCCCTTGGGACTTTGCTCAGTGTGTGTTTGTGGTAGTTGTTGTAGTGAAGGGTGGGGAGAAGGTTAGGGGTGTCCTGGAGGGCAGGGAGAGAGGTTTCATTGTCCCCTGGGGAGTGAGTGTGAATCATGAATGAACAATCCTTGACGAATCGAGTCAACCCAAATAAGAGTTTGGAACAGTGTTTCTCAAACTTTCTATAGTGAAGAAAATTTTGTTTTGTTTTTACATTTCCATTATATTGTGAGCCAATACTTTCTTAAAATATAAGAATAAAAAATTAAAAGAAAATGAAATTAAAAGATATAAAATATAAGCCCAAATATTTTAATCAGCATAAAATCACTCTATCAAATCACTCTAAGCTTTCTAAATGCTTACTTTCAATTTCTATATTTACCTTGTCATAGGTAAGAAACTGAGACCCATGCTTTGAGATGCACTAGTTTAGAGAAACTGAATAATGCAATTAAAAAGTTTCACCTGATAGGACTAAGTGCATCTCCTCCCTACAAGGATACATCTTCATTCCCAGTGCTCATAGAATATTTATAAAAATGGACCATAATTTGACCACAAAGAAACAATGAAGGAATTCTACAAATTAGATAAACTTATGGAACTGGATGAAGAATCAAAATCTGTTTACAATGCAATAAAATTTAAAACAACGACAGCAAAAGGCCTACCTATGCATTTTAAATCTTTTTCCTAAATAACTCTTAGTTTAAGGAAGGACTCAAGATCACAATGGCAGGATGTTTAAATAAATATTCATGATGCAAAGATTAGAAATAAAATCCTGGCTGGGCACGGCGGCTCACGCCTGTAATCCTAGCACTTGGGGAGGCCGAGGTGGGCGGATCACAAGGTCAGGAGTTGGAGACCATCCTGGCCAACATGATGAAACCCCATCTCTACTAAAAATACAAAAATTAGCCAGGCGTGGTTGTGCATGCCTGTAATCCCAGCTACTTGGGAGGTTGAGGCAGGAGAATCTCTTGAACCAGGGAGACTGAAGTTGCAGTGAGCCGAGATTGCACCAGTGCACTCCAGCCTGGTGACAGAGTGAGGCAAAAGAAGAAAAAAGAAAGAAAGAAGGAAGGAGGGAGGGAGGGAGGGAAGGAAGGAAGGAAGGAAGGAAGGAAGGAAGGAAGGAAGGAAGGAAGGAAGGGGAGGGAGGGAGGGAAGGAAAGGAAGGAAGGAAGGGGAGAGAAGGAGAGGAGAAGGAGAAGGGAAATAAGGAGAGAGGGAGGGAGGAAGGAAGGAAGGAAGGGGAGAGAAGGAGAGGAGAAGGAGAAGGGAAATAAGGAGAGAGGGAGGGAGGAAGGAAGGAAGGAAGGAAGGGGAGAGAAGGAGAAGGAGAGGAGAAAGAGAAGGGAAGGAAGGAGAGAAGAAGGAAGGAAGGGGAGAGAAAGAGAAGGAGAGGAGAAGGAGAAGGGAAGTAAGGAGAGAGGGAGGGAGGAAAGAAGGAAGGAAGGAAGGAAGAGTCCTATGGGTTATGTTCCAAAGAGTCTTCTGAAGAAAATGCATACCTGTTATATCATCAGCATCCCAATAAGAAACCCACGACACACTCACAATTGGATAATTTGAGAAGTTTATTTATAGAGACACTGTTTACAAAGGTGAGGTTCAGGTAAACCGTCTGAGATAGTTCAACAGACAAGTTATTTCCACCACTGCTCCCTTTCCTGGATCTAAGAAAGAGAGTGGTATTGAGTTGGCCACAATCAATGAGGGCTGAGGGGTGAGGGGCTGTGAGGGAGGGACCAGGTGCTCAAGGTAGCCCTGCAGGGAGGGAGCCAGGAAAGTAGAGGCCCTGACCTCGCTCTGCTCCTTCCCTCTCTCTGATCTTTTGCCAGAAGCCTGAAAGCTCAGGACCCCCTTGTGGGAGCCCCTTTCTGTGGTCCTCATGGTCAGCCCCTTAAGACAAGGAGCAGGCCTGGAAGGAGGAGTGAAAGTTATCTGGCATTGCTGTGAGCACATTCTTAATAAAATAAAGAAGATAAATGCAGTATGCAATCAACTCAAAAAATTTTCTTAAATTCAAATATAAAAAATTAAAGGGGGAAATTAAGCAAAAACGTAAAAAGAAGTGAATACAAAAGAAAGTAGAAATGCTGTAAATTCATAAATATTGTGGCTAAATGTTTGGAAAATACTTGAAAATAGAAAAATACTAGCTCTTCTAATCAAAGAAAAATAGAAACACCACTGATACACAAAATGAGAATATAGAAGAGACACATACAGGCAAAAGTAAAAATAATTTGCACCTGCCATGCTAATGAATTTGAAAACATGAATGAACTTAAATGATTTCCTGTTAGAGTATATATTACCAAAATTAAGAGATAGATAATCTAAATAAACCAATAATCTTGGGGAAAAAAGAAAATTTTCTATTAATTACCCTTTGAGGAAATTCCTACCCTAAAATTGTTATAAGTGAATTTTTTTCATTATGTCCAGAAATGACTGTTAGGCTATTCAACAGTTCGGTGCATAGAGAAAAATGATGGGGTCCTAACATTTTGTTTCCATTTTTGTTATTTTACAAATCTTTATAAATAGATTTTGAACTTGAGCAACATTAGGCAGAAAAATAAAATCATAATCCCAAATCACGTAAAATCCCATAATCCCAAATCCTGAAAAAAAAATCTTGAAAGAAAATTAGCAAAATAACATAATAAAATAAAAACTCAGTATAATCATGCATTGAATAACAATGATGTTTCAAACAAAGACACACCCCACATGTACAATGGTGGCCCATAAGATTATAATGAAGCTGAAAACTCCTATAGACTAGTGATGTATAGCAGTCCCAATGCCACAGTGCAATGCATTACTCCTGTTTATGGTAATGCTAGTGTAAACAAAGCTACTGCACTGCCAGTTGTATAAAAGTCTAGCACGTGCAGTTATGTACGATACATAATACTTGATAATGACGATAAATATTTTACTAGTTTGTTTACCATAATATACTTTTTATTATTATTTTAGAGTCTATGCCACATATATATATATATGTGTGTGTGTGTGTGTGTGTGTGTGTGTATGTGTGTGTGTATGCTGTAGAACAGCCTCAGGCAGGTCCTTCAGGAGATATCCAGAAGAAGACATTTTTATCATAGGAGATGACAGCTCCATGAATTATTGCCCTAAAGACCTTCCAATGCAACAAGAGGTGGAGATGGAAGACAGTAGTATTGATGATCCCGACCGTGTATAGGCCTAGGCTAATGTGTGTGTTTGTGTCTGTATTCTTAACAAAAAAAGCTTAAAAAGTTAAACAATAAATAAATAAACAATTTAAAAATAGAAAAAAGCTTATAGAATAAGGATAAAGAGAAAGAAAATATTTCTGTACAGCTAGCTGTACCATGTGTTTGTGGTTTAGGCTGTTATTACAGAGGAATCAAGACGTTTTAAAAATTAAAATTTATAAAGTAAAAAAGTTATAGTGGGCTCAGGTTAATTTATTATTGAAGGGAGAAAATTAGTTTTTATAAATGTAGGGTAGCCTAAATGTACAGTGTATATAAAGTCTACAGGAGTGTACGATAGTGTCCTGGGCCTTCACATTCACTCACCACTCACTCACTGACTCACCCATAGCAACTTCCAGTCCTGCAAGCTTCATTCATGGAAAATGCCCTATATAGGTGTACTATGTTTTTATCTTTTTTTTTTTTTTAGACAGAGTCTTGCTCTGTCGCCCAGGCTGGAGTGCAGTGGTATGATCTCGGCTCACTGCAAGCTCCGCCTCCCAGGTTCAAGTGATTCTCCTGCCTCAGCCTCCCGAGTAGCTGGGACTACAGGCACCGGCCACCATGCCTGGCTAATTTTTTGTATTTTTAGTAGAGACAGGGTTTCACCGTGATAGCCAGGATGGTCTCGATCTCCTGACCTCGTGATCCGCCCGCCTCAGCCTCCCAAAGTGCTGGGATTACAGGCGTAAGCCACTGCGCCTGGCCGTTTTTATCTTTTATATTGCATTTTTACCGTATATTTTCTATGTTTAGATATACAAACACGATTGCGTTATAATTGCCTACAATATACAGGTTTATAGCCTAGGAATCACATCTGTTATGTACTTTTGATCTGAACCAATAAACCTACATATGGTTGTAGGTAATATGTAAAACACAGTTATCTATTTATGTGTTTGTTTCAGACTGCAGGTATACTATATAGCCTAAGCGTATAGTAGTAGGTCATGTGGTTTGGATGTGTCCCCACCCAAATCTCATCTTGAATTGTGTAGCTCCTCCCATAATTCCCACACGTTGTGAGAGGGACCCAGTGGGAGGCGATTGAATCATGGGGGGTAGGTATTTATCATGGTGTTCTCATGGTAGTGAGTGAGTCTCATGAGATCTGATGGTTTTAGAAAGGGGAGTTTCCCTACACAAGCTTTCTTTTGCCTGCTGCCATGTAAGATGTGCCTTTCGCCTTCCGCCATGATTGTGAGGCCTCCCCAGCCACCTGGAACTGTTGGTCCATTAAAATTAAACCTCTTTTTCTTTATAAATTACCCAGTTTTGGGTACGGTTTTTTTGTTTTGTTTTGTTTTGTTTGTTTGTTTTTTTGAGATGGAGTCTCGCTCTGTCGCCCAGGTTGGAGTGCCGTGGCACAATCTCAGCTCGCTGCAACCTCCACCTCCCTGGGTTTAAGCAATTCTCCTGCCTCAGCATCCTAAATAGCTGGGATTACAGGTGTGTACCATCGAGTATGTCCTTATCAGCAGCCTGAAAACAGACTAATACAGTAGGCTATACATCTAGGTTTGTATAAGTACACTCTATGATGTTTGCACAATGACAAAATTGTCTGATGACACATTTCTCAGAACATATCCTCATTTTAAGTAACACATAACTGTATACTTAAAAAAAAATCACCAAGACCAAGTAGTATTATTCCAGAAATGCAAAGTTGTTTAACACTTGTATTTATAGAATTGACCATGTTTATGTCAAAAGAGAAAGACATAATCTTATCCCTAAGGTTACCAGAAAGCATTTGGGAAAACTTCCAGTCATTTCTCACAACACATACACACCTATCTTGGAAAAGTGGAAATGGAAACAAGAGGATAAGCAGAGTAGTCAATACTCTCTGAGCCCACTGTTCTGTGCCAGGCATGGTGGTGAGGGTTCCCCCACACCTCCATGAGGTAGGTTACAACAATTATCTCATTTCACTGACAAGGAAATGGCAGAGAGGAGAAGTAATGTGTAAGGTGTGTCTCAAGGTTGGTGAGTGGTAGAACTGGGAAGTCAGCCTGGCAGTCTCTCTCTAGAACTCTGGGGTGACCCCTCCAATATATTGCTTCTCCTGCCTTCTCTGTAAGTTGTGGAAATCGTGTTTATGCAGAGGTGAAGAACAGTCAAAATGCCAAATCCCTTGGAAGTGGCCACTGTTTGACTCTTCCCTCTTAGAGAGGCCCCGCTTGCCAGCTTGTTGCTCTAAGGACTGTTGCATTTTTCTCTTGGTTGGAATAGATTTAATTCAGTTCTCAGCTATCTATGTGGGTCATCTTCTGTAAGTGATAGTGGAGGCAGCTAACTTCCTGATTGTAACCACTCGTGCCATTGAAACCAAAGACTGGAGCCAAGATATTTGTTTCTGTATCAGGATTTAATCAAGCTTGGATTTGTGAATGGCCATCAGAGTCTGATTAGAACCAGGTTCTTAACCTCAAATGCCGATTTTCCAAATTGTAGCAATACTTATTTAAAAATTCAAATATAGTATATCATTTATGAAGAACATAAACCATTCTGTCAGTAAAGCTGTGTGTCAAATGAACAAAATTAAGTTGAATATATTGTTATAAATACCTTATGTTATCACTTCAAATGAAGCATGGTTAGACACGTTTTTAGACAATCACATTAAATAATTTCTTTATTCATCCAGTCTTTTTTTAAAAATGTATTCATCTAACAAACACTCCACACCATGTACTACTACTGGAGAAATGAAAATGAATGGGAAAAAAATTCCCTGACCTCAAGGAATTCCCATCATGGTGGTAGGTTTTAAAAGTTTCAAAGCCAATTGTCTATCTGTTACAGTGAGGTAAGTTTTAACAAGTTGAGAGAGAAGAGCCTGTAGAAAAGGAAAAGATATTCCATATTTATGAAAAATCCTCTTTTATTTATTTAAATTTTGACCATTAAAAATCATTTTGATTTTGTATTGAAGGCAATGGGGAAGCAGTATAGGGTTTTTAGCAGGGAATCAACAGAGATTTGTACTTAAGAAGATCCTTTTAGAGGCAGGATGAAGTGAAGGATGGCTGGAAAGGGAGGTGAATGAATTAGAAATGGCAGCAACTGAGATGGCCCTGCGGAGTCACAGGAATTAGGGCAAGGGACGTGGGACTTATTTTCCAGTGCAGAGTAACAGCTGTTCTCACTCCTAAGGACAGATTAGGAGCAAACTGAATTGAGGAATGAAAAAATTCAGGTTAGGCTCAGAGGAACATATTACCAGTAAGTCAAGGTTGGTAAGCATGGCAAGGGGCCTTTGAGTGAGATGTTTATCACAAGAAAAATTCCACTTTCTTCCGGAGGATTTACCTGTGTAATTGCAACCTCAGTAGTTTTATAGCAGAGTTAGTCATGAATTTCCTTGTCTATTTCACCCCCATTCCTCCCCCAGGATTGGGTCATTTCTATCTCTGATACTACTTGGCAATCTTTACCTCTGAAAATTCTTGCCCCTGGCATACTATCATCCTAGAAAATAAGTATTTTAGAGATTTAAATATAACCAGGTAATCAATGCCCTGTTGTAGTTCACTTCGGCTCATTCAGTCTGCAACTAAGACTGGATCAAACAGACCTAAGGGATTTGTCTCTAATCTGAAGCATTCCAAAGAGATTGATTTGAAATTTTCCTAAAGTCCCTGAAAGTCTTCAGCTTGAGAAATGACCCAAGGTCAGGATTAATCCCTTACTTTAGTGTTTCTGCATTGTCGTCCATAACCCACAGGCATCGGAATCACCTAAGATCTTAAATATTGAGATTCTTGGGCCCAGCCCAGACTAAACATTCATATCTGTGGCCCCAGCCCCAATTCAGTGAATCAGAATGAAGACAGGTTGTTGGGAGAAGGGCAAGTTCAGAAGGGTTTGTGCTTTTAACATGCATAGTTCTTGTGCATATAAAAATGTAAAAACAAACAAACAAACAAAAAACTAGTCCGAAGGATGGATCGTGCCTCCCAATGTTAATAGGAAGGCTGCAGCAAGAGCTTATCTTTATATATGTTAACTCATAAATTATATTGCATGTTTACTCACAGTCTAGAAGGTACCACATTCTGTAGACATGTATGGTTTGACCTAATCACAGAAAGCTAGAAGTAGGAAAAAACATAGAGATAGCTTTGTCCAATCTAAGAAAACTGAAGACCAGAAAGACTGAAGCTTTTCCCAGGTGCACAGCTGAATGCTAGCAGAGCCTGACTGTCACCCCACCATCTTATGATATTTCTTTTTGTGATCTCGATGTAGATGGAAAAGAACAGGAACGAAGTTTGTATCTTTACATAGTGTGTATGTGTAGATACAATTCGAAGAAGGGACTTTTTTCCTTTAATCTACACTGATTTTCCATTAGAACATTCTTGAACATCCACTGTATTCACAAAGTTTTTCCTGGGTGCCAGCAACCCAAAGCACCACACTCTTCCCCATCATCCCACGTCATGCTGGTTCTACACAGAGTTTCAACTCTTGATTGTTCAATTATTGGCTCTCATCTCACTTCTGTTCTGCATAAGGCCAGCCCACACAAATTTTCCATTGTCCCAAGTACAGCCATAGCACATAGTCGATGCCTAAAGAATGCATATAGATGTAATAGTTGCCCTATTTTAGAAAACAAGGAAGGCGCTGGTGCATGTTTCTAGTGTGCATTGGAGGCAGGACTCAAAAATCTGCTCAGACTCACAAAGCCATTCATAGCTGACTCTTCAGCAGTACAAGCAGGGCTAAAATGTTTTGGGTCTCAATTGCAAATTCTAGAAACTTATGCACAGACTCCAAAAGCAAGCATCTTAGTTCTCTGTGATTTGTACTTGTAAACTTGTTTCTGTCATAAGTAACATGATGTTAATTTACATTAAAGTTTATGGCTTCATTTACATGTTCAATTGCATGTACAATTACAATTGAACAATTACATGTTCAATTACAATGAAATGTTCAATTACAAATGTCAGATCTCCTCAACTCTCTGCTTATGTTTTGTTTGGTTTTGCTTTGCATTTATTCCAAAATGTTATTATGAAAATGTTTAAACATTCAAGAACATGGGAAGAAGTGTTCTTCTTAAATTAAGTTTAGATTAGAAATTATATTATTCACATTTAATTTTAATGTAATAATGACATGCCTTAAGTATCTTTAAAAAGTTTTGTGTTAACAAATACATTTATTCTTATTAGGTTATGTTACCTTAATGACTCTCTTTTTACAGCTAATCAGCTCAAGAAGAAAGAATCAAGATAGTAAAAGCTGGACAGTATTTACTTAGCATCTGTGTAAAAAGCAAGAGGAGATTTTCTGTGAGAAAAACGGTCTTATTTACAAGTTCATGAATAGTTTTGAAACTTTTCCACTAAGGAGGAAAAAAAAATTCCTCTGTTGTTAAAATGTTAACAGTAGTTTAATAGGAGTTGACATAGTTAGGTGGAATCAAAAAGCAAAATGCAAAAGCCCAACACATGTTGGGTAGAAAAGGCAAATTTGTCACATCCCAGGCTTACATTGTATTTGCCACTGTCGTCTCAGTCAAAGGTTTTTGTTAAGGTCTGAAGACGCAGAAAGAAGAATAGTAGCACTGTATCCGTTTCCAGTTGACGTTAGAAGAATAGTAGCAATGTATCCGTTTCCAGTTGACCTTATTTCAATAGACTGTGAAATCCAAGGTGTGGGGTCGTGTGTTTAGAGAAACAAGTAGTTCATTCTAAAAACTGAGAAATACCTGATGTCACTATAGACACCAATCAGAAACTACCAAATCCTTTTCAACTGTAAAACAGAAAGGATTCTGAATGGAACGAGAGATTTAAAACCATCTATGGGACTCAAGCATTGCAACTGTATGTGTTTCTCCTATTGAAATTAATTACTCTTGTCTATTGGAAATGGATAGCCAGATTAATTTTTTTCTAAGCACCTCCTGATCCCAAATGAAGCACTGGTCTAGTTTGCCATTACTTGTTTTGATGTATTTTTCAAACACCATGGAATGATGTATTATTAACTAAAGTATTAAATGGAAACTATAGCACACTTTAAATACCAACCTTTAACCATTAACCTGAATGCTGGTAAAAGGACTTCAAATGATTTTCCAGTACACTAAGCCCTGTTTAGCAGTTTGATTTCACGATTGGTTAGCAACACAAAAATCCAGGTGCAGAATTCCCTTCCAGAATATATTCTTGCTATTTTATACTATTAAGTACGGGTTCATTAGAACTTGATGTTTTGAATGTGTTGTAACATTGTAGGGTGTCAATATTAGAGCACACCAGTTCTAGCTTGCCTGTGGTATGCAATTCACCTGTATTCGGAGAGCTATGTAATTTACACTTGTCTGTATTTTCCTTGTGGCTGTCCCCATGCCTTTTTTCATGTTTCATTGTTCTTCCTAACAAATGTTACCATTTCCAACTATAGGTGTTTCTTGAAGCCCTAAATAATCATGCCTGTCTTATTTTAGTATCCAAAGTTTACTAACTGGAGTGAACTGATAATGCTGGTATGCGGGTATTTTTTTAAAATATATTAATACTAGCCGGGCGCGGTGGCTCTCTCCTGTAATCCCAGCACTTTGGGAGGCCGAGGCGGGCGGATCACTAGGTCAGGAGATCGAGACCATCTTGGCTAACACGGTGAAACCCCGTCTCTACAAAAAATTAGCCGGGCGCGGTGGCGGGCACCTGTAGTCCCAGCTACTCGGGAGGCTGAGGCAGGAGAATGGTGTGAACCCGGGAGGCAGAGCTTGCAGTGAGCCGAGATAGCGCCACTGCAGTCCGGCCTGGGAGAAAGTGCGAGAATCCGTCTCTAAAAAAAAAAAATATATATATATATATATATATATATCACATATATATACACATGTGTATATATATAATATGTGTATATATACATATATGTGTATCTATGTGTATATATACATATGTGTATATATACATATATGTGTATATATACATATGTGTATATATGTGTATATATGTGTATATATACATATATGTGTATATATGTGTATATATGTGTATATATACATATATGTGTATATATGTGTATATATACATATGTGTATATATGTGTATATATACATATATGTGTATATATGTGTATATATACATATATGTGTATATATGTGTATATATACATATATGTGTATATATGTGTATATATGTGTATATATACATATATGTGTATATATGTGTATATATACATATATGTGTATATATGTGTATATATACATATATGTGTATATATGTGTATATGTGTGTATATATACATATATGTGTATATACACACATATATGTGTATATATGTGTATATATACATATATGTATATATACATATATGTGTATATATGTGTATATATACATATATGTGTATATATGTGTATATATACATATATGTGTATACATACATATATGTGTATATATGTGTATATATACATATATGTGTATACATACATATATGTGTATATATGTGTATACATACATATATGTGTATACATACATATATGTGTGTATATGTGTATACATACATATATGTGTGTATATATGTGTATACATATGTGTGTATATGTGTATATATACATATATGTGTGTATATATGTGTATATATACATATATGTGTGTATATATGTGTATATATACATATATGTGTGTATATATGTGTATATATACATATATGTGTGTATATATGTGTATATATACATATATGTGTGTATATATGTGTATATATACATATATGTGTGTATATATGTGTATATATACATATATGTGTGTATATATGTGTATATATACATATATGTGTGTATATATGTGTATATATACATATATGTGTGTATATATGTGTATATATACATATATGTGTGTATATATATACACTACAGTAGCAAAGTCATTTATTATCTCCTAGTTTTATTTTCAGCAATAATATTCCAAAAATATTTGCCACATATCAAGCCCATTCCCCTAAAATATAAGCCTCTTAAGCATGAGAATTTTGTCTAATGTCAATTGCTGGATTCCCAGCTCCCAGACCAGTACCAGGGCTTAATAAATATTCATTGACTAACATTCAGCCTAGATAGAACCTGAGGATGCAGAAGTGGAAAAAATGGTAAGAACCTTTATAGTATGGTGCTGACATTAAATGAACAGCACTAATATTAAGTGGCATCTTAATAATTCGTAGTAGACCTAAATTACCTGGATTCAACTCCAAGAATCCAAGATCCACCATTTACTAGCCGGGTGACTTTAAGAAAATTACCTAGTCTTTCTGTGCCTCAATTTTCTCATTTGTAATATGCAATAAGGATTAAATAAGTTATTAGAAATAATGTACTTAGAACAATGTCTGTCACATGAGCATTCAATAAATCTAAGCTGCTACTTTTAGCTGCCACCTGGTACTGCTTCTATTGCTCTTTTCTTCATTTCCTTCTATTTTTTTCTCTTTCTCTATCTTATGTTCTCACTATTTTTTCTTCTCTTTTTAGGCTTCACACTTATCCTTTACTATAGTTCTGCCAGTGACTCTCACAAACATTGCTTAAACTTTCTGATGATGCTCAGGGTTAGACTCCACCATATACGAAGGGACCCGTGCAAATGATGGCTGAAGCAGGACAGATTGTCTGGGATTCTAAAGACAGGCTAACAGAATTCCTTGTTGGCATTTTCCTTCTGAATGCCTCTGTCTTAGCTTAATCCTATTAGCCAACAATTGCCTAGCTGGACACAAGTACCAAGTAGCCAGGGATTTTCAAATTCTATCCCCAGATTTGCCTCAGCCACACTTTAGCTCTTAAGCCGTTCATGCGTAGCTTCCATATTTAGTCAGGGAAACCTAAAATATTCCTTTACTGTGTATCTGGATCCTCAGAACAAAACCTGTAATGTCAAGTGTGTTTGTGAATATGTGTACACACATAATCACAATCTTCCAAATGTTTAATGTTTCCAATGTACATGACTAATGACTGGTCATATGCGTGGGCACATACATAATACATGAAGTTGTGTGCAGGTGCAACAGCGGTGATGGAAAACAGGATTCGTATGTCTTTTCCGTTCATCTTTTACAATGGGTAAGTGAAAATTATGGCAACATTTGATTATATTGCAAATAAGGAGCAGAAGTTTATTTAGAGAGAAATGTAAATGTGGTTACTTTACAAAAAAATTAGCATACTTCTATATGCAATCTTGAAATCCCAAGAGCTGATATATTCTTTTATTTCATAGTTTAAAATAATCTTATCTGTATATTAAAAATAGAGACTACAAAAAATGTTATGAGGTTATGTGAGGTTATGCATATGTTATTCAGCTCATTTTGGCTACCCTATTATGTACACATATTTCAAAATATTAGGTTGTATATGAAATAGTGTATATACGATATTCTATCAAATAAAATAAATTAACTTTTGATAAAGATCAATAATAATATATTGTTCCAGATTGCCAATCTCTGCAAGGTACAAACATTGTGATATGTTTATAACATAGGAGAATTTGCTTTCAATGCATTGAGACATACAATGCTTCTATAGTATCTCATAGTTATAGAATGAATATTTTATATTAGAAATTATTTTTATAATTGTACATGATCCCAGACATGTAAGCATTTTCTTGATAATATTTATAGCTAAAATTATTATTGATTAAATTAAAATAACATGGAAACAAGTAAATAACTTCAAAAATATTTATCAATAATAGTATTACATTCCTTCCCACAATGCTTAAAACCCATATGACTATACAACTTAATTCAACAAATATTTTTTTTTTTGAAATCGACTAAGTTCAAAATACTCTCTTAAACATTTCCTGAGCTTTAAATATTATTAAGACAGTCTCCACTTTCAAGGAACTTCTGGTTTCTTAGGTATAAAAAGACAAGGGCCCATGCCACTAAATAAAGCAGCATGATGCCAAATGTCGTAAGAGCAGTGTCTTGGCAAGTTGATGCATTGTATCTGGGGAGATCAAGAGCAGCTTAGCTGAGGCTTTAGGGCAATGGTTCTCACCCTGGACTCTACAAGGAAAATCATCTGGGAAACTTGCAAAAATACTGATGACTGGGGTTTTGATTCAACACGTCTGGGGTGTAGCCTGGGCATTAGGGTTTTTAAGAGTTCCCCCAGGTGATTTTTTTTTTCGAGATGGAGTCTCACTCTGTTGCCCAGGCTGAAGTGCAGTGGTGCGATCTCAGCTCACTGCAGCCTCCACCAAGCAGGTTCAAGCAACTCTCCTCCCTCAGCCTGCCAAGTAGCTGGGATTACAGGCACCCGCCACCACACCCGGCTAATTTTTGTATTCTTAGTAGAGACAGGGTTTCACCATGTTGGCCAGGCTGGTCTCAACTCCTGACCTCAAGTGATCCACCTGCCTTGGTCTCCCGTAGTGCTGGGATTACAGGCCTGAGCCACTGTGCCCCGCCCCCTCAGGTGATTCTAATGTGCAAGGAGGTTCTCGGAAAAATTGAAAAATCATCTTAGACTTTGGTTCTGAAGATCGAATGAGATTTTGATAGGCTCAGGTGGGAACTGAGGAGAGGGAAGGAAGGACAGCAGGAAGAGAGCCAGCTGAGCAGCAAAAAGTGAGTTAGTGTGGGAACACTGAAGAGTAGGAGGAAATGGCTGGATCCTTCCAAATGCGGCCCGTGACCTCATACCAAGAGGTATGTAACACCTGAGAACTTGTCAGAAATGCAGACTCTCAAGCCCTGCCCCAGACCTAATGAGTCCGAATCTGTGTCTTAAAAAGACTCACAGGTGATTTGTATGCACGTGGAGGTTGGAGAAGCTTGGGCTTGATCACAGGGTAGCAATAACGACGAAAATCACTGACACACACTCGTATGCAGGTTTACATGTCTTAGCTAAGCCTCATACCAACCCATAAGGAAGTATTCTTTATCATCACCCCATTTTCTAGATGAAGAAATTGAAACTCAGGTTTGTTTGCTCATCTAGAAAGTAATGGAACAGAGATTCAAACCCAGACCCCTAACTGCTACAAAGCACTTGCACTGCATACTTGCACTGTGTCACCACTTTTGTGGTTAAGAGGAAGCCCAGGAGACACCCTGGAATGGAAGAGGAGGGCTCTGATATGTACTCCAGAGGAAATCCTGAGTCCTGGGCTAGGAAGAGCAGGTCTGTGAATGAGGGGGCCCTGTCCTACCCTCCAAGCCAGAGCCCAGAAAAGGCAACCCTATCCCTTTCCACTCGTCATCTCTTGCCTTTCATTCCAGGTTTCTAAACTAAGAGAACTTATCTGTGCCTTAGAAAAAGAGTTCTAGGAAAACAACCAAGAAAGTTAGTAACCCCACAGAAATGGAATACCTAGTCACCAAATTAAAAATAAAACACACACTAAAAAAATGCATTTTAGTATAACATAAAAATAAATATATCTTCCAAATATTTATTTCTTCTTCACTTCTTGTTTATTTCCCTACATTCTCCCTCCTCTCTCTCGTAGCCGAAACACAGGTTCAGTGGCCCACTGCTTGCAGAGTCCAGTTAACAAGAGTGTGGTTTGGTATAATTAAAGTGACTTTTTATTCTAAACCTAGCTTACGGGAAGGAGTACAGTACAGGCTTCCCACCTTAAGGATACTGCTTCACTTTTGGAGCAGAAAGCAGGTGCTTTAAAGGGCAGGGGGGTTTGCAGGGGCAGAAGTGACTAGTTAGGGGTTCACATACGCACTTTGGTGCCTTATCTACCGGGCATTGGAGCTGGTGTCTTCATGGGCAGAAATAGGTTGTAAATGTGGCCAAAAGCTCTCCAGGTGAGACAGAGTTTCACAGCAGGCATACTTTGGATTGTAAATTGAGTGTTATCTCTCAAAGCAGTCCCCTGGTGGGGGAGAGTTCTGCTCTGGAGCTTCTAAGCCCATAGTTGGATAAACTTGCCCTGTAGGGAGTGTCTGGTGAAGGGGAGGTAAAAGGTTATAATTGAAGGGGCTAAGTAGGAAGTGGGGAATAGGGAGAAATGGAGAAAAGAGAAGAAAAATAATTAAAAAATAGTAATGCATTCTCCTCTTAGAAAAATTGGAGTATTGGTTACTCTCTCCCCCCGCCCCCCCACACACACGAAACCACCTTTGCAAAATTATAACTGAGGAAATTATGACAGTGAAATAAATCTAACTTAACCAACTCTATTTTGCT
This sequence comes from Homo sapiens, assembly GCF_000001405.40. Classification (NCBI taxonomy): domain Eukaryota; kingdom Metazoa; phylum Chordata; class Mammalia; order Primates; family Hominidae; genus Homo; species Homo sapiens. Next base: position 227,208,111 of record NC_000002.12, read on the forward strand.
TCTAACCCTTAAGCTGTCCTTGTTCATTCCTGGGCATAGGCCGAACTGACTTTGGGAAGGAATTCAGTTCATGGTTTGACTCTGAAACAAAATTGATAACAGCCCTTTCCCAAAAAGACCCCCTTCTTGCCTGGGGACCAGTTTGCCTTTGCAGGACTAACAAATTAGCTACAAGATGAGAAATTACAGTTTCAGGGTCATGCGGCTTCTGGCTTCAAGAGTCCGAACCTCCCCAAATTGCTCCTGGGGGTAACATCATTATTGTAAAACCTAAGATCAGTGCTTGAGACATTTTGTAGACCCTGCACTCAATGGATCAGCTAACCCCACCCAGACCTGTAATCTGGTCCAACCCAGTTGTACCAATGCACTCAGGAACAGAAGACATTAAGAAAACCTAACTCCGACCCATGAAGATTCCATCTCCAACCTGACCAGTCAGCTCTCCCCACTTCCCAAGCCCCTACCCGCCAAACTATCTTTAAAAACTCTGATCCCCAAATGTTCGGGGAGACTGAGTTGAGTAATGATGAATATTCCGTCTCCTGCACAGCCGGCTCTGCGTGAATTACTCTTTCTCCATTGCAGTTCCCCTGTCTTGATAAATCAGTTCTGTCTAGGCAGCAAGAAAGGTGAACCCATTAGGCGGTTGGTTACACACACACACACACACACACACACACACACACACACACATATATACAGAAGGAGGTAAGTACAAAGTTCTAGAAAGAGGAGCAAAAAACAAAGAAAGAGGAGGGAGAGAAACAAAATTATGCTGTGTGCAAATATTTCAAATATGTTAAAATTTTCCTAAAGTTTTCATGGAATTTTTATCTTAAATGGCAAGAGAAAGAAGGAAGAAAGAACAGGAAGAGAATACAAGTTGAGGAATTCCCAAGGGAAAGCAGAAGGAAAGGGAAGCATTACAAACAAACTTTTGGAACCTCATTTTTTGCCTAAGCCAGATGTTTCTGAACGACACAAAACATGACTTGAGAAAAAGTGGCTCTGCCAACCATGGTCATACATCACCAGCACAATGTTAATTCCTGTTCCAAACAGGGGTACTTGAAAGGTCATCCCAGGATAATCTTGGGGATTCCCTAAGAGTATGTGGCCTATGTTGCGTCCAGCTGGTTCTAGATGGTCCAATTCAGATGCATCTGCTTTTCCAGTGGACCATCTAGAACATCCCTTCTTGCTCCCTTCACTCCAGCCAGACTGGCCCAGTGGCCTTAGGTCCTCAGCAGGCCTGAACCTTTTACTTCTGGACTTTGCTTGTCATCCTCCCTGCCTGGTATATCTTCCCCAACGGATTCCTTGTTTTGAATCCTGCTATCTCTGTTAACGCAGTACTAGCCCCATCTCTTCTGTGAAGCCTCTGTGTCCGAATCTTCTGGGAACTCCACCTCCTCTGTGTTAGAACATTAAAAGATGGGACCTAGGCTGGGCACAGTGACTCACACCTGTAATCCCAGCACTTTGGGAGGCTGAGGTGGGTAGATCACCTGAAATCAGGAGTTCGAGACCAGCCTGGCCAATATGGTGAAACCCCATCTCTACTAAAAATACAAAAAAATTAGCTGGGTGTGGTGGTAGGTGCCTGTAATTCCAGCTACTCTGGAGGTTGATGCAGGAGAATCACTTGAACCTGGGAGGCGGAGGTTGCAGTGAGCTGAGATCGTGCCATTGCGCTCCAGCCTGGGCAATAAGAGCAAAACTCCATCTCAAAAACAAACAAACAAACAAACAAAAAAGATGGGACCTTTACTCTGTCCTGTTCAGTTTCTTTTTATATGGATATGTTCTGACCAACTCTCAAATGCCTGATGGAATGAACTGGGTAATTGGGATGTTAGGCAAGTTGCTTAGCTTTCTTGTCTGTAAATTGGGAATAATAATACAACACACTTATAAGATTGTAAAGATCTAATGAGTTCCTGTAAGTAAAGTTCTTAATACAGTGCCAGGCATGTAGTAAAAGCTATCTGTGTTATTTATGAGTTTACCTTTGGGACATTGTTGAACCAAACCTTAACTGATGTTAAATATTGTTGCAGAAACAGGACAGAGGCTCCAAAGCATCTTTGTAGGTGCCTTTAACAAGCATTGCAAAGCTATCCTACATTATAAAGTACAATCATCCATGAAATGATGTACATATTATATATGCACAGTGTAAAGAATACAAAATAGGCTGGGCATGGTGGCTCATACCTGTAATCCCAGCACTTTGGGATGCCAACGCAGGCAGATCACCTGAGGTCAGAAGTTCAAGACCAGCCTGGCCAACATGGTGAAACCCCATCTCTACTAAAAATAAAAAATTAGCCAAGTGTGGTGGCACGCACCTGTAGTCCCAGCTACTCAGGAGGCTGAGACAGGAGAATTGTTTGAACCTGGGAGGCGGAGGTTGCAGAGAGCCGAGACCGAACCACTGCACACCAGCCTGGGTGACAGAGTGAGACTCCATCTCAAAAAGAAAAAAAGAATGCAAAATAAACACCCAAGTACACATGTACACAGCACGCATGCAAGCATGCACGCAGGTGCACACATATGCGTTAAGATAAAGAACATAAGCAGTATAACTCCAGTGTAATCTACCACAACTGCATTCCCTTCTCACAGCCACCCCACCACCAAATGCAATTCAGACTTTTATGTTACCTATTTTCTTATTTTTCTTTGCCGTGTCTCCCCATAAATACTTATTCCCAAACAAACAAAAATATATATACATATATTAGTTTCACCTGTTTGGGGGGAACTCTATATAAATGGAATCATACTGCATGCATTTGTTGTGACTTACTTTTTCAGTGTACGTGTGTTCGTTTTCATCTTCCATGTTAGTTATAAAGCTGTAGTTTTTTTGTTTTTGTTTTTGTTTTCATTTTTGTTTGAGACAGAGTCTCACTCTGTCGCCCAGGCTGGAGTGCAGTGGTGCAATCTCGGCTCACTGCAACCTCCGCCTCCCAGGTTCAAGCGATTCTCCTGCCTCAGCCTCCTGAGTAGCTGGGACTACAGGCACATGCCACCACACACTTCTATTTTTTGTATTTTTAGTAGAGACTGGGTTTCACCATGTTGGCCAGGATGGTCTTGATCTCTTGACCTCGTGATCCGCCCACCTCGGCCTCCCAAAGTACAGGGATTACAAGTGTGTGCCACTGCACGCGGCCCCATAAAGCTGTAGTTTATTCATTTTCACTGCTGTATAACATCCCATCCTATGAATGTAACAAAATTTGTTTTTCCATTCTACCATTGGGGCATGCATGGGGTTTCTCAGTTTTTACTATCACAAAGCTACTGTGAACACGTTTGCACATTTGTCCTGATGCAAGTATGTCAGGGTTTCTCCAGGGAATACACCAGGGTGGAATTGCTGTAGGTTTGGGGATGCATATACATTTATCTTTATTAGCAAGTGCTACATTCATGCTGGAAATCGATTTACAATCTTACCTGGAGGACATAGGCATTCTGGTTTCTCCTTGCCTTCACTAACATTTGGTGCTGTCAGACTTGATTTTATTTATTTATTTATTTATTTATTGAGACAGAGTCTTGCTCTGTTGCCCAGGCTGGAGTGCAGTGGTGCAATCTCGGCTCACTGCAACCTCCACCTCCCAGGTTCAAGCAATTCTCCTGCCTCAGCCTCCCAAGTAGCTGGGATTACAGGGGTGCGCCACCACGCCCACCTAATTTTTGTATTTTTAGTAGAGACGGGGTTTCACCATGTTGACCAGGCTGGTCTTGAACTCCTGACCTCACTGACCTCAGGTGATCTGCCTGCCTTGGCCTCCCAAAGTGCTAGGATTATAGGTGTGAGCCACCGTGCCCGGCCAGACTTGATTTTTGCGAGTCTGGAACCCACTTTTAGCTTTTGCCAAAATGATGTGTGTGAAGGCATACCTGAGTTTGGGATAAATGTGCAGTTTTTCTGAATACTCATGACATTGAGCATGTGTTTATATGTTTATGGATTATTTGTGTATCCTCTTCTGAAAAATGACTGCACGTATCTTTTCTGTTTTTTTTGTTTTTTTTTGTCTTTTTCTTATTGATTCTTGGGCACTAATTCTTTGTTATAGATATTGCAAATACATCACAGTTTGTGACCTATGACATCTTCTGAGAAACAAATTCTTAAATTTTAATATAGTAGAATTTATCCATCTTTTCCTTTATAGTTTATGTTTTTGCATCTTTTTAATGATATCTTTCCCTACCCCAAGGTCATAAAGATACCCTCTGAAACTTCCCCCTAAAGGTTTTAAAATTTTGGCTTTTCCATTTGAGTCCTTAGTTCATTTGGCATTGAACTTTTATGAGTTAGAGAAACTTTGCATTGTTTTCTATATGAATGACCAATGCACTCAGCCTCTTTATCTGTCCTTTCCCCAGGAATCTGTAGTGCCAGGTCTGCCATATATGAGGTTTCTACATATGGAGGACCCACTTCTGGGTTCTCTATGCTGTTCCATTGGTACATTTGTCCATCTGTACACCAACACCACAGTATCTTAATTACTATAATTTTATACTATAAGTGTTGGAATCTAGAAGGGCAAGCTCCCTCCTGGGTCCCTCCCATTGCACTTCCAAATACATTTTAGAAGGGTGCTTTACATTTTTTATGACTCTTGGACATCCCCAGTGCACGTTATTGCTCTTGTCTTACAGCAAAAAGAATATTCTTAGCTCTCACTCTGAGGCCACAGTGTAGGGTGAACACCCATGATTTAATGAAAGCAGTTGAGAGGTTTCAAAGTCAAGACACAACATTGTCTTTCTTGACTAATTGGAGACTATAAACCTGCTTAAAGCCAAACTAAAGACCCTTGCACTAAACATGGCTCTTGACTCAATAATAGCCTTGGCCGTTCATAAACAAACCTGTTTTGGTCAAACTTTGGTTTGACATTTAAAACCTTGTAAACATAATAGCTACTTCCTTTCATCCTGACCCAACTTGGCTTCCTCCAAGGCAAATCAAGGTCACAGTGCTATTTTAGGGTACAGTGAAAATTAAGTTTCTTAGGATGCCTTAAATAGCTGAAGCGTAGGCTGAAACATAAACTGGAATTAATTAAAAGAGACCACATGTATAAGAGTGTGGAGATCCAGAGAGGGTACTTAACCAGCCCAAGGTCACACAGTCTGAAAAACTCAAGTCTCTTTACTCTCTGTTCCAATTTTTTCTATTCTATACTAGGTGTTGGATGACTTTTTTTGGAGAGTAAAAGAGTAAATATCTTAGGTTTTGTGGGCTAAGAGGCAAGGTCCTCAATTATTCTAGCAATTGTTCCCCTAGAAAGACCAATATTCCTTTTATATCTAAAAATGTAAAGCCATTATTAGCTCAAGGGTCCTGCAAAAACAGTGGGGTGGACTAGATTTCCCTGTAGGCTGTAGTTTTCAACCCAAGCTCTACACCATATGTAAGAGATACGTATTCTTGTTTCCGCTTTTTAGATGATTAAAAACATACATATAAATGGCCAGGCGCGGTGGCTTACGCCTGTAGTCCCAGCACTTTGGGAGGCCGAGGTAGGCGGATCACAAGGTCAGGAGATCAAGACCAGCCTGGTCAACATGGTGAAACCCCGTCTCTACCAAAAATACAAAAATTAGCCAGGTATGGTGACAAGTGCCCGTAAACCCAGCTACTCGGGAGGCTGAGGCAGGAGAATGGCGTGAACCCAGAAGACAGAACTTGCAGTGAGCCAAGATCACACCACTGCACACAAGCCCGGGCGACAGAGCAAAACTCTGTCTCAAAAAAAAAAAAAAAAAAGAAAAAGAAAAAGAAAAAACACCGTACATATAAAGAAAATTACAGATCAAATATTACAATGCATATTAGGAATCAGCAGAGGTGAAATTGTGTTCCCAGAAACAAACTAATGCTATATGGTATGCATTTGAGGATTAGTTCTGAAGATAGCTGAAGTAAATTGGAGTCCACTTCATTTTATCCTCCGCATATTGAAAAGTCTGTTATGCCTCAGGAACTTCTTGGTACTAAATCACAAAATTAAGAATGATCATTGATACAAAAATTCTCAGTAATTTGATAATATACAATGTCTGTGTGGAGTCTAAATATGCATTCTGAGGAAACAAGGTTATTTATATATATTATACCTTTTCTCCATTTAAAGATTAAAAGTCATTGTTGAGTTATTCTTAGATAGCCTTCAAACCCAAGTATATTATAACTGTGAGTATATCAGACATGCTATTAATTTTTCCTGTGTTATATATAGAGAAGCCTTCTTTGATGTGAATTTTGTCATTTGTATATTCTCTGATTTAAACGTGTTGTTTGTATCTTAAACATCACAAATGAAGTTGCATTTTCATAACAGCTTAGCATCATAACCTTTTCTATATTTCTTGCTTTAATTCCAAATCACTATAGAGTGTGCCCACAGTTGTATCTTTTTACATGTTTTTATTCCTTAGGCCAGAGCCTATTAAAACACTTCACAGGTCCTATTGCTATCTCTGGGCATGTTACTGGCTTTCCATTCTTCAAATACCTGTCCATTGTGAATTATAGGCACTAGCTGTGTCAAATGAAAACAATTTCAAAGATTTGTGTGTGGAGAACTTGAGAATCGCTACCTAGTCCTTTGAAATGTGGTCAGCTGGATATTGTTAGCCTCCTTGTCATTTATTTTGTGTCCCATATTTTGAAGAGCCTTCTCATAAACTCCTAGGGCTTGACAGTCTGGGTGTCTGGTTTAAGAACTTTCTTATCACATTATTACCTAAGGGCTGCAAAGGGCACTACTTACCAACTCCACAAAAATGAAAAGTGTCTCTGAAAATATTTGTCTTCAGACTGACTCATTCTTGAATGTCTGAAACGTATACTGGATACTTTTTGGTTTGTTTACTCGGCTTAGAATGTGGGATTAAAATGAGAAATTAACATCAACTAAACCTAAAACTTAGACTTTTCTAGCAGTGCATTTTTATTTTTCATTTTGTGGATAGGTCAAGAGCCTACCAGTCTCATCATCATCATTTTTTTTTTAATGAAAAGTCATTATCGTTTTTCCCTCATTATGAAATAATGTACAACCAAAAATTTTAAAGCAATTCAAAAAAGTATAAAGTCAAATAGGAAAATCACCATGATCCCCAGAGTAACCATTTTTAATCATTCTATGTATTTACTTCCAGAATTTCTGTGCATATATAGGTTCTTACAAAAATATCATATAAATCTGTCTGATGTTTTTATGAGTTGCTGTAATATTCCACTGTATTGATATGGCACAAGGTATATAACCACCTCCGTATGTGCTTGTTGTTTTTGTTTTTTGTTTGTTTGTTTTGTTTTTGCACAGAGTCTCGCTCTGTCGCCCAGGCTGGAGTGTGGTGGCATGATCTTGGCTCACTGCAAACTCTGCCTCCTGGGTTCAAGCAATTCTCTTGCCTCAGCCTCCCGAGTAGCTGGGATTACAGGTGCCCACCACCATGCCAAACTAATTTTTGCATTTTTAGTAGAGATGGGGTTTCACCATGTTGGCCAGGCTGGTCTCAAACTCCTGACCTCAGGTGATCCACCCGCCTCGGCCTCCCAAAGTGTTGGGATTACAGGGGTGAGCCACTGCACCGGGCCTATGTGCTTGTTTTATGTGCAGATTTATCCTCCCTCAGTTTTCCCTAGCATCATAGGTGCAGGCAGTGTATCATAGCCTTAGCTTTCACTAATAGATGTTTGTACTACTCTTTTGATATTAAAAATTTTCCTTAGGATAAAACAAATAAGAGGGTGTTTACATGCTACAACATAGATGAACCTTGAGTTCCTTATGCTAAGTGAAAGAAGCAAGTCACAAAAAGACAAATACTGCACGATTCCATTTGTATTTAGTACCTACAGTAGTCAAATTCATAGAGACAGAATACAGAGTCGTGTTTGGCAGGGACTGGAGGGAGGAGAGAATGAGAGATTGCTGCTTAATAGGTACAAAGTTTCAGTTTTACAAGATAAAAAGAATTCTGGAGATTAATTGTGCAACAATGTGAATGTACTTAACACCAATGACCTGCACACTAAAAAATGGTTAAGAAGGTAAATTTGGCAAGGTGCATCCTTCCACAATTAAATTTTTTAAAATCAAAGGATGTTTAAAATATGATTGTATATATTTTATTGTAAAATGTACTGACTGGGTATATAAACGCCACCCTTTCCTGTCAATTTCAGTTATCTGGAAGACAAACAAAAACCAGGACAATACTACAAAGATTCTGCACTTCATTTGTAGTTGAGGCCCTCAGACCTTACCGCATCTCTTTATTCTGAATTTATAAGTAATTCAATCGAGCTTTAGTTACTGATTTCTTAATTAGTAGCATAGATTAAACAATTAGAAATACAGAAGAGGTATCAGAGAGCTATAGGTAAGGAAGCAGCAGTAGAAAGAAAGGAAGGTAGAAAGCCTAATACCACAAAAAGAATCTTCCTCCAAAAAAAAAGCATACTTAACAATCAAAACCATAGACCATCCTGCAATTAAATGATATAAATGCAAATAAATATCTCTATGTATGCAACAGCATCACTCAACAAATATTTCTTAAGTATCAGTTATGTACCAAGAATCCCTTAGGGCCCAAAAGTGTTCACAGTGACAGCAATATTGTTCAGGAAAGGAGGATTATGTCACTTTCAGTCTGTTTACAAGGCAGGAGAGCCTGTCATACAATCACAGATGGTCAGAGTTTGGGTTTTAATGGTAAACTTCAGTTATCTAGAAATTGCACTTCTATAGACTCTCATGTTTCCTCAAATCCTGTGTCCAAATGGTATCCTGTTTAATAATTGTATATGATTTAGTGACTGTATTGGTCTATTCTCACACTGCTGATAAAGATATACCCAAGACTGGGTACTTTATAAAGAAAAAGAAGTTTAATGGACTCACAGCTCCACATGGCTGGGGAGGCCTCACAGTCATGGCAGATGGTGAAAGGCATGTCTTACATGGTGGCAGACAAGAGAGAATGAGGACCAACTGAAAGGGGTTTCCCCTTATGAAACCATCAGCTCTCATGAGACTTATCCACTACCATGAGAACAGTATGGGAGAACCACCCCATGATTCAATTATCTCCCACTGACTCTCTCCCACAACATGTGGGAATTATGGGAGCTACAATTCAAGATGAGATTTGGGTGGGGACACAGCCAAACCATATCAGCGACCTTACCTATCTACATGGACTTGTACCACCTTGCTCCTTTTGTAAGCAAGCAATTTGTAAGCACATTATTCACCAAGCAGCAGTATGTGCTTGTTAACAAAGACATATTTTAGCCACAATGTTAACCTGACTGTAGTCCTGTTTTATTTGACTGTTTGTACCAATAGCCACAGTTTATAGGTTTGGGCTATAGAAAAAGCTGATATTGAGCATAACAAAATAATGCATGATGTACCATCACTATAGGATGGTGGGTTTATTAAAATAAAATATCTCTCCCTTTCTCCAGGGAAGCCGTAAATTGCAAAATTATCAATATGCCATCTAGCAGTTTATTTATCATGTGAAAATTTGGAAGTAAAATGTGTGGTTTCAGCAACTGAATTCAGTAGTAATGACAACTGTTCAAGAAAAATGTGCTCATACAGAATTCTTGGTTACCATCACCTGTGATGGGGCCTAAATATTTTTCTTTGGAGAAAAAGTAATGAAATTTGGAGGCCTTACAGTTAAACATTATTCTGGACATTACTGGTTTTGCTTGTTCTGTTTTACAAAATGCTTCTGCAAACAAGACAGTGCTGGCACAAGGGCAGAAGACACTCTCAGCATTGCTTTAAGAGTCAGATTCATCCATTAAAATACACATTCAAACTCCATATAACTATATATAGTCACATATATAGTTATAACTATATTTAACTATATATAAAATAACTATATATATAGCTATATATATATATATATATATAGTTATTTTAAATTTGCCTTAATAGCTAAACCCCTTTTTAAGGTTTTCCAAATGCGACTGCTCATTTGAAAAAATGTCGTGTGGGCCGGGCGCAGTGGCTCACGCCTGTAATCGCAGCACTTTGGGAGGCCGAGACGGGTGGATCACGAGGTCAGGAGATCAAGACCATCCTGGCTAACACGGTGAAACCCCGTCTCTACTAAAGATACAAAAAATTAGCCGGGCGTGGTGGTGGGCGCCTGTAGTCCCAGCTATTCGGGTGGCTGAGGCAGGAGAATGGCGTGAACCCGGGAGGAGGAGCTTGCAGTGAGTGGAGATTGTGCCACTGCACTCCAGCCTGGGTGAGGGAGCAAGACTCCGTCTCAAAAGAAGAAAAGAAAAAATGTCGTGTGAAAATACTGCATTTTTTATTAGGATATGATAATGATTCCATCTCTGTCTTAGGAAAACTAATTTAAATGCACTTTTGTTGTTGTTTCTGTACTCTTCCTTCCAAAACTAACAGTGAAGCAAGCTATCAAGGTGTCTGCTCTGTTGATCCAACTTGAACAATCAAACTCTACTTTAGCAACAAGAAAAACATATTTTTAATATTAAAAGAAAAGTAAAGCACATATTAGGAAAGGTGGAAATAGAATCATCTTGGAGACTTATAAAAGATATCTGATGCTTAACGTTTAGAAATCTTGTGACCTGAATTTCAATTGTTTTGCTTTCTAAATTATTTTATATTTGTTTATTTGTATTTTGGTTGTAAAAAAAGCAGAATTAATAAAAATTCTTTTTTCATATCCTTTCGTATTTCTACAAAACAGATGTTGCCATTATGTGGAATTTGTCATCTTCCAATATACAATAAAATAGCCTAACATGAAGTCTCTATCCTCAGTCCCATTATTTCTTTTTTTTTTTAGACAGAGTCTCGCTCTGTCCCCCAGGCTGGAGTGCAATGGCACAATCATGGCTCACTGCAACCTCCACCTCCAAGGTTCAAGCGATTCTCCTGCCTCGGCCTCCCAAGTAGCTGGGATTACAGGCATGCACCACCATGCCCAGCTAATTTTGTATTTTTTTTTTAAGTAGATACGGAGGTTTCTCCATGTTGGTCAGGCTGGTCTTGAACTCCCAAACTCAGGTGATCTGCCATCCTCGGCCTCCCAAAGTGCTGGGATTACAGGCGTGAGCCACCATGCCAGGCCCCTTGGTCCCATTATTTCTATCCCATCTTTGCCTTTTCCATTTGCTCTGCCACCTGGCTCCTGCACTCACCCTTCTCTTAGAGCCTTTTCCACTTATGACACTATACACTGTGCCAGCGGGGTGGGTTGTTTTTGCAGAGCCAATCCCAAAGACTTTTGTTAATTCCCCCTTGGCTTTCTTGTCTATCTGCTTCTAAGATTTTATTTACTTGGTATTAGTCATCTGGATGAGAAGAAAAACTCAGTCAATCATCAAAATGTCTAAAATATCCAAACGTTTGTATTCCCAGAGATGTAGCTTACATTTTCTTATTTATTTTTGTATGACGTCTCACTCCAGCTGTCATTGTATTTACATGCTTATCTCCCCATAGTCTGTTTTTAGTGCTGTGAAGCACTCTTGTATCCTTGACATTTTCCAAGTTTAATTTTTAATCTTCTTTTCTTGTTTTTACCACAGTTATATATTTTATATAGTTAAATAATTTACACCTATGACTTATGTTATCTGTCTAGTACTCTGTGATTTACTTTTTCATATAGTCAGTATGTATTGAGCATCTTCTGTTTGCATTTGTAACCCCAGTGCTGTCTAGAGGTATCCTGTCCTTTGAGGTTTAAAACTACATGAAATTCCTTGAATACCATCTCGACCTGTAGGAAGTCCAAATTCTGCCCCAAGATTTCTTCACCTTCCCTGGGGCCTGCATTTTCTTGGTAGCTTTTCCTTCTGATTTTCTGTACTTGCTGAAGATTTGAATCTTACCCACATCTCAATTTCCACAATGATTCTTCCATTAATGGACCAGAGCTTCTTGTTTAATAAGGCGGTTTTATGTGTGTGTGTGTGTGTGTGTGTGTGTGTTTCAGAGACAAAGCCTTTTTTTTTTTTTTTTTTTTTTGAGACAGAGTCTCACTGTCACCCAGGCTGGAGTGCAGTGGTGCAATCTCAGCTCACTTCAGCCTCTGCCTCCCAGGTTCACGTGATTATCCTGCCTCAGCCTCCCAAGTAGCTGGGATTACAGGTGCCCGCCACCACGCCCAGCTAATTTTTGTAATTTTATTAGAGACCGGGTTTCTCCATGTTGGCCAGGGTGGTCTCAAACTACTGACCTCAAGTGATCCACCCGCCTCGGCCTCCCAAAGTGCTGGGATTGCAGGCGTGAGCCACTGTGCCCAACCAGAGACAGAGTCTTGCTCCACTGCACAGGCTGGAGTGCAGTGGTGGAGCCAACTGCAGCCTCCAACTCCTGGGCTTCAGCAATCCTCCCACCTCAGCCTCTGGAATAGCTGGAACTACAGGCACTCACCACCATCCATGGCTAATTTATTTTATTTTATTTTTTGTAGAGACAGAGTCTCACTATGTTGCATAGGCTGGTCTCAAATTCCTGGCCTCAAGTGATCCCTACCTCAGCCTCCCAAAGTGCTGGGATTACAGGCATGAGCCACCATGCCTGGCCATAAGGCAGTTTTATATGACAAAGTGTATTGAAGATTTAGAGATAACACAGGAAATTTCAACTACATTGATAATGTGCTATTTCTGAGCTGGGTGGTAGCTGCAGGAGTATTTATTACATTATTCTTGATACCTTTCCATATATATGGAGAATAGTTTAAAATTTTTATGTGTCAGTGGAGAGTCCTATAACTCAGAATGAATAATGATTTTATCTTCATGTTATCAGAAAAGAAGTCAGATGCTCTGAGGAGCTGGATGCTTTTGTCCAATGAGTTGCAGACAGACGTTATTGCTGGAATTTTTTATTAAGAACATTTCAAAGTCATCACCCCTCTTTGTTTTACCTTGTCCAGCACAAAGGAATTATCAACACCTGTACATGTCATGAAATTACCATTGCAGTGGTCTCATCTTCTTCTTGACCTCTGTCACTGGTTCCCCTGTAAGACAGTACTCTTGATCTTGACATCACCAATCACAGTTCCTCTCCAAGCACCCTCCAGTCTTTCCATCTTTGTCCCTAGGACTCCAAATCCCATAATCCTTCCATCTCACTGGTACCCACAATTCCTTTATCCATTGCTTTGTCACTGTCTCTGTGCTCCTGGAGTCTCCTGTCTTCCCTCATTGATGACCTTTATTTCATGGTCAAGGAGCCATCAGGACCACTTTTTTTTTTTTCGCATTCATCCTCAGCTCTCTTGCTTGATCAAATCCATCTGGAAAAACCACAAATCTGCTTAAATCCCACTGTGTCTATGCAGCCCAGTCACTGCTTCCCCTCCTTCTTTCAAGTCTTTATTCCAAAAATCACCTCCTCAGGTGAGCCCTTTCGTGACCACATTATCTAAATGTTTACAACCCACCCCTGACATTTCACTTCTTTCTTTCCTGCATTAATTTTTCTTGGCAATTATAATTAGTTAACGTGTGTATTATACATATATATTTATCTTATCTATTGTTTTCTTCCCCCTGTTAGAACATAAGCTACCGTGTCCCCTGTATCTAGAATAGTGCCTGGTGCATAGTACATAATAAATGTTTTTTGAATGAATGAATAAATGATACCACTTCTAGATTTGAATATAAATTTGAAGTTGGACATTAGGAAAAAAAAAGTGAAAATAAGTGACTGAGGGAAAATGGCTTTGAGGGTGAGAAAGCGTCCCATCCTATCACTGAGCACAGTAGATCATTTAACTCAGCATCCTTGTGTTTAAAATGCTCCTTAAGCCAGGTGCAGTGGTGCACCTAAGTAGCTTGTAGTCCCACCTACTTAAGAGGCTGAGATGGGAGGATTGCTTGAGCCCAGGAGTTTGAGACCAGCCTGGACAACATACGGAGACACTGTCTCTAATAATAATAATAATAATAATAATAATAATAATAATAATAATGATAATGATAATAAAAAGCTCCTTAAGCACCCTTGACATACAATACCCAATCTTGCTCCTGCAGTCCTTCAGCCCCCTGCCCCTGAGCTTGCTATCTTTCAAGCTTCCTTGCACATTTTCCTTTTCTGGCACTGTTTCTGTTCTGCCTGATTCATGTTCATTTTATACGTAGTGAAAGTTATACATTTCTTGGCCTGTTCTCAGGTCAACACCCACCTGCAGGCTTTGTCCAGAGAGTGTCCTATTATCATCAAATGGGCCCCTGAAGTCATGGGAGGCAGCTAAGAGGACACTTTCCTCTCCCCAACACTGTGAACTTGTCCCCCCTCCTAGGAATGTAGAGATGAGTAAGATGTGGCTTGCTATGAGAAACTTCGTGGGGTGGTGGAGAAGGCATGTAAACAAATAATTACAGTGCAATTAGGTACGTGTTATAAGTCAGTTATGCACAAAACAAATGAGGGAGCAACTAACCACCTTGCGGGTTGAGGGAGGTAGTCTTTCAAGACAGGTAACTTTGAACTGCTCTGGAATCAGCAAAACTCAGCCAAGCAAGGTCAGAGGCAGTGAGAAGTGGGCATGTCAGGCCAAAAAACCATGTGGAAAAGCACAGGAATATGAAAGCAAGCAGAGGGTCTCAGCGGGCAGGAATCGCACCTGCAGCCCCATGGGGGCCAATGGCCTCTCTGCTGGGGATATAGGGGACACAGAATACAGAGAGCCTCCCACACCATGCCCAGGAGTTCAGACTCAGCACTGATGGCCAGGTCTAAATACTTTTAATCAACCAAGTGACATCATCTAATTCGGGGAATTTATTTAGGATTGATCATTAATCTCAACTATCCTATATTTTTACAAATAACTTCTGTTTTATTTCATAAATATCAAAGAGATTGGTATAAAAGTTCTGGGGATGAATCTTAGTTCCTTTTTAATACTTGATATGCTAAGGAAGTTCTCAGAGTGTGGTCTGGGGAACCCCTGAAACTAAGCCCCTGCAAGCTGCTTGTTTTAAGTACCGATTCTAGGCCTCAGACCTGCTCACTGAGGATGGGATCTCGAGGGGAAAAGTATGGTTACTAAAGACTTCAAATAATTCATATACATGAAAAGTTGAGAACCACTGTCCTAAGGTTCTGTTGGAATATCATGAAACTATACAGAGATAGTTTTCTTAATCACAATCTGATGTGAACTGATACTATCAAGGAAGTGTGTTACTCATAACAAATGGGGAAAAATATCCCAAACATTTACATCATATACTTTAGAAGGCAAATTCAGGCCAGGCACAGTGGCTCATGCCTATAATCCCAGCACTTCGGGAGGCTGAGGTGGGCGGATCACCTGAGGTCAGGAGTTCAAGACCAGCCTGACCAACATGGTGAGACGCCCCCCCAACTCTACTAAAAATACAAAAGAAAAATTAGCCGGGCATGATTGTAATCCCAGCTACTTGGGAAATTGTGATGGGAGAATCTCTTGAACCTGGAAGGTGGAGGTTCCAGTGAGCCGAGATCATGCCACTGCACGCCAACCTGGGTGACAGAATGAGACTCTGTCTCAAATAAATAAATAAACAAATAAATAAGCAAATTCTGGTATCAGATTTTCTCCTTATCCTTTACAGAGAGTTATAGTCATGATTTATCTCACTTATATCCAGCCCCAATCAAAGTATTAATTAGATAGTGTCTATTGTCCTCCACTTGTGGGGAGAAGATGTTTTGCATAGCAGTGAGCAACTAAGCCAGGAATGAATTCAGCTCTAAGAAGTTACTCTTCTCCATAGTGAGCTCCTCCAAGACAAAGCCTTTAGGTGTGGGCTCTGATACTCCAAGCAGGCCAGACTGCTGGGCAGAAAAGTCAACATGAAGCAGAGCCTCTGTGCTCTGAAGTTTGCACGCAATCGCTCCGAACGCAGTCAGCTTATCGGTCCAAGGGAAAATTAGAAGTTCCAGATTCCAAATAAGATCTGGACTGACCTTGGAGTAATGACTATGAGACAGATGAACTTTAAGGCGTTTTACGATCTTAATATTCTATTACTTATAACAATGGAGAGTGTAGCTCTCCCACCATCAGCCAGTGGAAGCGCAGGTGACCTCTGGGGTTTCCCTGTGTCTGCAGATAACTGTCAGCTCTAAGCTTTCTTCATCAGATATCTCAACCATTGTCTTTAAAATTTTCCTATGTTTATTCTGACTTTGTTTTTTTCTACCAGGAAGTAAAAACTAAGCTAGTAGTTTTCCAAACTGAAAAAACAAACAAACAAACAAAAAATTACTTAAAATGAATGCTGCTGGGCATGATAGCTCATGCCCGTAATCCCAGTACTTTGGGAGGCCAAGGCGGGTGGATCACCTGAGGTCAGGAGTTCAAGACCAGCCTGTCCAACATGGTGAAACCCTGTCTCTACTAAAAATATAAAAAATTAGCCAGGTGAGGTGGCGGCAGGCGCCTGTAATCCCAGCTAGTCAGGAGGCTGAAGCAGGAGAATCGCTTGAACCCGGGAGGCAGAGGTTGCAGTGAGCCGAGATCATGCCATTGCACTCCAGCCTGGGCAACAAAAGTGAAACTCCATCTCAAAGAAAAAAAAAAAATGAATGATTATAGTTTGAGAAAACAATTAATAAATTATAGGACTTTAAATTTCTATTTTTGAGATGAACTGTCTTTTTATTGCTCTGAATGAATTTTCTTTTTTGTTATTAATTTTTATGTTTAGAAAAAGTAATCTAGTTTTGTTTTGTTCTTGTTTTTGACAGGGTTTCACTCTGTCGCCCAGGCTGGAGTGCTGTGGCGCGATTACAGCTCACTGTGGCCTCAACCTCCTGGGCTCCAGCGATCCTCCCGCCTCAGCATCCTGAGTAGCTGGAACTACAGGCTTGCGCCACCATGCCTGGCTAATTTTTTTTATAGAGACAGGGTCCCACTATGTTGCCCCGGCTGGTCTCCAACCCCTGGGCTCAAGTAATCCTCCCACCTTGGCCTCCCAAAATGCTAGGATAACAGGTGTGAGCCACCTGGCCTAAACTTTGGTTTTGTAAATAACATTTTCAAAGATTTTTTTTCAAATGGTCCTATGAATAGACAAACCAGGCACATGACCTAAGAAGTCCCATCCGCCTTAATATGCGTCTCCACCTGCCAGCCTGCAGCTCGAATTTTCCATCACTTGTGGCACTGGTGGCAGCTTTCTGTCTTTTTTGTTTGTTTTAAGAGGTAATGTTTTCTGAAAAATGTGTCAGTTCCCAGGCGGATTTTTAAAAATTAACCCATTAGCATCATGTCTCTCGATAAGATTAGTTTACTTTCACCTCTCAGACAGAAGACCCTGCAGCAGCAGGTGACAAAGCAAAGAGTGACCAACAAGAGAGAGTGGAGGTGGGTGTGGCTAATTTAGTGGTTCCCAGTGCAGGGTTGCACCAGGCCAAAGCAAGTGAGAAAAATAAGAACGAGGTAGAGATTTTTTTTTTTAATCAAGTAAAATGGGAGCTTTTTATCAAGTTCCCATGTTAAGGGAACAGCTTTTTCTTTCTTTTTTTTTTTTTTTTTTGTTGAGACAGATCTCACCCTGTCTCCCAGACTGGAGTGTAGTGATGTAACCTCTGCTTACTGCAACCTCCACCTCCCAGGTTGAAGCGATTCTCTTGCCTTAGCCACCCGAGTACCTGGGACTATAATTACACTCCACCATGCCCGGCTAACTTTTGTATTTTTAGTAGAGACAGGGTTTCACCCTGTTGGCCAGGCTGGTCTTGAACTCCTGACTTCAAGTAATCCACCCGCCTCGGCTTCCCAAAGTGCTGGGATTACAGTCGTGAGCCACCATGCCCAGCCAGGAACATATTTTATTCTGTGGGCATTTTACTTGCTTTATGGTATCTTAATTTTTCTCTGGAATATGAGGACAGTAGATGAGAGGTCTGCTGTGGTTTGGGGGGTGGGTGATTGTGTTGGTTTGTGTTTGGAGGTGGCCATTGCTCTTATATTGAAAAATATAACTAAGACAGCCCTCTGTTTGTCTTCCTTTTAAGACACATTTATTTTATTGCCCTGTGAAGTTCAAAACATGAAGAACTTTTGGACTAGAGGATCTGCTGGGTTCTTCCAGTCCCCAAATTGTATTCCCTGTGTCCCCCAAGCTCTGGACAGAAGCACAGTGGGAGAAGGGGAGGCACATGGGGGTAGGCGGACAGAAAGAAGAGACAGGTCCCAGTCTGCCATTCCAAGGTAGAAGACCATCTCTCACTGGAACTCACAGCTGATCTCTTCTTTAAGTTTCTATTCTAATGTTAGGTTTGTTTTTTTTTTTTTAGATGGAGTCTTGCTCTGTTGCCCAGGCTGGAGTACAGTGGTGCAATCTTTGCTTACTGTAACCTTCACCTACTAGGTTCAAGCAATTCTCCTGCCTCAGCCACCCAGGTAGCTGGGATTATAGGCACTCAACATCATGCCAAACTAATTTTTGTATTTTTAGTAGAGACGGGGTTTCCCCCAGTTGGCCAGGCTGGCCTTGAACTCCTGACCTCAGGTGATCTACCTGCCTCGGCCTCCCAAAGTGCTGAGATTATAGGCATGAGCCACCGCACCTGGCCTCTATCTTAATTTTTAATGCAATTTTTATATTGCCATAGAAAAAATATAATGAAGATAATTTGTACCAGGAATCACCAAGCTTTTCCCATAAAGAGCCACGTAGTAAATATTTTAGGCTTTGCAAGCCAAGAGGCAAAATGAAGGCTACTATGCAGATACCTATATAACAAGAGAGAAAATAAATATCCACAACATTTGTATTGATGAAATGCAAACTTATGGACATTGAGATTTAAAGTTTATATAATTTTCACATTACAAAATGTTATTTCTCTCTTAATTTTGTTTCAACCATGAAAAATATAAAAACCAGTCTTAGCTCATAGGCCGGATGGAAACAGGCAGAGGGCTGGATTTGTCCTGCAAGCTGCTGTCTGCCAAGTCCTGCATTATACAGCTAATTTCATGAGCTACTATGTTATGTTTTTCACTGGGATTTTACGTCCCATCATGAGGGGCACAGTGATAGGGTGAGAGGGGGAGAAACATACCCCTCCTCCCCCAGTGCCTTGTGGCCAGCAGAGCCCGTCAATAATGAAATACAGGCCGGGCACGCTGGCTCACGCCTGTAATCCCAGCACTTTGGGAGGCCGAGGTGGGTGGATCACTTGAGCTCAGGAGTTTGAGACCAGCCTGGCCAACATGGTGAAACCCCATCTCTACTGGAGAATCATTTGAACCTGGGAGGCAGAGGTTGCAGTCAGCCAATATTGCATCACTGCACTCCAGTCTGGGTGACAGAGCAAGACTCCATCTCAAAAAAAAAAAGAAGAAGAAGAAATGCAACACTGCACCTGAGAATATGACTGACCCTGGGTCAGACTGTCTCACCTGAATTCAGATCCCCACTCCCCATGTTCCTTACTATCCTTAGCCTCTCAAAATCCTAGGTTTCTCATCTATTAGATGGAGCTTATAACAGTACCTCCCTTACAGAATTGTTGTAAGATATAATGAGATAATATGAGACAGCCAGCACTGAAAGTGCTCAAAACATACTGAGATCATTACAGTGCTGATGGAAGTTCATTTCCTCTACCACCATCCTGATCAAGGGATCCCGTGGAGCCTATTTTTCTTACATGAATAGTGAAGTTTTCTCAGTCTTTCTGCATTCAAAACCTTTTAGGGGGTAAAAAGAAAAGAAAAAAAAAGGAACCTGGAGTTAATGATTATAGGTATACTTACCATTCTCTGCATTGCATAAGACGGGCAAAATTTTCTTACCATATTATTTATTCTCAAATGTACCAGAGAGCCCTCACTGCACCGTCTTTGTCAGAGTTAGTAATCTGTATGCTTGCTGTCATCCAGAAAATCAAAAACGGGTGGCTGGCTTACATGTCTAGACTAGTGATGTGTCTCTGGACGGGAGTTGAGGGATAGGAAGTGGCAGCTGCAGTGAGATTTCTTTGATGTCCAAGGGTGGTGACAGCAGCTTCAGGGCGGGGCAGGCGGGGGCATCCCGCAAAGCAGTCCATGGGTGTCATTCTTCTTCACTGGAGGGCATGGTGCCAGGGCACATGGTTGGTTGCTTAAGGCAGACACGGGCAGAGGCGGCCCTGCAGAGGACAGCTCGTGGCGTCTGTCTGGCACGGTTTGGCTATACTTGGTCAGCTCTTCTTTTCACACACAAAAACTTTCCCCTCAGGCTATTGGCTGGGCAGAGGGACTGGCAGGGTCAGTAATCATAATGCAAAATCAACAGACCTGCTCAGTAGGGTGTTAACCAGCTGTGAACGGTGCCAACTCCCCCTGCTATTAAACCAGGCTGGGCTGGGCTGGGCTGCGGGAGAGAGATTGGAGAAAGGCAGGGCAGGCCACGTCTGTTTCACCAGCATGCACAGGAACGAGCATGCTGGCTGTTGACAGTAGAGAGAGAAATAGTCAAGATTATTTGGAAATTATGTTCTGGTCTATTAATAAAAATGCATGTGCATATTTCCTGATCCTTTTAACGAACAATAAAAATGGATGTGTTTAATGAGATCCTTCATGAGTTTTAAGGATAAAAAGATAATTGTTTACAGTGCTAGGGGGATATAAGGAATTGTGAGACACCGTTCCCACCTGCAGTTTAGGGAAAGTGATAAACCCTCAACTCAGGAGCACCTAATGATCCATGTCAAGTCAATGAGTTAGTAACAGCCTACAGTAACAGCCCTCAGTGTATCCTATGAACTCTTCTAAGGGCTTACCTGTGCTAACCAATCTGACCCCATTTCACAGATGTGGAAACCGAGACACCTGAGACTGCCTAGACTCACAGAGGTGAGGTGGCAGAGCTGGGATTTAGACCCAGGAAGTACGTCTCTGGAACTGGTGCCCTTCACCCTGTACCACTTTGCCTCATAAGAGAAAGCGATGTGCAGGTGAGACATGGGTGGCACACGGGCACTGCGAGAATTGAGATCAAGAGAAGAGTGTGAGACCCAATTGATCCGCACTCCTGGAAGGCTTGCTGCCTTTGTGTAATATATTTGATCTGGCACCTTTCTTGGATAAGCATCAAGTACCATTGGGGTCTCTAACCAATATTTTGTTAAATAAAACATTGTAATGTGTCTGTGCTCTTAGGCAAATGATATTTGGTTAATCAACCAATATAGTCAGTGTACTCTAATAATACTATTAACAAATATGAGTTAATTCATTTATTGTTTGTTAGAGATAGATAACAGCAGTCTCTCACCCTTGCTCTTAGATTCAACACCAGTTCTTTGGCACTGGACAAGGGACTTCAAGAGGAAATGTCAGGGAGGAAGGTGGCTAGTGCAGACTGATGGAAGAAAGGATCAAACAATAGTTGTGGATGTCCTTTGGCTTGGAATCTTGAAAAGGAGAAAGGGGAGTCCCCCAGTGACTGAGTCCTTATTGAGTGCAGGGTACCAGGCAGGCTAGTGACAGCATCTCAACTCCTTACAAAAACACTGCAAGGTACATCCTAGTATCTCCCTTGACAGATGGGGGAACCTGGAAGGATTAAGAAATTTCCCGGCCGGGCGCGGTGGCTCACGCCTGTAATCCCAGCACTGTGGGAGGCCAAGGTGAGTGGATCACGAGGTCAGGAGATCGAGACCATCCTGGCTAACAGGGTGACACCCTGTGTCTACTAAAAAAAATACAAAAAATTAGCTGGGCGTGGTGGTGGGCGCCTATAGTCCCAGCTACTCGGGAGACTGAGGCAGGAGAATGGCGTGAACTCGGGAGGTGGAGCTTGCAGTGAGCCGAGACCGTGCCACTGCACTCCAGCCTGGGCAACAGAGCAAGACTCCATCTCAAAAAAAAAAAAAAAAGAAATTTCCCAAAGCTCCAGTTTGTAGCTACAATGCTGGGAGTAGACTCAACATAGATGGGTCCGTATATATTCAGTAGGTCCATACATACATGGCCTGTGATTTCTGGAATTCCAAACCTTTTTGGATTCTCTACAATGAAAGTTTATTTTGCATTTTAAGTAAGGCCGTAAAACAGAAATGCAACTGTGAAAAAGAATGATTTCCACAAGTTTAACTACTTAATATTCAAAAGTGCTAAAACATCATGTAATCTCGGGTCATTTCCTGATGGCAGGAGGGGGTTTAAAAGCCATAATATTATTATTAAGAGCTTTCTGTTCATGACAAATGATTTTGTATTCCATTAAGATATGAGGAAACTATGGGGTAATTTATTGCTGGAAGGAGAAAAATCATAAAAATGTTGCTTAAGAAATATCCATTAGTTATGCTTCCTTAATAGTTAGCCTTTGGCCATCCTGGTTTTTTATGTGATTTAACAGTTGAATAGTAATGAATGGGTTATTACTATTAAAGTAACCATAGTGTTTCAAAAAAATGGGTCCAACAATGTAGATGGATTAAAATCAATGAGAATAAAAATATGGACTCTGTATCTTTTAAATTAAATAATTCATTTGAATTTTTGAATTACTGAAACATTTGCAAATTGAAAATGTATTTAAGAAAAGACAGCATTAGTGAGAGAAATTAATATCATGAGTCTTGAGCTACTGTCATCACCATCCAAAAGTATTCAAGTGCCCCTGTGCTGGGGTCTCTGCAATATCATACAGGCAGGGCTTATTTCTACAGCAGCAGCTGAACAGCAGCCAGAGAGCAGCCCTGACTATAATTTTGAGTTCACACAATCAGGTGCAGCATCTACATGTCAGCAACATTGTCATGTGCTCTGAAGTCCTAGTCAGCTTAATTATGTAGCTGCACAAGCAAGCCACACCTTGCCAATTTAACTGAGAATTAAAGCTGGAATTATTTTGGAGCAGTTCCACTAACGCAGGCATAGAAACACAGCTCTAGACCTGGCTCTGGAGCCTCATCTGCAGGGCAGACCACATGCAAGTAGATGATATGGCAGACATGTATAACTGGTACATGTCTGCCATATCATCTGAGATATGTACAGTCAACAAGAGAGAACAGTCAAGCCTTTCACAATGGCTCTTCATTTATCTGACTGCTGGATGGACCAGAATTCTCCATACCTCTGTGCAATAGCAGCTCAGAGCTGGAGGCGTCCCCCTAGTATACCAGCACATGTCTGCTATACCAATCAGTTTTCTTTTATTTTTTATATTATTTAAACATTTTTTGTGGCCACATAGTAGGTATATCTATTTATGGGGTACATGAGATGTTTTGATACAGGCATGCAATATGAAATAAGCACATCATGGAGAATGGGGCATCCATCCCCTCAAGCATTTATCCCTTGAGTTACAAAGTATCCAATTACCTTTTTTTTTTCTGAAACAGGGTCTCATTCTGTTGCCCAGGCTGGAGTGCAATGGCATGATCTTGGCTCATTGCAATCTCTGCCTCCTGGGTTCAAGCAATCCTCCCATCTCAGCCCTCTGAGTAGCTGAGACTACAGGTGTGCACCACCATGTCCAGCTAAATTTTGTTTTTGTTTTCATTTCTTTGTAGAGATGGGGTTTCTCCATGTTACCCAGGCTGGTCTCGAACTCCGGATCTCAAGTGATCCACCTGCCTTGGCCTCCCAATGTGCTGGGATTATAGGCGTGAACCCTCGTGCCTGGCTGCATTCTTTATTTTAAAATAATTAAGTTATTATTGACTATAATCACCCTACTGTGCTACCAAATAGTCTTATTCATTCTAATTTTTTTTTGTACCCATTAATCATTCCACCTCCCATCCAACCCTTCACTACCCCTCTAAGCTTCTGGTAACCATTCTTCTACTCTTTATGTCCCTGAGTTCAGTTGATTTGATTTTTAGATCCCACACATAAGTGAGAATATACAATGTTTGTCTTTCTGTACCTGGCTTATTTCATTTAACATAGTGATCTCCAGTTCCATCCATGTCGTTGCAAATGACTTGATCTCCTTCTTTTTTGTGGCTGCATAGTACTCCATTGTGTATATGTACCACATTTCCTTTATCCATTCGTCTGTTGATGGACACGTAGATTGCTTCCAAATCTTAGCTATAGTATACTCTGGTTTCTCTTCAGATTGCATAAATCTTTCACCTTTTACCAAATCTTAGCTATTGTAAACAGTGCTACAACAAACATGGGAGTGCAGATATCTCTTTGATACACTGATTTCCTTTCTTTTGAATAGATACCCAATAGTGGGATTGCTGGATCATATGGTAGTGCAATTTTTAGTTTTTTGAGGAACCTCCACACAGTTCTCCATGGTGGTTGTACTAATTTACATTCCCACAAACAGTGTACAAGGGTCCCCTTTTCTCTACTTCCTTTCCAGCATTTGTTATTGACTGTCATTTGGATATAAGCCATTTTAACTGGGGTGAGATGATATCTCGGTGTAGTTTTGATTTGAATTTCTCTGATGATCAATGATTTTGAGCACCTTTTCATATGCCTGTTTGCTATCTGTATGTCTTCTTTTGAGAAATGTCTATTCAAATCTTTTGCCCATTTTTTGACCAGATGGTTTTAAATTAGCCATTTCACTCTAATTCCTGATGGTTGAAATTACTATTTTAACGAAGTAATTTAATTAAATATTAAATAAATAAGTGATTAAATATGAATGCATAAAAAGACATTTGTTTATGTAAAAATAAGGTTGAAAGATTTGATAAAATGAAATTAAGAGAAAAACTATTCAATTACATGTGGCTGAGCTAGCACTTAAAGAGTTAGAGAAAAATATGGATTAATATCCAGAAGGACTCTATAGTCAGATTGTTCCACAAGCATCTTTTATATTTTTTATTGTATTTATTTACTTTTTATGTTTTTGAGACAGAGTCTAGCTCTGTCACCCAGGCTGGAGTGCAGTGGCACAATCTCAGCTAACTACAACCTCAGCCTCCTGGGTTCAAGCAATTCTCATGCCTCAGCCTCCTGAGTAGCTGAGGTTACAGGCATGCACCACCAAACCCTGCTAATTTTTGTATTTTTAGTAGAGACAGGGTTCACGTTGTTGGCCAGGCTGGTCTCAAACTCCTGACCTCCAGTGATCCACCAGCCACTGCCTCCCAAAGTGCTGGGATTACAGAAGTGAGCCACCATGCCTGGCCCCTACAAGCAATTGGCCTGTTAAAAAAAAAAAATTCTAAAACTGGAATTTGTTGATGGTGCACTGTGGGTGTGATTTAGCAGGAATGATGCCACTGAACTCTAAACAGCAGACCCATTCCCAAAGGAACAACCTGGACCCTGTCTCACTAGATTACAGAATTTGTGAACATCTATATATTTGAAGTTAACTAGTGTTCATGTTTCTGTTTGTTTGTTTTTGACTCTTCAACTTTTTCAATTAACTAATAAGCTGGTACTCAGCTATCATATAGAAATTCTACCTTAATGTGCAAACAAACCAAATACAACAAAAACTAAATATTTTACCACTAAAAGTTCAAGACCCAAACTAAGGGACAATATCAAAAAGAAAAAATCAAGAACTGTGATTTTGATGACAATAAAGGAGGCACCTCATGGCGGCAGGTGGTGATGGGAAAGCAGACACCAGGCAGGGAGGACTCACGGGAACAGCACGCTCACATCAGAGCCTCTCACCCGACTGCTAAGCACCCAGGCGGGTCCTATGGATTCTTGCAACTGTGATAGCCACTTGTTGACATCAGGCCTCAGGTGTTCTTGGGGGTGAAAGCACTGACAAAATCTCTGGCATAAAATGATGGATTTGCTAAAAATCAAACAGTTTTTCATTTTCTATGGTCATTGAGGACCTTGTATAAGGCTGAAGATCTAATTTAAAAACTGGTATCCTGAAGTTACTGTATCAACATTGATTTCTTAGTTTTGGGGATAAGGGTTGTAATTGGATGGGGGAGAGGCATACAGAAGTATCTGGGGTACAGTGTCATGTTGCGTGCAGTCTACTTTTGAATGATTTGGGGGAAAGTGGTGTATGTGTATGTGGAGAGAGAGAAAGAGAGAAGGAGAGACAGACAGAGAGATGGAGTAGGTGGGACAACTTAACAGTTGGTGAACTTAGATGGGAGGAGACACCAGTGTTTCCGGTACTGTTTGTCAGCTCTTCTGAGGGTTGGGTTTAAACTTTTTCCAAAAGAATTTCTTTTAATCCAAGCAACTAATAAATAATTAGGCTTGTGTTAATTTTAACGTGTGTTAAAATAGCCAAAGCCTCTGGTTCCATTTTTTGCCATTTTGATCATAGTTGTTCATAATTCATACATACAGAAAATATCTGCATCATGGCACCCCATCAAATAGCCATGCAATTCATAAGCCTTCAAATTGGATGCAAATAAACCAGCTGTCCATCCACTGATTCATCCAGTCAATCCATAAACACTTGTTTACGACATCTTATATGCCAAAGATACCAGTGTGACTATGACTGCACAATTCCTTCTCTCCTGGGACAAACAGTCATCAGAAAAAAATAGGCATTGAATATCTAACTGCAGAGGCTCAATGGGAGTGTATAGGCAAAGGGGACCAGTCTAGTCTGGAGAAGATCAACAAACACTTGCTTAAGCTAAGACCGAAAGATTTCCAGTAGCATATGGTGAATGTGACTCTTACTCCAAGAAATAAAATTAAGCCTGTCTCAAGGCCCCCACACCTTCTCACAGGTTAGAGAATTGCCAATCTGCTCTTCTTCCCTCTAGCCCTAGAGGCTCAGAATCCAGGTGTTGTGTGGCATCTGGGAGGCAGAAGAATCAGAGGTGATCATTGCCCATTTGAAAACAGTGGCCGGCTTCCTCCGTGCACACTTGAGCCCAAGGTCCATGCCCAGGTTAAGCTTCCTTACCCAGTATCTTGTACCCTTGGGTGAAGGACTCAGGCTTTCCTTTCGGAGGCCCTGCTGCCTCTTCCAGATGCTGTGAGGGAGTAGCATGCTCGGGGGTGGGAGGGGGCACTGAGGACTTGCATTTCTGAGGACTTGCATTTCTGAGGACTTGCATTTCTGACAAGTCTCCAGGAGATGCTGCCGTCTGGGAATCCACACTTTGAGTTTTAGTAGAGTATACTTAAAAGATGTGGTTGAAAAGAGCATTAAAGTTTAAAAACCCAGAAAGACAAGATTAAAATCATTTAGTCAAGACATGACTTCATGATCCCAAATATCTGGGAGGAAAATTGCAATGAGTTAGTCTTCTAGAAATAAGAAATATGCAACTTTGAGGAGACTATAGAATTTCCTTCTCAGTCGGTTACTTTCTCTTCATTTATTTCAATAGGTTATTGGGGAACAGGTGGTGTTTGGTTACATGGATAAGTTCTTTAGTGGTGATTTCTGAGATTTTGATGCACCCATCACCCAAACAGTGTACACTGTACCCAGTGTGTGGTCTTTAATCCCTCACCCCCTTTTACACTTCCCCCAAAGTCCATTGTATCATTCTTATGCCTTTGTGTACTTATAGCTTAGTTCCCACTGCTAAGTGAGAATATGCGACGTTTAGTTTTCTATTCCTGAGTTACTTCACTTAGAATAATGGTCTCCAATTCCATCCAGGTTGCTGCTAATGCCATTATTTCATTCCTTTTTTTTTTTTTTTTTTTTAATGGAGTTTTGCTCTTGTCACCCAGGCTTGAGTGCAATGGCGCAATCTCGGCTCACTGCAATCTCCGCCTCCCAGGTTCAAGCGATTCACCTGCCTCAGCTTCCCGAGTAGCTGAGATTACAGATGCCCGCCACCACATCTGACTAATTTTTGTATTTTTAGTAGAGATGGGGTTTTGCCATGTTGGCCAGGCTAGTCTCGAACTCCTGACCTCAGGTGATCCGCCCCCCTGGGCCTCGCAAAGTGCTGGGATTGCAGGCGTGAGCCCCCGTGCCCAGCCTATTTCATTCCTTTTTATGGCTGAGTAGCATTCCATGGTATATATACCACATTGTCTTTATCCACTCATTGATTGATGGGCATCTGGGCTGGTTCCAGATTTTTGCAATTGCGAATAGTCCTGTTATAAATATGAGTGTGCAAGTGTATTTTTCGTATAATGACTTATTTTCCTCTGGGTAGATACCCAGTAGTTACTTTCCATTCCTATAAACTGCAGTGTATATGAACATGATGAGTGTCAAATGATGAATGCCTCAAAATTACTGTGTGCTCCCTTCCTGGAATGACAGCAAGGCCTACTGCCCAAGACTAAGGAAAGATATTCAGTTAAAGATACTCTTGTTTGTGTGGGTTTTTTTGTTTTGGTTGCATAAGTAGAATTCTCCACCTTAGGAATATCTAGCATTTCTTTTTTTATTTTCCCTACTAACCATCCAGTATATCTCCTAGATTTGCCTGGCCTCTGCCATCAACATATTTTCTGGAGAAAGCAAATTAATTTTCAGTTAATATTAACCTGAAGAAAAAATAATAAAGCAAAGGATTAATATGTAACCATATAATATGCAGCATATATGTCAAAACACATTTTTTCTTTTTTTGAGACAGAGTCTCACTCTGTCACCCTGGCTGGAGTGCAGTGGCATGATCTCAGCTCACTGCAACCTCCACCTCCTGGGTTCAAGCCATTCTCCTGCCTCAGCCTCTGGAGTAGCTGGAATTACAGGAGCCCACCACCACACCCAGCTGATTTTTATATTTTTTAGTTGAGATGGGGTTTCATCAGGTTGGCCAGGTTGGTCTCAAACTCCTGACCTCAAGTGACCTGCCTGCCTCGGCCTCCCAAAGTGCTGGGATGACAGGCATGAGCCACTGTGCCCAGCCAAAACACATTTTAAGTCTATTATTTGAAACTATTTCTTTATTTGTTCCTCTGCTGGCAGAGAAAAGTTTTAAAAATTTGATGTCCATTGGAGCTGGAATGTGCATAGGTGTGAGGGCTGGGGGGTAAGTGTGTCACAGTGACTAGTTAGGTAGGATAAGGTATGTCTAACTCACAGCTGAATTTTTTGTTTTGGTTTTGGTTTTATAAGAAAGAACATTCTGTTGTTCAAAATATTTGAGAATAAAAAAAGAAAGAACATTCTGATACTAGCATTAATGAGTTAGTTTGTTCTCTTTAAAGATGTGTAATGGGTATTGATCCTCTTCCCAGTCTTAAACATTATTTAAGTCAAAGAAAACCTTAATATCACCTATGGAATATATTGCATATTAATCTACACAAATATATATAAGGTTGGTGCAAAAGTTATTGTGGCTTTTGCCATTGAAAGTAATGGCAAAAAAATTGTCCAAGTAATGGCACTAACCAAATACATTGTGTTCTACATAAAAGGTACATATACATGTATACATTATACATATATACACATACACATATATGAACATTATGTAGAACCTAAGAATTTGCCAGTATTTGACCACTTTTTAACTATGACAGCAGCAATTTCTTATGATTCAATTAGATATTATCCTGAAAAAAAGGATAGCTTTGTCGTTTCCATATATAAATTATTAGGTTGGTACAAAGGTAATTAAAAGTAATGGCAAAAACGGCCATTACTTTAACACTTAAAATTCCCAAGTACAATACAAATGATGTATTCTTATCCGACATTTCTCCCTTATGCAACATGTTCTCAGTTTTCTACTTTATTGCTATTCATATATTGATATATTTCTATTGATATATTGCTACAAGGTCACCTGGCTCCTAACAGATAGTGTCCAATACTCGAAGAACAGAGAAATGCATTTGCTTTTACCCTGCCGGTTGGGATTTATTCAGCTGTTTCTAAACAAAACCCTTTCTCTTTCCCTCTTCCTAGGGTTGTGTCTGTAAAGACAAAGGCCAGTGCTTCTGTGACGGGGCCAAAGGGGAGAAGGTAAAAACAAACCCTAATACTGCTTGTTTACACTGTAAAGCTCTAGAAGGTAAAACTCAACCTTCTTCTTTCATCGGTAGCAGAAAGATCCGCAGTATGTTGTTCCATTTCCCAAATCCAATGTTAAAGTAATTGTATATAAACATTAACCTAAAAAAAAAAAAAGAAAAAAGTCATCTAGGAAGCTTCAGATACCTTGTATATACAATGGCAATTAAATTACAACTCTCTCGGTCTGTAAAGAATAAGTAGCAAATGAGAAAAAGAAAAAGAAAGTTTATGACAAGTCTCCATATGTATACACTATTTACAATGTTGCTAAACACAAGAGAAGAACTGAAAACGATTTGATTCATTCACTTTGACAGAAAATAAACATTGAAATTCACAGATTTTTGTCCTGCAGCATTGGTTCAAGTTCGCCCCCTGGTGGAGAAATCCCACAGCAGCACACTGGTTGAGGCAAAACTTAGCAGAGGGAAGTAGCTCCATTGCAGAATTCAAGAAAAAAAGGAATGCCGTGAAATCTCATTAATTCGCTCCATTAACTTGCAATTTGTGATAATTAAGATAGAGGCAGAACTAAAGTTTTTTTCTTTGTTTACCAAACCCTTTCCTCAGAGACACTAATTAATTGTTTAACAACATTGAAGGATGACTATTTTAAAATATTTTAAGAACATATTTAAGCTCTTTATCTAAACTAATTTCTATATAATGTGTATGCTAATTATAATAATTATACTTATTTTAAATTATTTCATAATTCACATGTAGTTGGATTTAGGTTTTTTCTTGAATCTGTGAATGTATTCTAATTCAGGTTCCCATTGAGAAGCACTTTCTCTGTGATTCTCCTTGCATTCAAGAAGCATTTATTGAGTTTCTATTATTTGCAAGATGCTACTGTAGGGTGTATAAAAGTAACTGAGTAGCGAGAGGGGTCTAGCACATTCTTTTATTTCTCTTCTTGTTGAGTGTGTGTGCACACACACAATGTAAAATAGCTGACTTGTTCTTTTTTGTTTTAATTTGCCAATTGTGTAACTAAATTGACCCAATTAACCAAATCAGCCGGTGGCCTTTACTGTTGAAGAGTACAGTCGGCCCTCCTTATCCACGGTTTCTGAATCCTCAGAATCAACCAATGGCATACTGAAAATACTTCGGGGAGGGGGGGATATAATAAAAAATAATACAACAATTAAAGATAATACAAATAAAAAAATGCAGTATAACAACCATTTGCAAAGCATTTGCATTGTATTAGGTATTATAAGTCACCTAGAGATTTAAGGTATATGGAAGGATGTTCTAGGTTATATGCAAATACGATGCCATTTTGTATAAGGGACTTAAGAATCCACAGGTTTTCGTGTGGGGGGAAGGTCCTGGAACCAATCCCCCACCGACACTGAGGGACAAACGTAATTCCAAGATACAAATCCATGGAAAAATTATTTGTTGGTAGAACTGTGTCAAGCCTTGGGCTTAAAGTACTTTCACTCACTTTTACTAGGTACTTTCCCCTAATATTATCTGACTCCTTCTAGAACATTACTGAGCTCACACCTTTTTGGTTATGCCACCCTTGCTACCTTTCCTGCATCTCCTACACAAATAACAGATTAAATTACTAACTCCTGTGTATTAAAGAAAGGGCTCAGACTCATAACCTGCCTGGTGGCGTTCTTTCAAGCTACATAGTAATTATGCACACTCCCCAGGCACCTTCTTGCACCTGACCCTCACTGTCTCTCCATCCCACAACAAACACTCCACTAACCTTGATGCTTCTACCTGGGCTTTCCCTTTCATTTTTTATTCCGTCTCCCTTAAGCTCTGCTCTACATAGCCCTACCATTTGGGAGAAAGTCAAGTTTCTACAAGACCAAGAGCCACCACTTTCAAGCCTATAGACAAATACTAACAACTGGTAGCTTTCTGGTTGCCTATGTAGTCACTCCTGAGTGCTAATTATGATTTTTTTAATCCAAGGAAAAAACATGCAAAGAGTCACCATGAAGTCATAAACAAGAGAACATAATGGTTATTGGTGTGTTTATTGTGGGATAGTTGCTGCTCTGTGTGTTTCTCACCTCGTTTTGGTTTTAACAGGGGGAGAAGGGCTTTCCTGGACCCCCCGGTTCTCCTGGCCAGAAAGGATTCACAGGTCCTGAAGGCTTGCCTGGACCGCAGGGACCCAAGGTATGTCATCCTGCAAGCTTGGAAAATCCCCAACCCACCTAACCCTCTTCCTGCCTACCCCCTGGCTGCTGCAAACCTGGAGAGAATTCCACATCTTAGCCAACTGCTAGGTGCATGGTGAACTCCTGGTTTCCGGTATTAGTGGGCCACATAGAACCGCAACCTGCTCCAAGACTATTGCAAATGATCATCATTAGCTTCAAGTCTGTGGCTCCAGTTCATCTCCCTCCCTAACCTACAGTGTCTACATCTGCATCTGTTCCTACCTCTATTCCTCCTACAGTGAAAACTCAGAGCTCTTTTTGCTTCTATTCAAGACCTGTCCAACCACCTGTGCCCCATCTTTGGGATTCCTTGTTCCACGAGGTGCCTCCCCTCTCTCCGGACATTCCAACTTTTCTTTTGTTATTGGCTTTTCTCTTTCAGTTCTTAAACATGCAAATATTTTCCATGATAATACAAAACTTCCTCTCCATCTTTTAGGTCTTGTGACCAAAGGATTGCTATCTTCTCCCTGACTTTCCTTTCTCTGTCAAACTTCTTAAAAGAATAGTCAAACATGCTGCCTGTAGTTCATCTACTATTCAGTCCTTAGCAATAATTTGCCTTCTACCACCTCTCCTCTGAAAACACTCCAGCAAAGATCACCAATGACCTTCAAGTGGCCAATGCCAATACATACTTTTGTGTCTTAATCTGACCTGAACCCCTCTGCTTAGTTTCAAATTGTGTGGATCGCTCTCCTCTCCTTGAAACACTTGTCTGTCTTTCTTTCTGTATTTCTCCTGTCTCTCTATCCTTCCCTTCCTTTGTGGGTTTCTCTTTTCCTTCTGGTCCCTTAAACATCCCGAGTCTATGACCCTTCACACTCATCACACATTCTTATCCTAAAGTCTGTGATACAGCAAAGGGCTTTGTTTAAATAAATACCATAGAGGATTTACTAAATAACTGAATAACCACTGGATTTGCTGAGTACTCTTTCCTGCTGTGGACATTAGCTAGACTTAAGCCTGGCTTCTCACGCACCCACACATTCATTCCCCTGACTACTGACCTCCAGCAAGCTATAAACCAACTAATAAGCTATGAAAAATGATTATAATTGATCTATACAGGTCTTTTACAAATTTCATAATATATTAGAATATGTATTAGAGGCCAGACACAGTGGCTCATGCCTGTAATCCCATTGCTCTGGGAGGCTGAGGCAGGAGGATCACTTGAGCCCACGAGTTTGAGGTCAACCTGGGCAACATAAGGAGACCCAGTTTCTACCAAAAATACAAAAATTAGCCAGGTGTGGTGGCATATGCCTGTGGTCTCAGCTACTCAGGAGGCTGAGGTAGGAGGATTGCTTGAGCCCTGGAGGCGGAGGCTGCAGTGAGCCATGATCATGCTACTGCACTCCAGCCTGGGTAATAGAGCGAGACTCCATTAAAAAAATATATACGTGTGTGTATATATATATATGTATTAAAATAATGTATGAAATATGTAAATGATAATCAAAGCCAAAGCCAACCTACTGCATATGTACTCTGTGCCAGGCATTGGGCCATCTATTTCTCCCTGGATCTCATTTACTCCTCACATCAATCCCACAAATCATGACTGTGGTGATTTACAATGTAGTTCCCATCATTACCTCCACTACATGGATGAGAAAACGGACACAGAGCACTTGAGTAATTTTTCCTGGGTCACGCAGCTCACAGGAAGCAAAATCAGAGTTCAAACCTGGTTTGACACTGTGTGTGGGATTTTCCTCAAACCAAACAATTCTCCAACTCTCTGGATGCCAACTGGGTACCCCTCAATTCAGTTATGACATTAAATACCTGGGGTTAGTGCAGACCCCATAGGGTAAGGGCTCAGTCCCACAAGACTGTCCCTGTTTCAGGACTAGTCATAAGTAGTGGGTCCTCAGTTACCCATAATGCCGTCCAACTTGGCTACAAATAAATCAGGGGTTCCCATGACCTCCTCCTCTGCTTTGATAATTTGCTAAAGAGTCTCATAGAACTCATGGGAACATTTATCAGTTTATTATAAGGGATATGAATGAGAGATGAAGAGATACACAGGAGAAGGTCCAGAAGGGTCCCAAGTGCAGGAGCTTCTGTCGCCATGGAGTTAAGGTGCATTACCGTCCTGGAACGTGAACGTTCACCCACCCAGAAGCTCTCTGAACACCATGCTTCAGGGATTCTTATGGAGGTGTCATCATGTGGGCAGGATCAATTATAAACTCAATCTCCAGCTCCGCTTTCCTCACTGAAGGGTGCAGCTGGAGCTCAAAGTTTCAAGCTTCTAATCAAGACTTGGTCTTTCTGATGACCAGCCCCCATCTGGGAGCCCACCAAGAGTTGCCTCCTTAGAACAAAAGACACTTCTATCACCCAGGATATTCCAAGTGAGGTCAAACACCAAATATTAGAACAAAAGATGGTCTTTACTCCCCTATCACTCAGAATATTAGAAGGGTTTTAGGAGCTCTGTGTCAGGAACCAAAGGCACAGAACAAATATGTGTTTCTTATGTCACATATATGATGCCAGAATCAAACTCTTGAAACCACACCCACAGCTTACATGTAAAATGCAAAATCTTGCTGTTTTCCAGTAATCCTGCCATTTCCCTGTCTACCATATCCATGTATGTGTTCTTTTTGTCCATTTCTCCTTCTTCCGATCCTAATTTTGAAAAAGTCATCCAGATTCTGGGCAGAAACTGAACACTGACTTCCTCTAAGGCATGGACCCAGGTTTTCTTCCATTTCTATTGGTAGAACGAGTTTGCCACTTCAACCCTGGACTTAGATCAGCCTAATGCCAATTCCGTTTTTAAAAAAATTGTTATCTGTAGCCTACTCTGTTTAATTCTCTTCAGCATTTCTTTAGAGATGCTGAAATTCATTAAAATAGTCACAAACACATGGCACTTAGTATGGGTTACATGAGTGCAGGCATTCCAGAAGATTAATCCAGAAAACCTGAGTACCATGTTGTCATAGATTGATATTTTAAAGCATGTAAGGCTTACAGATATGTATGAATAGCTACAAAAGATAATACAATCAAAGGCAGACAATTAGAGAATATTAAAACCTGACCAAAAAGATGTTTTAGATTTACAAGATTCCTATCTTAATTTTAAATGTTTTCTGCATGAAAAAAGTTTACAATGAGAAAGTAAAACCTGCAAGTAAAACCTTCTGCTTTCGGCATCACGTGAATAGAATTCTGTGGGAAGGGGAATGGCCTTGAACACAGCCATGCACCCCGGAATTCCGCCATAGATGGGAGAGACTGACTTTGGCCTTGACAGTGCAATCTCAGAGGATTCTGTAACAACCCTTTTCTCAAATAATAACAATAAAATTAAAAATCAAAACATACTGAAACTCTCTGGAATGATGAAAATGGCTTTTGGACAATGAAACTTTCACACCACGTGGCCTAGCTGAAACAGTCACCATTTAAGCTTATTCTCCAAGAAATAGGACGTCGAAACTGAATGCATTACATGCCCAAAGCAAGTTTATCTCTGGTTCAGGCAGTCCTTACTTGGCTATATATTTCCTTGTGCATGTCAGGCACATTTTGTTAATAGAGTGTTTCTTGTGCACAGAAATACTGGCTGGCATTCTCATCCACAACTGTAGTTGTGTCATTCATTTTTATCAGACCTCAGCAGCTGTGAGGCTAATTAGGACTTTTGCACAGACTTTAATGTGCACAAGAATCACTAAAGAATCATGTTAAACATGCAGATTCTCGGTCAATAGTCTGGGAGGTGAGGCAGATCTAAGATTCTACATTTCTGATAAGCTTCCAGGTAATGCTAATGCTGCAGGCCCCAAACCCCACTTTGAGTAGCAAGGGTTTGAATGAATTTTTGTCTTTTCTGATAAACAATTATCAAGTTCCAATGAAATAAGCAAGCAATTGAATCTTATTAACAATGAAATAATCAGAAGGGCAAAACAGCTTGGCATGTGACTGAGACTGGGTTTGATGTATGGGTTTCTTAGTGCCAAATAATTTTCAGAGTGTTTACTTTTTCTTTTTTCACTTGAATCTAGGGCTTTCCAGGACTTCCAGGACTCACGGGTTCCAAAGGTGTAAGGGTTAGTAGTCCAACCAGTCCACCCTGATCGTTAAAAGATCAGCTTTTCACAGTAAGAGTTATACAAATGTCAGAAAGGAGTACACTGTGTATGGTTCCATAGATGAAGTTCAAGAACAGGTAATACTAATCTGTAATGGTAGATGTCAAAGGAGTGGTTACCACATTAGGGGCAAGTGTTAAACTGACCAAGAAAGGCCATGAAGGAACCTCTGGAGTGATAAAGATGCTCTGTGTCTGATGAGATGATGGTATATAAAACTGCACATAGGTCAACCTTTGTTAAGCTGTTCAATTAAGCTGTTCTCAAAAGATTGGAGCACTTCATTGCATGCAAATTGTACCTTAGGAATCGATCCAAAAAAGCCAAAAATAATCTTAATGATATCTTTTTAAGAGTTACATAAATGTGAGATTTACAAAAGTTTGTTAAACCTTTAGTATTTGTTTTCCCAATCGTTTCGAGCTATTCCCAGTTATAGTGGAGGAAAAAGATTATCGCAATGGTAAATAAATTTATGTTTATAGATTGAACATTTTTAAAGTTTTTTTTTTTTGCCACCCCCTCCTTTTTCCTATGTCTTCAGGGAATAAGTGGATTGCCAGGATTTTCTGGTTCTCCTGGACTTCCAGTAAGTAATGGGAAAAATCCGTAGCTAGAAAATTTAAAAGTAAGCTCATTTTAATAAAGATGTTAAAACAGTCGTGCAAGAAAATGTGTTCTGATGCATTTGTTACATGAAGAAAATAGCACCTTAGGATGGTATATTATACTAGTGTGTGGATTTATATGACATATGAGTCAAAATGTACTTCCTGAAATACAAGCAGGACAGGATAGGATAGGGTAGGATAATTAGTAAATTATATGGTAAGTCGGCCCTCCATATCCAGTGATTCCACATCCATGGATTCAACCAACCAACTGTAGATCAAAAATATTTAAAAAAAAACAATAAAAATTGTACAAACCTAAAAACCATTACACTATAACAACTATTTACATAGAATTCACATTGTATTAGGTATTATAAGTAATCTAGAAATGACTTTAAGCATACAGGAGGATATGTATAAGTCATGTGCAAATACGGTACCATTCTATATAAGAGACTTGAGTATCTATGGATTTTGGTATTCATAGGGGTCCTGGAACTAACCCCCACAGGTGCTGAAGGAAACTATATGTTACAAGCTGATAGAATAGGATAGGATAGGGTAGAATGAAATGATTGTATTTAATAGCACAGAATAATAAAATAGTTTCATCTGTGCACACTTTCCTCTTCTTTTTCCCTTCCTTTCTCCCCAGCTTAAAACAGCATGTTAAAGGACTCTTTTATTTTATGGATAAAAGGCGTTTGCTTTATTTGAAATATCCACATCTCATTTGATAAGTCTTCATATCAGTCAGCCTGTTTAGTTTGTTGCTACTGAAATTATATGTAAAACCACAATGTACATTTACTACTTAACCATTTAAACAATCATTTATATTTCAAGAGCTATTTAAATCAGTGCATCTTTTCCCTTGGGTTCAGTGCTGTTTCTTGGGATGACCCTCCTCATTGAGACTTGTTCTTCTTCCAGGGCACCCCAGGCAATACCGGGCCTTACGGACTTGTCGGTGTACCAGGATGCAGTGGTTCTAAGGTAAGTACTTTTCACACAGAAGATGATTAATAAATGCTTTGCTGAATGATTAAATCAAGGTGAAATGGCAATGAAAGGCAGACAGGCTTCCCTTGAAAACATTCCTTTAGGCCAGAACCAACAGCATAATTTGGAGGCAGGAAACTTCCCATTTTCTTTCTTCGCATTCCTTGCTTTCTAATTGTCTTTTAAGGAAAGTTCTCCCACAGAAAGAAAACTTGGAGCTCAACTGGTTGTTTTCATCTGAGGCTGTGTGTATAAATCAGAAACCAAAGCTTTGAGTGCAGAATTAGTTTTGGGGAAGGAATGACTGAGCTTTTCACTGTTCACTCACCTCCTTTTGTTTTCGAACTGAGCTCTCCTTTTCTCCAGAATGGTGGCCATGAATGAACTAATTACTCAAGTTTGAAGGAAACAGCAATTAAAAAGTTCTTGGCGCAATTAGACTTTGCCATTTATGCACAATTTGAGAAACAGTATTCTAATCCTGTTTTTAATTAAGATAATGGTTTTTTGGTCTTCAGCCTCATGACCCAGTAGCCATAAGGAATTCGGGTTACTTTGTCTAGATTTACCATTGCAAGGTTGGAAGCGAGAAACAGGAAAAATATCTGAATAGGCTCTTCTAGAACAACTAAGAATAATAAGAAACTTTGTATGTCTTTTAGGGTGAGCAGGGGTTTCCAGGACTCCCAGGGACACTGGGCTACCCAGGGATCCCGGTAGGTTTGCATGCCTAATTCCCCAACAAAGACATAAAGTATAAATAACAGTGGTCTACTCCATATGGCCATATACACAAATCCGTCATGACTTTAGGGAAGTCTGGGGTAGCCATAGTAGACATTCAACTAATAGTTAGGGAATGGATGAATACATGCATTATGAGTGTAGGATTAGAGGTTGAGGCTTTGTTTTACTTTTGAGACATCCAAGTGGAGATGCATGAGAGGTACTTGGATTCACTCAGAGAAGAGGTTCCAGCTGGTGGTGACTCAAGGAGTCAGAGTGAGGAGAAAAGGGGCTTAGAACTGAGACTTAGCTCCAGCAGTGATGTTGAGATCAAGGAGAATGATCCTGTAAAGGAGGAGCAGCCCTGGTGGGAGAAAGAAAACCAGCAGAGGTGTATTATGGAGGCCCAGGAAACACCTATTGTAGTAGAAGGGAGTGGCAGACAGCTGCTGGATGCTGCTGCAAAGTCCAGTCAGAGGAGTACTGACATGTTGGCATTGGTTTTAGCAACATCAATATCATG
The DNA here is from genome assembly GCF_000001405.40 of Homo sapiens. NCBI lineage: Eukaryota > Metazoa > Chordata > Mammalia > Primates > Hominidae > Homo > Homo sapiens. The sequence continues at coordinate 227,247,272 of NC_000002.12, forward strand.
TCTGACCTTAGCAAGGGACAATTCCACGGCAGGATGGAGCAGGGGGCAGATTTGGAACTGAGGAATGGGTGGGAAATGAACAAAATGGGAAGTTCACAGGTGAGACGAAGGAGAGACAGGACAATATGGTGGGAAGTAAAAGATTAAGGGAAGACTTTGCTTTGTAAGGCCGTGGGAGGTGTACAGTGGGGAGAGGATACACAATAGCAGAGAGGGCAGAGCAGACCGAGTAGGAGTGTGTGCGTTTGATATTCCTCTAGTTGTTCATAGGTTGCTTTTTTCCTAGGGTGCTGCTGGTTTGAAAGGACAAAAGGTAAGTCATTGGTGGAATGCTGTCACTGAAAATCTCTAACTGTACATATGAAAAGGACGTCTATTAAATAATGAGACTTAAGTCATTACAAATAAGATTTCATAATCCAGACCTTAATCATTCAGAAACAATAATAATCGGGACATGATATTTATTCCTATTAAATAGCTCCTTCTGGCTCTTGTCATAAAGAGTCTTAAGGATACAGGTTTTGTATCACTGTTGAAAGAAATAGGGTCTTGGAGAAGAAAACTGACCTCATGCTCAGGGCCCCACATTCTAGGGCAGGGATTGTCACTATTTTTGGTATCTTGGGAAATGTTTTATTACCCCTGCGTCTTTCTTCTTTCCACTGTAAATTTTTTATTTTTTTGAGATGGAGTCTTGCTCTGTTGCCCAGGCTGGAGTACAGTGGCACGATCTCAGCTCACTGCAACCTCCACCTCCTGGGCTCAAGCGTTTCTTCTGTCTCAGTCTCCCAAGTAACTGGGATTACAAGTGCATGCCACCACGCCCAGCTAATTCTTGTATTTTTAGTAGAAATGGGGTTTTGCCATGTTGGCCAGGCTGGTCTTGAACTCCTGACCTCGGGTGATCTGCCCGTTTTGATCTCCCAAAGTGCTGGGATTACAGGCATGTGCCACTGTACTGGGCCCACTGTAAATTTTTGATTTTAGAAAATATGAAAATGCTTTGAATTCTTCATAATGGAATAATTACAAAATCATAAATCATTTCTCTGAGTACATAACTTGAAAAGCATTTTTATCTTTGAAGAAATATAACTTTGAATAAGCACTTGAAGGGGTTTTGAAAATATAACATTGATGATGTTTGATGAACTTCTTCATTTTCAAGGGTGCTCCTGCTAAAGAAGAAGATATAGAACTTGATGCAAAAGGCGACCCCGGGTTGCCAGGGGCTCCAGGACCCCAGGTACAGCACTTCAGAGAAGGTCCCTATTATTCTCAGTTTTTCACTCTCTCTCTCTCTTTTCGCCTCTCTTTACTTCGTCTCTCTTTTCCCCCATAAGTCCCTCTCACTCTCTTAAGAAGATTTTAAATAGAAATTCCTATTTATTCTATTTACATGTCTGGCCTCATTTCATTCTAAAGCTTTCACCCTATTCTGGAAAACTACATGATGCTGATATGCAAAGATGATTTGAGTATGTTTTTCGTCCTCTTCTTCACTCTCAGTCACCAAGCTTGCCTGAATCTAACAGGAATAGTTATGTACCACTTAATTTGTATTTGTTGAAAATAAGGGTAGCTTTGTATCACACATTGAGTATCATTTAAATCTGTAATTTTAAATAACAGCCCTATTTTAAAATTTGCATAATGATAAATAAAAGGTTTTTATTTAAATGCAACTCTCTCCAGTTGAAGTTGAGATAATAAAGAAAAGAAAGGTTTTTGTTTAAATGCAACTCTCTCCAGTTGAAGTGTTTGCTTTTCTGATTTATATGTACGTAGCCTGAGTATGATCCAAAAGGGATACAAAGAGACACAACTGCCTTTGGGGCTGTGTGTGCTTTCCTTTGTGATTCAAAAAGACCCTTTCATAGACCTAAACCACAAGTGCTAACTTTCAGGTTATAATTATATATAACCAAAATTAGCTAGTATATATATATATATATATTTTTTTTTTTTTTTTTTTTTTTGAGAAGGAGTCTGGCTCTGTCGCCCAGGCTGGAGTGCAGTGGTGCAATCTTGGGTCACTGCAACCACCACCTCCCGGATTCAAGCAATTCTCCTGCCTCAGCCTCCTGAGTAGCTGGGACTACACGCATGGGCCACCATGCCCTGCTAATTTTTGTATTTTTAGTAGAGATGGGGTTTCACCATGTTGGCCAGGCTGGTCTCGAGCTCCCGACCTCAGGTGATCCACCAACTTCAGCCTCCCAAAGTGCTGGGATTACAGGCATAAGCCAACACGCCCAGCCAATTAACCAGAATTATTTTAACTTAGTTCAGAATTATATGTAAAAATTCCTGGGTAGAGATGGGATATTTGCCTAAGTGAGTTTGAGGTGAGGCTGTTGAAATCCTGTATGGTGCGCTATCCTAACTGAGGATGTGAAGTTAGATTAGGAGCTGCAAAAAATGCAGAATGATGCAATTAGGAGCCATTATAGGCTTCTGAAAAGAGATGCAAGATATGATGGCTCTCGCTTTTTTGCTTAGAAAACATTTAAGAGTCCAGATGCTGAAGGCAGGGGATCCAGGAAGAAGAGATAATAGTAATCTGAGATATTGATACATTCTTTAAATGTGTATTGATTATCGTATATGTATTAGTCATTGTGATGATGCTGAAGATATAATGATGGTACATTTGATTACACAAGAAATATTTTTTACCTGCCAATTATGTGCTAGGGGCTATTTCTAGGCTCTAGGAATACAGTAGGGCATAAATCAGCCAAAATATAGATTTAAGGCTGGGCACAGTGCTCACACCTGTAATCCCAGCACTTTGGGAGGCCAAGGCAGGAGGATCACTTGAGGTCAGGAGTTTGAGACCAGCCTGGCCAACACGCTGAAACTCCATCTCTACTAAAGACACAAAAATTAGCCAGGTGTGGTGGCGTGCGCCTGTAGTTCCAGCTACTTGGGAGGCTGAGGCAGGAGAATCACTTGAACCCGGGAGGCAGAGGCTGCAGTGAGCAGAGATCGTACCACTGCACTCCAGCCTGAGGACAGAATGAGACTCTGTCTCAAAAAAATAGGTAGATAGATAAAAGATGATAGATAGATAGATAGATAGATAGATAGATAGATAGATAGATAGATATTTAAAAATTGTATGAACCAGGCATGGTGGCATGTGCCTGTAGTCCCAGCTACTTGGGAAAGCTGAGACAGGAAGGTCTCTTGAGCCTAGTTATAGGCCAGCCTGGGCAACACAGCAAGACCCAGTCTCTTAAAATATATATATATATTGCCTTCATAGAGCTTACATTCTCATGGGGGAAACAAAAGCGTGTAAATGAGTAACTCTATGGTGTGTGAGTAATAAATGCTAAAAGTAAAAATAATGCACGAAAGCAGGATAGGAAGTGTCTGGGTTGGAAGGTGGGTTACAACTTTGGATAAGCAGGAAGGCTTTATGGAAAGGATGACAATTGCATAAAGACAAGAAAAGGAAAAGGGAGTGAGTTATACTGATACCTGGGAAAAGGGGATTCTAGGCAGAGGGAGAGCAGGTGGCAGGCCCTAACGTAGGAGCATGCTTGGCCAAAATGAGAGAGAAAGGAAAAGGGAGAAGAAAAGAGGTGGGAAGAAAGAGAAAAGCAAAATTTTGAAACGTCTGAAGTAAAGCAACTACTTTGGTCATTTTAGAAATGTTATCGTCCAGTTGGTCCTGCCAGCCTGTTACACATGGCAACACTTTTTGATGTTTGTTATCATTAGCTGCAGCCACTGAAAGGGGAGGTGTTATGCTCTTCTGATTTTATTAAAATATTTTAATGCATTTAATTAATGGACATTGTTATTAAGTGAGAAGTAAATTTAAACTTACTCTTATTCTTCTCTCAATTTCAAGGGTTTGCCAGGCCCTCCAGGTTTTCCTGGGCCTGTTGGCCCACCTGGTCCTCCGGGATTCTTTGTGAGTATCAAGTCATCCTTGCTACAGACTCTGTCAACTAATAGATTCATTATTTATTATTAAAAAGTTATTAAAAGAATTTTTCTGGTTGGATGCATTTCCTGCTGTGATTTTCATTTGTGGATTTTTCTAGGGCTTTCCAGGAGCCATGGGACCTAGAGGACCTAAGGTAGACTACAGTTCATATGATGTAACAGCTAGCACACCCTACTCAATCTCAAAGCCAAACCTGGTCTGCTTCTTCATGTGGGTCACTGTTAGGCACCTCTCTGGAACTCACAAGGATCCCTAGCAGGGAAGAGCATGGCTAGCTGCTCTCACCTCTTTTCTCCTTGCATTTCAGTACCTTGATCCCTGATACAAAGAATCTTAATTCAATTTATAAGAAGCTACTTATCACGAAAAAAGGCAAGGATTCTTAATCCACAGGTTTTCCATTTCTGATCATCTCACACAGCACATTATCCTCTGAGTTTTTGTAGTGTGCTGCTTCACAAAGCCAACCTGGTCTTATGCTAGTAAGTAAAAGATGACTATTTGTGTGCTCATTACACAGGGTCTTGCATGCATTTCTGTTAAGACCAGCCCAGGCGCATTGGTTCACACCTGTAAGCCCAGCACTTTGGGAGGCCAAGGTGGGTGGATCACTTGAGGTCAGGAGTTCGAGGCCAGCCTGGCCAATGTGATGAAATCCCATCTCTACTAAAAATACAAAAATTAGCCGGGCATGGTGGTGCATGCCTGTAATCCCAGCTACTCAGGGGGCTGAGGCAGGAAAATCGCTTGAACCTGGGAGTTGGAGTTTGCAGTGAGCCAAGATAGCACCACTGCACTCCAGCCTGGGTGACAGAAAGAGGCACCATCTCAAAAAAAAAAAAAAAAAAAAAAACAGAAGTGCAATTGTTAGTTTAACTATAAAAATGTTGAGTGAGGCTGAGCCCCAACAGGAAATTGGTCCTAAACACAGTATCTCCTACTATCAGGTAGCCTTTTATTTTATTCTTTCTTTCTTTTTTTTTTTTTTTTTTTGAGATGGAGTCTCACTCTGTTGCCCAGGCTGGAGTGTAGTGGTGCGATCTCGGCTCACTGCAACCTCCATCTCCCGGGTTCAAGCAATTCTCCTGCCTCAGCCTCCCGACTAAGTGGAATTACAGGTGTGCATCACCACTCCCAGCTAATGCTTTTGTATTTTTGGTAGAGACAGGGTCTTACCATGTTGGCCAGGCTGGTCTCAAACTCCCGACCTCAGGTGATCCGCCCGCCTCAGCCTCCCAAAGTGCTGGAATTACAGGCATGAGCCACTATGCCCGGCTTGGGTAGCCTTTTATATGAGGTATTTTCCAAGATACTTTCATATTTATTATCTCATTGATACACACAAATGCACACACACACACACACACACACACACACACACACTCATGCATGCACGCACCCTGAGAGATGGATAGGTTCTGGTTAAGTGAATTTTCCAATAGACAGTACATGGCAGAGCTGAGGTTTAAAGTGTTTTGATCTAGCTTTGGTCTAACAAGGGGAAGATCTGCATACTCAGTGGTGAAAAAGCAAGCAGATATGAGTTGAAATGATGGATCAGCCATCATTAGTGAAGAAACTATTCGCATTAGACTCATGTCACTAAATTACTAGTGAAGTCGGTAGCTGGAATTCTATTCTTAGATTCTCTATTAAGTATTGAATTTCAGAATCCTGAAATGCAGCTACCCATTCTTATTTTTAAAACAAGAAAACAAGAGCATCAGGAAGTTAAGTAGCCGGCCAGTGGGATTAAAACTAGCTAATGCAGAGCCAGAAAAATATGCTCTGAGCTGGGCTCCTTTCCCTCCCCCACACCACTGCATGTCAGCATTTGCCATGTTAGGTAAATCCCTTAAGCTTTCTGCACCTTAAGAGCTCCTCCTTTAAAAGAAACATATCAATGCTCTTCTCTAAGAAATAGCTAAAATATGTATCATTCTAAAATGAAAGTTAAAATATAAATGCTCCCTTACAAATATTGGAACTTTGATGGGTTTAGACTATTTATTCATATTTATTTTTAGAAAATAATTTGGTTTTGTGTTTTCTTACAGGGTCACATGGGTGAAAGAGTGATAGGACATAAAGGAGAGCGGGTAATTTAAATACTATGTTTTATTAGCAGGCGAGATATTTTATGTCCCAGAGCATATCAGCCTATACCGTTTACTTACGGGCCAAGCTGAAATTGATGGGCCTTCATTTGTTCTATCTTCCCGTATAAGCACTAAAGGGGAAAAGTAGACCTTTCAAACGTAGTAACATTGAAATGTTGATGCTGTTGTTTATTTTCTCACTCCTGAGTGTTTTTGTCTTTAGGGTGTGAAAGGGTTAACAGGACCCCCGGGACCACCAGGAACAGTTATTGTGACCCTAACTGGCCCAGATAACAGAACGGTAACTCTGCGATTTTATGATTAGTGTTGTGCCTTCCCGTGTCTAGGATGAAGTCCTTGTGACCCTGCACCTCTTTTACAAGCTCTTGTTATCTAAGTCCAGCTCAGCCCAGCTCCCTCAGCCAGCCAGAACCTCCAGGATTGATTCCTTCCCGTCCTTTACTCATAAATCCTGGAAATATTACATGGGGAAGATCTGAGGCTCCAGCTTGGGCAACAGAGTGAGACTTCATTTAAAAAAAAAAACAACAAAAAAAAGATACTTAAAAAAAAGCTTGCAGGTAGTTTCAGTGAGTTCGCAGGTATAAAATTTGAAATGTGAGAAATGGAAGGTGTATTGGGTTGTGTTAACACGAGGCACATTCATAGTTTGTAAACCCAGTTTATTGAACAGATAGAGGATTTGTCCCACTGTTGAATCAGTGAAATCTCATTTCATCCATTTGTAACAATGTTGAACTGTTTCTTTGGCAGGACCTCAAGGGGGAAAAGGGAGACAAGGGAGCAATGGGCGAGCCTGGACCTCCTGGACCCTCAGTAGGTTATTTAAAGTTATATTGTCCCCATAACACATAAAGTAGAGCCTTAGTATTTACTTTGATGTGTGTTTTGTCTTAAGTTGTTTTTTTTTTTAAAGAAAGTAAAGGAATAAAAGAATGGCTACTCCACAGGCAGAGCAGCTATTGCTTTTAAGTCTTAATATTGGCTAAAATACAATAACATTTGACCGCAGAGATCATGAATACACTAGAGTTATTTTACGGCCACTCCTAGCTGAAATCCTTGCACTGCTGTACATGCACCCAATGCCACCCATCCTATGACTTATCTTCAGCATCAGCTTTTTTAGCATCTGTTTTTTAATTACTATTCATCAATAAGATTTCTCTCTTAGATGGCTCAGCACTGAAACATGTTTTTAAATGGCAGAATAACCAAAAGGGACAAATTAATAAAAATCAATGTAAGTAAAAAAATCAGTAATTCATAAAATTTGACATGGCTCTAATTAATACAGGGACTGCCTGGAGAATCATATGGATCTGAAAAGGGTGCTCCTGGAGACCCTGGCCTGCAGGTAAATTTGGAAATTCGGTGTCATGTGCAGTTTTGATTAGTCAGGACTTGGGACTCTTTAGGTTACAGGAACAAGATGCCCAACTCAAACTAGCTCAAGCTAAAAATTTCTGTTCTTTAAGATTTGGGAGGCAGGATTTACTTACTCAAGTATCTAAGACGTTCAAGGCTAAAACAGGGTTCAAGGACTTCAGAGCCTGAAAACATAAGGGCAGGACTCCCTCTCCATCTCACTTCTGCTTCTCTCTGCATATCAGCCTCATTCTCTCCTCTGGCAGATGATCTTCCATGTCAGGGGAGATGGGGAGAAAGAGCTACCCTGCAGCAGACAACTTCAGGCTAATGGCATTAGAGGAGAAAGAGAGCATATTTCTCCCTGTGTCCATTTATAAAATCCCAGGGAATTCATCTCATTGGCCCAGCTTGGTCATATCTGGTCTCACTCTGGATAAAAGGCAGTGACCAAGAGAAAAGGGTACTATAATTGGCCAGGCCAGTGGGGCAGTGGGCTACTGAGACTGACAGTGCCATCAGAACCACCCAGAGGGAGGGAAGAGCAGCCCCCACAAAGGAAATAGGGCAATCTGTGACCAGAAGTGGGCAGCTGGAAAAACGGAAGCAGCAGGGGCCCCCACTACCCCACCCAGATCCATTTTGGAAAGATTTAAATCCATATATTGTGTTAAATCTCTAAAAGTTATACATTTGGAAAAGTAAAATCTACAAAACTTATACATAAGCAAAGAATGTATTTTTTGGCCTGAGAAAAAATATTCAATGAACATGATTTTTAAATTTTATCAGGAAGGGCAAATACCATAAAAGTCAATCCAAACTGCCGGTTGAGATACCACACTATATCTTTTATACATATATTTAAATATAGGCAGACCTGGGGTCCAAGGAATTACCAATATTTCAAATAAATAAATAAATGGACTGTAAACACCTTCCTTTTTCTAGGCTTCCTTATTTACTTCTCTGCCCAGTGTGTGTGTGTTTTTTTTTTCCCTTCCAAGTTTAGAATGAACAGCATCAGCTCTAATTTAAGTTTGGCTGTTAATGTCCTTCCTTCCTTCTCTGACTTTCTCCAGTTTCCCATTCTGACTGGCTTCTGCTTTCCCTGGAAAGAGAGGGCCATTGTGTATTCTGTGGTTAATAGTTTTTCCTTCTAACACCTGGGTGAAGATCTTTACTCAGGCTTTTCATGCCTGAGGTCAAGAGGAGATGATCATATCACTTAAGATTTCCGTATTTGTAAAGTTAGCCATATTTATTACATTTCATGTTTTTGATTTGTTTTTGCTGTAGGGAAAACCCGGAAAAGATGGTGTTCCTGGCTTCCCTGGAAGTGAGGTATAGAGTTGATTTGGCCTATGGAGGTAGTAAAAATGTCAGTCCTACTAGCTGAAGAAGGATTTTTTAAAATCACTAAATAGTTATAAACAAACAAAAAGCTTACAGCTTTTAAAAACTGCATTTGGGAATCATAGTTTTACATCCCCACTGTGAAGAGAGATCATCTGAGCACATTCTTTTGTTTCAGAGGAGTTCAAATTGCACCTGCTCCCCCAGAAGAAGTTGGCTCCTGTGTCTTCTGACCCATTTCTTTTTGTTCTTTTCTTTAGGGAGTCAAGGGCAACAGGGGTTTCCCTGGGTTAATGGGTGAAGATGGCATTAAGGTAATCCTCTCCCTAATAGCCTATTTTAATAGGTTGGGTTTTGCCTGTGCTTTTACTTTTACCTCCAACCCTGGACCTAAGTACAAGGGATTACAATAACAGACTTCATTCAAATACCCTACTAGGTCTGTTAAGAAGAAAAGAGAGATGTGGCAACTTTACTTAAACATTTGAAGGGTGTTCTTGAGGAAAAGGTATTAAACTTGTACTGTGTACTTGAAGCTGTCTGACTTAGGACCAGTGAGAGTGCAGCTTCCCATGAGGAAGAGGTTGAAAAAATCCTACAATTGTAGGAAGTTTGTGGTTATTTGAGATCAAGCATAGGCTAGAGTTCATGAGTCTTAATCTGAGTCATGATACATTGAAAGGTCATGATCAATTAGTTGTGAACTGTATTCTGCCCTTCTGACAATATGTTACAAATATTTTCAAATCATGTGTAGTCATGTGTTGCTTCAAGATAGGGTTATGTCCTGAGAAATGCATCATTAGGTGATTCTGTCATTGTGTGAACATCATAGAGTGTACTCACACAAACCTAGATGGCAGAGACTGTTGCTCCTGGACTACAAACCTGCACAGCATGTTACTGTACTGAATAATGTAGGCAATTGTAACACAAAGGTGGGTATTTGTGTATCTAAACATAGAAAATATGTAGTAAAAATGTGATATTATAATTTTATGAGACCACTATCATATACACAGTCCATCACTGACCCAAACATTGTCATGTGGCACATGGCTATATATGTAGGTATATGTGCAGAGTCAAGATTTACCCTTTAATAGTATCACTTCCAGTAGAATTCTGAAATGACTTCTTGAAGGAAAGGGGGTTGGTTACAGCTGGGACACTTGGAAATGCATACACCCCACAGACTGATATTCCTGTGCCTCTGACCTGGGTGAGAACACAGGAACATGCAATGAACATGAACAAGCATTGCAGATGGTGTTGTGAAAGAAACCTGGAGAACCACCAGGGCAATAACTACTTCTGTACAACCTTGTAGATGGGATTCCTTACCCAGATACGCGCTCTCCAGGAAAATAATTTAAAGTCAGTGTCTCTTTAACTTTAATTTGGTTTGTACATGACATCTACATATCAATATATTGTTCATTTTAACTGTACATCTTGCTTTTTATATGTAAATACTTTGGGTGACCATATTCACAATTTGTAAATGTCTTTCACTGTAGGGACAGAAAGGGGACATTGGCCCTCCAGGATTTCGTGGTCCAGTAAGTGTGATTAAAGACAATATCAATGCTATGTTTGATCAAGTTCTTTAAAGTAGCAAGGAAATTTTGAATCAGTGTCTCTCATTAACTGTGTGAGAGAGATTATAACATTTACCTTGTTGTCAAACCAGGGCAGAAAATAGCTGGTCACTATGTGTCCCTTTGACCACGGGTAAATATTTCTATTTGGTCCCTGGAAGGCACTAGTGATGCCCATGATGGGCTATGGAAGAGAAGAAAAGCTTTGTCTAAGCAGCCCAGGCCCAAGGTGATCCTGCCCCTTCAGGGTAGAGGACAGTGAGACAACAAGGGATGAAGAAGTCAACTTCTCCTCCCTCCACCTGGGCCCGGGTTATGACAACGTGTTTAATACATGGTCAGCAAAAAGCAATCATTCCGGCCCAAGCTCTGTGTAGCAGGCAGTGCTCCCCTTCCCAGTGGACATGTATTTGATGTCAGCTCCTAACTGCAGAGCAGCCACATTTTATATTCTGTGACTCTGCAGCTGACGAAAAGGAGAAAGGGGACCCGGACTCTGAGTGCTGGTGTCCATTCATCTCCTACCTCAAAAAACAGTGGTTCTCACATTCAGTGCGCCAAGCAAGGCTGTCGTGAATGGTCATGCAGGTTAAACAAAACGGCACATGGTGGCAAAAGGGTCATGAGGGGAAGGGGTGTCCTGTTAAAAATGCAGTTCTCAGACCCCCATGCTCAGTAATGTAACTCAGGAATTGGAGTGGGGCCTGGAAATCTGCATCTTTACACTGGATGCATAGAGCCCCTGTCTTAGTCTGTTCTTTGCTGCTACAATAGAATACCTGAGACTGAGTAATTTGTAAAGAACAGAAATTTATTTTCACAGTTCTAGAGGCTGGGAAGTCCAAAATCAAGATGCTGACCCTTGGTCTGGTGAGGGCTTTTTTGGCTGCATCCTCACATGGCAGAAAGCAGAAGGGCAAGCTGACCTGAGGCTGCTCAAAGCCTCTTTTAATAGGGCCTTAATCCCATTAATGAGAGAGAAACACTCATGGCCTAATCACCTCCTACAGACCCTACCTCTTACTTCTATCACATTGATAACACCTGAATTTTGGAGGGAGCACATTCAAACTATAGCAGTTCCTAAATACTTTAGTGGAGTTGCCAGGAAGATTAAATAAGTATTTTGTGAAATCACTTAGCACTGTGCCCAACACTTGGTAGGTGCACGCATATCATTACAGATTTCATGGTGGACATTATTATGTTATATTATTAATATAATACTTTTGTGATTTTATATATATTGCTTAACCACAAGACTCTTGTTAAATAAGTCAACAAAGTAATTGATCCATCTAGCATATGAAAAAGCAAAGAGGTTTTTTTTTTTTCAAACCTTTGATATTTCCACCTTTTTTCCTTCAAGATAAATATACTGAATGCTAAATGAAATCTACCTTTTCATTACATTTCAGAGGAATTCTTAGCACTCTTCACTGTATATTTTCTTATATTCAATTCCATATAATTCTGTTTGCAGCTTCTACTAACCTCAAAAGAAGTTCCACTTAGGAAGGAAATGGTTAAGAACACCAGCAGTAGGTCCACTGAGCATGTCAGAAACAATATTCCTCGATTCTTGCAGGTCAAGGATTCCCTGGAATTTAAAGAAACAATAAATACAGTATTTTTTGATGTGTGGGTTCCATACACTTCCAAAATGGAAATAAGTTCAGTCCACCAGGACCAGCAATTTTGAAAAGTGAAGTAGAATAGAATAAAAAGTATCAGGGTTGATCATATGTTGTAATAATAAGTCATTATTTTGTGAAACTTTAATTTTTCTATACATATACACACATACATAGGTATGTATGAATGTGTACATATAAATGTGGGTGTGTAAACTGAGTCACATCATAAAATGTATTTCTAATTGAAAGCCCATAAAATATCTGATACTGTGATACCACAAAGGTCTACTTATTTAAATTTTTCCACCTACATTTACATGACTATCATATACCTGCTAACATGTAAACCTATGAATTCAGGAAAATAAGGAAGCCATCTTTGGGCCAAAATGAAGAAACTGAAGTAATGATGTTTGGTGAGCTGTCCATAAATAGCTATCCTTTCTCTGTATTTGTTTCTTTCTCCTCTAAGACAGAATATTATGACACATACCAGGAAAAGGGAGATGAAGGCACTCCAGGCCCACCAGGGCCCAGAGGAGCTCGTGGCCCACAAGGTAAGAATAAATTTCTTCCTAAAGCATTTGCTGAACATATTTCTGGCTTTCTTTCAAGGTAATAAATAGCATGTGCTTATGGAATTGACATGGGTGAGGAAAGGGAACAGAGATCTCTTCATTTTCATAAAGGTGTTATTTTTTGATGTCTCCTGCTCTTCATATTTTTATTTCATAGGTTGTATACCAGGAAGGTAATTAAATTATCTTTATGTAGCAAAACATAAAGTTCAAATCTGTCATGGAAACATTTGCTGGAGGGCAGGAGGAGGGAGTGCAAGGCATTGGCAATCTCAATGGGATTACGAAGGGAAAAATGGAGACCGCGAACAAACTCACACAGAGATGTGCAAGGGGGAACTGAAACCCTGGTTTCCTGATGCTTGAAGCAATGATCTGTCCTTGATGCCGTGAATTATTGTCACATGTACTTATGCTGTATCACTTTGGAGAAATCCAAAAGTTCTGGGCCAATCCCTCTCATCTCTGGCTACATATTGAAAACCCTGGGAACTTCTATAATGGCCTCGTCAAGGTCCCACCCTGTGATTCTGATTTCATTGTCTGGAGGAGGGCTCTGGACACTAGAAGATTGTAAAAACTCCCTGGACTAGTCCAATGTGCAGCCAGGATTGGGAGCCACTGATCTAGACAAATTATTGCTATGAAGAAGATTTCAAAGGAAATTCTACTTAAAAGAATAAAATTTCCCAGTGTATTTAAATAAAAGGACAGATGAATACAGACATTGATATAGATTTTCTTAAAAATCTGGTACACTTACTGTAAATCACTCACATGTATATATAAAGGAATTATAACCCCCAGAATATTACAGATGGAAGCAATCTAAGATGGAACACCAAGACAAACTGCTATCCTGGATGTTCCAGCACTGTTTGATTTTCTGGTGTCTACACTTCCAGCAAAGTGCTAAACACAGAGCAGGCTCTTAGTAAATCTAGGCTGAATTATGTGAAAATGATAAGGCAGCATGATTTACTTTTGAGTGTTAGACTTCCAAGATTAGTTTTCTCTTGTCTAAATAAGTGAAAATTTCTGATATTTGTCTAGGTGAGAGTAGGAAAAAAGTATGAAAACTCTGTATTATTAACTATCAGTATATTGTCACCCAAGATTCCAAAAGTGGATGGGACAGCATTTATATCTTTCTAAGCAATTAATTAATGTTATATATTCCCAGGTCCCAGTGGTCCCCCCGGAGTTCCTGGAAGTCCTGGTATGTCCATGTTTCTTGGGGTACAAATAGAAATGCTATTACAAAGGAAAATAAGCTGTCCTCTATTAAGTTTACATTATTTACATAAGACAAATGTTTCATTAACTGATCTAGAAGTGTTTCCAGGCTGGGTTCAATGGCTCACGCCTGTAATCCCAGCATTTTGGGAGACCACGGCAGGTGGATCACCTGAGGTCAGGAGTTCGAGACCAGCCTGGCAAACATGGCAAAACCCCGTCTCTACTAAAAATACAAAAAAATTAGCTGGGCGTGGTGGCGTACGCCTGTAATTCCAGCTAGTCGGGAGGCTGAGGCAGCAGAATCACTTAAACCTGGGATGCGGAGGTTGCACTGAGCTGAGATGGCACCACTGCACTCCAGCCTGGGCAACAGTGAGACTCTATCTCAAAATAAAATAAAACAGTGTTCTCAGCTTCTTAAATTGTCATCTTTGCAATTTATAGTGGAAGAAGGAGTGGAGCTGATACAAACTGATACAGAAATGCTCTTTTTCTCTTCTCAGCAGTTTTAACTATTTGCAAAAGCTTTATTGTCCGGGATTTTTACAGTGACTTTTGGAGTATGAGCAGGGACCTTGAAACTCAGAGGAGGTACAGAAATAGAAAACAATGTCATGGTAATGAGGTTGCTTGAAAATGACAGTTTTCATAACATATCATGAGTTGCATAAGGATACCTACATTACACTTTTTCTGTAAAGTTCTAAACTTTCGTCTCTGACTCATTAGAGTGTTTACCTTTTGAGAGAGGAAAAAGAGTTGGATCAGGGATGGTCCACAGGGACTCATCAAGTATAACTGTAGTGTGTTCTTTTTAACGAAAACAAAACTAAGAAAAAAGAGCAAAATTTGATAAACTACTGGGCATGTGCCCTGCCACTGATCATATTTTTCTCTATATGATGTTGTATATTATACTACTTCATAATTTTGAAAATTAATCAAAATAAAGCAGACTGCAGAACTATAAGTATACTATAATTTCACTATTAAAAAAATAGATACAGAAATGGATAAATATTATATGTACCTGAATATGCATGGAAAGATATACCTCAAACTGTTAATAGTAGATATCTCTTACAGTTAGAATGGGGCAAAAAGATATTTTAGAGCTCTGACATTAAGGAAGACCTCCTTCCCCCTGCCAGGCCCCTAAGTAAAAAAAACAAAACAAACAAACAAACAAACAAAAAAACAGGCTCCTTTAATAAGCCGATGAGAGGAAAACTACAAAGCTCTAATTCCAGAAGAATTTTAGGATAGTTTTTTCTGTTTCTGTGAAAAATGGCATTGGTATCTTGATAGGAATTGCACTGAATCTGTAGATTGCTTTGGGTAGTATGGTCATTTTAACTAGATTAGTTCTTCTGATCCATGAGCATGGGATGTCTTTCCATTTGTTTGTGTGCTCTTCAATTTCTTTCACCAGTGTTTTATAGTTTTTCTTGCAGGGATCTTTCACCTTGTTGGTTAAATGTATTCCTAGGTATTTTATTGTGTGTGTGTGGCTACCGCAAATGGGATTGCCTTCTTGATTTCTTTTTTGGCTATTCCATTATTGGTGCATAAAAAATGCTACTGATTTTTGTATGTTGATTTCATGTCCTGCAATTTTACTGAATTTGTTTATCGGCTCTAAGAGTTTTTTTGATGGAGTTAGGGGTGAAGAGAGATTGGTTAATGGGTACAAGCATACAGCTAGATAGAAGGAATAAATTCTAATGTTTGATAGCACAGTAGGGTGACTATAGTTAACAACAATGTATTGTATATTTCAAATTAACTGGAAGAGAGGACATGAAATGTACTCAACACAGAAATGATAAATACTTGGGTCAAAGATACTCAAAAATACCCTGACATGATCATTACACTACACATTTGATACATGTAACAAAATCTTACATGTATCCCATAAATTAGTACAAATCTAATATGCCAAAGTAAAATATGATTAAAAAAATACAAAACTCTGAAATGGATGTCAATCAGAAGATTTTATCTTTGTGTTCAAATAATAGGACATAATCAGATATTACCCCGGCTGGTTTCTCAGTCCTTTGCTGGTGGCATCTCTCTTCTTAATAGTTAAACTGTTTGTGGGACAGAGATTTGAGACTGTCCCCTCCTCACATCCTCACCACTTTAAGATTAGGGTGGGGTTCGTGCCACCAGGCACGGCTCCTTTCCCAGGAGATGACTATCCCCCATCACAGCCTTTTATGTCTAAGACACTGGCAGGAATAAAGTCCACTTAACAACTTTCTCTCTTTCTCATTTTGCGCACTGGGGGCATCCTCTAGTCTCTAATAAAAAAAATCTACAAAGTAGCATATATGGAAGTATTCCTCACTTCCTTTTAAATAAAAAGACTATAGTGCATCCCAAACTCTGTTTCAGTTTCTTGTAATAAATTTTCTTGTGGGAATGGAATGTTCTGCACTTCACTGTACTGTGGTTATTTAACAAGGCCACAGATGAAAAAAGCAAGGATATTCACTTTTTTATTTTATATGTGTTATGTACCTCTCCATTGTGCAATTTTTATAAATAAAATTAAATCACTCTTGCAATTAAAAAATAAATTCGTATTAATCAGGAAAAAATGTAAAATACAAGAAATGATTATTTTCTCCAAGGATCATCAAGGCCTGGCCTCAGAGGAGCCCCTGGATGGCCAGGCCTGAAAGGAAGTAAAGGGGAACGAGGCCGCCCAGGAAAGGATGCCATGGGGACTCCTGGGTCCCCAGGTTGTGCTGGTTCACCAGGTCTTCCAGGATCACCGGGACCTCCAGGACCGCCAGGTAAAGATGTGGAAGGGGACCCCTTTTGTGCACAGTGCCAAATGACAGATGTGTGCAAACCACGGGCAACAAACCCTCCTCACAGCTTAGCCATCAGTCTGTGTGGTTTTTATGAGTTACCTTTCCAATGGTCTTCATTTCACTAACTGTCTGTGAAAGAAACTGATGCAATGACTAGTTAACAAATGCAGCAAAGTCTTAGCCCGAGTTTCCCAGAGAGCAGAGTAGGAGGCAGGGACAAAGAGAGTGATGTGGGGAAGGATGGGTGGCTATCAAGTTGGCCTTGACCAATTGCAACTGCCTGTTCAGCCCTGGAGACTATCTGTGCCAGGGGAGAAAGAGGCAAGAATTTATCCATTTGCTCCTAGTTCCCATGGGTCAAAGATTTCCCCCCAAGAGAGGAGCCGCCCCCCACCTCCCATCCTCCCACTTCCAGGCTGTGTCTGCATGGTTCCCAGGAAGTCCCATGCCTTGGCATCAGCAGGGAAGCCCCAGGACAGTAGGCCAGAGGTGTGCCGCATGGGTGTAAGGCAACATGCTATGAGGTAAAGGGGTCAGAGATGACAGAGATGTGGCCCAATGGACTTGAAGTGGTGCTCAGAGGTCCTGACACAGGGAGCCTTTCCTTCGCATCCCTCTAGAGAGCCACTTAGCATTCTGTGTTGGCTCATAGGTACAATAGGTCCTCACAAACATATAGATCACACTTTATATTTTAACATACCTTTTCTGGGGCCAGGTGTGGTGGTGTGCCTATAATCCCAGCTTCTTCCAAGTCTCTTTTAAGATGGAGGTTTAGTATCCTCTTTTTTTCTATGTCAAGGCTGACATACAGAGTTCACAGGGCTAATGAAGCTAAAGCTGGGATCTGGGCCCAGGTGCTTGCGGCTCTCTCCCGAAGGTGTCATGCTCCCTCTGTGCCTGCTACACTCTGTCCAGGGGTCTTTGCTTCCTACTTTCCCTTCGCTAAGCAACACCCATCTGTCCTTCAGACTTCAGCTTCAAGTTCAAGTCCAGCAGAAAGCTTTCAGTGAGTCCACATCCTGTAACCTCCAAGGTTATCCCAACTGTAGAAGTTTTCACATTGCCTTCTCTTTGTCTTTGTCAGTTTTTCTTACAAGAATCAAAGTATTTTGAGGTCAAAGACTGTGTCTTTTTGGCTGTTTAAGCCCAGTATGTAGCATGGGGAACACTGCAGGTACTCAGATATTTTTTGAATTAAGCATTAATTGAGTATGAAAATGTATAAGTATACAAAAATGTATGAATGTAGAAGTATTCATATAAGTCTACACTAAGTATTAAACTTTTATCAGATTGTACTATTTAAAGATGACCTTCCAGGTATTTTAAAGATGCAGAAAACTGATCACAAGATGGTCATTCTGTGTTCCAACAAAATTAAATGGTTCCAGTGGTACCTTGTTTTTCTGAAATTTGGGACAGCTATGGTAGTGTTTTTAAATATTTACTTTCATCACCATTGCCTTCAACCTGTAATTGAAATGGCAAAGCCAAAAATTAGATTACTGAACACAATTAACCAGTTTAAGAGAAGGAGCTGTTCATTGCAACATTACAGTAGCAGATAATGTGGAAGCTGAGAAGAGCTTTCTTAGAGACCTGCTTTAAGGATGACAACTCAATTGATGTGGACAAGCAACAAAGAGAAAACAGATGATACCCTGAGTCAGAATCCATTTTTCTTTTACTCAATATATATTAAGCATCTACAGTATATCAGGAAAATACAATGTATCCAAAAATATCCAGAATAAGAGTTGATCCTTTGCCTCAAGATGCTAAAGGGATTGTCTGTGTATTAGTCCATTCTCATGCTGCTAATAAAGGCATATCCGAGACTGGGTAATTTAAAGAGGTTTAATTGACTCACAGTTCAGCACGGCTGGGGAGTCCTCAGTAAACTTACACTCGTGGCAGAAGCAGAAGCAAACATGTCCTTCTTCACATGATGGCAACATGGAGAAGTGCTGAGCAAAATGGGGAAAAGCCCATTATAAAACCATCAGATCTCATAAGCACTCATTCACTATTACAAGAACAGCATGAGGGTAACTGCCCCCATGATTAAATTACCTCCCACCAGGTCCCTTTCATGACACATGGGGATTATAGAACTACAATTCAAGATGAGATTTGGGACACAGCCAAACCATATCAACTTGGAATAATTGGAAACAACTAAGTAAGATAAAATAGGTTGATTCTGTGACCAAAAAAAAAAATTATACAATGAGCTTTCAAAGATCAACTACCTTAAAAATACCACATCTATGTAATATGAAGGGAAGAGCTGGTCACCATGCTTTCTCAGTTGCAGATAAACTTCTAAAGACTAGGCTTCCAATACAAAGATGAGAGAGATGCATTTTAAATAATACATATATTACAATACTTGCTAATTGAAAAAAACACAAATAAAAAATTGTCTTTGGTGCTGTATTTTTATAGGTGACATCGTTTTTCGCAAGGGTCCACCTGGAGATCACGGACTGCCAGGCTATCTAGGGTCTCCAGGAATCCCAGGAGTTGATGGGCCCAAAGGTTGGTTCAATCAATAATGTTGTATTAGGATAAGCCTTTTTCATCGTCATTATTATCACTGATTTTTCCCCCTGAGATAACAATGATCCCAAATAGCTACCAGTCAGTGATGACTTATTTTCCATTAGCTAAAAGTATTCATTTATCTGTAAATCAATAATTTATTTGGCACCCATGCAATAAATTGTTGGATATCCCTAAAATGTGAGTTTTTGCCTGCATGCAAGGAAAGAAACACTGAAATAGATGTTTTATGTTAGACTTTTGGAATTTCCCCTTTCAGAAGAACTGTATAGCTCAGAACATTAAAGTAAGCAGATCTATAATAAATGAATTTTTAAATTAATATGTATAACGTCCTAGATAATTTTCACTACATAAAAATGTTTAAATGTAATAAATGATAGTGTGGTTGGAAAATATTTGTTCTTTCTGAGGACTCAATGTAGCTTTTTAAGTAATGCTAGTATGCTCTCATTGCAGGAGAACCAGGCCTCCTGTGTACACAGTGCCCTTATATCCCAGGGCCTCCCGGTCTCCCAGGATTGCCAGGGTTACATGGTGTAAAAGGAATCCCAGGTACAAACAATTTGCATGCAAGTGTTTTTGCAAGCACAAAAGGGTCAATACACTGGAAGAAAATAAAGGCATTGGATTGGTGGATGTCACAACGTGGTTTAGATGAACTTGGAGGGAGAGTTTCAAAAACATATATTCTATTAACATAAAGTCAGCCAAAATCCAAGAAAAGCTGGTATTTTTCCCTATTCCATTTTAGTTGCTGACCCCTAGCAAAGTATTGTGTTAGGCAGGAATTGTGAACACAGAGTCCTACAAGAGAACAGCAGTTAACTGAAGGCAGTGAAGCAGCTGCATGAAACACACACCCTCTTTCTCTTCCATAAAGAAATATGCTCTCTCCCTTTTTTTCTCAAAAGACACAACCCTACTCAGTCCATTTTTTCATGTTCCTACTTTTAAAAGAGTCATAGAAAAATGTGGTATTTCACTTTCTTCTTAAGGATGCAAATGCTCTTTAAAAAATTGCAACATCCTCCGTGCTGGGGACAAGAGAGTTGCAGAAATGCAATAAACAAACTGAGGGTACATTTGAACGGGCCAGCGGGCACTTGGCTGCAGCCCATTGTTACTGTGCAACATGTCAGGCCCTGCATTAATAAATCTTCCAAGTTTTCATGAGAAGAAAGGAATTGGAATTTTTATTTAAAATCTCATGGTGTTTTTTTAAAAAAATATTAGCCACTAAGTCAAATTTTGAAAGGAAAAAAAAAAAAACACAACATTTTATAGCCAGTGTCCTGAGGCTTAAATAAAGGATGAGTCACAAGCCTTCTCTTGACAACTGTGTGCCAGGCCAGGACTCTCCACACCACACGGTTACTCCCGGCTGTCACCACCTCTGCTTTCGACCTCCCCGTCTTCAGTCACAGAACTGCCTATGGGCAAAACTTTGAAGTACAAAACGTCTCTGTTTACTGACTGGGTTCCTCTGCCCCTCGGGCCACTCCCCTGACTACACAGGGCCTCTCTCTCCCTCGCTACCACCCACAGTCCTGACTCTGCCACCAGCACCTTGGTCTTCAGACAATGTCATCAAATTATGTATCATTGACCATTGAGAGGTGAAGTTACAGAGCCCTTGGCCTGTGTGTTGGGCGCTGTTCTAAGGGTCTTATGTGCCTCCATTCCTTTATCTCTCACATCAGCCCGAGAGGCTGGTGCTATAATTAACCGCATTGGACAGATGAGGAAGCTGAGGCATCAGGTGGCATAGCTAATAACATGGTAGAGACTGAACTGAAATCTAGACGCGTGCTCTTACCCTCCACGCCTGCATCCCCTGACTGCGGTGCTGTCGCCTGTCTCCTAGGGGGCTGCTTTTGGGGAGTTAATCCAAAGGTCTACCTGACAACCTGGATAGGGAACATTATACATTATCACTGTCCAGTAGCCATTTGCATTGGCATAGGGTCTTCTGGGAGACTGGGTCTCAATCCAAAGATGAAAGACTAATGGCGGCAGCCGTGAACACTGTGGTCAGCCACTGGATGACATGCACTTGGGCAGGGATCCTTTGTCCCCTCAGATCCCACTCACTTCTCCTTTATGAAGGCCTCTGCTACTTTCAGTGGCTGCCCCTGCCCTGACTCACAGGCTTGTGAGGGAAGGGGCAGGGGGGAGGTAGGAGCTGTTCCTCTTGTTACTCCTGTTCAGTATCCAAATATCCAGCGGAAATGTTCTATTAAAACAAAAACCAAAAGGAAGGAAATGAAGGAGGGAAATAAGGAGGAAAAATAATAAAAGATAAAAAATCATTATTTTCCTATACTCTCCTTGAGTCTCCTCTTTGGCTCAAGGGGAGCAGGTGAGCAGCTCACTGATGCTGACCACTTATTGCATTGTTGCATTTTCCATAGTTTCTCTACATTTGGCCTATCCAGGTGCAGCTCAAAGAAGATATGTAAGCAGTAAAATGGTTTGGATCACTATAAAAAGATACACCCCAGCTCAAGATCTTGCAAAAAATAGAATCTGAATAAATATGTGTTGATTAACTGACCAGAGACCCACCCAGAAGGTCATTTAAAGGGATCATCTTGATAGAGATATTTAAATACCTATGGGAAGTATAAAATTGTACAATAAAATGCAATTTGGCAAGAGACATTCAAAACCTTAGAAAAGTTTGAGACTATTTGGCTCTGCTATTACACTTTTAAAAATTTATTATAAAGGAAATAATTGGATAAATTTGGAGAGCTAAATACCCAGAGACATTTTTCAAAGCATTGTTCACAACAGCTAAAAGTTGAAAAATGTCTACCTAATGTCTAAATGTCTAAAAACAGCATTTAGCTAAATAAATGATGGCTCGCCAACACAATAGGCAGCATGCAGCCATTTAAAATGAAGCTATAAATTCATACTTATTGACATATGTATACTATAAATCCAAAATAGTGTGTCTACGAGTCCTATGCACTTATGGATATAAAAAATGTATCATTAATTTACATTAAACTTTGGCAAATATTATCTTCTGGTAGATTTATAGGTGATTTTTAGTCTCTTCTTTCTGCATAATTTTCTTATAATGAGCATATATTACTTTTAAAAGTAATATATACTCAGAAAAAATAAAGATATATTCTTAAAATTATGAAGATAAAATTTTAAGAAGCTAAGATCTGAGTTACTTTTTACATGATCTCTTGTTCTGTTATTTACTCCCATTCTCTTATTGCATTTATGTTTTATGATAGAAGTTGTCTTTCTTTCCCCACAAGGAAACACTCTATTTTCTTCATACATTGTATTACCCTGTCTACTTAGAGTTGGCGTTCAATGAGGAGTTAGTTAATAATTCGTTGATTTGCAGGAAGACAAGGCGCAGCTGGCTTGAAAGGAAGCCCAGGGTCCCCAGGAAATACAGGTCTTCCAGGATTTCCAGTAAGATTTCATGTTTTTAAATCTTTAGCTTCAATTTGACAAATTGCACACTCTAGAAATATGGTTGCAACACACTTACCAGTTTGGTGCCTTGCAAACAGTAGGCACTTAATAGATACCTGTTGATTAAATGAATAAATCTGTGACTGATTAAGTGAATGAGTCAATGAATTTATAAACAGTTTGAAATGGTATCAGAAACAGAAAGCAGATTAGTGGTTGCCTAGGGCTGAGAGTGGGAACAGAGGTTCATTGCAAATAGGTTTGAGGGAATTTGGGAGAGTGATGGAGATGTTTGAACGTGATTGTGGTGATTGTGGCATAATTCTATAAATTTACTAAAAATCATTGAATTGTACTCTTATAAAGGAGAAATTTTATGGTATGTAAATTATACCTCAATAAGTCCGTTAAAAATTAGAATCTTGACTGTCATAGTGAATCAAAAAGTTATAGATAAATATACTTAGATCAAACTATTCAAAGAGGCTTGTTAAAATTTACCAATATTCAAACATAACCTGTATTATGGTGATTGTTCTATGGTATTAAATTATATTATTGTCTGTATTGCTTTGAATTATACTATCTAACTGAATTATTTTTCAGTTTTGGAAGTTAACAACAAAGCAAAACAAACAAAATGCTTGTAATAATAGTTGTGGACCAAAGAGTGTGTTGAAAAAATTCATGTTAAAATTGAAAAGTTCTTGTCCACACTGTTTTTAAGATTGACAGAAGAAGAATTCTAACAAAATACAATACAGATTCATTTGTGTACTACCCTAGGGTTTCCCAGGTGCCCAGGGTGACCCAGGACTTAAAGGAGAAAAAGGTGAAACACTTCAGCCTGAGGGGCAAGTGGGTGTCCCAGGTGACCCGGGGCTCAGAGGCCAACCTGGGAGAAAGGGCTTGGATGGAATTCCTGGAACTCCGGGAGTGAAAGGATTACCAGGACCTAAAGGCGAACTGGTTGGTATTTAGCAACTTTACCCTCCCTATAAATGAAGTACTCTGAAGTTAAGAGATAAAGTGATTTCTTTTCCAAAAATGGTTGGCCGCTCAGCACAGTTCATCACTCTAACTGCAGAATGAAACATCTTCAAATTAGCAGGAATAACCCAAGCAAATAGTTATAGTATTTTGACAGAATAAATAGGTAGCATTCAGTGATTTCAACCAATCAAAATTCTACATTGATAATGACCCCATCTCATACACAAATTACAGTTCCATATTTGTATCAAATGAGTCTATGGAAAAGTTCAGAAAATGATGTATAGTAGAAAGTTTAGTAAATATTTTGGGGCGATGTCCATATTTTTAAATAAAAATAAATGCATAAGAAGACAGCATATTTAGGGGTATGGTAGTCAAATAAAGAGATTAAATGTTTTGTCATTCATTTAATTTTATGGAAATTTAATCCCTTTTCATGAGAGAGTTTCTCACATATTTAATTGAGGTAATACCTACCAAGATTTTTTTTTTTTTTTTTTTTTTTTTTTTGAGAGGGAGTTTTGCTCTTGTTGCCCAGGCTGGAGTGCAATGGTGCAATCTCAGCTCACTGCAACCTCCATCTCCTGGGTTCAAGTGATTCTCCCACCTCAGCCTCCTGAGTAGCTGGGATTACAGGCATGTGCCACCACACCCAGCTAATTTTGTATTTTCAGTAGAGACGGGGTTTCACCATGTTGGCCAGGCTGGTCTCGAACTCCTGACCTCAGGTGATCCACCCACCTTAGCCTCCCAAAGTGCTGGGATTACAGGTGTGAGCTACTGCACCCAGACCTAAGATTTATTTTAAAATGTCACAGAGTGAGAGGGTGAGCACCTGTCATCATAATGTATTTACAAGAGGTTTGCAAGGGATGCTGCCCAAACTATTCTATGAAATACCAGTTTCTCCCAGGGCTAATCTGTGTTAGCCAATAAAACAGATCTTACCTCAAAGAGGTTTGGAGAAACTTGGTAAACAAATTTAAAGATTCATTTACAGACCCTTTAATATCAGAATATGAACTGTGAGTCTTCCACATGAAGATAAGCTATCTGGTCTTTCCTAAATGCTTCTGACTACAAAACCCTTTTTGGCTGGCAGCATCTATGGTGCCAGCAGTTCTCAGACCCTGCCTTGGCCAAGTCCCAGGTTGTTCACTTTGTGGTAGTTATGCTTATAAAGTGACAGTGCCAGAATTCTGATGGTCTAATATTAAGAGAATTTGTATGATGTCCCTACTTGCATCTCACTGATTTTTCTTTATAAGTTCTGGTAAAGATGCTCCATAAAGTAAATGAGAGAAAAATCAAGGTGGTGATTTGTTGAGTCTTACACCCTGTCATTAAAAAAGGAGACAGACCACTTAGCCATCTGATGATATTGAACAATGAAAAATTGAGTCAAATTTATTTCAGAGGGCCATGTTGGGAAGGAAGAGGGCTTAAATTATTTTGTCAAATTCAATTTCTTTTAAATCTACAAATCATTTTCAAGGTTATAGCATATGAAGATTTAAAAACTAGACAGTTTATGAGAGAAAATGGAAGTGGGAAATCCCCTTTGTCATGAAAATACCTGGTGAAACCAGAAATAAAGGTTTGCTGTGCTCATTTTATTTCAGAAATGTAACATTATCATGAATATCACCACTAAAGTCATTTGAACTATTGGTCAATTTGAACATAGTTTTAGTGGCTATTACCATATGGGAGACCCATCATTGTAAGATATCTCAAGTGGGACTCAAGACAGTTCCAAGTTCAAAAAATGTTGCTAAACTCCAAAGGACACAAAACGGAAGAAACCTGCAGTGCTCTTACTTTAGTAATAATTCTCATCAAATGCCAAATGCTTTTAATTCAAGATCTCAATGACAGCCTAACTGGTATTCATATTTGGAGGATGATTAACCTGTTGTAAGAATATACTGGAATGAAGCACGATTCAAACACATTCCTGTTGTCACAGGCTCTGAGTGGTGAGAAAGGGGACCAAGGTCCTCCAGGGGATCCTGGCTCCCCTGGGTCCCCAGGACCTGCAGGACCAGCTGGACCACCTGGCTACGGACCCCAAGGAGAACCTGGTCTCCAGGGCACGCAAGGAGTTCCTGGAGCCCCCGGACCACCCGGAGAAGCCGGTTGGTTAGTTTTCTTTCCAGTCCTGTTTTCCGATGGAGTGGGTTGATGGTTTCTAGAGCTAACGAAGCTTCTCCAAGACTAAGGAAAATATAGAAACTTGCTTCTAACGAATAGAATATGTCAACTCACAGATACCAGGAAAGAATATGTAGGGTATGTTAGAGAAAACTCATTTTTTCTCCATTACTGGGCAATTCAACTGAAATTTCCTAGAATATTCTATATCTATTACATACATACATATATATATATGAAATGAATAGATCCTAAGCGTTATTGCAAATTTGTTTTTTGTGGTTTTCTAGAGACAGGGTCTCACTGTGTTGCCCAGGCTGGAGTGCAGTGGCATAATTATAGTTTACTGCATCCTCAAACTTCTGGGCTTAATAGATCCTCCTGCCTGGTCTCCTGAGTAGCTGGGGCTACAGGCACGTGTCACCACGACCAGCTAATATATATTTTATTTTTATTTTTTGTAGAGACAGGATGTTGCTGTGTTGTCCAGGCTGGTCTCCTACTCCCAACCCCAAACAATCCTTGCTTCAGCCTCCCAAAGTGCTAGGATTACAGGCGTGAGCCACTGTGCGCAGCCACAAATTTGTTGATTTTGATCCATAACTCCATAGGCAGGTTACAAATAAAACTTTAAAATATCTAAGACAAATGAAGGAAAATGGTCTGATAATAGTTTAAAAGTCCAGGTAACTTTTGGGATATACATATACTGGCCGTAGTTCTGGATTCAGGAGTGTGGCTGAAGGTCAGAATAGCATGCTACTGATAGTTTTGAGCAAATAATGCCAACATGGTCATGTTTTACTTCTAAAATCACCTTAGGCTGGGCACAGTGACTCACACCTGTAATCTCAGCACTTTGGGAGGCCAAGGTGGGCAGATCACTTGAGGTCAGGAGTTCAAGACCAGCCGGGTCAACATAGCGAACCCCCATCTCTACTAAAAATACAAAAATTAGCTGAGCATGGTGGCACATACCCACAGTCCCAGCTACTTGGAAGGCTGAGGTAGGAGAATCGCTTGAACCTGGAAGGTGGAGGTTGCAGTGAGCCAAGATCGTGCTACTGCACTCCAGCCTGGGCAACAGATTGAGATACTGTCTCAAAAATAAATAAATAAATAAATAAATAAATAAATAAATTTTAAAAATCACTTTAAAGGGTAAGACCCAGTAAACCTCTAAATCATTTTGTAGTGTCTTCCCTCATCAGTAAAACTTTTTGAGTGCACAACCTTACATTATATGTTATAAATGTATGCATCATTTCTGTCCACACATGTATGTAAATCTTATTTTATGACTTTCTCTATATATTAAATAAACAAATAAATATTTATGTTTATCTGCACCTTACTTTGGAGCTGCTTTTTTTTTTTTTGTCTGAGATGGAATCTTGCTCTGTCGCCCAGGCTGGAGAGCAATGGCGCAATCTTGGCTCACTGCAACCTCCGCCTCCCAAATTCAAGTTACTCTCCTGTCTCATCCTCCCAAGTAGCTGGGATTGCAGGCACCTGCCACCATGCCAGGCGAATTTTTATATTTTTAGTAGAGATGGGGTTTCACCATGTTGGCCAGGCTGGTCTTGAACTCCTGACCTCAGGTGATCCACCTGCCTCGGCCTCCCAAAGTGCTAGGATTACAGGCATGAGCCACCATGCCTGGCCGAAGGAGGCTGCTGTTCTAATCCAGGTACTAGCAAACGGTGGTGGACCACAGTCCAAGACCAGCCCACTGCCTGATTTTGTATGATCCTCAAGCTAAGAATGGTTTTCACATTTTCAAATGATTGAAAAAAATGTTTAATGATATTTTGTGATGCATGAAAATTACATGAAATTCAAATTAGAGTATCCATAAATAAAGTTTCTTGGAACACAGCTGCACTCCTGTATGTACTGTCTCTGGCTGCTTTTATGCTACAATGGCAGAATTGAGTAGTTGGGTAGATTTCAATCACGAAGCCTAAATTTCTTACTATCTGGCCCTTTACAGCAAAAGTTTATTTAGCCCTGTTCTAATCCATCACCAAATGCTCTGTTGTTGTTGTTGTTGTTGTTGTTGTTTGAGATGGAGTCTTGCTCTGCCACCCAGGCTGCAGTGCAGTGGCGTGATCTCGGCTCACTGCAACCTATACCTCCTGGATTCAAGGGAATCTCGTGCCTCAGCCTCCTGAGTAGCTGGGATTACAGGCGCACACCACCAGGCCTGATTAATTTTTGTATTTTTAGTAGAGACGGGGTTTTACTATGTTGGCCAGGCTGGTCTTGAACTCCTGACCTCAAGTGATCCACCCGCCTTGGTCTCCCAAAGTTCTGGGATTACAGGTGTGAACCACCACACCCAGCCTCTTCTGTGATTTCTAAGTGTGAATCTTTACTAAAGGATTCCATTGTCATAAAATATATTATTACCAAAATTGTCCCATCACATACTGTAAACCTATTTTT
Organism: Homo sapiens; assembly: GCF_000001405.40. Lineage (NCBI taxonomy): Eukaryota > Metazoa > Chordata > Mammalia > Primates > Hominidae > Homo > Homo sapiens. The sequence continues at coordinate 227,275,582 of NC_000002.12, forward strand.
TTCTATAAATAAATGACTATATGGACAACACTTATCACTAAACATGTTTTTAATGTTTGCCACTGTGGTCAGAATATTATCTCGTGTCCTTATCTGCTAGGTAGGCATTCTTTCCCCCGCGACAGATGAGGAACTTATCAGAGAGGTTAAGAAAAGTGTCCAGGTTTACAAACCAATGTCAGCCTTGCCCATATCAAAACTTACTGTTTTGTTCAATAGCCTTCCTGTGGAAACTAGCCACCCAATAAATAAGTATCCTATCAGTATTCACCAACGTTTAAACTTAATTCCATATTATCAATTTTTTGGAATAGGCTCTTTTCAATAGACCAGCATGTTGGGCTATTAATTTCCCTTTTAGAAAAAAAAAAAAATTGCAGCTCGCTGCCAGCGCTCATTTAATTTTACATAAACACATTCTTTGAGGCTGAAGCAAATCTGATTTTCAATGTGAAATAAAATACAATAACTGTTCTTGGAGTTATTTCTAAACAGAATTTGTCTCTAATCCTAATGTAAGAGGGTAAAGTTAGGACCGTCATCTGTGAGTTATCTCAGAGTAAACAGGAAACAGGTTAAAACAAAGTTTAGACGATTGTCTACACTTATAAATATTTGTTGATTCAATAAGAAAGTTTCTATGGGCTGGTCGTCCTTAAGCTAGTTTTGAAGTCTGTGAAAACAGAGGTTATTTTTTATTTTTTGGGGATATGTTTATAAACCCTTTATAATCGTATTTTCCGCTATCGTCTAAGACAAGCTTCAATATATACCCCAATCTTATGACCACAAATTTCCTTAAGGCCCTAGGGGAGAGCTCAGTGTTTCAACACCAGTTCCAGGCCCACCAGGACCTCCAGGGCCCCCTGGCCATCCTGGCCCCCAAGGTCCACCTGGTAAGTATCCTCTGCCAAATCTGGTACATGGCATCAGACACACACAACACCCTGACTCTCTTGGAAAAATACTGTCCCCATTATAAGGAAAAAAATGTATTCATTGGCTCCAAAAGAGAGCACAGGGCAGTGTCTTACCTGATAAGCAAGCAGGCTGGGGACTTGCTATAGTTCTCTGAGGTTATCCAAATTATTCTCACTGGTGCTTCTAATATAAAGGTTCCCGAGGAGAACCTATGTAACTACTTAAGAGGAATTTTAGAGCAGAAAAACCGTTCTGGAGTTTTGGTGGGGGAGCAAGTGATGTTTGCCCACTGGCAATTCATCAGGATATTTTCCATAGCATCTTCATTTGAAAACTGATTGTCTTTGCCAACGTGATCTAAAACTGAGTTTTGCATGCATGGAGGGAGACTTACATAGTTCAAGACATCTAGAATATTTCCTGTTAGGAATTAAATTATATTGACAAAATTCTTTGCAGTTCCTAAAGATTAGTCCATTGGATAGGGACAGGGAGGGGGAGCATATGATTGGGGTTGTGTTAAAAATTTTTTCTTGGCCGGGCACGGTGGCTCACGCCTGTAATCCCAGCACTTTGGGAGGCCGACGCAGGCGGATCACGAGGTCAGGAGTTCGAGACCAGTCTGGCTAACATGGTGAAACCTCGTCTCTACTAAAAATACAAAAAATTAGCCGGGCGTGGTGGCGGGCACCTGTGGTCCCAGCTACTCGGGAGGCTGAGGCGGGAGAATGGCGTGAACCCAGGAGGCGGAGCTTGCAATGAGCTGAGATAGCGCCACTGCACTCCAGCCTGGGCGACAGACCGAAACTCCATCAACAGGAAAAAAAAAAAAAAAAAACAATGTGCAAAAGGGATAGGACGACACAGAGAACTTAGACATTTTCTTTTAAAATAAGATGAAGGAAAGTTGCTGATGTGGAGATGCATATGTGTATTTGTTTCTAAGGTATCCCTGGATCCCTGGGGAAATGTGGAGATCCTGGTCTTCCAGGGCCTGATGGTGAACCAGGAATTCCAGGAATTGGATTTCCTGGGCCTCCTGGACCTAAGGGTAAATTTAAAATTTTTTCAAACATAAAGTTTGTTGTGGATATTTAGAAGATGTTCATATGTATAAATAAAATGAGTAAAATACAATATGAAGATATAAATAGGATATAAGATATAAAATGAGTAAAATAGGAAATATCCATAATACTCTTTAAAATGTTTTCTGGCCAGGCGCAGTGGCTAATGCCTGTAATCCCAGCACTTTGGGAGGCCAAGGCAGGCAGATCACTTGAGGTCAGGAGTTCGATACCAGCCTGGCCAACATGGTGAAACCCCGTCTCTATTAAAAATACAAACATTAGCCGGGTGTGGTGGCATGTGGCTGTAATCCCAGCTACTCAGGAGGCTGAGGCACAAGACTCTGTCTCAAAAAAAAAAATGTTTTCCAAGAGCCACAAATGGAAAAAAATCTTATAATAATGTTAGGTGAATTAATTGAATTTTTTAAAACACAGAGAAAACAACTAGAAGGAAACTCACCAAAATGGTAATAGTGAATCTTGATTGTCAGATTTTAAAGACATTTTTGATACTTCTCAGTAAATGCCTGCACATTTCACATGTATACATTTCTTTTTTTTTTAATAAGAAAGGAACTATTAAATCACAAATGGCTGATTTTCCCATAAACTCCAAAATAAATTATGGAAATTATTTTCCTTTAGGGAAAAAAATGCTGTTTCCCCTCAAAGAGGAAACACTCCAAAAAAATCTAGACGCTGAGAGCTCACACAATGACATAAGCCTGCCCACTGACAAGTACATGAAAGTCCTGTCCAGGATGGCATATGAGTAACCTGAGTCCCTGGATTCTCACATAGAACTGCAAGTTTTATGACAATTTCATGTTTGTTACAATATTCTTTAAAATGTTTGTCAAAAATAGCATCCTTGTTTTGGTGTTTCAGCTCTTGGATTAGTATGTCATCAGTGTTTATTATACATTAATTTTGCCCAAATATGAGAATATTGATTTCAATTTATGAGTATTTGAAATGGAAAACATAATCTCATTTCTCCTGGAGTCTTAAGAATGGCTTTGAGTCCAATTTCTTGGTTTTCTTCCTAATGATCTGTGAAGTAAGGGAGTCTGCCTCACATTTGTACTTCATTCTTCTTGGACCCTGCATTAATAAATTACATCCCTACTTTGTAACTCTAGGTATTGACTCTCTGGAAGAAGACTGTTGACTGTGGGAACCAGAACTAGCCCAAGAGCTCCTTGAAAGTGGAGATTTACAATTTCACAATTGAATCTAATGAATCCCATGAACTAACTGCAAATTAAATATTGGTCAAATTAGGGTATGAAGGAACTCCCTGAATGCAGCCTTGCTTCACCGTGGCTTCCTCTTCTGAACCAGAGATCACAGAAAGTGTGTTGACCCCTTTCTCAAGTCACCTACTATAAATGCATAAGAAGTTAATCCCTTGCATGCAATGGATGCTATAGGGCATTAAGACTTAATTCTCTTAAGCAACCCCTGTTGAGAAAGGCTACCTGGGGTGCTGAAAACGTTCTATATCTTTTTTTTTTTTTTTGAGACAAAGTTTCGCTTTTGTTGCCCAGGCTGGAGTGTAATTGGCACTATCTCAGCTCAACACAACCTCTGCCTCCTGGGTTCAAGCGATTCTCCTGCCTCAGCCTCCCGAGTAGCTGGGATTACAGACATGTGCCACCATGCCTGGCTAGTTTTTTTGTTGTTGTTTTTTTTGTTGTTGTTGTTTTTGTATTTTTAGTAGAGATGGGGTTTCTCCATCTCCATGTTGGTCAGGCTGGTCTCGAACTCCCAGTCTCAAGTGATCCACCCACCTTGGCCTCCCAAAGTGCTGGGATTATAGGTGTGAGCCATCATGCCCAGCCAAAAGCTTTGTATCTTAATCTAGGTCATGCTTACATGAATATATCCATATATAAAAATCCACTTACCTGTACACTGTATGTAAAAAATACTTCAAAAACAAAGTCAAATGGTCAACCAGCATCAGTGGTTTGAAGAATTGCTGAATCAAAATCATGGCCCTACTAAACAACAAAATAGAGAAAGTTATTTTTTCAAATAGGAACCAATGTAATTTGATTTGGAACTTTTAAAAAATTGCTAATTTATCAGTTGGTTTTATTATCATTTAAATTTTCATAAAAGCATCTCTAGCTGGTTGAGAGATAAGAGAGTTACTGCTCAGAATATTTCAATAAGACTAATCCTACAACAATGTTTATTGTTTTTTCTCTGTAGGAGACCAAGGTTTTCCAGGTACAAAAGGATCACTGGGTTGTCCTGGAAAAATGGGAGAGCCTGGGTTACCTGGAAAGCCAGGCCTCCCAGGAGCCAAGGTATGCAAAAATTCAAGCTATCACAGAAGAGAGGGTGGGTGACCATTAACTGGCCAGTTTGTATGCACTTATCTGGCAGAGCACTCTAGATGTAGAAATGATCAATATATTTGTAGATGATGAAGATATTAAATTTTTTAAATGTTTCTCTGGATCATCTTCCATTTTAGAAAGGAAAACATAAGGTGTCAGAATGCAGATTTCATCGTGATATCATCTTTAATGGTTTCATAAATAATCAGAGTATTTAAAATGGGACAACTCTAGAAAGAAATGTGGTTAGCTATAAGAAAAACTATCAAAAGTAAAAACATCTAGATTTTTCTCTTTATAGACAATCCCACAGTCTTCTGAAAAAGTGGAGGCTACATATCCTGAAGTATTATTAAACATAATCTTACAGAAAAGTCAGCAACTAGAGCTCAAAAAGGAAAGTTGATGACATGGTAGTGGCTGTGCAACAGGGACTTAGAGCCTCCATAACAGAGAGTCAATATCAGTGAAGATTTGGAAGCACTATATAGTAATAACACAATTTCTATGCTGTAGGGAGAACCAGCAGTAGCCATGCCTGGAGGACCAGGAACACCAGGTTTTCCAGGAGAAAGAGGCAATTCTGGGGAACATGGAGAAATTGGACTCCCTGGACTTCCAGGTCTCCCTGGAACTCCAGGAAATGAAGGGCTTGATGGACCACGAGGTACAATAGCAAGTGTCATTACTTTTCTCCACTGTGAGCTCTGCTAAAATGCAGCAAACTGAATGTGAAGGTGTTCTAGGCATGAAGAATTCTCCCATCCAATGTTCCTGCCCTACCTTTCTTCCTTCTTTCCTTCTTCCTTCCTTCTTTTTTAATGAGTGCCCTCTAGAAAAGGCATATTAATGGCAGTAAATATAGATCTGATTTAGGTGGAAAAAAAGTTAACAGAAGAATGACTGGTACAGCAATACCAAGACCTTAAGTTCTAGCACCTGGGTATATACTTGTGCTTTCTTTTGCAGGAGATCCAGGGCAGCCTGGACCACCTGGAGAACAAGGACCCCCAGGAAGGTGCATAGAGGGTCCCAGGGGAGCCCAAGGACTTCCAGGCTTAAATGGATTGAAAGGGCAACAAGGTAGGAGGAGGGCCTCAAAACTGGCCACCAGAAGGGCAGGAGACATGAGACTCCTGCTCTGTGCTTTGCTGCTTAACATGGGAACTGTCCAGCCACAAGTCCTGACCACTGTTCAATGAGAAATACTTCAGAAGTGTAAACCTTGCTGTTATGGGTTTGTTGCACACAGTAGTGTGTACCACCTATAAAGGAAGAAACTTGAAGTTAATATAGTGAGTTGCTTTGTGTCTTTTATGCAAGAAAAATATGAATGCTGAAGACAGAGATTGGTGTGTGTTTACATATATTTATATACATATTAAATTCTCAGAAAACATTTTACCTTTAATATTTTCATAAATATATTAAAGTGGTAAGTTTATCCTTATTATTAAAATAGGGTAAATGTATGCAATGATACCAGTTTAAAAACTTATAAACTAAAATATGTAGTTGATTGTTTTACATACAATATAAAAGAAAAAACATGAAAATAAATCTAAATGATGCAGGCTAGATGTTCCAGATGATGGAAAACTTTGTTTTTGGATCCTCTCCTCATCAGATCTGATGAACTGTTCCTGGAAAAATGTATTTAGAAATCAGTTAATGTCTGTGGTCTATCATACTGCTTATATGTTCACAAATAAATTTTTGACCAAGACCTTAACTGTTACAGTGGCATTATTATTTTTTCCAGAGGCATCCAGTGGCTTACCTCTATGCGAACGGCTCTGTATGTCTTCTGCAGGAAACAGAGTGAGCAGCACTCATAAGGTGCAGTCCCAGAATGTGTCTGCAGGACTAGAAAATAGATATAAAGACTACACTTGTATTACTGCATAAATCATTGGAGCAGAGAATGTTAGAGCCAGAAGGGAGCTCAGAAATTTTACAGAGGGGACATTAAATACATACACACACACATGCGCACGCATGCGTAAGTGTGCAGTTACCCCAAATCACAAAGCTAAATATTTACAGCCATAAAATATTTCTAAAGTGGCCGGGTGCAGTGGCTCATGCCTGTAATCCCAGCACTATGGGAGGCCGAGGTGGGCGGATCATTTGAGGTCAGGAGTTTGAGACCAGCCTGGCCAACATGGCAAAACCCCATCTCTATTAAAAATACAAAACTTAGCTATGCATTATGGTGCACGCCTGTAGTCCCAGCTATTTGGGAGGCTGACGCAGGAGAATCACTTGAACCAGGGAGGCGGAGGGTACAGTGAGCCGAAATCGCCCCACTGCAATCCAGCCTAGAAGACAGAGGGAGATTCCATCTTAAAAATATATATATATATATATATATATATTTCTGAAGTTAGTAGGGGAAAGCATTTGTGGGTTAATTAATTCATTCATTTATTCGTACACAGGCAGAAGAGGTAAAACGGGGCCAAAGGGAGACCCAGGAATTCCAGGCTTGGATAGATCAGGATTTCCTGGAGAAACTGGATCACCAGGAATTCCAGGTCATCAAGGTGAAATGGGACCACTGGGTCAAAGAGGATATCCAGGAAATCCGGGAATTTTAGGGCCACCAGGTATCCTTTTGTGTGTTTCTATTTTTCTTCTTATTTCTTCTTCTTCTTAAGGTGGCTCTGTCAACTGTACATAGGCATACGCTTTTTACTCTATGCTTTTACTTAATATAAGGTTTTCCTTCTAAATTATTTGTAAGAAACCAGGGGCCATGGTGCAGGGAAACGGTGGCGGCAGGATGAACAATTACCCAGAATGTGGCTATTTTTGCTGTGTAATCCTTTTTATATACGACTACTATAATATACTTGCTAGTATTTTGTTGAGAATTTTTGCATTTATATTGAGAAGGGATATTGGTCTGTAGCGTTCTTGTGATGTCTTTGGTGTTGGTGTCAGAGTAATGCTGGTCTGATGGAACAAGCTGGGAAGTGTTTCCTCCTCTTGTATTTTCTGGAACAGTTTGTGAAGAATCGACGCTCTTTAAACATTTGGTAGAATTCACCAGTGAAGTTATCTGGGTCTGGGCATTTCTTTTTGGGAAGTCTCTAAATGACTAATTCAATCTCTTCATTTCTTATAGGTATATTCAGGTTTTCTATTTCTTCTGGAGTCAGTTTTGGTATTCTGTTTCTCTAGAAACTTGTCCATTTTTATAAGTTATCTGATTTGTTGTTGTTGTTCATCATATTTCTGTATAATTGTTTTAATTTCATGGCTATGTTTATTGTTTATATGTTTGGGGAGAATATTCTGTTCCCTCATGGCATAAGGACCTCACCGATCTCCCCTCTGGAAAAGAGCCTAAAACAACTTAATCGACACATTATCCTTTCATTCATGTTATTGGGCTACTATCACATGCCAGCATTCTTCTAGGCCCTAGAGACACATCAGTCAGTGGACAAGTCTCCCCTTCTCATAGTAGAGGATCAATAATAGAAATATTTAAAATCTAAGTTCAATTTGAGACAAGTGTTATGAAGAAAATAAAGTGAAGGGATAGAATAGAAAGTGACTGGTCAGGGGCTGGGAGGATGGAATGCTCCAAAACTTCCACATATGCTATCCTCATCCATGAATATGATTTGCTACCAATCACTTCCACATAGGTGAGTTTAAAAGACCACTTACCGACCCATCTCCTAGACTAATACAGTAATTGTACTATGTACAGAGGCCATTTTTTCAACTCCCAATCTCTGCTTCTAAGTATAATTTATTTTAGTATATGGAATATTTTGCTTTTCTCACTCTGTACAACACGTGCTGCTTTGTGTTAATTTGTTTCCATAGGTGAAGATGGAGTGATTGGGATGATGGGCTTTCCTGGAGCCATTGGCCCTCCAGGGCCCCCTGGGAACCCAGGCACACCAGGGCAGAGGGGTAAGTGATAGAGTGTCTTTCTAAATAGCAGGAAGCATAAACAATGTTCATTTATTTTGCAGCAAAAAAAGTTATGTTTCATTGGAGGGAAAAATAGTTCTGAGAGAGCAACAGTATTTGATTTTGCTGTTTTCTATGTTCCTTTTCTCCATTTGAATGGAATCCTGTTTTCTGTAGGCTTACACCACTACCCTTATGAGGCTGCCTGCCTGGGGAAACTATTTATCAAGTTCTCAGCACTGTTAGCCTTTTTTGTTTGATTTGTTCTGTTTTATAGTAAGCACTGCCAACTTTTTAATCCCTATGAACTACCTGAAGAATTAAGGACCTGATGTTGTTACTCCTGTCTGTTAGGGAGCCCTGGAATTCCAGGAGTAAAGGGCCAGAGAGGAACCCCAGGAGCCAAGGGGGAACAAGGAGATAAAGGAAATCCCGGGCCTTCAGAGATATCCCACGTAATAGGGGACAAAGGAGAACCAGGTCTCAAAGGTAAAGAATTGCTTGTTTGGAATCAGGACATCAGAGCTGATTCTCAGGCTAATAAATTATCCAGGCAAATCCGTTTGGTTGACAAATAAGGACAGTGAGGGCCAGTGTTTAGTTACCTGCCCATCACACAGCCGGTTGGTGGCTGAGCAGGCCTTAGAACTGAGTCACCTTCCACGACATGTTGCCTCCTCGATGTGTAACATTTTTATTTCTAAGTTAATTCTGCATTTTAATTTGCTATATTTAAATCATCAGCAGTCAGTTTTTAAATTATAAGCCTCAAAACTCCCTCTTTGCCAAGTATGGGGAAAATTAAACCCTTAAAAAAATTCCACATTAAAAAACTTTTCTGGCTGATGTTGAAACCTCCATCTCAAATTCAACTTTATTCTGTAGACTACCAGAATAATATTTTCTGATTCTATCTAAAAACTTCTTCTCCTGTTCAAAATCCTTTGGAGAATAATTACTAAAAAGAAATGCTTCAATGAAAATTTAACCCTTTAGAAAGACTGTTGTTAGATGTGGCTACTAGGCTAAAATTCAAACCCATTCACATTATTTCAAGTTATTTGGGCCCTTTTTATGGCAGTTTTCATGATATGATCAATACGACCAATATAAAACCAAATTTTCAGAAGCCCTCCCTTGCAGTCTTCTTGACCAAATGTAATCCCAAGCAACTTTAGAAAAACAGAGAACTGCTGGGTAAAATATTACATTTGCAGATCAGACTCTCATAGCAGGAAAGGAATAAAAGAAAAATGTATCATGGCAAGAAAGGAAAAAAGAAAAATGTGTTTGCAGTTGCAAAACCATGTTAAGTTTTGAGATATTTGAAATGACTTTTGAGAAATGAGACTGTGTTCAACAAATATTTATATGCATGGCACATGAGGATGTAACAAACCTTCACATGTACTGCCAAACCTAAAAAAAAAAAAAAAAAAAAAAAAAAATTTGCACAGGGTGCTGTAGACTACAATATAAAGGCTGACTAACTGGCAAGTTAGGAAGTAAAGGCCTTCTATGTACATAGTCCTCATCTAACCTGGTGTTGAAGAGACACTTTAGTTCTGGTACAAAAAGAATATTGCATTTCATTTTTAGCAATGAAAAAGAAAGTAATGCGACTTTTATAAAACTCTGCTAGGACTAGTCTAAGCCAAGATATGAAAAAAAAAAATACTGGCACCAATCTCCAGTCCTCATAAACTGTCTGCATAGACACCACTTCACTAGACTATTTTAGATTATTTAAGTAGTGTTAGAAACATTTTGGAAAAAATATGAATAGCATATCTCTGCCTACATAAGCAGAAATTTGGCGCTCACAGTATAAATGCGCAGTGAGTACTAATTTGCAATTGAAGAATTCCTTTTGTAAAGTACAGAAGGACACATGATATGGGGCTATTTCTATACTTCCAACAAAACTCTTTTACTCACCCTAAGTACAGTATGCATCGAGGCTGTTCTGTATGTTTTCTTTAGGCTTTTCAAATGCATAACCAAGGGACACAGATTGAAGAACAACAAAAAAATAACCTGTATCTAGGCCTCCCTAATTTCAATATGATCCATTTATTTTTCTAAATCTGAATTTCTGACTTAAAGCTATTCACTTCAAATGTGGAAGAGATATTGAATATACAGAGAAGCACAATAACAAGTCACTATCCTCTCCACAAGGAGGCTGCGTGGCAGACTTAGGCATATGTAGAAAAAGATAATAAAGACGCGAGGTGCAAATTAGCATGCTATATTATTTAACAACGACCTAAGTAGCATTTACCATGTGCAGGTACTGTTCCAAGTTTTACAACTATTGACTCATTTAATCCTCACAATAACCCTAGGAGTAGGCTGGGCACAGTGGCTCACGGCTGTAATCCCAGTATTTTGGGAGGCCAAGGCGGGTGGATCACCTGAGGTCAGGAGTTCGAGACCAGCCTGGCCAACATGGCAAAACCCCATCTCTACTAAATATACAAAAATTAGCCAGGGTGGGCGGGGTGGGGAGCCTGTAATTCCAGCTAGTCAGGAGGCTGAGGCATGAGAATCGCTTGAACCTGAGAGGCAGAGGTTGCAATGAGCTGAGATTGTGCCACTGCACTCCAACCTGGGCAACAGAGTGAGGCTCTGTCTCAAAAAATAAATAAATACATAACCCTAGGAGTAGGTACTACTATTGCAATCATCCCATTTTACATACGGGGAAATAGGGAGGTCAAGTTACTTGCCCAATGACACTCTGATAGGAAATGGCAGAGATGGGCCTCACTCTTGGCCTCCTCACTGTGCTGCCAGAGCTCTGTAGGAGTTGAGGGAAGTAGAAAATACAGCAACTAAGATAGTCAGTGAAACCTCCATAAAAGAGGACTTAAATGTTGAATAAGATTCAGATGAACAAATAAAATTCTTGGCTTAAAATCTTTCCAAGGCTCCCTGTGCTTTGAGAAGTGAAACTTCTTGGACTGACATACAAGTTTATTCACCACTTGCACTTGGCCTGTCTCTCCAGCCACATGACATTTATGTACTCAATAATTACCTTTTACTTAATAATACCTATGGACTAGGCATTTTGCTATGCCTTGATTATACAGAGGTGAACAAAGCAGACTTTAGTTTCCTAGTCATGATGAAAGTTACGGTTTAGTGGGGGAAAGACACATAATGGGTCCATAAACATTTTCCATTTAGGCTAGGTAGTAAGTATCTTACGCTTTGTGGCTCACATATGGTCCCTGTTGCATATTCTTCTTTGCTTTTGTTTTTAACAACCTTTTAAAAATGTAAAAACCGCCAGGCGTGGTGGCTCACGCCTGTAATCCCAGCCCTTTGGGAGGCCGAGGCGGGTGGATCATGAGGTCAAGAGATCGAGACCATCCTGGCCAACATAGTGAAACCCCAACTCTACTAAAAATACAAAAATTAGCGGGCGTGGTGGCACACGCCTGTAATCCCAGCTACTTGGGAGGCTGAGGTAGGAGAATCACTTGAACCCGGAAGGCGGAGGTTGCAGTGAGCTGAGATTGTGCCACTGCACTCCAGCATGGCGAGAAAGCAAGACTCCGTCTCAAAAAAAAAAAAAATGTAAAACCCGTCTTTAACCCTAAAGCCATACAAAACCAAGCCAGATTCAGCCTGAAAGCTGTATTTTGCCAACTCCTAAAACACTGAAGTAAACAAACAGACTAAACAGTATATATCTTTTTAGATTGCAATCAATGACATAAAAGGAAAAAATGAAAGTTGTAAAACAAAACAATCTAACTCCCTGATACTCATCACTCCTTTCTACATGCTATTTTACTCTCTGGGAATCCTGTCTCATTCCAGACCTTCTTCACCCAATTAGTTTTCATTTGGTCTTCAAGACTGAGCTAAAAAATACCACCTCTTTCAGAAATTCTTCCCTGTAGTATATTGTGCCCAACTCTAGTATAGAGTTTATCTTCCTGGATGATAATTATTTGTTTACTTGCCTGTCTCCCCAGTTAAACACTAAAAACCTGGGGAAAGAGAACATGATGATTTATCTCTCTGGTGCTCAGCACAAGACCTATTTATTAATTAGATGCTCCATCCATATGTGAATGAATAAGTACATATGCAGGAAAAGAGCCAAGGGAAGTGAATCTGCTTGAGAAAAAGCACAAAGGCAGGCTATAGACAGATTGCAGAATGCTTCATGCTGCCGAAAGAGTTTGCAATTTACTCTGTAAGTAATAGAGATTCAGTGACTATTTATTTATTTATTTTGAGACGGAGTCTCGCTCTGTCACCCCGGCTGGACTGTAAATGGTGTGATCTCGGCTCACTGCAACCTCCGCCTCCTAGGTTCAAGTGATTCTCTTGCCTCAGCCTCCCAAGTAGCTGGGATTACAGGTGTGTGCCACCAAGCCAGCTACTTTTTATATTTTTTAGTAGAGACAGGGTTTCACCATGTTGGCCAGGCTGGTCTCGAACTCCTGACCTCAAATGTTCTGCCCACCTCAGCCTCCCAAAGTGCTGGGATTACAGGCGTGAGCCACTGCACCTGGCCCAATGACTATTTATGAACAGGAGAAGAGTATGATCAAAGTCATGTTTTAGGGAAAGTGGAATGGTTTCCTGGGACGTTTATGAGCTTTCCAGCTGGGCAGAACTGGATTCAAATCCAAGTGTTATTAACTGATTGACACTGTGATTCTGGCCTTTGACTTACCTAATACTTTATAAATTATAATTTTAATACATGGATTGAGAATAGAATCATCTAGATGAGAATACTGTAGTGGATAACACTTTGTCTTTACTATTAAAAAATGAAGAGGTATTTAGGCTGCTAATTCTTAAAATGTTGTTTTAAAGAGTACATATTAAGATCATTGCTAGTGTTCATTGAGGAATAACTTATGCCAGGCACTGTGCTAATGCTTGACACATATTATTTCATTTAATCCTCTTCTTTAAGAGACAGAAGCCCAAATCCGCCCATGCTCTTAACATATATGCTATATGCTGTACTACAGTAATATGCCATCGGTTTAAACCAGGATGTGGATGGGTCTGACAAAATTTTAACATGAATTTTTGATGCCTGGTTTTTTGTTTTGGGTTTTTTTTTTTTTTTTTGAGATGGAGTCTCGTTCTGTCGCCCACGCTGGAGTGCAGTGGCACGATCTCAGCTCACTTCAACCTCTGTCTCCCAGGTTCAAGTGATTTTCCTGCCTCAGCCTCCCACGTAGCTGGGATTACAGGCACCTGCCACCACACCTGGCTAATTTTCTTGTTAATACCTGGTTTCTAACTTCAGGATTCGCAGGAAATCCAGGTGAGAAAGGAAACAGAGGCGTTCCAGGGATGCCAGGTTTAAAGGGCCTCAAAGGACTACCCGGACCAGCAGGACCACCAGGTACAGCTGATTCTCAAATAGAAAAATATCACATTTTACACTTTCCTACATCTAAAGTAATAAAAGTTGTTTCTAGGCTTACTGGGTTTAAATATCAATTCTGTTCTGATAGTGTTCCAGCAGAAATTTGCTACTAAATTAACTAAAAGAAGGTGTTGATAGTTGGCGTGTCATTAACTAACATACATTAACCTACAAATAGTTCCATTTTGTCCTCAAAATTTCATTCTGAAATTGCTGATATGTATTATAAATTATAATGTATCACTATATCACATATCAGAGATGAAAATTAGAGAATGCTTTAGAAGTTTTCAGGTTTGCATCTTTCTTTTTTAAAACAAGTAACTGAGTTTACAAAATAATTTTTAAATAATTAAAGTATCCCACCATTCCTACAACCATCTCAGTAACAAAATATATGACATGGCAATAACACTTCAGGATGCAGTTGGAAATGTATTACCATATGTTTGCAGGAGCCCACTTTTTTCCCGCTGGTGTTGGTCCTAGGATGATTTTAGTGTTTGAAACCCAGGTCTGCTAACGAGAATCTAACTTTCTTTAGTTTTCCATGTTCCAGGTCCCTAGTTCCCTCTTATTTGAAGGAAAAAGGACAGCTAGACAAGTGCCCAAACCAGCCGGTCTGGCTGTTCTGCATTCATTCATGCATGCAAGCAACAAGTATTTATTAAACACATACTATGTCCAGGAACTGTGCAGGGCAATAACTACTTATTTGTTCTCAAGGCCCCAGAGGAGATTTGGGCAGCACTGGGAATCCTGGAGAACCAGGACTGCGTGGTATACCAGGAAGCATGGGGAACATGGGCATGCCAGGTAATGCATAAGGTCCTGTTATGAGCCCACAAGCTCATGATGGGTGAGGACTCCAGATTTTCTGTGTTGTGTACTGTTTTGGTTTTCCACTTGGTAGAAAGCTTATATTAAAAAACTAGATTTGCGGGGCCGGGCACGGTGGCTCATGCCTGTAATCCCAGCACTTTGGGAGGCTGAGGCAAGCAGATCACCTGAGGTCAGGAGTTTGAGAGCAGCCTGGCCAACATGGCGAAACCCCATCTCTACTAAAGATACAAAAAAAATAGCTGGGTGTGGTGGCACATGCCTGTAGTCCCAGCTACTCGGGAGGCTGAGGCAGGAGAATCGCTTGAACCCGAGAGGTGGAGGTTGCAGTGAGCTGAGGTCACGCTGCTGCACTCCAGCATGGGCGACAGAGTGAGACTCCATCTCAAAAAAAACCAACAACAACAAAAAAAACAGATTTCCTATTAGACAAATACACAGTGTGCAACCAGAAAATGGGTGAGAACAAAATAAATATTGATATTATATAATAATCATCTATTGTAACTACCTGATGCAGTTGCAATTCTGAAAAAGCCATTCTTGGGAGAAAGCTTATGTAAAACTGAAAAGTAGAAAACTTCAAGATCCTCATGTTTATCTATTTTACTCTATGTTTTCCCCCTAATTTCAGGTTCTAAAGGAAAAAGGGGAACTTTGGGATTCCCAGGTCGAGCAGGAAGACCAGGCCTCCCAGGTATTCATGGTCTCCAGGGAGATAAGGGAGAGCCAGGTTATTCAGAAGGTACAAGGCCAGGACCACCGGGACCAACGGTATATAGGCCACTGAAATATTTACATTTTAGTGGTGGAGTGAGTGCCTTGAAAAATATCAACAAGTACCCAGATTCGGTGTGGGCAGAGAAAATTGAAACTGTTACTATACTTTCAGACAGTTATTTGGATTTTTAAAATCCTATCTCCACAACAGAGGATGCTTGTCTGTCACAGAGCTGTCAACTTCTGAGAGCCTCTTTCAGTCACCAAGGAATTTCTCACACTGTCTCTGCAATTTAGGTGTGCTGCCAGAAGAAGGCAGTGATTACAGGCCCATACAATCAGATAGGACAGTGGGTTTTTTCTTGTGATACAAAGTGGCCCATTTCTGCTGTACTCATCTCAGACTTATAAAAATAAATTTCCAAACCTTCTAATAAAAAACACTTGTCGGCCGGGCGCGGTGGCTCACGCCTGTAATCCTAGCACTTTGGGAGGCCGAGACGGGCGGATCACGAGGTCAGGAGATCGAGACCATCTTGGCTAACATGGTGAAACCCCGTTTCTACTAAAAATACAAAAAATTAGCCGGGCGTTTTGGCGGGCGCCTGTAGTCCCAGCTACTTGGGAGGCTGAGGCAGGAGAATGGCATGAACCTGGGAGGCGGAGCTTGCAGTGAGCCGAGATCGCGCCACTGCACTCCAACCTGGGAGACACAGCGAGACTCCGTCTCAAAAAAAAAAAAAAAAACAAAAAAAAAAAACAAAAAAAAAAACACTTGTCTTACAAAGACTAACAAAAGATACAAAATAAAATAACTTTACAGCATCATTAGAAAGCGAACAAAATCCTAAGATAGATACATTTATCTTTCTTGTTTTAGAACTTTTTCTGTGTAATGGAATGGAAATGCTTAATCTTGTTTCAATGTTTTCAGTGTTTGTGCTTTGTCAAATTGAGGTTGGATGTTAAAGCCCTTACTACTGTATTATACAAAGCAGCAACCAGATGTTTCAATAGGGCTTGGCTGCTTTCTTAGGTTTATTCTCTTCCCAATTATCTGAGTACAGCTCTCACACTAAAAGCCAGAGATAGACCACTAGAGAATGATTAATAGAAGTTCCTATAAGCAGAAGTTGCTAACGTGGGATTCCATGGACCACTGGGAAAATCTATGGGATCCCAAGAAGCCCAGCAACCTCTTGAAACTAAATGCAAAATGTTTGAAAATGTTTTTGTAGGGTAGAGTCTATTTTTCAGATTTAGATTTTTAGATTTTCAACAGTATATGTATGACTCCAATATATAAAAAGTATTACTTAGGGAACCTTCTCCCTCTTTTTGGAGACAATAAAATACCACCTTTCCTAAATATTTCCACCAGCTATAGTCTCCAGTAGTAACTGCTAAAACAAGAAAAAAATTTAGACACTACACAGACCCAAGAAAGCAACTGTTTACTACTTGGAGCACAGACAAATGTCTTTGTTCTTTATATTTAGATTAAGTCCTCAGAAAACCTGAGATTGCTTCCACTGAGATATTTGCTCAACGAAAAATCCTATTTGACTTCACACTCAATTAACTGATAGTTTCATTTAGATTTAAAGTTTTCACAGGTAACCACCAGAATAAATTTTTAGAACTGTGCATTGAACACAAAATGAGCTGGTTTTATCATGTCAGCAAAATGAGAGTAACAGAGTAGTATATTTTAATTGGCTACCATAGAAATTTTGTAAATCTTTATCAAACCTATATGTTCGGGTTTGTCGTAAAACTGAAGTGAAGATTTAATGAACACTAAATCATTGGAAGGTTTTTAAAACATGTGATTGACATATGTGCATGCATAGCATTTGTAGGATACATCTTTATTTAGTCTATTTCTTTCTTACTCCCAGCTACTCATCACAATTTGTAACTATATATTTGTGTGATTATTTAATATCTATCTCCTTACTGGTCTCTGAAGCTCCATGAAGGCAGGGACTGTGTATGTCATAAATCTATATAGGTTACCATTATATCCTGGTAAAAGCTGGCTTCCTGGGTATGCTACCAGTGCAGTCACAGAAATCCTGTGCTAAGAAGGGCCTCCACACTTGGTCTGACGCTATGCTGTTGCTGTCTTGAAATTCACTTTAAAAAGTTTTAAGGGAAACTGCATTTTCATTTTGCACTGGGCCCCATAAACCATGTGGCCGTCTTATTCCCAGCACCTATCACAGTGCTGGCAGATAGCAGATACTAATATGAATTGATGAATGAATGAAAAAATTAGTGAATAAAGTTTATGCTGAATTCTTACCACATATCCTGCTTATATGAGAATTTTAAAGGTATTTGACTACATTTAAGGGGGATCCAGGACTGCCGGGTGATATGGGAAAGAAAGGAGAAATGGGGCAACCTGGCCCACCTGGACATTTGGGGCCTGCTGGACCTGAGGGAGCCCCTGGAAGTCCTGGAAGTCCTGGCCTCCCAGGTAAGGCTTGAGTTTACAATTCTAAAAGCTGGAAGCATTACTCAGAGTATAGCCCTCCTGAAATCATTGTGGTAAACAGAAAGCTATTTATACTTTTATGCTGCAGTTGCTTTTATTCAACTTTGAACTTCAAATTCTAACACACTAAGAGAATTCATTAAGAGAGCCCAATTTTACTAATCAGCCCATTTGGACTGAAATACAAAAATATGTTCCTATAAAAAACACTTTTGAAGAACTGCCTCAACAAATTCAGCCCAAGGATACAAAATGTTAGCCGTTATACAATCATAATGTTTGTATTAGTTTGTCCAGGCTTCCATAGTGAATTCCACAGACTAGGTGGCTTAAACTACACTTGATGTTAGCCAAAAGGCTGAGAAGTGATTAGGTGGCTTAAACTACAGATGTTTATTTTCTCACAGTTCCAGCAGCTCCGAGTCTGTGATCAAGCTGTCGGCAGCGTTGGTTTCTTGTGGGGCCCCTGTTCTTGGCTTGTGGATGGCTATCTTCTTCCAGTGTTTTCCAAGTGTCTGAATCTTCTTTTCTTATAAAGACACCACTCACATTGGATTAGGGCCCACCCTACTGACCTCATTTTAATTTAATTACCTGTTTACCAGCCCTATCCCCAAATACAGAGTCATGTTCCGAAGTACTGAAGGTTAGGACTTCAGCATATGAATTTGGGGACAACACAATTCAAACTACAACACTGTGCTGTGACTCTTTTTCGAACCCATTTCTGGATTGAATTTTGGCTTTCTGGCTTATTAGCTTACAATTCAGGTTTAGGGTTTTGTTTTATTAAAAACAACTGTGAAACTATCGGGTTGCAGATTCAGGTCTTACTTAAATACAATAAACTACCTGTTCAAATACAGAAAGTTTCAATAAATTTGCATTTAACTCGCAATTAAAATAAAATCGCATATTGAGTGGTGCTTGTGGTTGGTGTACACACATCTTTGAAAGTGATTAGACACATCTCTGCACTGGTTCTCCAGGAAAATTGCAGCCTGGACAAAATCATGGGGTGACCTTGCAACAAGAGAGCTTCCTTAAGGCCAGCGTGAGCATGGTTGACTATAAAAACAGACCGTTTCAGTCACTGTTGTAATCATTTATCTTTTGGTGATCTTTTTTCTTCCTTCCCCTCTCTTCATTTCCAGGAAAGCCAGGTCCTCATGGTGATTTGGGTTTTAAAGGAATCAAAGGCCTCCTGGGCCCTCCAGGAATCAGAGGCCCTCCAGGTTTCATTTTTGTACTTTCTCTTTTTCCTTTTCATGTGGGAGACACATTTTCTCCTGAGGTTTGGATTTCTGTAAACCTACTACTCTATAGAAGGTAGCTCCTAGTTACTCAGTATCCAGACAAAAATGCAAAAAAAATGGGGTTAGATATTTCTATCTATTTAATTCAAATATTTGGCAACCTATTCCAAACTGATAATCCTCATGATAATAGTAATCTGTATGTGGTTTTCCCTGGGAACATAGCTTCACATAGCTACAGTTCTGAAAAACAGCCTGTTTAACACAATTCCACACATCTCCCTGGTATTCCCATTAGGCCACTGGCAAGAAATAAATCCTCTTTTTGTATACCATAGTTTGGGGTTTTTGGGTTTTTTTTTTTTTTTTCAGGTCTTCCAGGATTTCCAGGATCTCCTGGACCAATGGGTATAAGAGGTGACCAAGGACGTGATGGAATTCCTGGTCCAGCCGGAGAAAAGGGAGAAACGGGTACAACTTGCTCATTATCTTTGATCCGTTAGTTTTATTTTGGATAGAATCATTAGTAACAGTGTAATCCTTTGCTGCTCTAAAGATTTTTCTCTGATAGAACTGATTATCTTTAACATGTTTTCGGTGTGTACTAAACTTTTCTCATAGACATATAATGTAATGAAATTGACCAATTATTAACATGCCAAGATTATCTCTTTCAGGTTTATTGAGGGCCCCTCCAGGCCCAAGAGGGAACCCTGGTGCTCAAGGTAAGCAGTTCTTCTTCCCTGTCCTAATGTACACATTTTCAAGGAGAGAAAGCAGTTGAATATGCTTGAAATATAAAGTAAGCTTAACCTAGTGAATTAAAGATGTTCCAATAGTAATACAGGATATTTATCATCTTGGTCTTCAATTTAAAATGTTTAATTATTACCATCACAACAAATGGAATGAATTAGAAACTGTGATTCAATTTTGGAATTTCCTACTAAGAAAGTCTTGAAAAGTAAAAAGGATTCTTCTGTATATGTCTTGCTGTTGTTAGCATGGTTTAAAGATACCACCTCCTAAAAGGTGAAGGTGGAACTGATGGGTTCTCAGTAAGCATCTGTCCCTGCTGTTCTGAGACACAGGAGTAATCCGAATCCTTTCCCACCTGTATCTTCATAGGTCTGACTCCAACCCCCAGATCCAGCTTGCGGTCCATGCTATTGTTTATTAAAGGCGACCCAGAGAGTCTCTCAACATCTCAGACATGGCAGTTTACTGAACATGTCATTCAGAGTATTTACAAGTTTTTTGTTTGGCAGGCCACAGATCTGGATTTCTCATGTCAGTGCTTTACAAGATAAACAGCTTCTTTTAACTCTTTTCCATTTTCTAGTCAAACCTTCCAGGAGAAACATCAGATTGTTTGCACATTTCATTGACCCGTCTCAGCCACGCGTCCTATGAATGGGAGCATTTCATTAGCAAAGAGGCCTAACACACTGAAGGGCTCTAGTTATTGATGTTCACGCAAACCAGCAAAGAGCAGCTGGATGCCAATGAGAAACTCAGTTGGGCAGGAACCACCTCTTGACAAAACAGTTAAAGTGTAAAAGTAGACAAGAGCTGTTCTCTCCCATTTGTTTCTTACTGGTTTGATTGTTCTTTCGGTTGAGCTCAGTCTTCCCACATCTCTCAGACCTCTCCTTTCCCAATGAGGATGAAGGCTCTTCCTGTTCCACAGTGTAGCTTTAGAATTTTGGTCAAAAGGAGAGTTGCTCTTCATGTTCCCAGGGTAACTCACAGTTTAACCATTTGGAATGAGAACACTAGCTTTTAACTGGAAATAAAATTTGGTATAAAACGGTCATACCTTAGGTTTAAAAGCCTTAAAACTAACAAATAGCCTAATTATGTAAGTGAATGATTATGCACCTCAATCCCTCTAGGATAACTAAATATGGAGAAGAGTTCATTGAGACTTGGAAGGTATGAATCCTTTTAATTAGTTTATTCTCCCAAATCCTAAAAAGAAATCATATTGCAGAGCATGTAATCATTTTAATGAACATGAAATATATAATCCAAGCCATCTTGGTACTTCAGGTCATTGCCATGCAAATACAGTATTACAAAGCTTGGAGTGAACTGAAGTCATCTAAGCACTTTCTTTTAAAAGCATAAATTACAGGCATTAAAAAGCTAAAGGATGTGAATAGACATAGGGCTAGATCGTCAATATTCATCAATTTTATTTTCATTGTAAGTCTTTACTATATAATAACTCCCCAAGCCCTCCCCTGAGCTATTAGCCTCCCTCTCCTTCTCCCTCTCCTTCTGCACATCTATCTTCCGTTTTCATGCCATTTACTGCTGCTAGAATAACACAGAGATGGGAGAGCAGAGGGAGACATTATTTGCAATTCATACAATATTTTTCATTCATGAATGTCAAAGCACAATTTCTTGAAGGTTTTCTAAGATGAAAAATATTAGTATTAACCTGTGACCTTTTTGGAGGGTCTTTGGTAAATCCAAACCTCCTGCCACTAGTATTCCTATTATGGGGAATGTGTGGGGAAGTTAACTAAAGGACAGAATAAAGACTGCAATTTTGTTGCTCCTTTGTCTGGATTTAGCTGGATAATACTTCAAATGCACACATCAGTGCTACGCAGTTTAGCTTCTTATGCTCTAATGAATTATCA
Source organism: Homo sapiens (assembly GCF_000001405.40). NCBI lineage: Eukaryota > Metazoa > Chordata > Mammalia > Primates > Hominidae > Homo > Homo sapiens. Next base: position 227,297,246 of record NC_000002.12, read on the forward strand.
GTGACTCAACAATGTCAACATGACTAAGTTAATCAGCTGATAATAACTGGCTTATATTTATATAACACTTTAGAGCTTACACCATGCTTTTATGTCTGTATGTTATCTCACTTGATCTGAAAGAATTAGCTAGAACAGGTATTACCTTCATTTTTTAAAATAAGAAAATCAAAATTTGTAATAGTAGGTAAATCTGAAGTGACTTTGCCAAGATCAGACAGCTAGTTGGAGACAGACTGAGTCTCAACTCAGTTTTTGTAGCTCTATATTGCATTTACCAGCAATATATTATAAAATATATATTTTAGAAACATATATTCTGAATCTGAACACTTTTAAGCAAAGTACCTACATTATTAAAGATAGTCAAGAACTCTAACCCAAGCATATGGGCATTAAAGAAACTTATTAAGCCTTCTTCTTTGCAGGAGCCAAAGGAGACAGGGGAGCCCCAGGTTTTCCTGGCCTCCCGGGCAGAAAAGGGGCCATGGGAGATGCTGGACCTCGAGGACCCACAGGCATAGAAGGATTCCCAGGGCCACCAGGTCTGCCCGGTGCAATTATCCCTGGCCAGACAGGAAATCGTGGTCCACCAGGCTCAAGAGGAAGCCCAGGTAAAGGGTTTACTTTTAAACAGCATAAAATAACAAAAATCATGTTTGACCTCAAAAGTTTTCAACCTCCTCCTCATGTTACCTTGTTGCTTCTTCTTTCCCTGTGGTCATCTCCATTCCCCCACTACCTGTGGTTCCCATACCCAGCAGTTGTCAAGGCAAGGTAGCCTGTTTGAGGGATGCATAGTTAATAAATTAACGAGCCTGGCTGGACGCAGTGGCTCACACCCGTAATCCCAGCACTTTGGTAGGCCAAGGCAGACGGATCACTTGAGGTCAGGAGTTCAAGACTAGCCTGGCCAACATGGTGAAACCCTGTCTCTACTAAAAATACAAAAATTAGCCAGTCTTGCTTGGTGGTGCATGCCTGTAATACCGGCAACTCAGGAGGCTGAGATGGGAGAACCTCTTAAACCTGGGAGGCAGAGGCTGCAGTGAGCTGAGATTGCGCCACTGCACTGCAGCCTGGGCAACAGAACAAAACTGTATCAAAAAAAAATAATTAGCCTAAAAGACAGTGATGCATTCATTCAACTCTATTTGTTGAATCCCTAGAGCTGGGCTAGGCTCTAGGGAAGCAGGCACAGACCCTGCTGTAACAGACCCTCACTGGGGAGAAGCAGATCCTGCTGGTGGGTGCCAGGTGCTTCGCTGGCATCATCTTCTCCTGTCTTTACCACAATCCCATCACATGCTCCAGGGGAAAGAATGTTTGTGGCAATGCTAAGTGAAGGGTTTATACTTCATTAGAAACAATCACTGATAAATAGAACCTTCCAAGCTCCCTGGCTGGCAATACTGACAGACTTTTCATGAATTCAGGTGCGCCTGGTCCCCCTGGACCTCCAGGGAGTCATGTAATAGGCATAAAAGGAGACAAAGGGTCTATGGGCCACCCTGGCCCAAAAGGTCCACCTGGAACTGCAGGAGACATGGGACCACCAGGTCGTCTGGTGAGTATGGATAATTATTTTGACTCATTATTAATTCAATATCAACTTATAATTATTCTTATATTGTATATTATATCATATATTGTTGATGTTAACTGTATTAGTCCATTCTCATGATGTTAATAAAGACATACCCGAGACTGGGTAATTTATAAAAGAGGTTTAATTGACTCACAATTCTACATGGCTGGGGAGACCTCAAGAAACTTATAATCATGGCAGAAGGCACCTCTTCACACTGCAACAGGAGAGAGAATGAGTGCCAAGCAAAAGGGGAAGCCCCTTATAAAACCATCAGATCGGCCGGGCATGGTGGCTCACGCCTGTAATCCCAGCACTTTGGGAGGCCGAGGCGGGCGGATCACGAGGTCAGGAGATCGAGACCATCCTGGCTAACATGGTGAAACCCCGTCTCTACTAAAAATACAAAAAATTAGCTGGGCGTGGAGGCAGGCGCCTGTAGTCCCAGCTACTCAGGAGGCTGAGGCAGGAGAATGGCGTGAACCCGGGAGGCGGAGCTTGCAGTGAGCCGAGATAGCGCCACTGCACTCCAGCCTGGGTGACAGAGTGAGACTCCGTCAAAACAAACAAACAAACAAAACCATCAGATCTCATGAGAACTCACTCACTACCATGAGAATGGCATGGGGGAAACCACCCCCATGATTCAATTACCTCCCACTGGGTCCTTCCCAGGACATGTGGGGATTATAGGAACTACAATTCAAGATGAGATTTGGGTGGGGACACAGCCAAACCATATCATTAACATTGACTTATCGTTAGTACAAGAGTACTATTATACTCTTATAAATTAATTGCCAGATCAGATGGGCCTGGAGGCAGCAAAAATTTACAATTTTTGATGCATCTGTGCAGTGTGCCTAAGGGAACACAGTCCAGAAGTTTCTGAAAATCAAAAAATCTTCAGAGTTGGAATGATTTGGCCTCTAAGAGGCCTCCAAAACTTTGGTCTGTATGGGACTCACCTCTACAGCATTCCAGATCCTTGCTTATTTAGACCCTGAACAAGTCCAGTGACGGAATCTTCAAAAAGCAGCTGGGAGTTCAGAATCACTCTAAATGACATTGTCACTTTTCCCTCTACTTACAGGCTTCTGAAGATTTCTGCATTCCCCTGTAAATGCCTATTTATTTTCTGCCCCCCAAATGCCTGCCAATGTTTCTAAATAACTGCCATTTCTTTCCAATTATTTTATTCCTGGATAAATACTTGGTTCTTTCAAATTCAGTTTAACTATTTATCAGCCTTGCCTCTATACTGAATACACCCTAGTTTCAATCGCCCTAAAAAATATAGCCTCTGGAATGAACGCCCTCCAGAAGTAAGAAGTCAATACCCCAGTGAGTGGCTAAAGGACAGAAGGGTCTACTGTCCGGAACATCACCATTTTAGGAATCAGACCTAAAATTCCACTTGGGCCATTGGGCTGACCTACCTGTCTCCACATTGTGCCTGTAATCAACTAAAGCCCATGGGCCTTTTCCTCATGAACTGCTACTAAGTTTTCTCCATTATTTCTTGCCTAGCTTGTTGTTGCTGATGTTTATTTGGGACTTAAGTGTAGAACTTTTACATTTATCAATCTTAGACATCATCTTATTCATTTAGGCCTGTGCCCCAAGCCTGCAATCTCTCAATTCATATTCTCTCTCTCAACACCACAGCCGTCGTCCCTAGCTTTCTCTTAGCAGCGTATTAGACAAGTTGACCCCTCTGTTTACATCAAATCCTTGGAGACAGATGTTGAATAGATGAATGTGACTCAGGGATCATAACTGAGTGTCTACTCTGTACCAATGGATAGAAAAACAAAAAGCTACAGTCCCTTGCCCTAGAGGAGCCCACAATAAAGTGAGGGTGATAGACACAGAGACGGCCATTTTCACACTGTGTGGTAGGAAGAATGCAGGGGGCTGTGGGGACACAGAGGAAGGGTATTTAATCCAGACTGTAGAGGGAAGGTGTTCAGGAAAGGTCCCTCCCCAAGGAGATTGATGCCTGGCCTGAGTCTTGAAAGACGCATAGGAGTTATCCAAGAAAATAGGAAAAGCCGGGGTATGGGTCGGGTGGAGGAAAGGAGCTTTCTGAGCAAAATGACAATGGGTGTGTGTGAGTGACACACACACAACTCTATTACTGGAGCTGAGGTGGGAATGAGGACACCTTGGGAGGAGTCTGGAGGGCTAAGCAGGAGTCAGGTAACGGAGGTCTGGTTTTCTAGACTAAGAAGAGGGAGGAGGACATCACTTGCTGATCCAAGAAACACTTAACAAAGCAGCTCTTTGTGCCCAGAGTTTGCTCTCTACCAGCTGGAATTAATCCCTTAATGAACTGCCTTTTGATGTGGCTATTCACCAAGCTTTAAATCTATCCTTGTTGCTCTATGCAGCAGCCATTTTGTCCACAAAAATATAGTAGAGAGAGCTACCATGGCACATGGCACAGCTCTCTCTACCATGTAAATTGTCAGTGTAAATACATTGACAATTCATATGTAAATACAGAACATCTATGGTATAACTCATTTTGTCCTCTACTAACCTCATCAGTGATGCGTAATGAGGTGCTTTGCCATAGCTCATTGTTAGGAATCGCTCTTAAGTACTCTTGGTATTTGATTTCCAGAATCTAACTTTAAAAGTTTTTTTGAAAAATGACATATTTGCCCATCTTCAGTCTGTAGGTGTCTCTCATGTTCTCCATGATTCTTTGAAAGTTGCCAATTTGATCCATGATTACATCTGAAGACCTTCCAAAGGACACTGGGATATATAAAGCTTGGTTTGGAAACATGATCTTACTTAACTCCTCTGGTGATTTCGTGGTCATTCATAGGCTTCTATACTTACAGTTGAAAGATATTTCTTGATGGATGTCTCAACTGGCCTGGGGCCTTTAACAGCTCCCTCCTGCTGCCAGGGATAACCCTGGCAACATGCCCTTTTTCATAGTTACCTTAGCCTCAAGAGAACAGGCAGACATCAGAAGCCAGCAAGTCCTTGACCAGATGGTTCTGTTTTGTCTCTCTCCTTTTTTAACAACACTTTATCCAAGCAATCAGATGGTTCCTTCTTTGGTCTTCTTGCTCCAAAGATAGCTGGTTCAAGGCCAGTTTTATCCTTGGCACTTTTCATGACCTTCAAAGCACATTATTCTCAGGTAATAGCATTATCTCAATTCACATGGACAGTATGAAAGTAGATTTAGCATACATTTTGACAAATAGCTCTTTCCAGAAGCCCTGCTCCCTCCTCCCTCCTTCTATGGCTTTGCTTGAGCATCTCCTGGCTATAAGACCAGTTCATGTGAGCCTCACAAGAAGAGAGCACCTCGTTCCTGCTTAGATTATTGCATCCTTGTCAAATATGCCTGTCAAATACTCTCTCTTGACAACTCCTGTACACTCCCATCCCTAGACATTACTTCTCCTACCATCATGATCAAGTGTAATTTATGGCTCTGCTAGCTTAGTGAGAATGAAGCTTAGGTGCTGTAACTCAACAACGGTTTTGTTGTCTTTGCAGCAATTATAAATACAGATTATAATTTTCATTCTGGGCCAGGCATGGTAGCTCACTACTATAATCCCAGCACTTTGGGAGGCCGAGGTGGGCAGATCATTTGAGGTCAGGAGGTCGAGACCAGCTGGGCCAACATGGCGAAACCCTGTCTCTACTCAAAATACAAAAATTAGCCAGGTGTGGTGGTGCATGCCTATAATCCCAGCTACTTGGGAGGCTGAGGCATGACAATTACTTGAATGTGGGAAGCAGAGGTTGCAGCAAGCCAAGATCATGCCACTGCACTCCAGTCTGGAGGACAAAACGAGACTCTTTCTCCAAAAAAAAAAAAAAAAAAAAAAAAAAAAATCATTCTGGCAGTACTGGGCTACTCCATTTAGGACACAGAATATCCAGTTGAATCCAATACTAAAACAACATACACCAACATTAGAAGGTATGTTTGCTGTTGGGCTTAAGGGAAGCTTTTGTTTTACTTTTAAAACGATAGTCCTAAGGAAAGGTTCTAAGTGGCCAGAGGAGTTATAGCCTTGATTGAAAGATAAAAATGATGTCTGCTAACTTCAGCTTATTCTCACCCAACATAATATTATACCCTATTTGCATTTTTAAAAAACTGCTGTGAATTGAGTGATTTTAAAAATTTGTTTTGGTTCTGCTCCCTTTATTTGAAATATAGGGAGCACCAGGTACTCCAGGTCTTCCAGGACCCAGAGGTGATCCTGGATTCCAGGGGTTTCCAGGCGTGAAAGGTACTGTTTTTGTGCATTGCTCTTTATATGCAAATACCATAACCTCAATTCATATTTTAGGGCACACAAGTGTTTGCTGAAGTACAGACAGCTGGGGTTAGTACAAATAGGACCTCAATACGAGTGAAGTAGGAAGGCTCCACTACACTATTTCAAGATTCTTTGAAATAGAGTATTTCTTCAGATCAATGGCTCTCGGTAACCTTCTTTTATTTGTGTAAAAGACTGTGATTGGAAGAGAAGTCTTACCACTTTATTAGTTCACATCAAAGCAAATATTCTCTATGTGCTGAAAAGAACTCCTAACGTAACTAACTCTAGGCTATTAGTAAAGCTAGAGTAATAAGCTGAGAAAGTAGGTAACTATGACAACCAAGCAATATAATTCACCACATGGTAGAACAGGTTTTAATGTGACTTTGTATGTTACCGTAAATATCAAATTGGTTTCTGAACTCAAAAAGTGGACTCTTAGGGACCCTTCCCCTTCAATGTTAAAATACAAGTTCTTAATGCCTACTTCTGGAATATATTTCTTTACAGACTCATTAAGCATGACCTACTGGGTCCCAGTGACATGCCAAAACCTATGTGAACAAAATGAAATTGTAGCCCTTGTGACAGAACCCATAGGACAGAGCCTCCAGGCACACTTCTAGTATTTGTCCTTAGAGTCAATCATCAACCTGAAGAACTAGGAAACCCATTGATCTAAGTGGAATCACACTGTGTCTTTGTTTGTTTTTAGGAGAAAAGGGTAATCCTGGATTTCTAGGATCCATTGGACCTCCAGGACCAATTGGGCCAAAAGGACCACCTGGTAAATAAACGTCCTTACTATTGCTGTCAATGAAGAAAGGTAACACATCCGTGAGGCCATCATCTTCTTCTTATGTTTATGTCAACAGGTGTACGTGGAGACCCTGGCACACTTAAGATTATCTCCCTTCCAGGAAGCCCAGGGCCACCTGGCACACCTGGAGAACCAGGGATGCAGGGAGAACCTGGGCCACCAGGGCCACCTGGAAACCTAGGTGTGGGACTGGCAGCATTGACTTGGATCACTAGGAAGTGGTTGAACCAAAATACCTGTAAACTGCTTTGGAAACAGCTGATACAACTTCACAGAAAATGTTGAACATGATAGTGGTTTTCACAATCAGTCTTAGGATTGAGCTCATTTTACCCTTGACCAGCAAATAAAAGACCTTGGAATCTATTGAAAGCAGTTGTTCATAGTATAACTTGAACAAATACACTTTAGGGCAGCATGTTTTTTTTATTATTTTTTATTAAGGTAAAGGTATGTCTATCTCCTCTGACAACTGTCAGTCTCGGGGCTCTATTTCTAAATGATTGTCTGAATATACCTGAGTTCTGTGAATTTATACTTTTCTAACATTTGGTACAGCAAAGTATTAGGAAAAAATGATTTAGAAATCTTTTCAAAATACTGGTGTTTGGAAATTGAACTAACCCCTCTACATATGCACAGCATATCGTAATAGGCTTCTGAATGGAATGATTATGCCTTAAGTTTGTCTGAATCACCTGGGAGATAAAGATATTACTTATTTGTTTGATCAATTCAGGGACATAGTGAATTCTGGAAGAACATAAATAAAAATTGCAGCACAATTTTAAACTGCTGCATTTAGTATCCTCATAGTTCATTTTCGAGAGTCTTATTTTCTGGGAAGTGGGGCTAACAAGTTAGGTGACTAATCATCCTAGCTTGCCCAGGACTGAGGATCTTCCCAGGATGCAGGACTTTCATTCCTGAAACTGAGAAAGTCCTGGGTTAACGGGATGGTTGGCCACCTTACTTTTCATCCTATATGATAAAATGCAATACAATGTTGGTTTTTGCCTAGGACCCTGTGGGCCAAGAGGTAAGCCAGGCAAGGATGGAAAACCAGGAACTCCTGGACCAGCTGGAGAAAAAGGCAACAAAGGTTCTAAAGGAGAGCCAGGTAAACCCCCAGCTTGTTTCCTCACCGAAGAAGTGCTATTTCGACATACAGAGAAGTCTTGTTCGAGTGGGTGACTATATGAGTTATCTAGGCCTTTGAGTTTATGTTGTTCAGATCAGACCAAAGGCCAAGGATCAAATGTTCATTTGGAAGATGAGAATCAAGAATTATTGGAACACAGTATTTTTCCGACCTCTTAGCTGGTCAGATGGGCTCCAAACTGATGCACAGTTTAGCCTGAGGACAAATAGAACTAATAAGTCCTATGGGTGTTCTTTCAAAAAGGCCAATACCTGTTTTTAATAACTTATAGGAGTTGTTAGTTAATAATTATTTATAGGAGCAGTACATAAGTATGTAGCTAGAAAAATATTACCTTGGTATGAGTAGAAGAGCAACTGAGTATCCTTTTTTAAGAAAGCCATCTTTTAAAAATGCCATTCTTCATGGTGGTGGGTGCCTGTAATCGCAGCTACTTGGGAGGCTGAGGCAGGAGAATCGCTTGAACCTGGGAGGTGGAGGTTGCAGGGAGCCAAGATCACACCACCGCACTCCAACCTGGGTGACAGACTCTGTCTCAAAAAAAAAAAAAAAAGCCATTCTTGAATAGAATTCAACAATTCATGCGTGTCCTGAAAAGGGAACTCTTAAGTATAGTGTTTTATTCTGAACATATGCTGTATGTGTCAGTTTGATACCTGGATCAACATCTACCTTCTGCAGATGTTTCAAAGCACTCTTCTGGAAACTACCTCGATATCCAAATCTTCTATTTTTAGGATTGCTGACTTTGTTAAAGCAAGAAAAAATTCTAAATGTGCTTTCTGAATTTACTGACATATATCATGCTCAGATCTACTATATTAAAATGGTAAAGACTATAGACTTAAATTTTTAAAAATTCAAATATGATGTTAATATAATACTAATTGCATAACTACATGTGATTTAATATTGTCATAGGTGCACAGTAGAGTGCTATTAATCATTCAACTTTCCTTAAAGTGTGGTTTTTGAAGTGATAAACCATTCTTATTAAGAATTCTATTAATTTAAAAATTTTAATGACCAAGGCTTTAATGCCCTAAGAATGGGGCAACAGCAAGAGCAAGGGCACTGCAATATAAATTTTGTAGAGAACTAATTAGCAAGTAGACAGTTCAATGCTATGGAGGCCTCACAAGAATGACAAAGGGATCTAAGAGTCAAACTGCACTGGCATAAACTGATAGCCCTGGCCCCTTTCTTGGAGATACAGAAATGCATTGGATATCACACATTTGTATAAAAGCTCACTTCCAGTTCCTGCCCTGCTCAGCTAATCACTTCCCAATTCCTGTGCAGAGATGAGGAGACATCTTTTGTTTGGGGCCAACTATAGCTCCCTCTGAATGAGGGCAGGGGTTAGGAAAAGAGAAAAATGTGTCTCCCCAATATATTAAAACCATGGCAACTTGGATTTTTCAAGTAAGACATCAGACCGGAGAATTTGGATGTGGCCTATTTTTAATTTCAAAAAACCACTCAAGGTCCCTGGAGGAGACAAGAGTGGGCAGAATTCAGAGAAAATTGAAAAAATGCATAATATTGGGGCTTTTACAAATTTCTGAGGAAAGTCCTGACTTCCGAGTCAGGACTAAACTGTGACCCTGCCTGACTCCCAGGGGCACGGATGTCCCAGGGGCAACAAAACTAATTCCTGTGATGATGTAGGCCCAAAGTCTAACCATCGCTGTTTTCTCTGTGATTCCTTAGGACCCTAGAGAACCATGGCCCAAGTCTGGTTGGGGAGGGAGTCAGCGTACAGTGGCAGCAGAAATGGATGGGAGTGAGGAAGTGGTAGCCAATGCCAATACCATAAATAATAGCCGTTCAATGAAAGAAAGGAGAAGGAAGTTAAAGAGGAATGGAAGAGAGGATAGCTCACTGGTTCTCATCTAGAACACGACAAGTGTGGATTAGCCTTGTCCAAATCCATACTCCAAAGTATAGAAAGTTTTTCTCCACAGAGAGAAAAATGTACAGAAACGATTTACTTTGTTTTTAACTCATATAAATAAACTAACCCTTATTACAGTGAAAAAAAAAGCCTTCTCTTCTTACTTGACTTACAAATTGATCAAAACTTCCTTGAAGTTTGAACCTTTAAAAAGAGCTTTCAATGTTTTCTGCAATTGTTTATTGTAGACAATGTTGCAATAATTTGTGAATTTATCAAAACCATAAGTAATTTTTGTTATCTACTCGAATAGACTAAGTTGTAGATATTTGATTTTTCCCCCATCACATTGTAGGAGGATTCATTCATTTATTCATAAAAAACATACATAAGACCTACCAGATGCAGGCAGGCCACTGTGCCAGGCCTCACAGAGGAATTCAAAGATAAAGACCTGATCTCAAAAAACGCATCAAATATACACAAACATTGATAAGAAGAGGCACTGTGTGATAAACTGCTTAACATTTAATAATACTGTTTGGCCATTTTTATAAGCCACTCTTCTCTAGGATTGCTTTCAATTTATGGGCTCAACATATATAAAATATATTTAAATTAGTACTTTGAAAAAACGAGTTTAAGATTTTTGTGTATGTTGCAACATTTAGAATGTGTTTTTTGAAGGACCAGCTGGATCAGATGGATTGCCAGGTTTGAAAGGAAAACGTGGAGACAGTGGATCACCTGCAACCTGGACAACGAGAGGCTTTGTCTTCACCCGACACAGTCAAACCACAGCAATTCCTTCATGTCCAGAGGGGACAGTGCCACTCTACAGTGGGTTTTCTTTTCTTTTTGTACAAGGAAATCAACGAGCCCACGGACAAGACCTTGGTAATGTCCCAGTCCCAGTTGCCAGTTGTGCTGTTCCACATGCAGATTGTAAATCTTTATAGCCTAGGATGCTTCCCTCTGAAGTTAAGTGTAAATAACCTTGAGTGTCTCCTGATACATTTTAAAGAGAGCAAATAAAACACTGGCCTGTCTAATTTTCATTCTGGAATGTAAAATGGTGGAAGGAGCCTAGCTCAGGAATGCTAGCCTAGCTCCTCCCATTCAGTGCAAACAATTTGCCCCTAAAACTCCCTAAACCACCTGTCTGCATTTATCTTTTTGGTGCTTTTTCTTTTTCTTTTTTCTTTTTCACACAGGGTCTCACTTTCATCACCCAGGCTGGAGTGCAGTGGTGCAATCATGGCTCACTGCAGCCTCCACATCCTAGGCTCAAGCCATCCTCCCACCTCAGACTCCCAAATGGCTGGGACTACAGGCACACACCACTATACCAAGCTAATTTTTTTGATTTTCAGTAGAGATGAGGTCTGGCTATGCTGTCAAGGTTTCTCTCAAACTCTTGAACTCAAGCAATCCTCCCTCCTCAGCCTCCCAAAGTGCTGGGATTACAGGCGTGAGCCACCATGCCCAGCCCACCCATTTGCTTTTCAATCTCACAAATAACTGCTTTTCTAAACCTTTATTTGGTTATTAGCTATTATGTACATATGAATAAGTGGGAATACTTTGAAGCAAAAACACTATCCCAACTGATCTATGCTAGCCCCCATGTTCTAAATCGATTAGAAAGAGCCACCGGAAGTATTAAAGGTGGGAGAAAGAAGATTTGTTTGCCTATTGGATCTTTGATTTCTATCAGTATGAAAACTTTTCAATACTACATTTTGCAGATAACTCTTTTGTGTTGTCTTTGTCCAGCTTTTGCTGCAGGTTACATTTAAATTAGCTTCTCTCTAGTAACGATGCTGAAAATAACTTTAACTTACTGAAAGTGATACTCAGTCTGATGTTTCATTAGGAACTCTTGGCAGCTGCCTGCAGCGATTTACCACAATGCCATTCTTATTCTGCAATGTCAATGATGTATGTAATTTTGCATCTCGAAATGATTATTCATACTGGCTGTCAACACCAGCTCTGATGCCAATGAACATGGCTCCCATTACTGGCAGAGCCCTTGAGCCTTATATAAGCAGGTAAAAATCCAATCCCCTAGTTTTACAATGGGACCAAGTGAATCACTTCCCTTGTAATGGAATGAAAGGCAGCACATGACAGTGCAGAAAGTGGCAATGCCGCCATAGTCTTTGTTTCATGTTACAGATGCACTGTTTGTGAAGGTCCTGCGATCGCCATAGCCGTTCACAGCCAAACCACTGACATTCCTCCATGTCCTCACGGCTGGATTTCTCTCTGGAAAGGATTTTCATTCATCATGGTGAGGAGAAAAGGAACAGGAGGTTTAGGGTAAAGACTACCTGTAGAATGTTACATTGTGCTGGGTAAAATGTGATTCCCAGGGTCGATGCTGCCTGCTGTCCGTGTGTGCAACATGCCATAGACATTTCCTTGAAAATCTACAAACAGACTTTTTTTTTTTACTTTTGGTAAATAATGGAGTACTAAAAAAGACTTCTCAGGAGGAGATTACCTACAAATTCTATTATGAAATTTAGGTGAATAGTAGCTGCGTTTTATTGATAATGGAATGTCTCTTTTTATTATTTTTTTTATCTTTTGAGACAGATTCTCGCTCTGTCACCCAGGCTGGAGTGCAGTGGAGTGATTTTGGCTCACTGCAACCTCCGCCTCCCAGGTTCAAGTGATTCTCCTGCCTCGGCCTGCTGAGTAGCTGAGATTGCAGGTCTGTGCTACCATGCCCAGCTAATTTTTGTATTTTTGGTTTTTTGTTTGTTTTGTTTTTTTAGTAGAGACTGGGTTTCACCATATTGCCCAGGCTGGTCTCAAACTCCTGACCTCCAGTGATCTGCCCAACTCAGCCTCCCAAAGTGCTGGGATTACAGGCATGAGTCACTGCACCCAGCCTGGAATGCCTATTTTTTATAAGATAACTGCTTTACATACATTCTCTGTAATTTTTATGAAAACGCTCATAGGTAATTTCTATCATTTACAGTTTTACAAATAAGAATGAAGTACTTTCCCCAGGGTCTTACAACTATTTAGTGGAAAAGCTAGGATCTGAACCCAGGTCTATCTGCTCCAAAATCTGTGCCCCTTTTGACATTCATATGGAGATAAAAGCAAAGAAAAATAGTCTTTTAAAGAAAAAGCTTTCAGATGTAAATGCTAGTGAAGAAGTTTATGGATTGGCCATGTGTGACTGTGATGACTGTCATAGCTGCACGCAGGTGGTTCTTTCTTTTTTCTTTTTCTTTGTCTCTTGAGACAGAATCTCCCTCTGTCGCCCAGGCTGGAGTGCAGTGGTGCAATCTTGGCTCACTGCAATCTCCACCTCCTGGCTCACTACAATCTCTGCCTTCTGGCTCACTGCAATCTCTGCCTCCAGGGTTCAAGCAATTCTCTTGCCTCAGCCTCCTGAGTAGCTTGGACTACAGGCACATGCCACCATGCCGGCTACTTTTTGTATTTTTAGTACAGACATGATTTCACTATGTTGGCCAGGCTGGCCTCAAACTCCTGACCTCAAGTGATCTGCCCACCTAGGCCTCCCAAAGAGCGAGCTGGGATTACAGGTGTGAGTCACTGCGCCTGGCCACATAGGTGGTTATTTCTAATCTGTAGCATCGCTCATGATCATTCCTCCCCTTTCTTTACTCACAGTTGCCCATTCATTCAAAAAAAAAAGTAGAGAATTGAAAATTTGAACCCCAATGGACAGAGTGTTTATTCAGATTTTTAAAATTGTGGTAGTTCACAAGTGCAGGTTCTGAGGGCACCGGGCAAGCACTGGCCTCCCCTGGCTCCTGCCTGGAAGAATTCCGAGCCAGCCCATTTCTAGAATGTCATGGAAGAGGAACGTGCAACTACTATTCAAATTCCTACAGTTTCTGGCTGGCTTCATTAAACCCAGAAAGAATGTTCAGGTAACTATTCACCATCAAGCTTAATCTGATGACTCAATTGCAGAACTATTCAAAGGTTGCCTGTGTTCTTGGGTCAACGAGTAGCCATGATTTTGTACTACTGTGCCAATAAAGACAAAATATGGGTTTTGTCATCACTAAACACATTTAATATTTGTATATGAATTTATAGTAAATTACTTGATACAATCACAAAACGATCTCTCATCTGAATTTACTGTATTGAAAGACTTGTGAATAATGTGGATAATTTAAAGGGTGGGAGTAGTTTTTATTACCAAAAAGATGATCTATAAGTTTTCATCAAGGCCTATGTTTCTTTAATGCTGCTGAAATATGACTAAAATTATAAAATGCCACCATATATACCTTTTCAGAAATATACTTCTTCCATAAAGAGAAATAGTCCATTAATATAATAAATTTCTCTCCTTTTTTTTTTTTTTCTTGAGATGGAGTCTCGCTCTGTTGCCCAGGCTGGAGTGCAGTGGCGCGACCTGGGCTCACTAGAACCTCCACTTCCCAGGTTTAAGTGATTCTCCTGCCTCAGCCTCCCGAGTAGCTGGGATTACAGGCGTATGCCACGACACCCATCTCATTTTTGTATTTTTAGTAGAGATTGGGTTTCACCATGTTGGCCGCTGGTCTGAAACTCCTGACCTCAATTTATCCTCCCACCTCAGCCTCCCAAATTGCTGGGATTACAGGCGTGAGCCACCACGCCCGACCCTGTAATAAATTTCAAAATAGCAAAAATATTCATTAATAAAACAAACTCAGCAAAAATTCCCTTTTATGCATAAATAAATGAATTTTTTTGGTTTGTTTTTATTTCAGAAAGCCTATTCCATCAACTGTGAAAGCTGGGGAATTAGAAAAAATAATAAGTCGCTGTCAGGTGTGCATGAAGAAAAGACACTGAAGCTAAAAAAGACAGCAGAACTGCTATTTTTCATCCTAAAGAACAAAGTAATGACAGAACATGCTGTTATTTAGGTATTTTTCTTTAACCAAACAATATTGCTCCATGATGACTTAGTACAAAGTTTCAATTTGTTTCCCCACAAAACAAAGCAATTCTTTCAAGTCAGTTCTGTGATCTGGGTCTCTAATCTGTGCTGTTTCAAAGTTCTCTGTGGCAAAGCAGCAACTATTCACAAAATATCACCAAAAACCTATTCCACTTACATCCAAGGCACTGTCACTACGGTGATTGTATGAAGTTTGAATGCTGCAAGTTATGAAATATTTGGCCCGCTGGATTCCCACATTTGTCTTCTTTCTGTCTTTAAGACTCAGGGAGGCTAAATCAGTGTTTGATTGCCCCGCCAACCCTTCCTGAAACTTCAGACCCTGGGTAGGGGAAGAGAAGGGGGCATGTGGTATCCTGGAGCATTGTGTATAGAACTGGATTTTCAGACCTGCTGAGGACCGTAAGGCCTGATGGAACACAGAACTGAACTGAGGTTCATGGATTTTCCAGGACTGTTTCAAACATGCCCATTACTAACGGCAAAAGGGGGATTCCCTGATGGAACCATAATACCCTTGGAAATACTGTATGGTTTTGTTTTGTTTTGTTGGTTTTTAAAGATTTTTGTTTGTTTATTGAATTCATTTCACTGTAGCTCTAAAATCTGCTTGTATTCCAAGCATATAAAATTTTCCCCCTTAGTGAATTAGTTTTAAAATGATATTGTTATATACATACTATGAAATATGTATAACTTTAACTTCTGTTTTACCAGCATACCCACACAAATAACAAGAATACTACTTATGAAATGTGCACTTTATCCTCATTCCATAAATGTCGGTGCATACCTTATGTAAGGGAGCAGTTCAATAATCCATGAAAGAACTTAAGGCATTTGTTGGTTTATCAGACTCGGAATCTATTTTCTCATTGCTCTGAATATGTCATCACTCTAGGTTTTACAGATTTATTCCTTTGTTACTTCTCTAATTCTTCCTTTGTAAAAAAAAAAAAAAGCAACACTTTTTATGTTATATGTTGTTCTTACAAACCATACTGAAAGAGTCCATTGTTTAAAAATCTTAATGTATCAAACTGTATAACTTGGCCGCTGTATGTCTTAAAACCTGCTTTTCAATGTGTTGATACATTCCCAAGGTTACTTAATTCAACTTAACTATCATCTTATTCAGCACCAAGCATGTCCCAGGCACTGTACTAACCTACAGAGATGCTAAGAGAAAAAAAAGACTTGTTTCTGATCTAATATCCCAGAAAAAGTAACTCATTGCTCTGTTAATAATCTCACATATACAAGTAGCTTCCCTCCCCTCTAGTTTTTTCTTCCTTTTCACTGCTGTTATATTTCATCATGATAATTCAGCAGGCCCAAGTAAAGGTTAAAAATAAGGTCTATGCCTAGGGAAACTCAGGGCTTCTAGTTTCTCTTAGAAAAGCTAAGAGAAGATAAGGTCTGAATAATAGCAGAAAAACCAACATCTACAAAACATTAAACTAGTGTTATACTTGATGATAACACTATTTGATGAGTCTTAGAGTCCAGACACAAAGAGACAAAGCTTTGAAGATGCTTTTTGATCTACCTAGGTGGAGTTGGTGGTGCTGATATTTAAATTCAGGCTACTGCTTCAATCTCAATTGCTTTGTAAGTGAAAAACATGACCCAGAGGACAGCACAGACTATGGCCATGGCTCACATGGTTTACATCCTTCACTGCTCACGTGTTTGCTGTCAAGCCATTTTTACATCTAAACTAAGATGTGCAGCATTTCACTTATTTAGATTCACTTAACAAACAAATTTTTCTGCTTTAAAAATGTCTTATTGTCCCAAGTGTACTATAGCGGCATATAGAGCTAGCTAATCTCTACAAACCCTCTGTAGGCCAGTAGTTCTCAAAGTGTGGTCTCTGGAAGAGCAGTATCAGCATCATCTGGGAACTTGTCACAGATGCAGATTCTAGGGACCACTCCAGACCTACACAATCAGAAACTCTTGGGGGAGGGCCCGAAATATCTATGTTTTACCAAGCCCACCACATGATTCTGATGTACTCTAAATACTGAGAAAACCTGTTCTAGACAAATACCCAAGCAACAACTCCGCAGGCAGTTACCAAGTACGGCTGGCTACAACTGCTCCATCCGTGCCTCTTTTTAAAGTTCAAACTCACAGGTGACTCTAAGGTTATCTACTTTTACTCATAAGTAAAAGCCCTAGACTGGTGCTAATGTCAAACCACTGGCCTCCACTCAGGCCTCCATCTTCTCATGCCCTCTTACCAGTATTTAACTTCTGAGGAAGACAAGTGATGCTAAAACCTGAAATTCCAATGAAGCCATATGAACAGCTGTTCAGTTGCACTTCTAAGACTTTACTTAGCAGTAAATTATAGCTCATGTGCATTATTTTCCAGATAACTTAGCTTATGAGTAGCTTATACAATTATGAAGATTTAATATTACAGATAAAATGTAAACTGTTTCTTTAAAATTGGGGCTTCAACTTTGGAATTTCACAGCGTGCTAAAATAACAGATTTCTCAGAAGTCTTTCAGCAAGATAAACATTATTAAGTAACTTATTTATGAAAGTATTAAAATGCTTACATTTGAACTTGATGGCTAACTTACAAAGATTCTCTATGTATCAAATGTAACTTACTGCGACTAAACTTAATTTAATATTTACTCTATAACCAAATGAAATATATTTAAAATATATTGAATATTTTATATTGTTATATCCTGACAAGATTATAATATTTTAATGTACTAATATTTCTGTAATTATATCTAAAATATTATTTTATTATATTGCCTAAGAATAAACATTTGTTAAATTGGAGCTGGTCCTTTTTTTTCAAAATGGAAATAAATTTTTTTTGGATTGTAAGAATAACAGATGTTCACTGTAAAAAGAATAGACAATACAGAAGTTATGAAGAAGAATATAAAAATGGCCATGATCTAATCCTCACTCCCATCCAAGATAAGTGATAAATCTATTTTTAAACAAAAATGAGATAAAAGTATGCTATTTTGTCACCAGGATTTTTTTTTTTTTTTGAGACAGAGTCTCACTTTGTCGCCCAGGCTGGAGTGCAGTGGCATGATCTTGGCTCACTGCAACCTCTGCTTCCCGGGTTCACGCCATTCTCCTGCCTCAGCCTCCCAAGTAGCTGGGACTACAGGCGCCCACCACCATGCCTCGCTAACTTTTTGTATTTTCAGTAGAGACGGGGTTTCACTGTGTTAGCCAGGATGGTCTCAATCTCCTGACCTTGTGATCCACCCGCCTCGGCCTCCCAAAGTGCTGGGATTACAGGCGTGAGCCACCACACCCGGCCTTTTTTGTCACCAGGTTTTTAAAAACTTAATACATAGTGGGCACATTTTCACACCAACAGACAAGAATTAATCATCATTTGCACCACAGTTCATTGCATGGGTTTATAACCTAAGATAATAAATCCCCAATTGACAGACATTTAATTTAGTTATATTATAGACATATTGTACCTATGTCACCACAAGTTTGTCCAATTATTTCTTCAAGATAAATCTCTAGAAGGAACACTATAGAGTCAAAGGTCTCACATAATCTTTTTATATACAAAAATGCTCTCCAGAAAGGTTGCTAGAATTTTCAGCTGCGTCAACCATGTAATGAAAACACTCATTTCCCTATTAATTTACCAATACAGACTATTGCTGTTATTTTACATCTTTGCCTATCTCATTGCAGTGAGGCAGAATATTTGTCACTTTTAATTAGTGTTTTTTTTTTAATCAAAGAAGTATTTTGATGACTGCCTGTTTTCCTGTGAAGGGCCTAATCATATCTTTGCTTATTTTTCTATTGAGGTATTAAAGGAGTCTTTACAAATCAGTAAAAAAAGCATATAGATTACAGAAATTATGGGTCATATATTTTGATACATGTTTCCCATTTATAATACAAATACTCCTTATTCAAGGAAAACAATTCATAAAATTTCAGATGTGGAGAGTTGGTAAAGAAAAAGGTTTTTAAGATGCAAAATATAGGCTGGGCATGGTGGCTTGTGGCTGTAATCCCAGCACTTTGGGAGGCCTAGGTGAATGGGTCACTTGAGGTCATGAGTTCAAGACCAGCCTGGCCAATATGGTGAAACCCCATCTCTACTAAAAATACAAAAATTAGCTGGGCATGGTGGCAGACACTGTAATCCCAGCTACTTGGGAGGCTGAGGCAGAGGAATCGCTTGAACCCGGGAGGCAAAGGCTGCAGTGAGCCAAGGTCGCGCCACTGCACTCCAGCCTGGGCAACAGAGACTCTGTCTTAAAATACATATACATGCAAAATATGAAATATCATAGAGAAGGAACTTTCAGGCTGCATTAAATGGCAATAATGATATAATCAAGGGAAGAAATGGAATGAATAGTGATCCGAGGTAATAATTCTAAGAAGACCAAGAAAATTGTTGCTCGCATAAATACTTCAGAAACACTGTCACCTATTGTCATAGGTGGGCCAAAAAAAATCTAATTTGAAAAGACTTTGAGTAAAAAAGTACTAATCCCTTTCAATGAACTTACTTTTACTTCGAGTAAGTCAAAGAATGAATGCTGTGTTTGAGCACATTCTCTATTTATAAGCTCGTTTGGAAAGAAAAATTTTGATTAAGCCCTAATGGATTCTTAGTAATCTATTGGCAGGAGACTGACAAAAAAGTGATTGCCTCCTTCAGTTTGTGCCATTGGCATCTAACTCATCTCACCCTAATCCCAGCTCTACCTATTAGAAATTAACAGATAAGCAAACACAGAGGAAAATGTAATTGGTTTTTAACAACCAGGCTAAACTTAAATATTTAGATAAATATGATCCTTCCTAGGATTTTGCAGACTCCATGCTTTTTCTAAAAATACTGACTGCTCAAAACCTTTTTAGAATGATTGCTTTGGAATTATAATATCTTCAATTCCAATTTTTGAGCCAAACAAGGAGCTAGGTCTCATTATTTTATATCCAAGACCTACAACATGCTTGGCTTGTTGTAGACCTACAATATGTTTGGCTCCACAGCATATACTTAGATGAGTGAGACACAGACCTTGGTCTCAAGCATAGAGTTTACAATCTGGTAGGGGAAAATAAGACAAATACATGGATAACTTTAATACTAGACAGAACATGATTAAGTGCTCTAAGGGACAACAAATACTGGTTCAAAAGTTGGAGGCCTCAGGAAAGAATTCATAAAAAGAGGGGATATTTTCAGTGGTCCTTTAAGGGCAGTTAGGATTTCAAGAAGCAGAAGATGGTCAGAAGCAGGGTGGCATTCCACGTGGCAGAAATAGCATGGATGAAGCTAAGTAGTTAGGAAAAGATGAGGCAATCTCAGGGAACAATTAATGGCCAAGAATATATGATATATATTTATATACATACAGAGTGGTAAATAAAGAAGCATGGCAGGAGGTTAAGACCATGTTGGGCAGGGTTTAGAATACCAGGTTGAACTTGTACTTCATTGATTGCTACTAGAGATTCAGTGAAGATTGTGAGCAAAAGAGTGGAATTACCATATAACCAATAACCTGGAAGATCCAATATTTAATATATGGTACTTGCTAGGCTATTTCATAGTTTCAAAATTTTAAAAAAATTACTGGATTGCAGTTATGAACTTTTGAATTGGAAGATAACTATAAATCATCAATTTTCTTTGAAACTGGGGCTTCATATTTGAGATGCCACAATTTATAAACATCGGTTCTACGTAGACCCAATGTCTAGGAATTGGAGAAATAAAAATACTAGGGATGAGGAGGCCAGTTAAAAGGATAACAGCCCAGATGATGGGTGATCATCTAGGAGTAGGAAAAGAATGGATAAAGCAGAAAGCTGGCATTGAAGAGGGACAATCTAAAGGATGAAGGATACTAGGGAAAATAAACCATTTTACCAAGAAGACATATGTTCATCACAGCACTATTCACAATAGCAAAGAAAGGGAATCAACCAAAGTGCCCATCAATGGTGGATTAAAGAAACTGTGGTACATACACACCATGGAATACTACACAGCCATAAAAAAGGAAGAAATGATGTCCTTTGCAGCAACATTGATGCAGGTGGACCATTATCCTAAGTGAATTAACACAAATGCAGAAAACCAAACACCACATGTTCTCACTTAGAAGTGGGAGCTAAGCATTGGGTACACATGGACATAAAGATGGCAACAACAGACACTAGGAACTACTAGACGTGGGCGAGAGGGATGGGGGCAAGTGCTGAGAAACTACCTAGTGGGTCCTATGCTCACTATCTGAGTGACAAGAACATTCATACCCTAAACCTCAGCATCACACAATATACCCATGTAACAAACCTGCACATTTACCCCTTGAATCTAAAATAAAAGTTGAATTAAAAAAAAAAAAAAGAAAGGATGGTGTGGCCGGGTGTGGTGGCTCACGCCTGTGATCCCAGCACTTTGGGAGGCCAATGCGGGTGGATCACCTGAGGTCAGGAGTCCAAGACCAGGCTGGCCAACATGGCGAAACCCCATCTCTATTAAAAATACACACACACACACACATACACACACACACACACAAAATTAGCTGGGTGTGGTGGTGGGTGCCTGTAATCCCAGCTACTCAGGAGGCTGAGGCAGGAGAATTGCTTGAACCCACGAGGCAGAGGCGATCACTCTGTTGCACTCCAGCCTGGGTGACAAAAGTGAAACTCTGTCTCGAAAAAAAAAAGGTATGTGTGGAAAGAAAGATAGATAGATCTATGAGAAGGGATACTAGCTTATGCAATTGAGGAGGCTGAAACTTCCCACAATATGTTATCCACAAGCTGGAGAACCAGGAAAACTGGTAGCATGGCTGAGTTCAAATTTGAAGGCCTGAGAAGGTGGGCACCACTTGTGCAAGTCCTAGAGTTCAAAGACTGGAGAATCTGGATATCTCATGTTCAAGGGCAAGAGAAGTGTCCCAGCTCCAGAAGAGAAAGAGCAAATTTGTCTTGCCTCTGCCTTTTCGTTCTACACGGGCCCTCAGCTGATTGGATGGTGCCTGCCCACATTGGTAAGGGCAGATCTTCCTTACTCAACCCCCTGATTAAAATGTCAGTCTCTTCCAGCAACACCCTCACAGGCATACCCAGAAATAAAGCTTTACCAACTATCCGGGTACCCTTTAATACAGTCAAGTTGACACCTAAATTTGACCATCACATGGGACTTGGGTGACAGTGAAAGATAACTTTGGTACTTTGAACCCTGATGACTGGGGAGATAACTTGGCCATTAACTGAAAAAAAGGAATTCAGAAGATGGTATCTGGAGCGAGAAGAGTGGAAAAAATCTGAGTTGGAAACCCTGCTGGGATCAAAGCTCCAATGGGACACTTAAGTAGAACTGGCTAGAACCAGTGCAACAGGGTAAGACTAGATGGATGAGATAACTTAGATTTATATATCACCCTTTCCAACAAAAGATTTGAGGCAACCATGGTTGCAAAAATAGTCAATGATGGATTAAATCATAAGACAGGAATCTCCACATTAATGTTGCAAAAAGAAATATATATTACAATGAATATACTAAATATAAATATATATTACACAAAATGAGGGAGTAGAGTTCCCACATAAGGAAGAGAAAATGCCTTTGCTCTGAGAATCGTCTACTAGACAGTGTTAGGTACTTTGAGACACACTGTCTCATTTAATTTAACAAAAAACAAATGATGCAGGAAGATAAAGGACAATGAGGTTTATGGAAGAAGACATCGTGTTTGGTAATTGGATCACAATCTTTATTTGAAAGTTATTTCAAAATGTTTTTCTTTGAGGGGAGTACAGGATTAAAAGCCAAATTGTAAGTAATTAAGAAGTGGAAAGGTTAGTGAAGCAGGAGGAACATCATTTCTAAAGGTTTTAAAGGTTACGATTATAGATTGGTGCAAAAGTAATTGTGGTTTTTCCCATTGACAGTAATGGCAAACTGCAATTACCTTTGCACTGTTGATGAAAAAAGTCAAACTCCATAAAATATTTTTAGAGATTTATTCTGAGCCAAATATGAGTGACCATGGCCCGTGACACAGCCTTCAGGAGGTCCTGAGAACATGTGCCCAAGGTGGTCGGGGAGCAGCTTGGCTTTACATATTTTAAGGAGGCATGAGACATCAATCAAATACATTTAAGAAATATACTGGTTTGGTTCAGAAAGGCGGGACAATTCAAAGTAGGGGCTTCTGGGCTATAGGTAAATTTAAACATTTTCTGGTTGACAATTGGTTGAGTTTATCTGAAGACCTGGGACCCACAGAAAGGAACTGTTCAGGTTAAGATAAAGGACTGTGGAGACCCAGTTTTATTGTGCAGAGGAAGCTCTCAGCAGGACTTTAGAGAGACAGTAGGTTGTAAAATTTTGTTTCTTATCGGAACTAAATGGGTGCCTGGCTCTTAGCTGATTATCTCCTAGATCTGGAAAGGAAGTGAGAGGTGACAACGTGTTAGCAGCCCTCGCTCACTCTCAGCTCCTCCTCGGCCTCGGCGTCCGCTCAGGCCATGCTTGAAGAGCCCTTCAGCCTGCCGCTGCACTGTGGGAGCCCCTCTTTGGGCTGGTCGAGGCCAGAGCCGGCTCTCTCAGCTTGCAGGGAGGTGTGGGGGGAGAGGCGCAGGCAGGAACCAGGGCTGTGTGCAGTGCTCGCAGGCCAGCACGCGTTCCGTGTGGGTGCGGGCTTGGCAGGCCCCACGCTCAAAGTGGCCGGCCAGCACCGCTGGCCCCAGGCAGTGAGGGGCTTAGCACTCAGGCCAGCAGCTGCAGAGGGTGCGCCGGGTCCCCCAGCACTACCAGCCCACCTGCGCCACGCTTGGATTCTCACCGGGCCTCAGCCACCTCCCCACGGGGCAGGGCTCAGGACCTGCAGCTCACCATGCCCGAGCCACCCCCACCATGGGCTCCCTCACAGCCTGAGCCTCCCTGATGGGCACCGCCCCCTGCTCCACGGCGCCTGGTCCCATCGACCGCACAAGAGCTGAGGTGTGCATGTGCGCAGCACGGGACTGGAGGGCAGCTCTGCCCACAGCCCCAGCACAGGATCCACTAGGCAAAGCCAACTGGACTCTAGAGTCAGGTGGGGTCTTGGAGAACTTTTATGTCTAGCTGGAAGATTGTATATGCACCAATCAGCACTCTGTGTCTAGGTCGGGGTTTGTGGATGCACCAATCAGCACTCTGTATCTAGCTAATCTGGTGGGGACTTGGAGAACTTTTACGTCTAGCTAGAGGATTGTAAATGCACCAATCAGCACTCTGTGTCTAGCTCAAGGTTTGTAAACACACCAATCAGTGCTCTGTGTGTAGCTAAAGGTTTGTAAACGCACCAATCAGTGCTCTGTGTCTAGCTAATCCAGTGGGGACTTGGAGAACTTTTATGTCTAGCTAGACGATTGTAGATGCATCAATCAGCACTCTGTCTCTAGCTAAAGGTTTGTAAACATACCAATCAGTGCTCTGTGTCTAGCTAATCTAGTGGGGACTTGGAGAACTTTTATGTCTAGCTAGAGGATTGTAAATGCATCAATCAGCACTCTCTGTCTAGCTAAATGTTTGTAAACGCAACAATCAGTGCTCTGTGTCTAGTAATCTGGTGGGGACTTGGAGAACTTTTATGTCTAGCTGGAGGATTGTAAATGCACCAATCAGCACTCTGTGTCTAGCTCAGGGATTGTAAATGCACCAATCAGCACCCTGTCAAAATGGACCAATCAGCTTTCTGTAAAATGGACCAATCAGCTCTCTGTAAAATGGACCAATCAGCAGGATGTGGGTGGGGGCCAGATAAAGGAATAAAAGCAGGCTGACTGGGCCAGCAGCAGCAACCTGCTGGGGTCCCCTTTCATGTTGTAGAAGCTTTGTTCTTTTGCTCTTTGCAATAAATCTTGCTGCTGCTCACTCTTTGGGTCCACGCTGCCTTTATGAGCTGTAACACTCACCGCGAAGGTCTGCAGCTTCACTCCTGAAGCCAGCAAGACCACAAACCCACCAGGAGGGACAAATAACTCTGGACAGGAGGAATGAACAACTCCAGATGTGCTGCCTTTAAGAGCTGTAACAGTCACCGCAAAGGTCTGCAGCTCCACTCCTGAAGCCAGCAAGACCATGAGCCCACCAGAAGGAAGAAACTCCGGACACATCTGAACATCTGAAGAAACAAACTCCGGACACATGACACACCATCTTTAAGAACTGTAAGACTCACCGCAAGTATTCGCAGCTTCATTCTTGAAGTCGGCGAGACCAAGAACCCACCAATTCCGGACACAGAAGGAAGGAAAACAAAGGGGAAAGCAGATTCTCTACAGAATGTGGATTTTTCCCATAAGAGACTTTGCAGGACAATTTCAAGGTAGGGCAAGGAAAGATATTTTTGGGTAAAATATTTTTATTTTCTTCCTTATTATGCCAGAGTCAGATTGGAAAGTAAGTCATGATATACACGGTTAAATAAAACCCATCTGATGTGCATTTATGGTTTGGAGAACATGACTCCCCAAACCCCTTAGATAGGAATTTGAGCAAGATAAAAAAATCAGAGCTTAGTCCTCAGAACCAACCTAATGCATGATCTCCCAACTTGATCTCTATCTTCCCACAAAAGATTGACTTGGAATGACTTATTATTCCTAAAAATCAATCTATTCTTAAAGGCTTATTTGTCTCTGTAGGGTAGTTGTTAAGAGTTAAAGAAAGAAGAG
This sequence comes from Homo sapiens, assembly GCF_000001405.40. NCBI lineage: Eukaryota > Metazoa > Chordata > Mammalia > Primates > Hominidae > Homo > Homo sapiens. The sequence goes on from NC_000002.12 coordinate 227,322,719, forward strand.
AGAAACACAAAAAGTGGCTCAACAATCAAGGATAGGTTTATTTTAGAGAATAAACCTGAGAGGGGCTTCTGGCCAATTTTGGTCAGGAGCACTCTCTCTTACAGACTAAGAGTATTTAAGGGTTTAGGGTGAGAGAGCTTATCACAGGCTTGGAATATTTCTGCTTGGAGGAGAAGTTTATTACAGGGTTGGAATGTCTCTGGTTGGAGGGGAGGGGTTATCTTGGGGCTGACATCGCTCCGGTCAGAGGGAAGGTTATCTTGGGGCTGACATCGCTCGGTCAGAGGGAAGGTTATCTTGGGGCTGGCATGTGTCTGGTGGGAGAGGGGTTTATCTTAGAGTTAGAATGTTTCTGGTCGGAGGTGTCATTTGTGGTTTGTGGTCATGCTGACAGCCATTAGGCTGATGCCCTCTGGGTTGGATTTAGGTGGTTTTTGATCAAGGGGCACTTTAAAATGGCAGTGCTTCTGCTCTGTCAATAGTAGGATATGCCAACCCAAAATATGGCACTTTGGCATAAAGATTATTTTCGAGTCAAAGGCACTTAAAAAAAAAATGCAAAAAGAGCACTGTGGCTTTCCTTTTTCCTTCCTGAAAGCAGGAGATAAAACTTCCGTATGAAAGGTGCCCTCCCTGTATAAGGAGGAAGGGAGATGTTCTCAACACCAGAGACATGGAGTCAAAGCTGAGCTGTATCTGCACAAACTTACCGATTTTCATTTCCACTTTGTTACAACAACCTTTATCTTCTTAGTCACTTCTGCATTAACTGCACTAACCCAAATCTGTTTGTTTTCTCACATTTTCACAATTTACTACTCTTTTTAGCCTTCCCTAGAAAAATGGAGACTCAAAAGCACTTAGGGTCCAACTGTTAATTTGGGTCTCCATTTTTCTAGGGAAGGCTCCAATGTAAATGTAAAAATTACTAAATAAAATTTGTATGCTTTCCTCCTGTTATGTTTTATGTCTCTATTTTACGTCAGTGGAGACTAAGCTCTGATTTTTTTTTTAATCTTGCTCAAATTCCTATCTAAGGGGCCTAGGGATTCATGCCCTACAATCCATAAATTCTCATCAGATGGGTTTTATTTAACCCTATATATTGTGACTTACTTTCCAATCTGACACTGGCATAACGAGACAAGAAACAAAATCAAAATATTTTACCGCAAAACATTTTTTTTAGTTTTTGACATATCTTGAAACGGCTCTGCAAAGCTGTCCTTTGTTGGGGGAAAATCTGCATCTACATAGAATTTCTATTAACATAGCTAGATCATTTTCTTCCAGGTCCTCCCAATCCTAAAGAGATTACGTAAGAATCTAGCACCTTTTAAAGATCTGAATAGGAAACATTTGTCATCCATTGTCTCTAAGGGCAGCCACTATAAGACTTCAAAAGAACCTTGGTCTCCACAATCTTTTATTTTAACCTCAACATTTCCTTTCTATGGGTCCCAGGTCTTCAACTGTCAACCAGAAAATGTTTAAATTTACCTACAGCCTTGGAAGCCCCTGCTTTGAGTTGTCCCACCTTTCTGAACCAAACCAATGTAGTTCTTAAATTTATTTGATTGATGTCTCATGCCTCCCTAAAATACATAAAACCAAGCTGCGCCCCAACCACCTTGGACACATGTTCTCAGGACCTCCTGAGGGCTCTGTCACGGGCCATGGTCACTCACATTTGGCTCAGAATAAATCTCTTCAAATATTTTAGAGTTTGACTCTTTTCCTCATCAGTTTAATTCTTAGGCCCAGCCAAGACCCCAAGAGGGGAGAGGAAATATTTTCACTTTCCCTACACCAGTGTTAAGAAGCCCAAGAACGCAATTCAGAGGGCTTCCCAAATCATTTTGAAGAATGGTAACATCTCTAGAATATCAATTAGATCGTAGGGGAGTACATAAGTCATGTGTACACCTTTAGGTGTTTGTGAAAACCAAGGCATATAAAATATCACATTATTTGGCCTCAGTACATTCCCATACTGACAAGCACTGTACCATTTTTCCCCCGCTCTAAGCAAGGGCTTCCTGGGGGGAAGAGTCTGTGGTTGGGTGTTCAGAAGCAGAGAGTGCTCTCCCAAAGCTAAACGATGCCGCCAACTACTGTGAAACTTAACTTCCCCTCTCCCGGAATTCTCATGGAAGACAAGGTCTGATCAACCGAGGGCTTAAGAAGTATCAAATTGGAACTCATGGAATCACTGGCGGAGCTGATTTACATATGAGAATTCCTAAGCCTCACAGCATAGAAATTTTCATGCCAGATGGTCCTGAAAAAGTTGTTTTAATTGGCTACCAAAGGTTTACCTTGCAAACACCAAGTTCTTAAAGATTACAAAATCTAATAAAGCCGAAGTGTGAATTAAACTTAACCGCAAGAGGAGTCACCTGCGGTCACCTCGTTTCGCCCACAACAAAGATGTCTGCGCATCGCTTACCGTGGAGCCGTTCCAGTGCGTGGGCCACGCGTCCGCCCTTTTCCGCGTCACATGACCACGAACACTCTTCCGCTACGGCTCCCAGAAGGGGCCAGCCCGCGCCTTTCGCGCTTCTGCCCTGGCCCTCTGCGGGCCGCTCCGCCGGTGCTGTCCCTGGGCGCCTCCGTGCTCTCAGCCAACCACCTCTGAGAGCGCCCACTCGAGCGCCCCGGGAGCCAGAGGGCGGGGGTCCTCGCCGGGACCCTCCTGTGGGCCCAGGGGTGAGTGTTGACGTCTTCCCGACCCGCGACCTGCCGCCCGAGCTGGCTGCCAGGCCTATCGCCGCCGCCGAGACCCTCCGGCCAACAGGGACCCGCGGTGGCCCCGGCCCCCCCGGTAGTGTCTCCCTGACCCGAGTCCCGTCCCCGGGCCTCTTGCCTTCAACCCTGGTCTTTCCTCCTCCCCGGGACCTTGAGTCCCCGAGGAGAGCGAGGGAGAGGAGCGTCTTCTGCAGGTGTTTTTGGGCGAACCTCTTCACCTTGTGTGGTTCGGCGTCTCCTTTTGTGTATTAACCCGGACTTTTCCGACTGGAAAATAGGGGTTTGGGAAGCAGCGGGAGTCCCGTGAGCGTGAACGCCGGGCTTTGCAGGTCTTCACTCATCCTTCCCTGCCAAGGCCCTGACACCTTACAGGCTGACCTTAAACCTGCCTTGTTTAAAAGGAGGTTTTTGTGTTGTTTTGTGGCAAGTACATTTTGGAAAAGAAGGGCCTTGTTGGAAGCCCAGGTTGTGGCATCGCGGGTGGCTGCGGGCCACCCTGTCCGTCTGTGAGCATCCCTGCTCGCAGATGTGGCTGCAGGCAGTTGCTCTCGGGTTTCCTTCCAGGAGCTGGGAAGCCGGAGGAAAGCTGCGGTTCCTGTTCCGCCGAGCTTCTGACCTTCCTCTGCAGGACGTGTGCTACTATTACTATCGTAAAAGAACACCCCTGTCTACCTCCCACAAAGTTAGAAGCAAAGGGCATTCTCGAGGGAAGAGCACCCTTTCAAAAGTGACATGTTTTCATTGGAGAACATTAAAGGGGAAAAAAAAAAAAAAGGTTTCTGGCCCTTCTGCCCAAATATAGAACCATTTGTATTCAGGCCTCTCATCCACCGAGAGACTTAAGATGATCACAAATGTTTTGTCTCCCTGCGTGAAAAACATTTTTTCTGCCTCAATTCCGTTGGCTAATGAGAGCCCAAAAGAAAAACCCTTAGGAAAATTAGGACGATTTAGTTATACTTAGTAGTCTTTTCCCATGCAATTAAATTGCTTGGGGGACCTTCTATCTTTTGGTTTCAAAGGCTTGTATATTGGTTTTGCCATTTTTTCCAAAAGGAAATTGTGTTCTCTCCCTTCCTGTCTGATAGAGCTGCCTCCTTTCAGAATTGCAAAGTTTAGTCTTCGCTCTCCTCTCTTCTGGTATTGAAACTTTTCTGTGGGTTCATAACCTTATTTTAAAGTTCATTAATATATAGTTTTAAAAGTTTGCAGTGACTTTTTAAATATAGTTTCTTTGAAAAAGAACTGAAACAGGGTGTGCAGAGTGGCCCATCTGTGTGAACTAGGTCCACGCAGTAGGTAATAAACAACTGGAGGGTTTTTTTTGGTTTGTTTTTGTTTGTTTGTATGTTTGTTTTTGAAAAGTACATAAACATTTGCAACCACAGTCAGTTTGACTCAAGTTGTTTCGGTGACTTCCGAGGCTTTCTGGGTTCCAGTGTTCTAATACAGAAAATGAGAAAGTTGGGCTGGAATCATTGTGTCCCAAAATTGGTACACTTTCCGCTAGTGGCATGTGACTTGACTCTAGGCGGTACGTGGATGAGGATTTTTTTGTAATAGGATGTTTTTGCAATCTGTATTTATATATGTACAGCCATGGTTTAAGGTAGTGATACAAAATTTTCTTTTACAATACTTTTTTGATTTTAAAAAGTCGAGTTAAAAAAATTAACTGTAGCAAAAAGTTAATGTACTCTGTGAATATGGGAAAAAAAAAACCCATGAAGTTGGCAAGTTAGTTACTGGTGTTTGGGAACCACTGGGCTTAGAAAGTAGAAATATGAAATCATCTGTGATTCTAAGAGAGATTTTGCCTCGTTTGTTATGTAACAGAATCACGTACTGGTTGCCTACTGGATTCTAAGGTACAAAACTTCTGGAATTAACATATCAACACCAAATGAGACGTTTATTTATTGCCAAAAGATATTATCAGAAATGCCACAGTCTAACGAGGGAGAAAAAAAATCAGATTTTGATTGGTTTTAAGCAGAAAACCCAATAATTGGGATAATACAGTGTTAAATCTTAGTAGAAATCCAGTTACTTTTTAAATGTAAGTAGTTCAGCTACAGGAGAACTTGGCTTTTTCCAGAAGTTGGCATTTCAGCATCCACCTTTATTTTCTAAGTCACTAGTTTTTTACAAACTCAGATATTCTCGTAAGAAAAGATGTTGCTATAGAATGGAATATAGTAGTGAGACCTATGAGATGTACTACTAGAAAGTTCGTAAGACTGAAATGCAATGAATGGAATGCAGAGAAAGCACATTTCAAGGAGATACTGAGGTTCTAGCCACTTGGTTCTCGTTTATTATTATAAAACTTCAATTTATAATGGCCAAAGGCTATAATCTTTTTGAGGTAGCTTTTTTCAGTGTTAGTTCTGAATATGAGCTTTTGCTATGCTTGAGATACACGCAAGTATTAGAAGAGCATCTCATCTGGAATGATGCACAAAAATTGATTATAAAGGTTGCCTGTGGGAACCTGGGTGGTTAAGGATAGGATTGAAAGTGGGACACTTCCTTTTCTCTGTATAGCTTGCGTACTTTGTACCGAGTACATGCATTACTAGTTCAAAATTTTAACATCGTAAGTGAATGAAAATTTAAACAGGCCGGGCACGGTGGCTCACACCTGTAGTCCCAGCACTTTAGGAGACGAAGGCCAGAGGATTTCTTGAGCCTAGGAGTTTGAGATCAGCCTGAACAACATAATAAGACCCTGTCTCAACAAAAAATACAAAAATTAGCTGGGTGTGGTGGCATATGCCTGTAGTCCCAGCTATTCAGGAAGCTCCATTGCAATCTAGCCCGGGTGACAAAAAAAAAAAAAAAAAAAAAAAAACCAATTCATTTGTTCTTCTTTAACATATATGTGTACCTATATGCATATATATACGTAAGTATTAGATTCATTTAAACTTACGTATTTTTCATCTGCCACATTTTTCTAAATACAAATCAGAAACAATGACAGAGCTAGTCTTTTATATTGCCTTAACTAATGAATAGTTGTAGGACCCCATCTGTGGAACTAAGATTGGTGGTAAGCTTAATTTTTTTCTTTCTTTATTTTCTTACTGGTCTCTTGATGTCAGGTTGTGCATCTTTGTGACTGTTACTATTTGGAGAATTTCCAGTAATGAATCCCTAATAGTGGTTTCATCTAGTTTCTCAATTAGCCCCTGTTTTTCTTCCCCAGGGACAAAAGTGGCTCTCAATCCAGCACATGCACATTGAAGCAAGTTAAAGGATTTAATATGAAGCACAGAAGCAGATAGTGCCAAATAGCAAGCAGTAGTTGTTACACATTTGTGAGTAAAAATGGTCCCTTTTGGCTTACTTTCTTAGTCTTTAAATCGTCTGCATGCCAAATCCTTAAAGATCTATGTCCCCAGAGATTTTTTGATAAAGAATAAAAGATGTGAGTTAGCAGTCATAGTCAAACCAGTTGCTGGGGCTGAGCGTCCTGAGCAACCTCTAAGAGCTCTCCTAGGCATCTCAGTGAGGCGGGGGCTTAGGGTGGGGCTATATCTCCAGCATGGAGTTTAGGAAATACCTTAGCCATGGTAAAGTCATGTATACTGTCTTTAACTTTTTATGTCTTTAATTTATATATAGTGTCTTTGCTGAAAATTTAGTGTAATTTCCATTTGAAGTTTACCCTAAATTTTGAAGTTTATTTTTATTTAAAGAAACCATTAGACGTCAAATATGTAGGCTGCCTCAGTTACATTTACTTTTTACCCTTTGTATTCCCTTCATGATTTATTCATTTGGGCTTAGTCTTAAAAAAGGATTTTTCCCCTTTGGAGTATAATGATTAGAGGAGTTTTATGGCAGTATTGTTTTCTTCGAATCTGACTTCACATTTGTATATACATTTGATACAGCTTCTCTGTATCCTGTTTGCAAAATCATAAGACAGTGACTGTGCTTACAACTGTCTTTATGATTTTTGAGGTATAGAAAAACTCTTCTTAGGATAGATTTAACAATTGGTTTCTCAAATCAAGCCCTAAGCCATGTTCAAATCCAAAAGTCATTTTACGTAGATATTTACTTTTATTCATAGTTTTCTTATGAAATGAATTGTTGAAATACTGATTTTTATTCTTTCTTTTTTACAGCTGGAAAAGCAGTGTCCGTGTTGTTATGTACACCTCCAAAAAAAGTTCAAATGTGTAGGGGAATTGTTGTGTAAAGTAAACTGAACTGCAGGGTAGCAGTATTTTAATAGCTATTATAGACCTGTATTTACTGTATTTAAATGAGTAAAGGAACAAGCAGTGACACATCACTAGGAAGGTCAGTGAAATTTTATTCAGTTGAGCTGGTATTATAGGTTTGAGAGACAATGGCTTTAAAGCTTACTGCCGTAGGCTAACCATGCTCTTTTACATTTTTATCAGCTTTTGTATTGGCGGCAACATTCTTTCTACTGCATTAAAAAAAAAAACACATGTAAATATGATATTAAATACAGATTAATAGTGTAAAACTTTCAGTCCCTCCAAAAATGAATACAAACATGAGGATTTATTATTACAAATTCTAAATTTGGTATTCATTGCATCTCAGTCATTAGGAGAAGTTTTAGTTTGTATGATGTGATTTTCAGGGAGTTGCATCTTCTTTTTTAGTAAATTCAGAGTTAATGTTATGCATCTGTCATTTAAAGGTTTTGAATAACAGATGCATTTGTCATTTAAAGGTTTTATTTTTTCATGCATGACAGTAATTTTTAATTTTATATTTTTAAAGTCCAAGCAGCTTTCCCTCAAATTGATGAGGAAATTTTAAGTTTAAATTTTATTGCAGGCATTTTTTTAGTTACAAGCAGCATGCATGTTTACGCAGAGAGTATGTGTGTATGTGTGTGTACACATTTGTGTTGTAATTCTATAATAATTTAAAAAATTTGCTCCTAAGCAATATCCTCAAGGTACAATTTCAGCTGATAATTAAGAAGGCATTTTGTTGAGGAAGACATTTTCTTTCATCTTTTATTTTTGCTTTGTATGTGTTCAGTACTTGCAAATGAGAAGTTTCCTTTCGCTCTTTCTATAAGGTATTGTCTTCTAACTTCACTGCGTAGAGGAGACTGACATTTTAACAGTCAGCCCTGTCTTTAAATTTTTCTCCCACAGGGTGAGCAGGGCAGCATTTCCTTCTCCCACTGCTGCTGAGATGGCAGAAATTAGTCGAATTCAGTACGAAATGGAATATACTGAAGGCATTAGTCAGCGAATGAGGGTCCCAGAAAAGTTAAAAGTAGCACCGCCAAACGCTGACCTGGAACAAGGATTCCAAGAAGGAGTTCCAAATGCTAGTGTGATAATGCAAGTTCCGGAGAGGATTGTTGTAGCAGGTATTTCACCTTTACTTAGAAGGTTGCCTGTTAAATCTTTGTTTTATATGTTTCTATGAAAACTTTTGAGTTTTTCTAAATGTTATTTAGAAAAGGAGTTGGAAAATGCAACTTTATACTTTTGAAATTTCTATTCATTATTATAGTCTGAATTGCAAACAGTATTTTTTAGTAATTCAACTAATTATTGAGGTTTTACACACATAAAATGTATACATTTTTAAGTGTGTACTTGATGAGTTTTGACAAAAGTGAACACCCATATAACCACCACCACAGTCCAAATAGAGACCATTTTTGTTACTCTGCAAGGTTCCTTTGTGCCTCTTTCTCACTCAGTCCCTACCCCTCAACTCTAGGCAACCATGATCTCCTTTCTATAGCCAGAGAATAGATTTGTCTTTCCTAGAGTTTCATGTAAATGGAATCATAGAGTATATACTCTTATCTGTCTTCTTTTGTTCAGTGTAATGTTTTTGAGATTCTTCTGTTGTTGCATATATCAGTTGTTCATTCAGTTTTATTGCTGGGTAATATTTCAGTTTGGATACACCATAATTTGTTTTTCCTTCATCTTCATTCGTTGATTGCTTTTTGTTTGAAGCTGTTAGGATTAAAGCCACTGTGAATATTCAGGTTCAAGTCTTTGTGAGGACATATGGTTTCATATCTTTAGGAGTGAAATTGCTGGATTATATACAAGTTATTTTCAACTTTGAAAAACTGCTAAACTGTTTTCCAAATTCTTGTACTATGTTGCATTCCATCAGTGATGAATAAGTTACAGTTGCTCCACATCCTTGCCAACATTTTGTATTGTCAGTCTTTTTAATTTTAGCTGTTTGAGTGGGCGTGTAGTGCCATCTTGCGATGTTAATTCTATTTCCCTGATTATTAATAATTTTGAACATCTGCTCATGTGCTTTTTGTCCATTTATATATATTTGTTGTGAAGTATCTATTCAAATGTTGTGTCAGTTTAAAAAATTGGCTGTTGTAAGAGTTTTAAATATTCTAGATATCAGTTTTTTGGTTATATATTGTACATTGCATAATTTCTTATTTCTGTATGACAGTGATAAATATTAGTGAAATGTCAATACGCTGGAAGCATTTTTTTTTTTTTTTTTTTTTTTTTTTTTTGAGACGGAGTCTCGCTCTGTCGCCCAGGCTGGAGTGCAGTGGCGGGATCTCGGCTCACTGCAAGCTCCGCCTCCCGGGTTCACGCCATTCTCCTGCCTCAGCCTCCCAAGTAGCTGGGACTACAGGCGCCCGCCACTACGCCCGGCTAATTTTTTTGTATTTTTAGTAGAGACGGGGTTTCACCGTTTTAGCCGGGATGGTCTCGATCTCTTGACCTCGTGATCCGCCCGCCTCGGCCTCCCAAAGTGCTGGGATTACAGGCGTGAGCCACCGCGCCCGGCCTGGAAGCATATTTTGAAAGAAACTAATGCTTATTGGGTGGTATAATTCAAAAGCAGAAGAAGGTAAATACATTTTAACAAAAATCACTGTCTTTTTAAAAAACCTCCCGCTTTTCTCTTCTTTGTCTCTTTTCTTGAAAACTCCTAGGAAATAATGAAGATGTTTCATTTTCAAGACCAGCAGATCTTGACCTTATTCAGTCAACTCCCTTTAAACCCCTGGCACTGAAAACACCACCTCGTGTACTTACGCTGAGTGAAAGACCACTAGATTTTCTGGATTTAGAAAGACCTCCTACAACCCCTCAAAATGAAGAAGTAAGTAGAACTTTAGTATCACCGGAATTTGAAATAATGTAGACAAAGGTAAAAGAGAAGAGCAAAGAGGCTTTATCATATCTTTAGCAATATGTCATGAAAGCTTTCCATATGGAACATTACTAATAATTCTAATTTACAAATGTGCCAAATAAGTTATTATGCTATTTTTAAAATTTGAATATTATGTTTTAGGAAAAATGTAAGTTTTGTGGTAAGTATTATTAAGTTCCTGTGGTTTGAAGAAAGAGCCTTTATGGGTAGGTGTTACTTGTTAAATAATAAGAAAATGTTGGGAAGTTTAGCAATAAGAAGTAAATGTATCACTTTGTTATAAAATCAGTCTAGCAAACAGGGCAAAGAAAACCCTTTTTCGCTTGACACTACCCATTCTCGCTACTTGATTAAAAGTTTCTACTGAGCTACTCTACTGCATCACGTTAATGTGCCAGTTGACCTAAATGTAGCAGTGTAGACTAACAAGGTGTTAGTAACAGAGTTCGAATCCTGCCTTTGTCATTGACTTACAGCTAACCTTTGAAGCTGCTTTGCCGTGATGATTGCTGGGGTTACATCTTTTTCATATAGCTTTTGAACTTCTAACATGTTGTCATGAAGCTAGTATGAGACAATGTGCAAACATATGTTTTTATTAATAATGGTACTGCTTGTGTCTGGTTTCATTTTGCATGTAATACTTTCCAAAGAGGGTAAAGCACCCATACTGTCTAGGGCAATGCAATTTTCTAGGATTAGGTTCTTAGATTGTAAGTTTCTGCTGACATAATTGAGGTAATATGCTCACAGTTAGTTTGGATATTCTAGGTATTTGGTGAAAAGCACTAAATCTGAGCCTTTACATGACAGAAAGGCACTAACATACTTGCAGAATTGTATTATTTAACAAACATTTTTTAACTTTTATCTCTGAGATACTATATGCAGTATAGGAATTAATGAGACATAGTTCCTGCATTCAAAAAGTTTGCTGTCTGTCTGGTTTCAGCAGGACAATGATATGAGTGAGGGAAAGACATCAACGCATGCAGAAGATACAAAATTCTTTAATAGCAGAAAATAATGAAAGTTACCAAGATGGTTACATAAAACAAAAGTATCCAGTGTGCTCCCAGTTTAAGGCCCAGCTTTCTAACTCCCCAAAGTTCCTTGGGAATTATACCTGTGAAAATAATTGTCTTACAGTGACGATTTTGCCAGGAAAGAAATGCTCCTTATTGTATTCTTCGGGTTTTTCTGTTGGTCTTTCTGCTTCTCCTAATTGAAAGCAACCCAAGCAATTCCCTGATTGATTATTTTAAGAGTGAGTGAAGAAAGTTTGCCGGGATTTCCCTCAGTAGACCCAGGCTTTAAGACTCTACGGGGTTCATTCCTGCATTAATTGTGATATTTAGTCAAATGTGATAGATGTTCAGAGTGTATAACACTGGGGTAAAAAAGTTTGTGTGAGAATTAGAACTAATTTTGAAGACCTACTTTGCCATTTACTAACCACATAACTTTGGGCAAGTTATTTAACAGTTCTAGGGCGTATCTCTGAAATAAAGATAAGAATAATGCCAAGTGCATGAGATTGTTATGAGAATTAAATGTAATCATGCATGTTCTAATTCGTGTTAAAAGCTCAATATATATAAATGTTATTGTTAGGAGAGACTTAAAATCCTGTGGCAGGAGCCAGATCCTGAAATGAAAGACGAGTTTCTGAGATTAATACCAGCTGCTTATTGAAAGCAAAGATGATGGTTTGGACTTCAAGTTTATACAAGCTTATAGAAGGGTCCAGTAGCCTTCAAGAAGCACTCAACTGCAGTGAGCAAGGGAGGAAGGGGTAAGGGAGCCAGGGTTCTAGTAGCTTCTAGAAATTGACTGAAATAGAGAAGCAGTAAGGGCCTGAGTACTGATAACATTGATGATTCATTCAGGTGTTAACTCAGAATCGATAAAGTGAGATCCCCAGAACATTTGCTCTGTATCATTCTGCAGTGGATGCTAGAATGAGGTAGAGCAATAGTGCTCTACCTCAGCACTGTTGGCATTTTGGACTGGAAAATTCCTTGTTGTGGTGAGAGCCACCTTTTTGCACTGTAGAATGTTTGCAACATTTGTGATCTCTATCTACAAGATGCCATTACCGTCTTCCAAGTCATGATATCCAAAAATGTCTGTAATAGCAAAAAGGTGGAAGCAAGTAAAATATCCATCAGCTGATGAATGGATAAGCAAAACATCATCTAGCCATATAGTAACTCTTATTCAGCCATAAAAAAATGAGGTACTGGCTGGGTGCGGTGGCTCATGCCTGCAATCCCAGCACTTTGGGAGGCTGAGGTGGGCAGATCACTTGAGGTCAGGAGTTCAAGACCAGCCTGGCCAACATGGTGAGACCCTGTCTCTACTGAAAATACAAAAATTAGCTGGGCATGGTGGTGTGGACGCCTGTAATCCCAGCTACTCTGGAGGGGGAGGCAGGAGAATCACTTGAACCCCGGGGTGGAGGTAGCAGTGAACCGAGATTGTGCCACTGTACTCCGGTCTGGGCAACAGAGCCAGACTCTGTCTCTCAAAAAAAAAAAAAAAAGGTACTGATACATGCCACAACATGGATGAACCTTGAAAACATGTAAAGTTTAAGAAGCCAGACAACAAAGGCCATATATTGCATTTTTCTACTTACATGAAATATCCAGAGTGGCCAAATGAATGAAGACAGGATACAGAGCAGTGGTTGTCAGGGGGTTAGAGGAGAGGGGACTTGAGAGTGACTGCTTAATCAGTATGGGGTTTCCTTTTGGGCTGATGAAAATATTCCGGAATTAGATAGTGGTAATGATTACACAACGTTGTGAGTGTACTAAATGCCGCTGAATTGTACACTTCAACATGGTTAAAATTGTGTATGTTATGTGTGTTTTAAAATAAAAAAGAAAATACCTCCAGACATTGCCAAATGTTCTCTACAGGGCAAGATCACCCCCTACTGAAAACCACTGACCTATCTCAAGAAAGGAGAAGGCTTATGAGGAAGCCTATAAAATTGTTGTCTGAAAGCCTGATTGATGCAAGGGATAAATTTGTAGAAAGCAGTTGTACTTGAGTTCTTAAACTGGCTTAAAGAATCCAGGTGAGCCCTTGAGGAGGGCTTAAAACATAACATAAATAATCCCTTAGCTCAAAGACAGTTTAAAAATGTGAGGCTTGGCTGGAAGAGAGGAAGTTGACAAACACTTTCAATATGCCTAATCTCCACCAATATTTGGAAATCAGCTCTAAGATAAGACCATTGCTTGGTGATTCTGTCTGCTGGGAACTAACAAAGCAACTGTTCAATAAACCATGTGATCTGGGCATGAAATACAAAATGCCCAAGTCATGACAGTTTTCAGTGTTCCTACAGTAGACTAGGCAGTGTGAATGAGGAGAAAGAAGCTGTAACACTGACATTACCAGCTCTTCTCAAAAAGGAATCCGAACTGGAGCCAGTGGGGAAGGATCTTCCAGAGAACAAGAAAGAAGAACTGTAAAGAAAGAGTTGGAAAATGCTGCCTGTAAGAAGATTTGACACAACCTTGAACAGTGTGACTAAGTCAAAGATGTGGACTCTGCCGTTAAATCCTATCAATCAAGCCGTGATATGCTTTGAAAAAATCAGCTACAATAAACCCTAAGAGCTTTGTGAGAAGGCCATTGAAGTTGGAAGAAAAAACAGACTGGTCTAAAGATAGAGAGTAAAAGCTTTTGCCCAAGTTGGCATCTCTTACTTCAAAGAGGAGAAATACGAGAATACTATTCATTTCTATAATAAATCTTTGGAAGAGCACTGAACCCCAGATATACACAAGAATCGTCAATAGTTAGGAATTAATCTGGAAAGAGCAAAATCAGTTGGCATATATAAAATCTGACCTGATTTTGGAGGAGAAGAGTAAAGGCATTGAGTGGTTTCAGAAATGGAACTATCTCCAAGCCATGCCAGCTTTATACAGAAGCCATCAAATGGCATCCTCCACAGGATGCCAAATTCTACAGCAGTTATATCCAAAGTGTACAGCCAGAGCTGGAGGAGTAGAAGAAATATCTAGCTAGATCCACCCTTAACACAGATTATACTTAGAAAGCAGCAGCCTTAGAATCTGAAGGATGACACAAAAGCCATGAATGTCTAGCAGAAGGCCCTAGACCTGTAATTCTACCGTAAAGAAGTAGCAGATGGTTATTGGTGCCCAGTTCAATTGATATGACAACGCTAAGGATGTGAAGCAAAAAACCATAGCTATATGACATATCCTAAAACAAATGCAGAAGGGCTCCCAGGGACTCAGTGAATATTTAAAAGGGTCCTGTGGAAGCTTAGAAAATCAAGAACTTCATGAATATGGGTCTGATCACACTTTGGTGATGGTTTCTTGAGCTCTTTTTCCTTCCTCATCACTTCTGGAAAGAGGAGCTGGGACTGCAATGAGCAGAATGGAGCAAAAGTCTGGAGAGAAGAGGAAAAGCTGAATTGTATATATGTTTACACATTCATGCATGGAAAATTCAGAGATGGACACTTGCGTTCTTTGTACAGCTACAGTTTTATGGCCCTCTTAGCACAAGCATGGTCTCGTCACTCCTGACAAATTGGGCTATGTGTCCTTCCCAAAACCCGCAGTCACTGGCTTAACTGTTCTCCCCATGATTCGTGATTTTAAATTTTGGACAATGCACATGTTGGGGAGGGAAGATATTTATCCCAACTGTTCAGTCTACATTGATAATTTGTACCTTTCCCCCTTCTGCATAAAAGTCCCACAGAAAATGGGGGTGAGTATAGAGGAAAAACACGAAGGCTCTGAGTAGATTCCTGAAGAAGAGGTGGGCTTTGAACAGATTGAGAGAATCAGCCATCAAAAAACCTAGAGGACATTTACTTGCCCAGGAATTTATGAACAATCAAATTTAACTTGGGGTGTAAGCATATTAAAGGAGAATTGTATGCAAGCATGCAAAGTGTCTAGTGCTACATGTTATATAACTATGTAGCACTAGACACTGTGACCCAACTTCCAGGAAGCTGCTTGAACTTAGGAAACTATTTCTCAGCCTCCGGGATGAATAAAACTAAGTGCATAACCACTGAAGGATGATTCTGAAAGACATTTTAAAATTCTGCATTGAGGCCAGGCACAGTGGCTCACATTTGTAATCCCAGCACTTTGGGAAGCCGAAGTGGGTGGATCTCTTGAGGTCAAGAGATCACCAAGCCTGGCCAACATGGTGAAACCCCATCTCTACCAAAAAATACAAAAATTAGCTGGTCATGGTGTGTACCTGTAATCTCAGCTACTCAGGAGGCTAAGGCATGAAAATCTCTTGAACCCGGGAGGCAGAGATTGCATAAGCCAAGATTGTGCCACTGTACTCCATCCTGGGCAACACAATGAGACCCTATCTGGAAAAAAAAAAAAATCTCAGATTGAAACAAAACAAACATCCAGGCCGGGCATGGTGGCTCACACCTGTAATCCCAGTACTTTGGGAGGCCAAGGTGGGTGGATTACTTGAGGTTAGGAGTTCAAGACCAGCCTGGCCAACATGGTGAAACCCTATCTCTACTAAAAATAACAAAAATTATCTGGGCGAGATGGCATGCACCTGTAATCCCAGCTACTCGGGAGGGTGAGGCATGAGAATTGCTTGAACCCAGGAGGTGTAGGTTGCAGTGAGCTGAAATAGCACCATTGCACTCCAGCCTGGGGGAACAGAGTGACACTCTGTCTCAAAAAAAAAAAAAAGAAAAGAAAAACATCCACCTGGGATTACAGGTGTGAGCCACCGTGCCCAACCAAAAACATCAATAAATATTGATTGATATTTTGAAAATCTTAATTTTCAAGTCCTTAATTCACACACTATTTGTTTTTTTACTATAAAGTTTAATTTTTTAAAAACCATAATGTCGGCCGGGCGCAGTGGCTCACGCCTGTAATCCCAGCACTTTGGGAGGCTGAGGCAGCCAAATCATGAGATTAGGAGTTCGAGACCAGCCTGGCCAACATGGTGAAACACCGTCTCCACTGAAAATACAAAAATGAGCAAGGTGTGGTGGCACACACCTGTAATCCCAGCTACTCAGGATGCCGAGGCAGGAGAATTGCTTGAACCCGGGAGGCAGAGTTTGCAGTGAGTCAAGCCGAGATTGTGCCACTGCATTGCAGCCTGGGCGACAGAACAAGACTCTGTCTCAAAAAAAAACAAAAAAAAAAACCATAATGTTGCCATGGCTATTTTAGTGGGGGGTTTTTTGTTTGTTTTGTTTTTTTTAGTATTTTTGTTGGGCTCAGTGGCTCACACCTGTAATCCCAACACTTTGGGAGGCCAAGGTGGGCAGAACACTTGAGCTCAGGAGTTCGAGACCAGCCTGGGGAACATGGCAAAACCCCCATCTCTACAAAATACAAAAATTAGCCAGGTGCGGTGGTGTGTGCCTATAGTCCCAGCTACTTCAGAGGCTAAAATGGAAGGATCACTTGAGCCCAGGAGGCTGAGGCTGCAACGAGCCATGAGCATGCCACTGCACTCCAGCCTGGATGACAGAGCAAGATCCTATCTCAAAAAAAAAAAAAAAGGTATTTTCAAATAAGCAGAAAAGTTAATGATTATCACTGTTCTAGTTATCCATTTCTGTGTAACAAATCATCTTAAACTTAGTGGCTTAAAACAAACAAGCCTATGTTTTGCTCAAGCATTCTGTGGGTTAGGTATTTGCAGTTGCCGTGAAGGGAAAAGCTTGTTTCTGTTCTTCAATGTCTGGGGCCTAAGCTAGGAAGTCTCAAAGGCAAAGGATAACTCAACAGCTGGATCTGCAGTTATCTGAAGGTTTGCTCACTCACATGTCACTTGGTACTAGCTGTTGTCTGGGACCTCCATTAGGGTTGTTGGCAGGTGCACTTACACATGGCCTCACTGTGTGGCTACTTGGCCTTCCTTGTGTCATGGTGCCATTCTTCCAAATATGAGCAACCTGGGGAAAGAAAGGCAGAAGCTGTACTGTTATGACCTAGCCTCAGAAGTCACTTTGCATCATTTCTATAGGAGTCACCAGCCCTCTGAATTTCAGGGGAAAGAAACAGATCCTGTCTCTTAATGAAGAAGGTCAAAGATACATTTCATAAGAAGAGCATGTGGGATTAGAGATTGCAGCCATTCTGGAATGCCAAAACCATTAAGCTAGATACATTTTTAGTCTAGTTTTCAAATATTCAACCAAATCTTAATTTGTTACAACCGTAGAAGCCAGGAAGGTTTATTTATAATACAGATGCTCTCCATTTCCTATATGTGCCTGTAAACACTTTTATAAATTGTTCTTATAAATAAGTATATACCATAAGGTTAAACAAATAATAATTGTACCAAGTAAAATTGATACTTAAAAAGAAACTAGAGTAGCGTTCTTAAAGTAAATAGACATTCCTGTTTATCTGCATTATAGTAAGTAGGGTGTGTGTGTGTGTGTGTCTTGTTTTGTTTTTAAAGCAAGTCTGTCAGTAATACACTGCCTGGCAGCAATTCTTGGTTGCCTTTTCTTAGTTCGTTGTAAGTTTTTTGAGTAGCCTTGTATCGAGGTTCTTTTGATGCTAAGCAGCTACTAGCCTACTAAGAATATTTCTATTTCCTTCCCTCTCTTTGTGCCTTAACAGATCCGAGCAGTTGGCAGACTAAAAAGAGAGCGGTCTATGAGTGAAAATGCTGTTCGCCAAAATGGACAGCTGGTCAGAAATGATTCTCTGTGAGTAGAAGCACTAGCATTTTATCTCGTTTGTAAGTTTTCTCAGGATATTTTCTGTACCCATGTTTTTCTAAATAATTACTTCATGTAGTTTTTAAAATTTGTTTTACATCAATTTTATATTTTTGTAATACTTTTTGTAATCTTAAAATCTGGCCATTTTGTTGGTCCTGAGAATTTTTCAGTCACCTTATCCTTTCCTGTGTAGTATGATTTGCTAATTAAGTTGTCATAAGATGGTGAACTGGTCCTTTCCAGCTTTGCTTCTAATGAGCTATGTTAAACAGTGTAGCAAGACAAATAGAATTTTTTTCTTTCCAAAAGTATTTTTTAGCTTTCTCCCTTACGATTCATTGAATTTTTTGGTCCTTTTCATTTTCAGAACATACAAGTATGTTGTTTAAAAGACTATTTGTTTAAACCTTTCTTTTTCATTTGGTTGTATTATCAAATTCTGATCTTAAAGCTACCACAAGATTATTAATGTCAGTGCTTTTTTACTTTTTTATTAAAATTAATGGATTTTTACAAACAAAATGTTCTTCGAAAACTGGTCAGAATTTTAATCAGAAAGTCATTGTCAGTAGTGGCTTTTTAAATATAAATTAATATTTCTTCCTCATTAATGTTTTGGCCAATTTTCGTAAACTCATGAACCACATGTGATGGCAAGTATCATGTAAGCGTCTGTGGAAACTGAAAGAATCAGGAGATGATACATCTCTTCTGAGAGCTAGCAAATCTAAATAGAAGCAAAGCATTTAATTTTATTTACAAAATAACTAGAGGACAATACAGTGATTTATATTACAGCATATTAATCTCTAGTTTGGACCTCTCTAAAGAGTATAGGGGTACAGAAGGGGTTTTGTTGGGGTTAGGGTCATTGATATTAAAGGTAGAGAGAGGTTTTTTTTTTTTCAAATCCTTGCTTTGAAAGAACAAGGAAGTTCTAATTTCTATATAAATTATTTGCTTGCCTTACTGAAATTCCATTCTCTTGTGTTAGGTGAAAGGAGAACTAAAACTGCTCTGATTTCTTATAGAATATTGAAATATCTCCTAAGGTAGTTAAAATTATTCTGAAAGGCTGTGTAGGAAGAGAGCAGGTTAAAATGAATATATATCTCCTTCAGGGAATGCTTATGCAAGATTCAACCATTAGTAATATAAAATTTTTTGATTGTGTTTTCCCTAAAGGTATCTGGTTAGCAGTGATGTCAGCAGGCCCATGAAATCCATTTTTTCTAGACTATTTCCAAATGTATTACACAAACGGTAAAGAGGCTGTATCATTTATGGCTAAGGTGGCTTCTTGATCTGCTTTAGAGTGATTAAACATACACTCAAGAGCTTTAATTATTTTCTTTTTGTAACATTATCCTAAGGCAACAAAGATTTCTAGTAAGCTTTTCCACTTTATAAAGATGTGGCTTACTATTTAGGTTCTTAGCTACTTTGACATTTTATATTAATAAAAACAAGATTATTGTAATATAGCACCACTCTTATTTTTTCTCCCGAAGTATATATTATTTATAGCTGCATTCAGCTGAAGAGAAAGGAAACCCCTTTATTATGTACGAAAACCAGTCCAGTGAAGTATAATTTAGAGTAGATGATATAGATGTTTTTGTATTTACTCAATAACATAAGTTCCTCATAACAGAAAAGATTTACAGTGTTAACTAATACTTGATTTTCTTTTTTTTTCTTTAAGTTGCTTTAATGACATTTTCTAAATTTTTAGTAAAACTGAAAATCTCATTTTTGATAGTAAAAGTAATGAATCTTTATACATTTTCACAGTGAAACACTTAACATTGCTTAACCATATTTTTCATTATGGTTGTAAAGTATATTACCATGTTATGTATGTATTTTGTTAATAATGTAACTTTGCCCTTTCTTTTCCTACTGTTGTTAATTTTATAATTTACAATTTATCTTTAAGAATCTACATCTTACTAACTTTAGAATTTTGTATAATGAACATATTATTCAGTGTTGTTAACGTAGTGAGGAAAAAACAATTGATATAATACCTCTATTAAAATAATTATTAAACTCTTACTATCTTTACCTACTTTAGTGTTTTCTTTGTAACATGAAATTGTTGTGCGTCATAGTGCATGAAACTTTGCCTGTCTCCACTTTATTTTATTCCATGGCTTTAAGAATAAAAGTGCGAACGGGTATGAGAGCAGGAGCACTAGCCTTTGTTTTCTTAATTACTTCGAAGAGGCAATAAGATTGTGGTCAGCTATTAGCGCAAAAGTGAATTCTAAACAGTAAAATCAGATCTAGCTTTTTCTTTGTGTTATAAAAGCTGAATATGTAAAAGAAGCATAATTATTATTTAAGGTGGCACAGATCAGATTCTGCCCCAAGAAATAAAATTTCAAGGTTCCAGGCACCGATTTCTGCACCGGAGTACACGTAAGATTTTATCTGCTCTGCTTTTGACAAGTAGTTGTTTTGATTTTGAAGGATTATGTTAATACTAATCTATTCACCAGGTAATTGACGTATGCTATCCTAATTATCTTCCTGTTTGGCTTTTTAGTACCTCTGTTTCAGGATTTCTCAAACTGTCATTATATGCTTTATTAAGGAAAAAAAAAAACTAGACCATCTAAGGAAGTTGTATATGATTTTGCATGTGTTGGTGAAAGGAACCTGAAATATAATATGCACATAAGGACCAAGCATCCTTTTTTGTTTATTTTGCTTTGGTTGGTATAATAGTTCTCAACAGATTCAACGTCACCTGGTGCAGTGATCCCAATTTTTTTTTTTTTAATTTCAGCGCACTGTCTTTTCTTCTTCTATCTTGTTTCTGAAGGAGAATGGAGCATAAGTGTGGTTTGTCATTTATTTTATAATCCCATAGATGAAAACGATGCTTGGAAGCACTTTTTTGCTATTATTAAACCCACTCTTTCCATGTGACAAAATAAGGTATGAGAATGACTCACTCATGGAGCACAACGTTTTGGTATATAATACAGGTATTCAATAGCTAATACACTTCTTAAGCAACAGAAGAAACTGCACCGAAAGCCAACAGTTTTCCTCTTATTCTGGTTCTATTATTATGCTTCCAGGAACTATTCAGTTGCCATAGATAGTGGCAATATATTAAAATTTCCTCTGTATTTACAATTCCAAGAGAAATTAATATATTTGTGTTTTAGTGAAAATTTTTTCTCTTTATTGTTTTACCCTATTTTTTGGAAGAGTGATACCTCACCGAAGAGGTTAAATTCACAGGTTGGGAAACATTATTCCTATGAAAACTCAAAGAGGTACTTGATTTTGAACTTACTTTTAATAATGATATAGTTATGCCAAGTAAATTTTTATTTAAATTTTAATTCTGACAATTGGCTGGTGTTTTTTTGGTTGTTTTGTTTTTTTCTTTTGAGACGGAGTCTCACTGTGACTTCCAGGCTGGAGTGCAATGGCGTGATCTCAGTTCACTGCAACCTCCACCTCCCGGGTTCAAGCGATTCTCCTGCCCCAGTCTCCCAAGTAGTTGAGACTGCAGGCACATGCCACCATGCCCGGCTAACTTTTGTATTTTTAGTAGAGACAGGGTTTCATCATATTGGCCAGGCTGGTCTTGAACTCCTGACCTCAAGTGCTCTGCCCACCTTGGCCTCCCAAAGTGCTGGGATTATAGGCATGAGCCACTGTGCCCAGCCCTGGTGTTGTTTATGTAACTCTTATGTGATAAGATTTCATGTAAGCATGAGGTAGAGCTATTACTAATGAAGCATGGTAAACATCAGTGCTTTCTTCAAAATTTTCTAATCTTTTCTTTTAAAAAGGTAATGTTGAGACTTTGCTATTTTATAATATCACTGGAATCAGTTTATCAAATTGCATTTTTATTAAATTACTAATATATATATAATGCCATTTACTTAATCTTCTCAGTGCCTTTGCAGTATGTTTACTTTTTTATTTTCCACAATAGTTCACTTGTCAAAACTACAGAAACAGGAAGTCATTAAACCTTGGTTGGGTCCATGAGTGGACGGAGATGAAAGCGCTGTTTCCCTCCACAGTTGATAGCTGTGGAGTACATTTTAGCTCCTGTCAAACTGATTGCTAAAATGGAGCTTATTCTTTTTTGTTTTTACATTTATTTGTAAAAAATACCAACAAGACTGCTTAAAGTTTTAAAAAGGAAAGACAATTGCTAAATTATTTATTGCCTCTAATTACTAATGTAGTTTTGGCAGTCTTAATGGTGATTTATTTCATCTGTGGATGGAATTAAATGTTACCAAACAAGGACATTTAATCTATACAACACTGGCAAAAGTAGTCATCAATTAAAAAAAAAAAATACTCCCGATTTCGTTTTTTGTTTATGGAGGATTGCCATACACATGAATGAAAAGCTAATTTTTTTACTAATCTTTGAAATGTTAATTTCTTTTGAGAAACAACTAGAACCTCAAGTTATGTTTTTGATGCTGGTTTTTGAGGAAATAAATATCTTTACTAGTATTGATAAAAACTTAATTTCATCTTTTATCTTTCTACATAAGTATTTTTCATGTTAAATTATAACTGAGGATCATGTAAGGTTTTTTCTCATTGTATTCCAATTTCATGTGATCGTAAAATCTTAGAATTGAGAGAGATCTTATAGATTGTTTTAGAATCCAACCTTCTGCATTCCATCTTAGGAACTCTTTGCAGTTAGTCTGAAGTAAGTTTATGTTTGACTATTTTATAAGATGACCTCCTCATTTCCTATATATGGACAGAAAATACTTGTACTTTTACAGTTTAAATAAACAATTCATTATTGTTTGTTTCTG
Organism: Homo sapiens; assembly: GCF_000001405.40. NCBI lineage: Eukaryota > Metazoa > Chordata > Mammalia > Primates > Hominidae > Homo > Homo sapiens. The sequence goes on from NC_000002.12 coordinate 227,345,219, forward strand.
GCAAAAGGATTTCTCTTAGAGGAAGTAACCCTTCTTTTATTTTAATTTTTAATGGGCCAACATCCATTAAGTTTTTTTCATGGATTTGAGTTTAGTTCATTCATACTGTTGCCCCAAGATTATAATTCTAAATATTGATTATTGTAGCCTTTAATATGTTAGTATATAGCTGGTTTATTTATCAGTACAGAATGATACACAAAGTGTTCAATTTAAACCCCCAAATGCAAAGGCAAAGTACGGATTTGTCCTTTAAAACTTGCTTGAGTGAATTTAGGCAGTTAACGCTGGCTGCTCTATCAAGAAGAGTGTAAGATGGATTGTTTGTTTATGTTGATGTAGAACTGACCATTTTTTAATTCTCACAAGCAGTAAGAGCTTCAGGTTTTCCCAGTGCTGCCTAAAGAGAATTCTGAGTGTAAGACTAACATATAGTTTTGTTTCACAAATAGGATGTTTTTTTTATTTGTTTGTTTGTTTGTTTATTTGTTTTTACCCTTCTGGAATGCCTGGTATGGGTTTTGCCAATTACCATGGATCAGTAGATAATGTTGGCTTATATGTATTCCCAGAGATTGCCAGTCTCTGGACGGACATTTAAGGTCACTGGTCATGAGACTGCATCTGAAAATTTGAGTTTATCTTGACACCAAATTTGACCTAAATCCTATAGTGAATCAGGCTTGATAGATAGTTGCTTTATACGTTAAGATTTGGCTTAGATCTTTTAAGTAATCTTTGAAAAACATGGTTTTCATATTATGGTACTTCTGTCTTTGGATCACCAAGCCATTCAAAGTTATTCATAAAGCTGTGGAGGAGATTTTGTTTTTTAATTTTCTGGGACTCTGGGAATAATATCAGATGACTATAACTATCCTGTCAAAAATTATCCCACTTATTTTGTAGTTTCCAAACAAATACATGCTGTTAGAAAAGATTACACAGTCAAAATAAGAGATTTTCTTTTTTCAATTGTTTACCATCTGCTTTGTTTTTATTCTTTCAGATGTAATACACATTGGATGACATTTAGCCTGATGTTAGTTTTGCCTTGACGTTGAGAATGTTGAGCCCTCATTCCACTGTCGTAGTCTGTATGTCAGTTAAATACCTCACAATAGATAATCATACTGTAATGTTAAACAGCTCCCTGAAAATACTGACACAGATCTTAAGAGTTTAGGTTAGAACCATAAGAATTGGTTCATTCAGCTTTCAGAAAGCACTGGCAGGGGAGTCAAATGAAATTGTGAATCTCAGCCCACACATGAAAGAACGATTAAGATTATTGTCACTAAGAAGCCCAGAAATGGTTATCAGCCATTGATAATTTAAGAAGTGTCCTTGCCTTCTTTTGCTGTATTCACAGATTTGGGAATATTTTTATGCTTTAGTCATTTAACTAGAGAACATATGCTTACTATAATTAAACAATCAAAATGCTTTGTTACCATTTTCTAAGACTAATTCATCCTTAAATCAGTGTCATTTATTCGTCATAAACTTCAACTTCATTGGCTTTACGAAGTGTTTGAAATGGTGTTTTTATGGAATCACACTTTTGATTCATGTGTTTAAACTTTGACATCTGTATGTGAGAATTCCCTGTCCTACTCTTCTAATCATCCATAAGTCGACAGCAGTGTTGTTTCTTAGAAGTTGGTTTATTGAATTGGAATATAAACACGAAGTAAAGAATGCTGCTTCTCCATGGGAGGGGTTGAACACATTCATTGCTGTAGTTCTCTTCCCTCTCTACAGTTCTTTCATATTCAGTTTATTTATTTTGATGTTTAGGGTTACAAAGTTATAAGTGCTGCCTTGTAGCTAGTTTTTGGAAACAATTCAAAATATTTATTCTTTGACTGTTTTCTTGTGGGGAGAGTGAAGGGTGGGAAAGGGGCAAGAACACTAAGAAAATTAAGATAAAGACTGCTCAGCTGAAGTTTTATAAAAATCTGACTTGAGTGTTTTTCTCTTCATTTGCTGTGCTTGTGTAAACAGTGTGACACCATCGCCACAACAGGCTCGGGTCTGTCCTCCCCATATGTTACCTGAAGATGGAGCTAATCTTTCCTCTGCTCGTGGCATTTTGTCGCTTATCCAGTCTTCTACTCGTAGGGCATACCAGCAGATCTTGGATGTGCTGGATGAAAATCGCAGGTGATTGGCCATCCGTGACTCTTGACAGCTTTATTGCATATTTTTTGGCCTCTTGTTTAGTGGACTGTGGTGTCTTTCTTTTCTGTTTTTACCTTCTAGCCTCTTTCTAAGATGCAATGATTTGAAACAGCTTGCTTTACTTTCTTTTAATTTGAAATTATTGTCCAAAATTCACATTTCACAAGATTACATTAGCTTTCCTTCTGTCAGGGAGAGTATACATAGAAAGTGTAGTGATTTTTTTCAAAGGCTTTTCTAGCCTACTCTAAGTACTTGATTCCACTTAGGGATATGCCAAGGGGCCCCGTCCCATTGGATTGAGTGTTAGACTGAAGTTTACTAGTCCTCGTTAGTCTTTTGATTTAATCATTTATGCTGCTGATATGATTGGATTAATAAAGCAAATCTGAGGAGGTGATGTCAGCGCAGCTGCCAGGACACTTTTTTCCTTTCCTCTCAGCTACGGATTTCTAGGCTTGTTTTGAAAATTCCAGGTGCTATCATCTTTTTGATAATACTGATATTTTTCAGTGTTGATAATTTATCTCACTTTTGAACATCTCCAGGTAAAATCATCAGTAGTATACTTAGACTTATTCATACAAATAATTTTTTTGCAGTTATCTCAAGTACTTTTTGTCCTTGCTTTATTACTACATAATGTTTTAAAGGAAATTCAGGGAGCTTTTTTGGCATAGTGTGGGAAAGATAGAGTCAATTTCATTTCAACTCTGAACATTTATCTAGTGGCTTCTGGTAGTCAGGGTTTGAATTTTCATGATTATTTAATTGTTACTTTTTGCATTTTGAAGAATTTCACAATAAATTAAGCTATCCCTTCTAATAAATCCTGTTTCTTACCTTAGGAACGAATATGACTTCTGACTTGCACTGGACAAACTTTTTCTTGTTGAGTGCTTGTAGTCCTCACACAGGCCCTGGGTATGTCACCATACTTCGTAAGCACCTGTCCATGCTACTTATCATTGTTGAATCCAGGGCCTTTCTGAGCCTTCCCAGAGTTGACCTAGTGCTATGCATTTGGGCCCAAGGACTGAAAGCTGCACTAAGAAGAGCTTAAAAAGAAAGCTCATGGCATGAGGGTGTGGGGAGGGGAATTATATATACATGTATATGTATAGATCTGTTTTGTTTGTTTTTCCCCAAGGGTTTAGACTCCCTTTTATGCTTTTTGAAGCTTCAAAGCCATTCTTGGACTATTGGGAAGCTGTAAGAAGCAGCAAGGTTCAGAACAAAAAGCATGGATTCAGGGAGTCAGTTAGAATTAACCCGGATCCACCCCACTACATAGCTGCATGATGGCCTTGAACAAATTGCTTAGCTTCTTTTGGCCTCACTTTTCTCATCTGTTGAGAAATAGAGAGGAAGGGTAATAATATCTAGCTTTGTGAATTCTTGTGAGGATCTTCTCCCCTCCCCCACCTTTAATTATAATATAGGGATAATGGCCTCCAATTCTTTATTTAGTATGGTAGGAGATCTTTCAAACGATATTGCATATAAAGTAGCTGGCACTTAAGAGCTAATATTTACAAGGGCCTGTTTTCTCTTCCCTCCTTAAAACAGATTTATTGTCCATCAGCTAACTTGTTTAACTTTTTAATTACAATAAGTCCTTAGTGGAGACCAGATTATTAGGTGCGAGTATATCATATCAAATGCTATTACATTTAAAATATCTGAATGAGAGAGATATTTCCAAATCTTGTATAAAAAGTAATAATAGCTAGATGGCAGAGTCACAGTACATTAAAATTATATGTCCCAAAAAGTAAAAAAAGAAAAAAAATTATTTGTCCCAATTCCCCCTCACCAGCATATACACAGTTCATTGCAATAATGTGGAACTTATAAAAATATGGATTTTTTCCTCCATAATGGAAAAAAAATTGTGCCTCAGAGTCAAATGTATAAAATCAAAAATCGTATTAGTATAAACTTTGTATTTTTTTAATAATGAAAAATATTTTTGGACTTTCAGTGAAATTTTATTTCACTTTTTTACATTGTGATGAATTGATAACTCTAAAATCCCTTTTCTGGGAAGGAATTCTCTTTTCTCATTCATTTCAGTAAGTTTTTAAAAGTTCATGAAGGAGTTATATTAATAATGCTTTTCTCCTAGATCTGTAGCATTAGTTGTTACCTTGGAGCTTGGAGGGTTAGATTCTCATCAGTCTTATTGACGCTTTCAGTATTGAAAGGATTTTTTAAAGTTGTATTCACTTAGGATCTCAGTGTTGAGCAAGATTTTATCAGAATTTTAAGTGCCAAATCAGTTTTTATTTCCTTTGTGAGAAGTATCTGGCATGACTTTTCAGATATAAGAAATAGGAATGTGAAATTTGGATAATGTTCTACTTGCATGATTATAAAATAATACTGCTTATAAAATTTTAAGTGCTTCTATGTTCCTTGCTCTGTAGATCATTTTTTCTTTTCTATTTTATTACTCTTGGCTATTATGCTAATGCAATACCTTATCTTTGGTCATATGCCATCACATTAGGTGTAGTTAATTTAAACTAGAACTATTTGGCAGAAAAAGAAAAAAGCTTTCTGCTTGCTTTATCACTATGAAGTAATGCAGATTCACAATTCCTTGACATAAGAACTGTGTTCAGTTTACATTTTAAAGGACGCTGTCAAAAGGTTTGTGTACCATATATTTTTTTCTTACAAGAATGTAGATGATCTAAACCAAACTCAACGTGAAAACCAAGTTAAATCCTAGGTACATGTTAGAAAAGTTTATTTACACAGGTGAGTGTTACGCATTTGGAGAACTGATACACTGAAAATTTACCAAAGCACCAGGTGTGTCATTTGCTCAGGTGCAGCAGAAATTAAAATACTATTATGATTTGGTCCTTAACTGGTTAGAAAATGCCGGTCTCTCCCTGTATCTGTTAGAGCTATGTATCTCATTTTACAATGTAAAATATTCGCATCTTCAAAAAGAAACTTAGTTCCTGTGTAAGAACCTTATTTAAATATTGATAGATGAGTCATGCTTAGCTCTCATTTTTACGAGGGGCTTGATTATTTTTATGCAGTTTTTCCTTAACAGATTGTACCAGCTTTGAGTGCATAGAATAAGAAACCAATGTATGAATAATTTATATTTTTGGCAAGTATCCCTATAAATATACAGCTTGGAAGACCTAGAAATCCAGAGTTGCAGTGGATACAGCGTTTGTTATTTATAATTTTTCTCTTTAAAAAAGTGTATAATTCCTGATCCCCAATTAAACTTTATTTTCTGTAGCAGATTACATTTTTATAGCAAAGAAACACATATTCTGTTACGTCAGAGTGTATTTACTCAAAAAATGTCAGTACGCAAGTTAATGGCGGAGCTTGGTGGTAGCCTTGGATTTCTTTCCCTTTTGCCACTCTACAAAACATACTGTTGAGAAGATTTTATGTATTAAATCATACTTATCGTAGAAAATGGTACTTGAATGAAGTTTCTAACTTTGCCACATACCTGTCTAATTTACTTTTACAATATATGTGTCAATTGCCAGTGTGAGAAGACAAAATGAAATACGTTGTGAAAGGTAACTGTATTATTTTCTGGCTCTGCGTTATAAAAGGGAAATCTCTGTGGTGGAATAGGTTGAATATGACAGACCCATTTGAACATACTGTGTGCATTTTAAAAAGCTTTAGGAAGCACACAGTGATGGCTTCATCTAGTTAACCATTTTCATGTTAGTGCAATTTAAGATTGTAGTTAAATAACAGGTTTCCTAATGCCACAGAGTAAATATGTTAGTAGGATGAGATGAGTTAAAGACCTGTCTTAAGCATATGTGATTTCTCCATGTTTTTTAGCCAGTAAAATAAAAGTCAAACATGTTCCCCCAAAAAGTCTCTGAATCCCTTATCATCTAGGCTCCAGAAATTTCTTTAAGCACTGGTAGTACCTTTAAGACATGTAGAAGTTAAACATTAGAATTTTCTTACATGAATTGAATTATCAGAAAATAATTTGTATTGTAGTCAAAATTCCACAGCTGTGCCAACTTACAGAAAAAATTAGTGCATTTGGTATTAAACATTTACCATTATATAATTATTGTCTTGATACTTAAATTCAGGCAAAACCAGATCAGTTACTTAGAGAATGAGATATCCAAAATAGGATTTAATAATTCTTCAAATCTTTATATGGATCCAACACTCCAGTCTCCTTTCTCTGCTTAGTAAATATTGCTGATTGTTTTAGGGGGAATTGACCAGTGAACACTTAGAAGCTTTTGTTTTCTGATTTTAAAAGATAAAACGTATTGGAAAGGTTACTGCTTATCAAAGTAGAAAGCTAACTGTCCTCTAGCGCCAAAGTATATACTGAGAATGAGTGGAAATCCCCACCAAGTTTCCCATTGCACCTTAGTCTTCATTTCCAGCAGCCCTGTATGTCACTCCTGGCTGTCTCAAGATCAGACTCAAATTGTGGATTGCCCTTCCTGTAATGTGCTCTAGCACGTCTCCTGATCTCAGCTTCAGAGTGGAGGCTTGCATTTTCACTCTGGAGAGCTGAGAGTTTGAATGAGACACAGCTGCAACGAGACATCAGGCACTACTCAAAATTAATGAGGTGGGAGGGAAGGAAGTGTGGGAAATGGAGTTTCTTGAAATTTATGAATACGGTTTTTGAGATAGAGCTGTTGATATCAGATGAGCAACTGTGGTCATACCGGTGCAGCTAACCAGGTCCTGATATGCTTTTAAAGGTGCTAGTGATTTTTTTTTTCCAACTGGAAGAAAGGAATTACACTTTTTAAGCAGAGTTGTCCTCTGTCTTAAATTTCATAAAGTAAAGCACCAAGAAAATTATTTTATATGTTGGTGCTGTTTTGTCGTGTAAATATAGATTCCCTTTGTTTCTTTGATCAATAGTAATGTTGAGTTTATGAAAATGATAAAATGGAGGACACATGAGACAAGGATTTTTTAAAGTAGTTGAGAGATATTATATTGTATTGAAATATACAATATAATCCTATTTGACATTTATTTGTCTTGTTTTTGCTTTTATTTTATTACTTCTCTGTTTCCTGATTCTGTCTTGTGCCTTCTCCCGCAAAAACCTGCCTTAGACCTGTGTTGCGTGGTGGGTCTGCTGCCGCCACTTCTAATCCTCATCATGACAACGTCAGGTAAATTTTGAGACTTCGTAATTACCAGGGTAAATGCTTGGCGGAATTTGTGTGTTGCAGGGCATGTTGCATGTCGTAGCCATGCCTGTGTTTGTAGCTGAACTTGTTTCTACAGCTTTCCTCGATGAGTACATCTTGCTTCTCTCTAAGAACAGTGAATAATCAGTCATGACATTTGGCCAATTAGTATGAGGGAAAATGTTTAATAATTATGGTATGATGTGAACAGCTATTTTATTTAAGTGTAGTGTTAATAGTTTATAGGTGGTTTATAATAATTTACATGCTAAAACAGAAAAAAGTCTTAAATCTTATTTTATGTACATCATTTTAATGGTTGCCTGAATTGTGCCCAGCATTTCCTTTTAAGTTGTTAATTATCTGGAATGTTACTTTTAGTGTGTGAACAAACCTGTCTTTGTTTGTAAGGCTTCATCTTAAATTGGGAGAAATCAGCATTAACAACTCCACAGTTTGGGAAGGTACATATTTAGAAAGGAAATTTAGTTTTAAGCATTTTTATCATCTGTTGATTTAAGGCCTTCTCTCTTATTTTTGCCCTTTTTACACTTTCAGACACGCGTAGGTTGAGCGTTCCTTTCTTCCTGACACGCACAGAGGCTGGCAGAATGGCACATACAAATACATGCAGTTCTTAAGTGCCAAAATCCCCATTTAGTTTTCCTATAGTCTGGAAAAAATCAAAAACTTGTTGGTATTCACAGATGCTATTACTGTATAATTTTTTCAGTCAGTTTTATTTAAGCAGAAATATATTGTCGGTAGCAGTAGATTTAAAACTGGCAGCATCGTTTCTGTGCTTAGAAGTTGGTGCATTCATTGAAGCAAGAGAAAAGGGAAGCATTAGCTGCTCATTAAAATTGAATTCATGGTGGAGGAATTGAAAAGCGTGCCTGTGGTAATCCCTTACCACTCTGCTGACTTGTTTCTTTTTACAATCTTAGTTCAGTTCATTGTCGTTTTCCCTTATATTTTTCTCTAAGTTTGTGATCTTTTATCTTTCTGTCAGAGTATTTTCAGCCAGTGGTCTAACTTAGCATTAGAGTTTTTTAGTTCTAATAAATACGGTTTTTGTTTAAAACACAATGTAAAGTAACATATTTTTGTTTTAAATTGAAGTATATAGGTAAAATCTTTTGTCATATCCTTATATTTCTTTGCAAATCGAGATTTCAGATATCTAAACCTTAGTTAATTCAGGATATAAATTGTGAGTAATCGCTTTCATTTGTACTTCATTCTGTATGTTCAGTTCAGATCCCTTTAACAATTGCTTCTGTTTGATTTTTTTCCTAATTATTCCTCTGTTATGTGGCCTCAGAGAAAGAGAAGAGTTTTATTTTGAGGATGAAGTGAAGGAAAAGGGAATCTTCTACCTTTATTTTTTCCACTAATCATTTGTAAACCCATAGTTCCAGCATCTACTAACTTAGAAGTTTACTTCTCTAACTGGTATAATTACCCTAACTGCTCCAGGTTGTTTACTGTGTTCTCATGAAATAAGGAGACAGTTAATGAGAAAGCAGGATAATTTAGCCATAGAAGGAATATTTGGAGATGGTTGTAGATTATCTAGAGTCAGTACACACCATCTATTGTTTAAGGTTTTTTGCATACTTTATTAAAGTATTTTTATTACTTTTAACAATATTTAAAACAAAAGGATTTTCTGAGTAGACTTGTCTTTAACATGTCTGGATGAAAAGTATAATTCTGCTTCATATCCCTTTTTGTGGGTATGTACTTTTTGTAGTGGGGACTTGCTGGGATAGGTATTAGAATAGATGATCCATTTGCCAATTCTCTGGACTACACAGGAATAACTTTTAATTTAGTTTATTTATATTCTGCTCATTTAGAAAATTTACTATGCCATTTTACTAAAATAACCATTTAGGGTATAAAATACATGTGAGGTGAATTATGTGGTTATATAAGTTGTATCTCAATGAAGCTATTAATTAAACTAAATTTTAAAATGTGGAAATCCAGGCAAAGAAGAGGAATGGCGTTTGTCTTTGTTTTTCAGAGGTTTAGTGTCATTCACCTAGAAATTAGTGCCGCTTTAGAAGTAACTACATTGGAACAAAAAGTACTTTTTTAATATGCTTTCTCTGGATTTTGTCTTAATGGTTTTTCAGTATTATTTTATACACAGCATTTTATTCATTATTGGGCCAATTCTGGAGCTAAATGTAGTGGTAAGATGTATTCAGGAGATTTTATAATTGTTTCTGCGGGAGAACACAGTAGAGCATAAGTAATTGGAAATAAGTAAAGAATAGGCCAGGCGTGGTTGCTCAGGCCTGTAATCCCAGCAATTTAGGAGGCTGAGGTGGGTGGATCACCTGAGGTCAGGACTTTGAGACCAGCCTGGCCAAAATGGTGAAACCCCATCTCTACTAAAAGTACAAAAATTAGCCGGGCATGGTGGCAGGTGCCTGTAATTCCAGCTACTTGGGAGGCTGAGGTAGGAGAATCACTTGAACCCCAGAGGTGGAGGTTGCAATGAGCCGAGATTGTGCCATTGCACTCCAGCCTGGGCAACAAAAGTGAAACTCTGTCTCAAAAAAATAAAAAGACAAGAAGTAAAGAATAAAAATGGCAAGACAAGAGGCAGTGAGAAGAGGTGATGAGTCTTTCTTTTTTTAGAGTTAGTCTACTTTGTGTTCCCTGCTAGTGAGTCTGTGCCTATGGGCTTACATATGGACATAAGTTTGTGTAAGAATTATATTTTGTTCTATCCTAAGTGGCAGCTCTCAAACCTTTTCAGCCAGGGACCCTTTTTAGCATCGCCAATCCTTCTGGCTTGAGAATTTTCTATGTGTTTCTTTAGTCAGGATTTTTTTCCCATTCTCCAGTTTTTAGTGCCCTTTTTCAATATTGTAGACAGTTGTCATTTTAAGCTTTTTTCTTTCCTTTATTAGTACAAATTCAGGTAGTAAAATATTTTAGTAATTCATATTATTAAGTACCAATTTTCTGAATACTACTTTGAGCATTACACAAAGCATGATGTGGCGTGCCATTTACTCTGAGTTCTACTTTACTATTCATTTGTATTTCTATCTCTTATCTGCAGGTATGGCATTTCAAATATAGATACAACCATTGAAGGAACGTCAGATGACCTGACTGTTGTAGATGCAGCTTCACTAAGACGACAGGTATTTAGTGTACCAAATAAGATATATTTCTCAGTTATATTCATACAATATTTTAAAGTGATAGTTCTCAACATTTTATTATTTTCTCTCCTGTGGGACTATCAAACTAGTAAGCCATCATTGATTTTCTCATTTTGATTAAAGATATATTAAACTACCATTTACATGTTTTGATCACCGTAAAACAGTATTACCAAGATAGATTAATGTAATTCTGGCCAGTAACAAAGAATCTTTAGCAAACCAGTACAGCCATCAGTTGCTTGTTTGGCTTTTGAAATGTGGAACAATTACTTTGGAACCTTTGTTACTGTGTTTAATAACTCCATTTTGGAAACCGCTCCTTGCAGCTTGCACAGCATCCCTGCATACGTATTTCCTGTATTCTGTAATAAATCCTTTCTTAGAACTGCAGTTGCACATGCATATTTTTTAATATGTACTCCCACAGCCTCGAGTATCACACAGACATACACACATGTGAAGAAGGCATAGTTGGTTTTCTCATTGCGTCTATACCAAATAGATATAGAGGGAAATTGGATTAAATAAGATATTTTTAGGTGAAGATCAGTAGGAGAACACAAGCTTTAGCAGGTGGTTGTTCAGCCCTGGGATTTTCACAGTAAGGGCTAACAGCAAGGATGGTACTGTCAGCCAGCAGCATTTCCAGCAGCTGGGGAATTAGCCTTCAGGCCTGAAGGGTTTGGGTGCCATATCCCAAGGCCCCCTACAGTAGATTATTTTATTGGATTGTCTCAGTAACTCAGAGGTGGACAGAGAAGGCGGTTATGCCAGGTTCAAGATGAACAACTGAGGTTGAGTGACAAGTTCATAGGAGAGGCATAGAAAGGGGAAGGAGTCCCGTATTCTTTCTGCTGTGGTAAGCCTGCCAAAATGCATACTGAGTCTTTTCTGCCAGAATAACAGTAGGTAACCGCTTCCTCACCTCACTATGTAATCAAGTTAGGAAGGAAATACACCCTTCCTAACTCAGAAATCTGAAGAAGGGAAAGGGAAAGGATGTTTAAGTGAATTTAAGCTGTCATGAATGACATGTTTTTCTATGTGTAGTTGTGTTTATTTTGCTCCAAATGAAACTTTCCATGTTTGTAATAATACTTTTGTTGACAAATTATTATACTACTTACTTTATAAGAATCTGATTGCCCTATTCATTAAAGCCTCTATATTATATTTTTTGTGTGTTTGTTTTTCACTTAGATAATCAAACTAAATAGACGTCTACAACTTCTGGAAGAGGAGAACAAAGAACGTGCTAAAAGAGAAATGGTCATGTATTCAATTACTGTAGCTTTCTGGCTGCTTAATAGCTGGCTCTGGTTTCGCCGCTAGAGGTAACATCAGCCCTCAAAAATACTGTCTCAACAGCTGGAAATATAAAAGATTTGCAAACTTCTTTGTTTCTGTCTCTGCATTGTATGCCATTTTATAGTCCACACCCTGAAAATGTATTTCTTCCAGAAAGTCTGGAGGAAGGACCTATATTTGTAGAAGTAAAGGTATATTCTGTCACTCAGCTGTATTCACGTCTGAGCAGTTCTGCAGTAACACCTGCTTAAAATTCTCCCTTTGCATGTTTTGTAAATAGGCTCCAGTTTTGTTTTTTAAAAGGAATTTATTTTTTGCCTCATCAGTCCACCCAACTGATTCTGAATGGGAGAGAGTCTGTAGAGAATTGATTCAGAAAAGTGTCTGTGAAAGAAAAACAATTATTTTGTCCTGTTTCTCAAACAGTGTTAAGCAGTTTTGTTAATAGACATTTTTGCATCGACACTTCAACATTAACACTTTCAAAGTCATGGTCTGGTGCCAGATTTAAGAAACTCGAACCACCTAATATTTCATAACCTTCTTCATTAGGTACTTGTACAGATTAATTTCTAACATTGCAGCAGTTTCATATGTGTGCAATATGTGCATTCTTTCATTTTAGTTTTGCACTTGGTTTTCTATAAAGTACGTTTTTACTCAGTTCATGCGTGAACAATTTAAAAAACGACAGAATAAGGTACAAATGTAGTGTATTTAATAAACTGTCAACCAAAGAAGTATTTGTCTGTTGAAGGATTTTATTTCATCATTTGTGCAATCAGCTACATTTTGTATCATATTACCTTATGAGTCTTCCCGTCTCAGAGCAAGTAATACAATTAATGACCTGGTAGGTAGCAAGAACCTGCTGTGCTTCCTTTCAGACCTTCATCCTGGTGGTGGTGGCTGTTGGTTGCATTGTAGGTGGTTTTCTAATTTATAATATCTATAAAGTGGTTCAGGTTTAAATACCTTGAGTTGTGTATACTTTTTTTTTTTTGAGATGGAGTCTCGCTCTGTTGCTGATGCTGGAGTCCCGTGGCATGATCTCAGCTCACTGCAACCTCCACCTCCCAGGTTCAAGTGATCCTTCTGCCTCAGCCTCCAGAGTAGCTGGGATTACAGGCGCTGGCCACCACACCCAACTAATTTTTGTATTTTTAGTAGATACAGGGTTTCGCCATGTTGGCCAGGCTGGTCTCGAACTCCTGACCTCAGGTGGTCTGCCTGCCTCAGCCTCCCAAAGTGCTGGGATTACAGCCACTGCGCCCAGCCAGAGTTGTATATACTTTTTTCATGGCAGTATTTATTTGCTAATTATATATAGGTGAATTTAAATCTCAAGGCTGGGTGTGGTGGCTCACGCCCGTAATCCTAATACTTTGGGAGGCCTAGGCGGGTGGATCACTTGAAGTCAGGAGTTCGAGACCAGCCTGGCCAATACAGTGAAACCCCATCTCTACCAAAAATACAAAAATTAGCCAGGTGTGGTGGCAGGCATGGTGGCAATAGCTGTAATCCCAGCTACTCAGGAGGCTGAGGCAGAAGAATCACTTGAACCCAGAAGGCAGAGGTTGCAGTAAGCTGAGATCATGCCACTGTACTCCAGCCTGAGTGACAGAGCCAAACTCCGTCTCAAAAAAAAACTAAAAATTTAAAAGTAAATCTCAAAAGAATTAAACCAAGTGAAGCCAAGTGCTAGACAGTTTTAGCTCTCAAAACTTATATTTCCCCATTTTCGGTTCAGAAATGGGTAGAATTCAGTTAGGTGCAACATTCTCCACACATCTTTGGTATCTTTCTTCCAAGGCAGGGAGTTTGGGGAAAGGCAGTTGAGGAAATTCCTTGGATAGAGTTAGATTTAGCATTTCCGTTCTTGCTTCTTATCCCTCTAAAATAATATCAAGACAAAGATTCTTCTCTGTACTTAGAAGTTTTCTGACTTTTGGTAATGATGCAACTATATTAATTCTAGATTTATGTATACCAGAAGGTAATTTCTGTGGTTATCCTCCAAATTGAAATCACAAAAATGAAGAAAAATGATGGATAAGGTTAGTATCTTTTGATAAACAGACATGAAAAGGATTCCACAAAGGTCAAAAAATGAAATAAAAGCAGGAATACTGAGAGAGAAGTGCGGAAGCCCTTTTTTTCCCTCATGATTCTTACCAAAGAATGGACACTTGGAGCTTTCTCCCTTAATGATTGTGCAAGGGGTAGAAGATCGACTTCCCTACCTCAGGCAGGCACCAGCTGTAACAGGAGACTCGTGAATGAAGCTAAGACCCCAACAGACGGTGAATGAAAACTCTGTTTACAGTGCAAAAGGGGACAACCAAGAAACCTGCCTTACCTGACCTTGTCACATATCTAGAAGTAGAAAAGCTTGAATCTCTCTAACTCCAAAGTTAGGATCTCTATTAAACACCTGTGTACTTCCCCTAAAAATTGTTAATTACTGTTGAAATATATTTTGGAGTTGAGAAGAACAAATTAGTTCCTGGTTAGTATAACCAGATATTTGAGCTGAGCCTTTCAACAAGCAGAGAAAGAACAAGAAAATATTCCAGGTGCAGATGATAGAGGGAGAAATGGATACAGTCAGGAGCCAAAGTCGTATCATACAACTAAGTATAGCAAATATATTGTTGCACTACTGAAAGTGCACCCTTCTCCCCACTTCTAGTAATTATGGTTGAAGTATGTGCAGGTTGTTTACACTTTGAAGGATAACATCATGGAAGTAGTATATTTTCAAGAGAGCTTTCCTTTTTCCTTCCTTCCTGCATGAATGTGTGTTTCCAGCTCCTTAACTATAGTGATTGCCCAGCCCTTATCCAAAATTCTTTGGACCAGAAGTATTTTGAATTTCAGAGTTTTTCAGATTTTCAAGTATTTACATATACATAATGAGATATCTTGAGGATGGGACCCAAGTCTAAACATGAAATTCATTTATATTTCATACATACCCTCTACACATAACCTAAAGATAATTTTATACAATATTTCAAATTTTGTGTATGAAACAAAGTTTGTGTATGCTGAACCATCAGAAAGCAAAAAGCAAAGATGTCATAGTGATATCTCAGCCACGCATGTGGACAGTCGGGTTTTTTGCCATCACTATCATTCCTGACTCTGAGTGTATATGCTGCCAATAAACAGTCATTTTTTCTTAACACTTTTTCACACATAAATACTTAACATTAAAAAATGACACACTATTAATACAGTGAAAAAACTGCGTTCAAGTAACTAAGCAGCACAGGGGCATCACCAGATACTGCACCAGCTGTTAGACAACAGCCACAACCAAGAACAGCCACGGCAAGTTTCCTGTCCCCACTGGCGGTACTGTTGGAGTAAAGATTACTGGACACTATTTTTTTCAGTGAGAAGAAACATGAGAAGCAGTTGAGAGGCTAGGAAGTGGATCCTGTGGAGACGAGGCATTCTTCTCAGTGGCTTTTTAAAGTATTTCTTCCAGAGTCATCTACCTCATGAACAATGTTTTTGTCTGAGAAACCTCTCTTTGCTTTTATAAACTGACGTGATTTCTTGTTCTGTTTTGAATACACACTGCTCTAGTCCTTCAAGAAGCCCATCACGTATTTTCACCATATAATCTGTAGGCACTTTTTCTGCAATGTTAATGTCTTCACTATTAGGATCACCTTTGATTCAGAACCGTTCAGCTATTTCACCATGGGTTGATGAACAACTGGAGACCCATCATCGATGTTAAAAACTTCAACATCCACTTCTTCCAGCTTACTGACGGACTCTGAAGGTATATTTTTTACATATATAAGGAGGTCAGACATCATTTTTTTTTCTCACTTGACATAGGGATTCCTTCCAAGTCACCACCTTGTTTATCATCATCACTGAACATAGTTGCAGGCCAGAGGTTGTGCTGGACATTCAGAACTGTGTCTTTAGTCACCGTGTTCTAGTTGTTGGCAACAGCATATGGCATCCTTCATGCTAAACTTGTTTTGGAAACCTTCTGTGCCATGCCCTGTTCACTGCTGCTAACATGCTATTCCAATAAAGTTTTTATATTTACTCATTGATGTAAGGATACTCTGGTCACTGGCTGAATTAATGAAGTCACATTTTGGGGAAAGTACATGGCATAAATATTTTGGGGGGTGATGAGAAAATTTGTAAGCACCATTGCTGACCCTTGTTCACTAGAGTACAGTGAGCTGTCTTATTTTTGTTTTAATTACATGACCATTAGCAGTTTGACAGTTCATTGAGTAAGTATCGAGTCTTCGCTAAAAGCTGAGTACTGAAGATAGGATTCATTAATTCATTCAACTAAATGCAATGTTTCTGCTTTGTACCAGGCACTGTACTAAGTACTCTTTATACCAGGAGGGAATAAACATGTTCCTGTACCCCTGGAGCTTATAGTCTAATGGGGGACAGTGAAATTTAAGAAGCAAGCACAAAGGAAAATGCAATCATCATTGTGATAAATGCTGTAAATGAAAGCATGGTAAAAGAGTAAAGGGAAACCTAGTTTTCATTAGACGTTTAGGAATAGCCTCTCAGAAAAAGTGGTATTTGTGCTGAAGTCAAGGATAAAGAGTGCTGCCAGAGATAAGGCAGGTGGGGGTAGGAATGGGGCTGGAGGTGGGGAAATGAGAGGCGTTGCTAAGGACCTGAAGAGGTGAGGGCTGATGAACGTGGTTCCTGTGCTCCTGAATACTATAGTGATGGACGTACAAACACATGTATGTTACATTATGACAGGAATGATAATAGAGGCTTGGGTAAGTGCTGACTTGGTTTATTGGATCATGAGCACTGGGAAGGCTTCCTCAAGTAGGAGATACTTAAGCTAGGCCTTAAGGACAAGTAAGTATTTGTAGGGGTGTAGGAAGAATGTTTTTATATAGTAAATGTTCAGAAAAAAGGCTTATAAGCTCTTGATGTTACTAAATTTATTTAGGCAGCTATAATGTAGGTACTGCAAATTATTTCTGGAACCTTAAGCCCAATGAACATAAACAATTGAAATATAGAAATAACATTCAGAAAATTTTAGATTTTTAGCTTTGCTGTTTTACAACATTTTAATGTGATAAATACCCTTGTTATCCTGTTTTTTAAAGATTGGCACATATAGAAAATAGCTTTTGAAAGTCTTGGGTTTTTCTAGGTATTGTTTTTTAATTAATGAATAATGTAAACATAGGAAAATAGGAGGGTATAATGAATTGCCATGTACCTGTCACCTAAATATAACAGTAAACATCTCCCCGTTGCTTTTGGTTGAAGTAATTTTAAAACATATAAATATGCATTTCTTTTTTTAAAAATGAGGACATTTCTGTATACAGGTTGAGCATCACTAATCCAAAAATTCAAAATCCAGAATGCTCCGAGATCCAAAACTTTTTGAGCCAGTAACGTAACACCACAAGTGGAAAATTCCATACCTGACCTCATGTGATGAGTTGCAGTCAAAATGCAGTCAAAATTGTGTTTCATGCACAAAGTTATTTAAAATATTGTGTGAAATTACCTTCAGGCCAGGTGTTCAAAGTGTGTATGAGACATAAATGAATTTTGTGGTTAGACTTGCATCCCATCCCCAAGATGTCTCATTATTATAGGCAAAATTCCAAAATCCAAAAAAATGTGAAAGCCAAAACACTTCTGATCTTAATCATTTTGGATAAGGGGTACTCAGCCTTTATACTATAAAACCATTATCAGACCTACCAAAATTAACAATAATCCGATTCTTCTACATACTCCTCCCAATTATCTCTGACAAAGTTTACATGTGTTTAGCTGAAACATGCCTCTATTCTCTTAATCTATAACAGTTCCCTCAAAAATATTTTTCTTTTATAACATTTTCCTGTTGAAAATTGGGCCATTCTGTGCCCGCTGACCCACTTTTTGGATTTGTCCTAGTGTTCCCTGCAAGCTGAGAATTAGATCTAAAGACTTGATTGCATTCAGGTTATGTATTTATTCTTTAAAGAAATACAATAAAAAGGTCCTGTCCTTTAGGCGCGATGGCTCATGCCTGTAATCGCAGCACTTTAGGAGGCTGAGGCAGGCAGATCACTTGAGTCCATGAGTTCGGGACCAGCCTGGGCAATATGGAAAACCCCCATCTCTACTAAAAATACAAAAATTAGCTTGGCATAGTGGCACGCACCTGTAGTCCCAGCTACTAGGGAGGCTGAGATGGGAGAATCACCTGAGCCCAGGAGGTTGAGGCTGCAGTAAGCTGAGATAGCACCACTGTACTACTGTACTCCAGCCTTTTTTGAGACCCTGTCTCAAAAAAAAAAAAAAAAAGTCCTGTACTTTTATTTTCAGGATGACTTCCGTTCCTTCTCATCCTCCTTCCCTTCTCCTTTCTCTACACACAGTGAAGAGGTAAAAAATTTGAATAGTACAACACAAAACTAATTGAAAATTCTCTCCACCTTTCCCAAATCAACCACTGATATGAGAGTGTTATGCATTTACAACGTGCTTTCTACGTGAAGGGTTGATTTTTTAAATCATCTCAAAGATGACTTTGAAAACAAGTGTACTTCTCAAATTAATTCAAACTACTGATACTTACATTTTATTCCCATTAAACTACACAATTTGACTTCTTCGCTTAGAGACTCCACACAGACAGCCAAGGAAACCGATGACTATCTGACTGAGCCCAAACAGGACCTCCAGAATTCCAACAAGCAATAGACCTAAAAATACTGAGAAGTGGATAAGCCTATGTTTGTTTTCTTCAGAATCGAAGTGGAAACTAGATGCTCTCCAGCCACTCGCCATGGTGTCGTTACTGGTGGGTTTATTGAAACCAGTAGGAGGTGCACAAGAGTCATTGAAAAACCACTGCAAGTTGAAGGATTCTGGATGAATGTCACTGAAAAACAAAAGATAAAAATCAGATATTCAGAAATATCCCTGACCAAAGGAAAGTAGCATTGTGCACATAAAAGAATGAGTGAAACGAATGTACTTTTGAAATATCGTGCCCAGAAATGACAGAGATCAGGGTTTCTGAGCATGTGTCCATATACTCTACTAGTTACAAAACTTTTATTACTTATATAGCCCATCATTTAACAAGCATCTCTATGGTACATCTTCTCTTAGGTTGAACGGTATGAAACTGCTGTTTTGGGATGTCAGAAATAGTTGAATGTCAACAGTTTTTCGTGGTTCAACCTATTTATTTTATTTATTCAGATACTCTTCTACTTGCTAGATATAAAAACTAAGGAGCCTCCCCTACCCCCCGCCACCCCCATTAAATGAGCTCAGTTCTTAGTGCAGAACTACAGCGTGGCGTCCGTTCTTCAACCAGATGTACAGTTTTTACTGATTAAATATGTCTGATTAAAGTGATGTGCCTGTTCTTAACGGGGCTGTGGAAAATGAGAAACTTTTAGCCCTAATACATCTATCTCAAGATGATTTTTTGTTTGTTTACTGTAGAGTAAAATGGAATGTTCTTAGGGAGTTTGCATTGCTGGATATCAGCAACTGACATTCAACCTGGGAAAACAACAGTATTTTCAGCACATGGAATATGAGTGTTTTGTGAAATGTGTAGCAAGCCAAGGATCACTCTCTTGTAACTTTGCTAGCCTAGCCCATCTCCGCAACTAGGCTGAGAATATCTGAGCGCTGTTGTCTGCAGAGCGTAGCCTGGTGCCTGGTACATTGTGGGCTGTTGTCATTCCCTGGGGATTTAATGTGCATAGCATCTGTGGTAGAAATCTTTAACCCTTTACTTCAAGTCTATTAGCAAGGAGACTTTCCTTGGCTTTGTTTTTGAGACACAGTCTCACTCTGTCACCCAGACTGGAGTGCAGTGGCTTGATCTTGGCTCACTGCAACCTCCGCCTCCTGGGTTCCAGCAATTCTCCCGCCTCAGCCTCCTGAGTAGCTGGGACTAGAGGCGCGTGCCACCACGCCTGGCTCATTTTTGTATTTTCAGTAGTGATGCAGTTTCACCATGTTGACCAGGCTGATCTCAAACTCCTGACCTCAAGCGATCCACCTGCCTTGGTCTCCCAAAGTGCTGGGATTACAGGCGTGAGCCGCTGTGCCTGGCCTTCCTTGGGTTTTGGTTCAAAACAAATATGCTACACAAAATTTGAGGGACTTTCTTTTTTAATGTAGCAAGGTAAGGGAAAAGGAGAAAAAATTTTTTGTATGTAACTACAAAAGTAAATTCTGGTTATTTGCTAAACTGAGCAGGCTATACAGAGAGGTAATGGATTAGATAGTTTTTTTCTTCCAGTTTTTACAAATTGTGTCTAGATTCAGTCACAGAATGATGTACTTAAAAGACTAAAATGAGCCACTTATTAAGTACATGTAACTCTCCAGTATTACTTGTTATTACATGACTTAAAATTTGGATTCATTCCCATGCATACAGTATATTTATAGCATATCTGTATGAATCCATTGGTTGCTCTTCCATTTAAGCCTACAGGCAAGGCTCTGCATTTTATTTATTGTGTTTTTATTAAATTTTTTAAATTGTAAATGTAATATTTGCTCATGGTTGACAAATTTAATTAGTTCAGAAGTGTAGAAAGTAAATGTTCTCTTCACTCTCATAAAGGGAATCCCCTATTTCCATTCTCCAAGGATGAAAGTTAAGTTTCTGGTGTATATTTGCATAATTTTTTAATATACATACACATATGTAACTGTAGATTTTTGAAAGACAAGCATAAGCCATTTGAGATCAACTAGTCCTTTTAGACAATATCTAAAAGTCCTTTTAGAGCATTGTAAATCTAATGATTCCTCCATTTTGATGTGGAGTTGTGCTAACTGGCGTTAATGTACTAAAATTCCTAAGAATCCGTTTGTCCCGGCAGTTGCATCAAATAAAAACATGGCATTGTTCCAGTACTGCATTAATCTAATCAAACTAGTTCAACTGTGTGAGACAGTAAGCCTGTGAAAATCAAGTTACTTACCTGATGTTTTTCAATGAAAATTCACAATTGGCATTACTGTTGCTTGGAGAATTACACATGAGAGGACCTTTTAAGAGAGCCTGGATGGATATCAGCATGCAATACAGAGCACCAATGACTGTGATCACACTGAAAAGTGATGAAAGAAACATCTGAAAAATAAAATAGAGCCATTTGCACATGTTATGACATGTTCTTGATCTGTTTCAAGCTTCAGGAGCGTATACAGTCTTTTTTAAATCCAGTCGCCCTAAAATCCTGGATCTTAAGATCACAGTTTATTAGGTGTGAATGATACAAAAAGGCAGAGGGCAGTCTCTGCTATTTGATTACACTCAATAAAAGATGGTTGGGGCTGGGCATGGTGGCTCACACCTGTAATCTCAGCACTGTGGGAGGCCAAGGTGGGTGGATCACCTGAGGTCAGGAGTTCAAGACCAGCCTGGCCAACATGGCAAAACCCCCTCTCTACTAAAAATACAAAAACTTAGCCAGGCTTGGTGGTGGATGCCTGTGATCCCAGCTACTTGGGAGGCTAAGGCAGGAGAATCGCTTGAACCCGGGAGGCAGTCAT
This sequence comes from Homo sapiens, assembly GCF_000001405.40. Taxonomy (NCBI): domain Eukaryota; kingdom Metazoa; phylum Chordata; class Mammalia; order Primates; family Hominidae; genus Homo; species Homo sapiens. Next base: position 227,366,667 of record NC_000002.12, read on the forward strand.
CCGAGATCGTGCCATTGCACTCCTGCTGGGTGACAGAGCAAGACTCTGTCAAAAAAAAAAAAAAAAAAAAAAAAAAAAAAAAAAAAAAAAGATGGTTTGGCTTGTCACTGTCTCTGGAAAATCTCAACTTTCATATTCCTGAGTCTCATCTGTTTCTTCTGACCACTGAGATCTAGTTCCTCCCTGTTTTATGTACTTCCTACTTCATAGAATCTTGACTGGATCTTAACTACGTTTATCTTCATGTCTGGTCTCTTGGCTCGCAAGCGTTTGGCCCTGATGCTTTAAGTGAATTTGGCCCTGATGCTTTAAGTGGCCAGTGGCCAGCATCCCACAGTGATCAGTCAACAGCATAGAGTTAGAACAGGACTTCCCAACCTCAGCACCAATGACATTTGCACACTTCGCTGTGGGGCCTTTCCTGTGCAGTGTAGGATATTTAGCAACATCACTCATCTCTACCCACTAGATGCCAATATCATCCCCCGACGCCTTGCCACCTCCAGCCCGGTTCTGACAACCAAAAATGTCTCCAGGCATTGCCAAATATCCTCTTGGGGTGGAGGTGGGTGGGTAAAATAACCCGCCGGTTGAGAGCCACTGTGTTAGAAAGATTGTACACATCTTTATTTCGTGAGTCAGTCATGAGAGCAGAAGAAGGCATGGAATTTGGCATAGGAAACTGAATGAAAGTTCGTGTTTGTTTTTCCAAAAATAAGCTCTTAGGCCAGGCACAGTGGCTCATGCCTGTAGTCCCAGCACTTTGGGAGGCCAAGGAGGGTAGATTGCTTGAGCCCAGGAGTTCGAGACTAGCCTGGGCAACGTAGTAAGAGCCCATCTCTAAAAGAAAAAAAAAAGAAGGAAACTTTTGTATTGTTTCAGTGAAGTTGTTAGTCACTGATGATTATTTCAAAATCAGCAGAAATGAAGCGAGGGAATGCTTTTCCTTTTTCTTTGCTGGGATAATGCAGCTCCCACAGGGTCTGTGTGTTGTGTTCTTGAGACCTGCCTTTTATGAGTGCAGAATAAGGTGGCTACCTATAGAGTTGTGTTGAGGGATGTTGTGCTCTACATATATCATCTCATTTAATTCTTTTCATAATCCCAAGAGGTAGATACTATTATTATTTCCATTTTATAGATGAGAAAACTGTGTATCATGGAGATGGACAAAACTTGTCAGGCTCTCACAGCTGGGAAACACTTTAATCACTATTCTTCTTCCAGCCAAAAGTTCAGAATGATGGATTTGGAGTCTACTTCAAATCCTGATTCTTCCATGCTACTGTGACTTGTGCAGTTACTTAAATGTACTCATCAAGAAGTGCCATGGTGTTTATTTTTAACCATCTATTTTTTTTTTTTTTTTTTTTTGGAGACGGAGTCTCGCTGTGTCGCCCAGGCTGGAGTGCAGTGGCATGATCTCGGCTCACTGCAAGCTCCGCCTCCCGGGTTCACGCCATTCTCCTGCCTCAGCCTCCTGAGTAGCTGGGACTACAGGCACCCGCCACCACGCCCGGCTAATTTTTTGTATTTTTAGTAGAGATGGGGTTTCACCCTGTTAACCAGGATGGTCTCCATCTCCTGACCTTGTGATCCGCCCGCCTCAGCCTCCCAAAGTGCTGGGATTACAGGCGTGAGCCACCACGCCTGGCCGCCATCTATTATTTATATATATATATATATATAATTTTTTGTTTTTGAGACGGAGCCTTTCTTTGTTTCCCAGGATAGAGTGCAGTGGCGCTATCTGGGCTCACTGTAACCTCTGCCTCCTGGGTTCAAGAAATTCTCCTGCCTCAGCCTCCCAAGTAGCTGGGATTACAGATGCCCGCCACTACACCTGGCTAATTTTTTTATTTTTATTTTTTGTATTTTTAGTAGAGACAGGGTTTCACCATATTGGCCAGGCTGGTTTCAAACTCCTGAACTCAAGTGATCCGCCCACCTCAGCCTCCCAAAGTGCTGGGATTGCAGGCGTGAGCCACCGCACCCAGCCATATTATCTTTGAGTTCTCATCCCTACAAAAGGCCTGGCTTTAGAAAGTGATTCCAGGCATGTGTATTTCCCCTAAAGGGGATTCACTTAAATGATTCAGCAAAACCATTTTGTATTCAGAAGCAAAAATAAGAACTGGAAAAAGGGAAGAAGCAAAGAACAGTTAAAATAGGGGACAAGCCTTGGTCAACCCTTTCCCTTCCTCCCAAGATGTTGCCTTTGCCACTTGTCTCATGTTTTGGTCTTATCTAGGCCTCAAAGACACCAGATACGACATAAAAACCAGTTCTTAGAGGATACACCTATCGGAAAAGCCTATATAAGTGTTTTGATATTTTTGATTTCAGGAATTCAGAAATGTCTCAGGATGTCAAGAATGTTGTGAACACCACATAGAAAAGATACAAAGTCAAATTCCAAATTATTATCGTTTACAAAGAAAAGTGACAGGGAAGGGAAACTGAAAATTAGTGTTTATTGAATACCTAAAATGTATTCAGACAAAAATAGACTAGAACTAATTAGCATAATTATTGTAATCCTAGATAAATATCAAATGTCAGAAAAAGGGTAATTTTTAAAAATATGAATCTTCCATTATGGATAGAAATATCTGGTTTGTTTTTTTTAAGTAGTGGTTCTAACCCCTGGCCAAATTATCTTGAGTGCTTTTGAAAAATACTGATGCAGAATCTCTGGCGGCCACCCAGGCACTGGTATTTTTTTAAATCTCTTTAGATAATTCTAATATCCCCATCTGTCTTTTTTTTTTTTTTTTTTGAGAGAGTCTTACTCATCTGTTGCCCAGGCTGAAGTGCAGTGATGTGATCTCGGCTCACTGAAACCTTTGCCTCCTGGGTTCAAGAGATTCTCCTGCATCAACCTTCTGAGTATCTGGGATTACAGGCATGGGCCACCGTGCCCAGCTAATTTTTGTATTTTTAGTAGAGACGGGGTTTCACCATGTTGGCCAGGCTGGTCTTGAATTCTAGACCTCAAGTGATCCTCCCACCTCAGCCTCCCAAAGTGCTGTGAGCCACCGTGCCCAGCCTAATGTTCCCATCCATCTGAGAACCATTGCTCTGAAAGCTCAAGCTCAGCCAAGCAGATTTACTGTGACTGCTTGCTGTCAATCTACCCCTTCCACAGGGAATTGTGAGAGTCCTTATGTTGCTTAATAGCCATGTTCATGGTATAAAGATCATGAATTGTGGGGTGCTCCAGTGGGTTTGGATAAAAATCCACTTACTAGTGTGCTACACTGGCAAATTATTTACTTTCTCTGAGCGTCCATTCCTTCGTCAATCAAACACACTTCTTACTTTTTCCCACTTAAGGGTTTTGAGAGAATTAAATGAAACAGCATCTCTGAAAGTGTTCTGAGCAGAGTGACACTCCGGTTAATGAATCTTAATTTACTTTTAACTTCGTTACGACTTTATACATAGTGGGTAGGCATTAAATGTTTTGGGGGAAAAAAACCTGGCAGCTCCTTTAATTTAACTGGATAAAGGCAATTGTCATTCTAATCCTAGCAAACCAGTCTGTCATTGCATGAGAGAACTGAGTACATTTTCCCTGAGTATTTTATATACGCCACAAAAATATCACACCCGAGTATTATGAAATTGATTGCAGCTGTGGGCGTGACTTACCAATCTCCTTTCTTTGAAAACCTTTAGATTGAGGAAAGGACAATCCACGGAAGACTGAGGAAGGGACAGAAGGCCAACTCTAAATGTTTGTGGGACAAAAAAACCCGTCTCACTTTTTCTACTTCTATATAATCATCCTAAATAGCATGTTTCAGGCCAGGCGCAGTGGCTCAAACCTGTAATCCCAGCACTTTGGGAGGCCGAGGCGAGCAGATCACTCGAGGTCAGGAGTTTGAGACCAGCCTGACCAACATGTTGAAACCCCCATCTCTACTAAAAATACAAAAATTAGCTGGGCGTGATGGTGTGCACCTGTAGTCCCAGCTATTCAGGAGGCTGAGGCAGGAGAATTGCTTGATCCCGGGAGGCAGAAGTTTCAGTGAACCGAGATCGCACCACTGCACTCCAGTCTCAGCAACAGAGCAAGACCCTGTCTCTAAATAAATAAATAAAAATAGCATGTTTCTAAGGCTGTGGCTCTGTCAGTGGAGCCCCACTGTGATTCGGTAGATGCGAGTGACTCAGTGTGGCTTTGCTTAGGTAGCAATAACTGTTCATGCACTTCTGCTTCCACGCCGACTGCTTCATACTTACTCCAGTTCTGTTGTTGCAGCACGCTCTTTTTCTTGCTGTCAAGGACATTGTTGTTGCTGGAATGGCCTGGAAATGACATCAACAGGAAAGATGAGTATTATAACTTCTCATCAGAAGAAAAAATAGTAATCTTCACCTTCCGTTTACCACCAGTTGTGGGAAATCAAGGCTCAAAGAACAAAAAGGGAATTTGGCAATATCCGTGGTTTTGTGAACCTTGTCATCCCAGTTTCAACCAGAAAGATTAAAAGTGGCGGCGGGAACAGGGGAATTCAAGACAGGAGTTTTGAAGTCTTCTATCTACATTCTTAGTTCACTCTGAGTCATCTGCAGAGAATTGGATTTTAAATAGATTAGGATGACTTATTTATACATTATTTTTGGAAGAAATGTTTCTGAAAGAATTGGCTGCATCATCCAAACTCTGTTGTTTGTTTGTTTAAAGAGTAGGGGTCTCACTCTCTTACCCAGGCCAGAGTGCAGTGATACGAGCATAGCTCACTGTAGCCTTGAACTCCTGGGCTCAAATAATCCTCCTGCCTTAGCCTCCTGAGTAGCTAGGACCACAGGTGTAGACCACCACACCTGGCTAATTTTAAAAATATTTTTGTAGAAGCAAGATCTCACTCTGTTGCCCAGACTGGTCCTGAACTCCTGGCCTCAAGAAAACCTCCTGCCAAGAAAACTAAAGATGTGAGCCATTACGCCTGGCCCGATTTCCCAGAAATTGTATGGATTATTCTGGCAAACCTGCAGAAAAGAAATTGATGGTTTTGTTTGCCTGGCAGTTGGGAACAAATCATTCTGTCACCACCCACTCCCACTAGCCTTTCTTTTCCCAGGATCCCGGCTATCTTGCTGGTTTCCCCAAACTTATATTTGAGAATTATTTTTGGTTCCACGTTCTCCTTTCTCTTCCTATATCCATGATATGTAATGATCTCACTTTATATATTGATGCTCAGAAATCTATAGATCGCATTCTGCCTTCAGGGAAATACACGTTGCCAAGGAAAGCTGTAAGAAAGAACACCATATTCTCAGGACTTGGGTTTCAATTTTTAGTATATCTAGGCAGCAGCTACGACTAGAAATTCTTACTGGAAGGAGTTTTGTATCATTGAAGGGTGGAATGTAATTATTTCCTTCCGCTTGAGAAATTTTAGGCGTAGGTTTTTTTGCCATCTCAGCACAGCTGCCCTTGAGTGGTTTTTCTCTCTCCTTCTACTCTCATTCTCTAACATTTTCCCGAGCTCTGGCGAATGCCAGACTCTGTTACAGGCACTTTACACGCCTTAGTTTATTCCATCCTCATAATAATCCTATGAGGTAGGTGCTATTATTATTCCCATTTTACCAATGAGAAAACTGAGGCATAGAAAGGACAAATTACTCAAATTGTCCTTCTACTTTCTTGGTAGAAGGGTTGGGATTCAAAACTAGTCATTTGGCTGGGCGCGGTGGCTCATGTCTGTAATCCCAGCACTTTAGGAGGCCGAGGTGGGTGGATCACGAGGTCAGGAGATCGAGACCAGCCTGGCCAACATGAGGAAACCCCGTCTCTACTAAAAATACAAAAATTAGCTGGGCGAGGTGGTGCACACCTGTAGCCCCAGCTACTCAGGAAGCTGAGGCAGAATTACTTGAACCTGGGAGACAGAGGTTGCAGTTAGCTGAGATCATGTGACTGCACTCCGGCCTGGCGACAGAGCGAGACTCTATCTCAAAAAAACAAACAACAACAACAAAAAAAGCTAGTCATTTGGGGTGCAGAGCCCACATAGTTTTTTGTTTTGTTTTGTTTTTTTGAGACAGGGTCTCACTCTGTCACCCAGGCTGAAGTGCGGTGGCATGATCACGGTTCACTGCAGCCTCAACACCCAGGGCTCAAGTGATCCTCCCACCTCAGCCTCCCGAGTCGTTGGGACTACAGATGCATGCCATCACGCCCTGTTAGTTTTAATTTATTCTGGGGGGCATTTTTTTGTAGAGACGGGGATTTTGCCATGTTGCCCAGGCTGGTCTCGAACTCCTGGGCTCAAGTGATCGCCTCGGCCTCCTAAAGCATTGAGATTACAGGTGAGCCTCTGTGCTCAGCCGGGACTCTTAATCCCTATTCCACACTGACTCAAGTCTTACAATTCTCCCCTATTCCTACCTAGAGTTTGTTCATTCTCATCTTCCCTGCTGCCTTCACCCTTGCCCATCTCATTGTCCTTCCAGTTACTCCCACTCTGATTCATTTATCCAAGGCCACATCTGCCTTTATTCTTTTAGCACGGGTTTAAAGTTTATGCCTCTTTACAAGGCAGCTTTCCTAACAAACCTCACTCCATCTGATGATGTACTGCCTCCATGTCACTTTGTATTATTATCAAGCTTTGCTTACACATTGCCTTGAACACCACCACCCTCCTTATTTAGAGGCCACATGTGTATATGGCTGCCTAGCCACCTTGGCGCATAGCTGAAAGCCCAGAAGAAAAGGGAAAAGAAATTTTAGCTCCCAAATAGGTATCAGTATTCGTGCACTAAACATCTTTTATTGTACACATAAGCTGTACTGCCTTTTGAGCTTACAGGACAAATCATTTAGAACGGGAACTGGCAAACTATGGCCCACCACCTCTTTCTTGTAAATAAAGTTTTATTGGAACACAGTCACATCCATGTATTTACATATTGTCTATGGCTACTTTTGTGCACCAAGAGTAGAGTTAAATTGTGTGGAAGAGGCCGGGCGCGGTGGCTCACGTCTGTAATCCCAGCACTTCAGGAAGCCAAGGTGGGCGGATCACGAGATCAGGAGATCGAGACCATCCTGGCCAACATGGTGAAACCCCATCTCTACTAAAATACAAAAAATTAGCCGGGCTTGGTGGCACGTGCCTGTAGTCCCAGCTACCAGGGAGCCTGAGGCAGAGGACTCGCTTGAACGCGGGAGGCAGAGGTTGCAGTGAGCCGAGATCGCGCCACTGCACTCCAGCCTGGTGACAGAGCGAGACTCCGTCTCAAAAAAAAAAAAAAAAAAATATGTGGAAGAGGCTGGTTTATAAACCGAAAATATTGGCTGAATATTTACAGTTTGCCAGCTACAGATTTAGAAAATTAATGATTCTTTTAAAAGAAAGTGCAAGTGTACTCCAGCCTAGATGACAAAGTGAGACCCTGTCTAAAAAAAAAAAAAAAAAAAAAAAAGTGGATTGACATTACAACTTAAATGGATAAATTGTTCTATTTTCCTTGTTGATGCAAACTGAACTCTGGTAACTTTCTTGAAGATAAGTTTATTTCAGAGTTACTAAATATTTCCTTTCATGATTCACTTACAAAGGGGTTTTATAAAGGGACAATTACTTACAGTGTATAAGTCACCACCCCACCGACTTCAAGGCGTATTAACACATCTTTGTAATGCTGTTACTGGTGATTTGACAACTCGCTGCGGTTTCAACCGCTTTCCCATTCAGAGCTCCGGAAATTGGAGGGGCTCTTTAGACAGACACTAAAACTGTGAATGGTGTGTGTGTGTGTGTGTGTATGAATTATATATAAATTTTCCAGATAATCTCCTGCCAAAATGAGTAATTATGAGAACACACTTTCTCTTCATTTCCTAAGCATATTTGAATGCCTGAGTTTTTGTAAAATTAAAAGTCTTGCTAGTCTTTTGTTTTTAAAAAGGAAAGTAATATTGTTGATTTTTTCTTACAGAGCCCCCTAATTGTATTTAGTTTGAGAAGTTACATGATTTTACAAATGAAGTGTGGAAAAACTTCAGACCATTAAAAATCCTGTGATGAAATTCAGACTTTTGGGAGTCCTCTAAGAACTTGAACATGAGAGTAACACACAAAGTCATAGCTCATTACAAATATCAAAACTATATTTTGCAGCCAGGCATGGTGGCTCATGCCTGTAATTCTGGCACTTCGGGAGGCCAAGACAGGAGGCTTGCTTGAACCCAGGAGTTTGACCCCAACCTGGGCAATATAGTGAGACCCTATCTACAAAAAAAAAAAAAAAATTTTGAGACAGAGTCTCACTCTGTCACCTAGGCTGGAGTGCAGTGGCACAATCTCGGCTCTCTGCAACTCCTGCCTCTGGGTACAAGTGATTCTCCTGCCTCAGCCTCCCGAGTAGCTGGGATTACAGGCATGCACCACCATGCCTGGCTAATTTTTGTATTTTTTGATAGAAACGGGTTTCTCCATGTTGGCCAGGCTGGTCTCGAACTCCTGCCCTCAGGTGATCTACCCACCTCAGCCTCTCAAGATGCTGGGATTACAGGCATAAGCCACCATACCTGGCCAAAAAAAAATTTAAGATAAGCTGGGCAATAGTGGTGCATGCCTATAGTCCCAGCTACTGAGGAGGCTGAAGTGGGAGGATCACTTGATCCCAGGAGGTTGAGGATGCAGTGAGTTGTGCTCACAGCACTGCATTCTAGCTTGAGTGACAGAGCATGACCTTGTCTCAAAAACAATGACCAAAAAAAACCAAAGAAAACCCACAAAAGTATATTTTACAAATGTTTGTCATGCCTAATGTCTTCTCATCTGTTTAACTTTCAACAATTTGTTTTTTTCTTTTGAGATGGAGTCTTGCTCTGTCACCTAGGCTGGAGTACAGTGGCGCGATCTCAGCTTACTGCGAGCTCCACCTCCTGGGTTCACACCATTCCCTTGCCGCAGCCTCCTGAGTAGCTAGGACAACAGGAGCCCACCACCAAGCCTGGCTAATTTTTTATATTTTTAGTAGAGACGGCGTTTCACCGTGTTAGCCAGGACGGTCTTGATCTCCTGACCTCGTGATTCGCCCGCCTCGGCCTCCCAAAGTGCTGGGATTACAGACATGAGCCACCGTGCCTGGCCAGCTTTCAACAATTTGTTCTCCATTAAGACTTCAATAGTTGACTTTGATGAGTTACTATTATCTAATAAGTGAACTCAATGAATAAGCATGATTAAGATCAGGCTCACAACCTCATATAAAATAAAATGGCCTTTCTGTTTATATGTTTTCAAGGAAACATTTTGAGATCTTTTTAAAAATACTCGAACAAATAACATTTGTATTGATTTTTCCATTTAAAGTTAAAGATAATTAAGTACATCACATTTTTACTTAGTCATAGTTTTAGAAGATGAAAAGTCCGCCTCCGTTTTAAGTAAGTCATGAAGCCATAAAATGAATATATTTCATGATGTAATCAATAATGAATTCCATAGTTTGTATAATTATCTACTTCCTGCAAAATCCCATTTTTGGTAACAATACTAATTTGAAACACTACAGTAATTCTGGAAAGATTTCAAGAACTATGACCAAAGTGCTTATCACAGGCAGTGATTTCTTCTCTATTAACTTTTTTGTGTAGTTACTAGTATATTGAAAGCTCAGTATTTTGAACTAGTGAGTATTTTCATGGATATTATAAAGGACATATTAATAAATTCCTTTGAAAAACACTTTCTTCCACATTCTCTATCTATCTGAGGATCATGAAAATATACCTGTAGTCTGAGCCCTTTTTACCACCCACCTGTTTGCTTGTGGGCATAGCCTCTGTCTATAAAGTTCATATTGGACTTTTCAAAGAGTTGTCTGATGCTTTAATGACATTCTATAATACAGAATAATAGAGATAGTCTGGTGTTTATATCTTTGATAATACTTACTGAGGGTGATAAAGTAAACTTAGCTGTAGAACGAGGAAGTTCAGATTCTCTGAAACTGTTCCACGAGTTTCTATAATCTTTCTGTGACTCAGTTTCCTGGTCACTTGACTTTATGGATTAATTTATAGATTATATCTTTCACCTCTGGCAGCCCTGAGACAGGTGTTGAGGACTACGGTACTAGCACTGGTGGAAAAACAGAGTTTTGACGTCAGATAAATCTGGAATTTCACATCCATTAGGTGACCTTGTTAACATTCCTAACTTTCTATCTGCTGGCCTATAAAATTCAAGTGATAATAAATGCACACATTATTATAGAGACTAAATGAGATAACAAGGTAATGTATGAACCCAGTAGCTGGCCTTTGGCAGACGGCCAATAAATGAGCACTTATGTCCTTCTGTCTGTCTCTGCCTTTCTCTTTCTCTTCTCTCCCTGCCACACCCGCCACCATCCTAAAATGAAGAATACAGGAGATGTAGGTATGTGTCATCGCCACCTCCGACTCCTTTAATGCTAATACATTTTTTTTAATCTCATGGGATTTGTGGCAGAGCCAATTTATATCTAAAGCTGCATGTGTTATTCTAAGTGGATTGTCTTAACTCAGGAACTTCTAGGAGCTTCATGGAAATTGCTATCGTTAAGTCATGCTCAGCCAGCTGCTCCTGGCTTCTGGTGTAAGCAAATGCAAAAGAGGCTTCTACTACTCAAGCAGAGAGAAGCCTTCTACAGGGAAGAAAACAGACACACGGATGTACAGTTGCTTCATGCTGTTGAGTTGCAATGTGTTTTCTGTCTCTCAGCCTGGAAGAGAGCATTCATGGCAGTGTGAAGAAATAGCCCAAAACTTTCCAAAAGCTTTTTCTTTAATTAGATCTTTCTACCTAAAGCAGAGGAACAGATTCTTTGTGATGGTAAAGGAAGAGTGTTTTTGTAAATCTGGGGATAATACCAGCAGCAGTAACTGATCATAATTCAGAATCAGTGATTCAAGTAGAAAACTATGTCCTGAATTTCTTTAAAAATCACCTCCACAGCCATAAAAAAGGAATGAGATCATGACCTTTGCAGGGACATGGATGGAGCTGGAGGCCATTATCCTTAAACTAACGCATGAACAGAAAACCAAAAACCGCATGTTCTCACTTGTAAGCGGGAGGTAAATGATGAGAACACATGAGCACATAAAAGGGAACAACACACACTGGTGCCTGTTGGAGGGTGGAGAGTGGAGGGTGGGAGGAGGGAGAGGATCAGGCAAAATAAATAATGGGTAGTAGGCTTAATATCTGGATGACGAAATAATCTGTACAACCAGCCCCCAAGATACACGTTTACCTATGTAACAAACCTGCACATGTACCTCTGAACTGAAAACTTAAAAAAAAAAGTTAAAAAAAAGTCACCTCCGTGTTTTATTATCTCTAAAACACTGATAATATCAGTCCTTACAGCTTACTCTCTCTCTCTCTCTCTGTCTTACACACACACACACACAGGCACACACACACATTCATTTATTTGGCACTAACTAAACCCCCTAGTGGCATAACAAACAAAAACAAGCCTCTTGGATGCTGAATTATCAACTTCAACATCCACATCCCCATTTTACACATATGGAAACAAAACCATAGGATAAATGATTTGCTTGCAGTGGTATATGGGAGGCAGAACCATAGCTGAGGTATTCTGCCATATTTGAAAGCCGTTTTCCCTATACAAATGCGTCCTACCCAGGCCTACTGCACCCAGAATTCTCAGGAGAAAATCCGTAAATCTAACTATTGCAAGTGCCTCGGGTGATTCATGTCAGTTATATTTAGGAGTTCCATCCTGCACTGCTCTGCTGCAGATTTCAACAGAGGTAGACCTAGTAACAATCACCAAACTATTCAACAAGCTCGATGTCCTAGGATCTATATAATAGCTGAGTCAAAAATTCCTTGAGGCCAGAGACCCAGGATTTTAAGTCCATGTCTCTTAGCCCAACTCCCTTCAGGTACAGGCAATGCAGCATTCATGCCTCGTAATTACCATCACCCAGGCTAGTCATCATACATGGGAATGTTTCTACTCATCCCTATTAAGCAACCTGTCACTCCTATTGCATTTTCTGTAAATACTTAGAGACTGGTATGGAGCAATGGAAAGTTGAAGGAATTAATTCAGAAGGTCCCTAACTCTAACCACAAAGCTTGAAAGAGCAGCCCTACCTGTACAGAAATGTGAGAGATAATAACCCAGCCAACTTCTACTAATTAATTTATTTTTTTGCCCAGCTCTCTATCCTATACCACATAGTGTACTTTATTTAAATTACCATTCTTCACTGATGACCAATATAAATTAATGCCATACTACTGCTCCAAATTTTATCATAAGCCAAGACATAGTTAACTGCAAGACTGGAAGACAGCTTTTAGGATTTTGGTGAAATAGGCAGGCCCTTCTTCACATCAAGTCAAATAAATATCACTCACCATCAGACCTGCTCCTATAATTCCTGGGAACCACCACTCAAAGCAAGAGATGGGGTTTTGAGAAAATTGGTCTTCCTCAACTAAGCTGACAATTAGAGGTATCGCATTGAGAACTACTCCTAACAGCAGTAGAACCAGCAGGCTGAATCCATTGCAGGATGTCCATCCTTCGCAGCAGGTCATGGTCACCCCTGGCTCAGAAACGTTGTCAAAGTGGCTATGCTTGCATGGTACTATGTTGCCTTTTATCCCAATCTTCTGGTTAAAATTTAACGCTAATAAAAAATGAATAGTGGAAAATAGTTCAGAGTCCAATAGGGTAGGACATTATTATGATGACTATGATGGGAAATGAGAAAATAATTCCATATTATGATGAGGTGAAGGAAGGAAAGCAGAAAAAAAAATCTATGAGATAAATTTATGTAAGAAGATAGGCTTACGATAAGCTCCTTTAATATACTCCTTTATTAGTATGGCTTCTAAAAAGTAAAAACAAAAATATCCAGCTAAACTATATTTTCCTGTTCTATCGATATTATTACCAGCTATGGAAGTTTCTTATTTTGAAATTGTTCAACAAGAAAATGAACACGTATGAGATGTGGAGAAAGGTATTTCCTCTGCTGCAAATATTAGAGTTTATTTCAAGCCGTATGCTCACATACACAAAAGAAAATGTTTATGTCATATTATTCCAGTGTTGCAGACTAACCCATTTAGAGATAGCCCACCTAAGACATGTGAGAGCTTTGGCTAATGCTACCAGACTGAAAGATAGCAATAGGAGAGAGATTGGATGAGGAGATTATCATATTTTATTTAAGCCCTTGAACACTTACTTGGCCATGTGCAGTACTTTACATCTCTAGACTGTGGTTCCACATTGCCTCTCCACTAGCTGGTGAGCTCCTTGAGAAAAGACTATCAGTTGGCATAAGCTTTAAAATACAAAAGTTCTGGCCAGCTGCGGTGGCTCACGCCTGTAATCTCAGTGCTTTGGGAGGCCAAAGCGAGAGGATCACCTGAGGTCAGGAGTTCGAGATCAGTCTGGCCAACATGGCAAAACCCTCATCTGTACCAAAAAAACAAAAAGTAGCCAAGCGTGGTGGCACATACCTGTGATCCCAGCTACTTGGGAGGCTGAGGCCAGAGAATCACTTGAACCTGGGGGGTGGAGGTTGCCATGAGCTGAGATTGCACCACTGCACCCCAGCCTGGGCGACAGAGGGAGACTCCATCTCAAAAAACAAAAACAATACAAAAGTTCTTGCTTATGCTGACTGACCATCCTGATCTAAATGGGGTCATGGTAGTTACTGAAAGACCTAGACTTAGACCTAGACCTAGACTGGCAGAGGCAGCTTCTTGATCCAGGCTTCCACAGTCACAGAGGCAGGGTACAAAAATGTGGTGAGCCACATACTGGATCTATATGTTTCTGCCCAGAAGCGACCCACATCACTTCTGTTCACATTTCATTGGCCAAAAAAGTCACTCAGTTATGCATGAGTTCAAGTGGGTGGAAATACAAACCAATATGTCTAGGAGAAAAGATTGGGACATTAGGCAGCTCTAATCTCTACAGCGCCTTCCTTCTGCTTCTGTGTAATCCCCCGCTCAGCCCAGAGCATAGATTCAGTGAGTGCTGTTGGGAATGGTGAAATAATGTATGCAGCGGTGCAGTCAGTGTGGGCCAAAAGCTCAGGCGTAGTAGGCTTAGAGAGCAGCGCTCCACCCTGCAGCAGTGTGGGGGGCGCACACAGCCTGGTACAAGGGGCATCCCTGGTAATGGACACCAAAACAGTAGCTCCAGACTAGGGGGTCCAGTTACTGGACCTCAGTGAAATGTGAAATCCTTTGTATGAAAGGATTTGTATAAAAGGATTAAAAATAACCCACCTATTGGCTGGGCATGGTGGCTCACCCCTGTAATCCCAGCACTTTGGGAGGGCGAGGTGGGAGGATCACTTGAGCCCAGGAGTTCGAGACCAGCCTGGCCAATATGGCAAAACCCTGTCTCTACTAAAAATACAAAAAAATTAGCTGGGTGTGGTGGCAGGTGCTTGTAATCCCAGCTACTCAGGAGACTGAGGCAGGAGAATCACTTGAACCCAGAAGGCAGTAGTTGCAGTGAGCCAAGATCACACCACTGAACTCCAGCCTGGGCAAGAGAGTGAGACGCCATCTTAAAACAAAAACAAAAAACACCCACCTATCAACACAACACACAAAACACCGAGAATAACTGAAAGAATACAACTGGGTTGAGAGACAGGAGACACTTCCATTGTATGGTTTATATACTTCTGCATGGTTGAGATTTCTACTATAATTATATAATATTCTAAAAAAATATATTTTTTATTTTATAAAAATTAATAACTAAAATTTACCCTCCCACTAAGTCATATAAATTATCTCATTCTATAACTATATATTATAATACATAAATTATATATTTATTACTGACTTGAATGAGTGGGAGGTGGTAGTTACTTACCTTAGAATGTGGGTTGTGCCATTTCAAATCTTTTTGCTGTCTTCATAAGATGTTGAATTGAAGAACTGTTTAGGGAATCATTTTATATGTAGGGAACTGGATCGGTTGGACTCCACCTGACTGTGAGAATCAAGTGTCTGATTTCCAGAGTCTTTGCCATTTGACCAAAACTGAGTAAGCTGCATGCTTTTGCTAGTGGGCATAACATAGTTCCACTCGGGTTTAGTACTCCTTACATTTGTGGCTAAAAGGAAGTATCTGAAGAATTCTGTAAAAATGTAGAAATTTAATCTGTATGTGATGAAGGGGAAGATATTTCAGTATAAAGCTGAAAAGAGAATTAGCTTATAACTGAAGAGGAGAATGATGACCACTTTTTAGTATCTGCCCAACACACGTGCCTGTTTCTGTAAAAACAACCCCCCGTAACTTACATGCATAGATCCTCTGTATTCCATTTGTGTTATGGAACTTTGCTCCCCTGGCCATTGTTGATCGGAATACTGGTAGATACAGAAGCTATGCTCTTCCAATCTCTCTAGGAGCTTGGAATTGAAACCAAGAGAAATTAGTTATTCCCCAGTATGCATGAAATGGGAGGGCATGTGTATCTGTTAAGATTAAGCTTAGTTGCACACAAAAAGAAATTTAAAATAAAAATGGCTTAAGATAGAAAGTTATTCACAAAGTCAGATGATAAGTACTTGATGTGGTTTGGACATGTCCCCACCCAAATTTCATCTTGAATTATAGTTCCCATGATCCTCACGTGTCGTGGGAGGGACCTGGTGGGAGGTAATTGAATCTTGGGGGTGGTTACCCCTATGCTGCTGTTCTCCTGATAGTGAGTGAGTTCTCACAAGATCTGATGGTTTTATAAGGGGCTTTCCCCCTTTTGCTCATTCTTCTCCTTGCTGCTGCCATGTGAAGAAGAATGTGTTTGCTTCCTCTTCCACCATGATTGAAAGTTTCCTGAGACCTCCCCAGCCTTGTGGAACTGTGAGTCAATTAAACCTCTTTCCTTTATAAATTACCCAGTCTCAGGTATGTCTTTATTAGCAGCATGAGAACAGACTAGTACAGTACTCAAGAGTTGGAGTGGGAGCTCCACTTCCTCAGAGATCCTTTCAGTGCATCTCTTCATCTGATCTCTTCATTCTCACATTCAAAATGTGGCAACCATAGCTCCAACAATTATATCTGCTCCCCACTCAGAAGGATAAAGGAAGAGAAGAAGAAAAAATAAATAAAACAAGAAGGATCAAAGAAGAGAAAGGCTCACCCTCTTTCTTTCAAAGAGCCATCTCATTGCCTAGAATGTAGCCATGTAGCAGCATGGGAAAGGTAGTATTTATTCCAAGTGATCTGTGCCCAGTTAAAACTGGGGAGAACGAGACCAAGGGTATTGGGTAGGCAACTAGAAGTCTCTACCATATTTAAATTCATGAGCTTAACCAGGCTTGGTGGCTCACACCTATAATCCCAGCTACTTGGGAGGCTGAGGTGGGAGGAGTGCTTGGGGCCAGGAATTCAAGACCAGCTAGGGCAACATAGAAAGACCCCATCCCTACAAAAAATAAAAATAACAGCCAGGCACGGTGGCTTATGCCTGTAATGGCAGTGATTTGGGAGGTTGAGGTGAGAGAATCATCTGAGGTGAGGAGTTTGAGACCAGCCTGGAGACCCCATGTCCACAAAAATATTTAGCCAGGTATGGTGGCACATACCTAAATCCCCACCTACTCAAGAGGCTGAGGCGGAAGGATTGCTTGAGCCCAGAAGTTGGAGGTTGTAGTGAGCTATGATCATGCCACTGCACTCCAGCCTGAACGACAGAGTGAGACCCTTCTGTAGAAAAAGAAAAATAAATAAAAATAATAAAAATACAATACAATACAATGAAATCATGAACGCTGCTGGGAGAAACAGAGAAACCAATCTATACAAACAGAAGGAGGAGGAGAGACAGAGAGGAGAAATATGCAGGAAGAGGAGGTAGGAGACCACACAGCTTTAGAGGGTGGTAGAGAAAGGGTGACTGCTTGGTTTCTCAATGGCATTTTACGTCTTAATTTCTACCCTATGAAAACTGACTGCAGACTCTGTCTTTGTTTTCTATGAGATGCCTCTATATTATTATCCTTTCATATTGTTTTTAGTGGGTTTCTATTTTTCTGCAACCAAAAGAGCTAAAACTAAAAGTTGCTAAAACCAAGGATGGAAAAGTATGCAAATAACTTGTCACATGGCGTGCCAAAACAGCAAAAGCCTTGGAGTTCAGAAAAAGGAAGATTCCATCAAGAAGGGCTGGGAGCCAGGATTCCACACAGCTTTGGAGCGTGGCTAGAATTTGGTATAAAAGATAGAAGGGCGTTTCATAGACTAGTGTCAGTTAGTTGCAGAAAACTGAAATTCTAGCTATGGAATTGGGAAGAGATGTAATGGGAGAATCATGTGTACAAAATTGCTGGAAGGGCTAGAAAAGCAGCCTCTAGACTTATCTGCAGAAATGCTTCGCAGGTCCCGACTGCTGAACTGGCCCGGGAGATGCCGCTGTCCCTGCAGTAGCCAAAAAGGCAGGGAAGGCTGGGCACTGTGGCTCAAGCCTGTAATCCCAGCACTTTGGGAGGCCAAGGTGGGTGGATCACCTGAGGTTAGGAGTTTGAGACCAGCCTGGCCAACATGGTGAAACCCCGTCTCTATTAAAAATACAAAAATTGGCCGGGTGTGATTGCAGACGCCTGTAATCCCAGCTGCTTGGGAGTCTGAGGCAGGAGAATCACTTGAACCTGGGAGGCGGAGGTTGCAGTGAGCCAAGATCACGCCACTGCACTCCAGCCTGGGCAACGAGAGCGAGACTCTGTCAAGAAAAAAGGCGGGGACATCAAGAAGCCACCTCTGGAACGATTAAGTTCACAAACACCCCAGTACGGCTGCGGTCCAGGAACCATTGCCGCTGTTGTCATCACCACTCTGCACACCCCGGGTTAGTGATTGAATGCTACAACACTGAATTTACCTCCGCCTCCTGGGCTGAAGTGATTCTCCTGCCTCAGCCTCTCAAGTAGCTGGGATTATAGGCACCTGCCAACACGCCCAGCTAATACAAAAATTGGTTGGGTGGGGTGGTGGGTGCCCAGCTGACTACAGCTGCCTCTGCAACTGGTTATTAACTTGCATGACGCTATCTGGACCCAGGAACATTGCTGCAGTGCAGAAAACTCAACTCCTCCACCCTAATCTTCCTTATCAGCAACAACAGATAAAAGGTGGAGGAAAATGACCTTCACCTCATTTCTGCCTTTTATACCCCTCAGGGGTTGATCTAATTCTTGCAATATCCAGATCCCAGATGCAGAGAATTCTGTGCCATGTAATTTCTAATCATCTCAGCCTCTGCTATATGGAAAAAAAGCAAATACTAGAGGGACATGGAAATGGCTATTGAGCAAGAGAGTTCACCATAGCCACCACTATGATCTCATTTAAATGGTACGGAGGAAACTTTCTCTAGAATATCTAGATCCTTTTATAAGAATCTGAACCATGTTTGTGCTTGTAACTCTAGAATGACATGCAACATTTTAAACAACAAATCAAAACTACCTAGTTAATTCAAATGAGAACAGTGTTAATGGTATTAGAAAAACTTGTGTTTGGCACGGTGGCTCACGCCTGTAATCCCAGCACTTTGGGAGGCCCAGACAGGTGAATCACTTGAGCCCAGGAGTTTGAGACCAGCCTGGGCAATGTGGTGAGACCCTGTTTCTACAAAAAAATACAAAAAATAAGCCAAGCATGGTAGCACACATCTGTGGTCCCAGCTACTCAAGAGGCTGAGGTGGGAGGATTGCTTGAGCCTGGGAAGCGGAAGTTGCAGTGAGCCGTAATCACACTACTGCACTCCAACCTGGGTGACAGAGTGAGATGCTATCTCAAAAAGAAAAAAAAAAAAGAAAAACTTTTCTTTGAAGAATGATCTACTGCAGGGACCAGTTTCACTACTTCCAGGGGAAATTCATGTGATACAAATGGGAATTAAACACCCACCAGAGTTACCTCAGGGTATCCCCTTCTAAACACACTGCAGTCAAATCAGCTAGGAGTTTTACTAGAACGTGAGCTTTATATGGTAGACACAGCTAACTGTCCATGAGAAATGTATGCTTTTCCTTTTCATATGACAAGGTTGTTGCTGGGGAAGTGTCAGTCTAGCTATGGACTGGACAAGACCATGTGATTACTGTGATTACTTCCTTTTTTTTTTTTTTTTTTTTTTGAGACAGAGTCTCACTCTGTCACCCAGGCTGGAGTGCAGTGGCACAATCTTGACTCACTGCAACCTCTGCCTCCCGGGTTCAAGCAATTCTCCTGCCTCAGCCTCCTGAGTAGCTGGGGTTGCAGGCACGTGCCACCATGCCCAGCTAATTCCTTTTTATTTTTTAGTAGAGATGGGGGTTCTCCAGGTTGGCCAAGCTGGGCTCGAACTCCTGACCTCAGGTGATCCACCCACCTCCGCCTCCCAAAGTGCTGGGATTACAGGCATGAGCCACCAACCCTGGCCAGGACCATGTGGTTACTTCTAACCAATGACAAGCTGTGTCACTGTCAAGCCACAGCGCTTAAGAAGTGTTGGGCTATCTGTTCTTTTCTTTTCTACCTATAGACTGGGGACGCACTAAGCCATCTTAGAAGCCATATCTTGAAAATGCCAGTGCTGTCTTCAGCCTAGATCCCTAAATAACTGAGTGAAGAATAGCTGCCCGAATCCTCATCCCCTCCTGCCCACCTAAAACTGCCCAGGATAGTTGACAGCAACAAGAAAAGCTTCGTTGTAGCTAATATTACCCTAATAAATTCCGAATATCCCTTGTCTTTCATCTTACAACCTTCCTAAAGTTTGCAATAAGTGTTGCCAAACATCAGCTTCATCACTCTCACCCCTCCCTCAAAAAAGACAAAAACAAATCAAAACAAACACAGTGAAATACAATATTTTTCTAGTGTTTTATTAAATTATATTTAGGAAGATAAGGGAACACTAGAAGCTGTAGCCAATATATAGTATACAACGAATATAAGCAGGTAAATAAGCACAGAATTTCCACATTTAGTAAATGTTTTGAAAGAATGGAATATATTAGTAATCGTTATTTCATTCCACTGAGCTCATGAATGTAAACTTTTGAACTTTCATCAGGTAAGCTACGGCCTGTTTTTGTTGCAGTGCAGATTATAACTGATGAATCATATGAGATTAAAGGTGATTTTTCGTGTTAACAAATTTTAATGCCCACTATAGCAAAGGTATATATATGTAAAAGCATAAGATACATAAGAGAAATCTTCAGAGCGTGAGGCTGGAGAGCCTGTGAGTTTAGTTCTGCGAACTCAATAGATCTCAATAGATTTACATGTTGTTAAAACTGAAAAGCTCCTTACTAATTCTTAGTTCAAACTTATTAGTTTATAGGTGAATAAGCAAGACTCTGGGAGGCTGACTGACTTGTTTGTGGCTGACTGCTGTGGCAGAGCATGGACTTGAATTTGGGCTTGTGACTTCTAATCAGGTGTATTTATATGAAATCACATGCTGCTCTCTCTTGCTCTCTCTCTCTCTCTCTCTCTCTCTCTCTCTCTCTCTATATATATATATATATATATATATATATAAAATATATATTTATTATATATATGTATTTTTTTCTTTGAGATGGAGTTTCACTCTTGTTGCCCAGGCTGGAGTGCAATGGTGAGATCTCAGCTCATTGCAACCTCCGCTTCCTGGGTTCAAGTGATTCTCCTGCCTCAGCCTCCAGAGTAGCTGGGACTACAGGCATTCACCACCAGGCCTGGCCAATTTTAGTATTTTTAGTAGAGACAGGGTTTCATCATGTTGTCCAGGCTGGTCTCGAACTCCTGATCTCAAATGATCCACCTGCCTCGGCCTCCTAGAACGCTGGAATTACAGGCGTGAGCCACGGCGCCTGGCCACCACTACTCAATATTTAGGTGAACCAGAGGAGATGAAAGTATACAAAGTCTACAAATCCAAGCCCAAGAAAGGGCACCTGCCCAGAGGCTGGGGTCCCTCCTAGCAACAGCATTGCTTCTGGCAGCAGCACTTCTGCTGGCAACAGCCCTTCCCACAGCTGTAGCCACACGAGCTGCAGGTGCGGCGGCAGCAGCAGATCACGGGAGTGCTGCAGCAGCCTCCACAGCAGCCACGGCAGCAGGGGCAGCAGCTGGAGCAGCAGCCCACCCGGTAGCACCTGCAGGTGGTGCATCTGCCACAGCCACCACCACAGCCACCACCGCAGCCACCACAGCCACCACAACCTCCACAACCACAGCAACCCATGGTGTCAGTAGAGAGGACTCATCAAGTAAAATCAAGTAAAATCAAGTAGGAGCAACAAGTAGTTTCAATGTCATGCCTTGAGCCCTATTTTAGAGCTGTGGCCGAGGTGCCACGGGCCCTCCTTCACAGAGGAGGTCTCCACCGTTGGTGATTCTTCAATAATCACAGGAGTGAACAGGTGCGGTGGCTCACGCCTGTAATCCCAGCACTTTGGGAGGCCAAGGCGGGTGGATCACAAAGTCAGGAGATCGAGACCATCCTGACTAACATGGTGAAACTCCGTCTCTACTAAAAATACAAAAATTTAGCTGGGCATGGTGACGCACGCTTGTAGTCCCAGCTACTCAGGAGGCTGAGGCAGGAGAATCACTTGAACCCAGGAGGCGGAGACTGCAGTGAGCCGAGATCGCACCACTGCACTCCAGCCTGGGTGACAGAATGAGACTCTGTCTCAAATATAATAATGATAATAATAATAATAATAATCACAGGAGTTTTTCATGCACCCAGTACCAACCTCAGATCTAGGCAAGATCTAGGCCCAGCCCTGGGACGTGCACTTTAGTATCCCACATATCACAAGAGTACAAAAAAAAAAATCTATGTAAAAAACGCAAGCCCTAATCCACCCCCACCACTCAGGACCCAGAGCTTAGCCCAGAAGCCTAAATATGTGCAGCTGGGACTGGTACTGCTCAGGGACCTGCTTCTTCGTGTCTCTTGCCCCACGACCTCAAAACAAGGGCTGCCAGCTTCTCCATGCCATAGAGGTTTGTGGATTGATTCCTTCAAAGTGTGACAAGAATTTGTTGGAAAATACCTAAGTAAGAGAAAAGATGGGTTAACTTGTCAAATCCTTCTTCTCAGCATGACTAAACAATATTCTTGTGTAATAAAATATTTCCAGTAAGTAGTGGCAAGAATCCAGTTTCTTGCTCATTGCGTTCTGCCCCATTGTTGGAGGTACTGACGTGCTCGTGTGGTATTTACAAAAATTGCATGCCGTCACTGAGCAATGTTTGCACCATGAAACAATTCATATTTTTCTTAGGTTTGTTTACATGTAGGTCTCGATATAGCATGCATGAAATAGGCTGATTCTTTATGTTGGCAATAAATGGACATGAAACACTAGACTTGTTAATAATTTTACTTTCATAATATACTTTCTTAAATACACTTACATGTTTAAAGGTCAATAAATATTGCAGTTCCCTTTAAATAATTTTATTTAAAACTTGGATGTTCATTTTTTATAATTTGAATTTTGCCTTTTAATTATGTCTTTAAATTTCAAGAATTTTAAAAAATTTTGAAGACTTTTTTTAAAGAAAGTTAACTCTTAAGGATGTGAAAAATACTTTTAATTTTGTTACTTTTAACTTCCTTTATTTTGTTCTCTTAATAAAAATCTATTCAGATTTTTTGGGACGTGACCCCAGGCAATTTTATTACTTTATCCCTGAACCTCAGTTGCCTCAGCTATAAGATGGGGATAACAATGGCACCTATTTCATAATTATGCAGATTAGATACACTAATGCAAGGAAAACACTTTAGTATGTGCCTACCACATGCTAAACACTCAACAAAGGTTATCTGTAAACGCTGATGTCTCAAACAGGGATGGGATATATTGAAATTTTATAGTTAGAATACCGTTACATTTTGTTTTTAATCTTTTAAATCACTGTCAGTAGAATACAGATTATTTTTAAATTATTTATAAATATTTAAGAATTTTGCTGAAATGACAGTAAGAAAAATATTCTGAAACAAATAAATGATTTTTGAATTATGTATTATTTTATTATTTTATTATTCATCTGAACATCCTGCCCCATTAGCAGAACATCTAGCCATAATACAATAGTGATTAAATTCAGCTGTCTTTGATATTTTGCCCAAAACCACAGATTTACACACTGTTTTTCTTTTCTTTTCTTTTTTTTTTAAGACAGAGACTTGCTCTGTCACCCAGGTTGGAATGCAATGGTGCCATCTCGGCTCACTGCAACCTCCAATTTCCGGGTTCAAACGATTCTCTTGTCTCAGCCTCCCGAGTAGCTGGCATTACAGGCGCTGACCACCACGCCTGGCTAACTTTCGTATTTTTAGTAAAGACGAGTTTTTGCCATGTTGGCCAGGCTGGTCTCGAGCTCCTGACCTCAACTGATCCACCGGCCTTGGCCTCCCAAAGTGTTGGGATTGTTACAGGAAAGCGGTCCCGATCTAGACCCCAGGAGAAGGTTCTTGGATCTCCCGCAAGAAAGAATTCAGGGCGAGTCCGCAGTGCAATGTAAAAATAAGTTTATTAAGAGAGTAAAGTGGTGAAAGAACCAGCTACTCCATAGACAGAGTAGGACGTTCTTGAAAGTAAGAGGAGGTACGCGCCCACCCTAGGTACAATACTGGTGTATATGGGGAGATGTACTCTGCTATAAGGGTTTGTGATAAAGGATTAATTTTCTTAATTACTATATTTTGCAAGAATCTATAATATTATCTTTAAAGCAAAATTAGGAATGCTTTTGTTCTCCAGATATTGGGATATCTAGACACTCCTAAGTCTGGGTCTGTTGAGTAAACATTATTAATTTGTTCCCTTAACCATAAACATCTAGAGGCTCAGAATGCCTAACTTTCTGGGAATGCAGCCCAGCAAGTTCCGGCCTCATTTTCCAGCCCTCACTCAAAATGGAGTTGCTCTGGTTCGAGTGCCACGGACAGGATTACAGGCATGAACCACCGTGCCGGGCCTACACATTGTTTTTCGTTTAGTTGTTATGAAGGCGTATTTGACAAGGCGGAAGGATAGAATACATTTTATTTAAAAGTCGGTAACATGATCTATCACTTTTAAATATTTGAACATACCGTCTGTAGGCTTCCCTTTGTACTCAAATCTCAGTCCTGCAAATGATAGGGCTAGGCCTACGTGCTAACAAAAATGGAGGGCATCCGAGCCCAGGCATGCAATGACCCAGCAGCTCAGAGAGCAGGGCATGCTCAGGACACACAATGGTGTGATGGTGGACCTGGAGCACAGTGGGGAGGGAGGAGCCCTGTGATAGATGGGGCCAGTTAGGAAGGCGGCTCAAAAGCTGCTCTCAGATGTTTGTGTTTGTGTTTATCCCCGGGGGACTGGGATCACTGACGGCTTAGACAGGGGAGAGGAAATCCCAATAGCCCATGGAGCAGGGGAGCTGTTCTTCCTGCAGGGAAGTCGGTTATGATGCTCAAAACCACACCTTCTAGGAGGGAAACCCCGAGATACTATTTCCCTTCAGTCATTGGATAGGAGGTAGGGTCTGGGTAGGACCATTTCAAATCTAACTTTTGGAAGGAGGTGCCACTGCCCTTAGAAAAAGGGAATAGGCTGGGCGCAGTGTCTCACGCCTATAATCCCAGAATTTTGGGAGGCCGAAGGGGGCGGGTCACTTGAGGTTAGGAGTTCGAGACCAGGCTGGCCAATATGGTGAAACCCCATCTCTACTAAAAATACAAAAATTAGCCGGGCATGACAGCAGGCACCTGTAATCCCAGCTACTTGGGAGACTGAGGCATGAGAATCACTTGAACTCGGGAGGCGGGGGTTCCAGTGAGCCGAGATGATGCCGCTGCACTCCAGCCTGGGCAACAGAGCAAGACTGTCTTGAAAAAAAAAGGGGGGGTGTTGTGTGGTGTGGGGAACTGATTATTGTCCTTCCCCAAATCACCTGAGGAAGAACAATATTAAGATAAAAGAGAGCACATTCTTTAAAATGAGATACCTGGTCATTCCTTCTGTTGTTCGTGGGATGCTATAGGTAGGACACTGTTGGGGAAATGTTCTTGAATGTGAAATTGGAAGGGGAGCCATGGTGAATTAGGAAAATGCACAGCGGGTGCAAAGTAGCCCCCTCCAGGTGTTTGGCTTGTGCAGGTCCCTCTCACTTCATGGCTTAAGAAAAACAAACAAACGAAATCTCCTTCAGGTCTTGTGTCTCCATTATGTGGTCATTCTTTTGATCTGATGTCACATTCCACGTTTCATTGCCTGACTGAAAATAAACATTTATTTTCATTCATAGGATGCTGACTTCCATCTGAATTCCACATGAATCTTGGCATTTATTATTTCCCATCTCTCCAAAATGCTCAGCTCTGCCCATAGGCTCAACTTGAAGCAATAAAAGGGAAGTAGCCAAGAGCTTACTTTCTCTAACTTTTTTCTTTTTTTTTTGAGATGGAGTCTCTCTGCGCCGAGTTTGGAGTTCAGTGGCATGATCTCGGCTCACTGCAACCTCCGCTTCCTGGGTTCAAGCAATTCTCCTGCCTCAGCCTCCCGAGTAGGTGAGATTACAGGTGCTCGCCACCAGGCCCAGCTAATTTTTGAATTTTTAGTAGAGACAAGGTTTCGCCCTGTTGGCCAAGCTGGTCTCAAACTCCTTACCTCAAGTGATCCACCTGCCTCCGCCTCCCAAAGTTCTGGGATTACAGGCGTGAGCCACCGCTCCCGGCCTCTCTACCTTCTTTGTCCCACAGGAAAAAGGAATATGCTTCTTTGGGAAGGACATGAACTAGGGCGACAGCAAAAGGAAAGCGAATGTGGGGCTGTTTTGGAGTCCCATACACTCTCAGCGGCAGAGCAATATTAAAACTTCCTAGAAGACATCTGAGCAGCAATTCTAATAATCATGTATTATGTATCTGCAATAAATAAACCATGAACCAACTAGCAAATTGCCTTGCTTGTTTCTCAGCAGAAGTTATTTTCCATACAGCTTTTCATCTAGTGACCACCATTGTTTAGACTTGGATGTTTGACTGCAGTTTTGTGCATGTGGCAGCGCATGACAATGTTTGCAGTGTTGTTTAGAGTCACACAAACTTACAAGTCAGTGGGGGGATGGGTTCAAGTATAGCTTATTAATTCAATTCATTCAGCAAATATTTACTGAGAGTCTACTATGTGATAAGCACTTTTCTTTCTTTTTTTTGGAGACAGTCTCACTCTGTTGCCCATGCTGGAGTGCAGTGGTGTGATCTTGGCTTACTGCAACCTCTGCTTCCCAGGTTCAAGCGATTCTCCTGCCTCAGCCTCCTGAGGAGAGTAGCTGGGACTCCAGGCACGTGCCACCATGCCTGGCTAATTTTTATATTTGTAGTAGAGACGGGGTTTCACCATGTTGGCCAGGCTGCTCTCGAACTCCTGACCTCAAATGATCTACCCACCTCACCCTCCCAAAGTGCTGGGATTACAGGCCTGAGCCACCGTGCCCAGACGATAAGCACTTTTCTAAGCATATGGGATATCTCACTGAAAAAACTCAACACAAATCCCTCCCCCTTGAAGCTTCCATGCTCATTGCAGGAAACAGAAAATCACCCATAAATGTGAGCAAAGTAAGGAAAATTGAAAGTATAAAGTGTTTCTTTTGTAATTTCAAATGAAATCATATCCATAATGTATGCTATTATACAGCTTTTTATAAAATGAGACAAATCATATAGTGCAAAAGATCTCAAAGACAAAGGAAAAGGAAAAAAAAAGAAGTTGCAGAACCATATAAACTCATTTGAATATGGCTGTGTGTGTGTGTGTGTGTGTGTGTGTGTGTGTGTGTGTATCTGAAAAGATACATAGCAAACAATGTTTCTCCAAATCTCCCACTTACTTACCATATACCCACTACCACAAGCTGCAGCAGACATACTGAATATCTCACTTTGTCATGGTGGATTTTTTTCCAAGCCTTCCTTGGAGCTCTGGGGGCCTTTTGCAGCTCGGCACTTTCTGCAGATGTCTCTGCGGCAGTTCTGCCCTTGCCCGGCCCAAGGCAGCTGCAGCATCTAGCTTGTGGCCCTTTTCCATCTCTTCTGGGAGCTGCCTTTATTCTGAGCCAGCTCTACACTTAAAGGGGCGTTTGTTCTATTTTATCCCGAATTCCTAAATGTTTTGTGGAGACGGAAGGCTTTTTAAGATATCTAGTCTACCATATCTCCAGGAATAAAAATGATTTCTATAAATTTTTAAAACCTATGTAAAATTAAAAGTAAATTAAAATTGAAAACAATTATATTTGTTCATTCCCTATCTGTTCTTGCATGAAATGTATTGACACGAGGATGCCACATCATGGAAAGAGAATTCTTTGCATATGAAAGCATTAGGAGAGACCCTTAGGAAAACAGATGAAGTCCTCCAGCGTGAGAATGCTGTCAGGAAAAATATGCCAGTGCCCTGTAAATAAATCTGAGTTTTTCTTTGTTCTAAAAATCAGCACATTGTTGTAATGATAACCTATGTTTTTCTCAACTATGAAACAAAATAATTTTTATTTATAATTTTGAGTTTCATTTCTAAAGCTAGGATTGTAACCAAAACACTCCTAAATTATTTAATCTCAAACTGTAGTTCCTCTTTCAAGCCACTTCAAGTTTTTCTTTTTTTAAAACCTGTACCAATGATCCTTGGATAATAAAGACCTCCAGTATTCCTTCTTGAAGATGAAGATTCTGATACTCAAAGAGTTTGAATGCTTTCCTCAAGGCTTCCCCAGTGGTGACTTAGAGCTGAGGTTTTAGGCCAGGTCTTGGTGATCCCAGGGAGCAGGCTCTGTCCATCCCCTGCATAAAGCCAGAGAGGGCACCGCCTGCACCTGTGGCATTTTGCCAGCCCACTTTCTATTTTGCTTGTTCCACTTTTTGTTTCTCAGCCCTGTCTCCTGTATCTTGGCCTCTTGCTCCATTGGGCCACAGGACCTGAGGTCCAGTTTTGAGTTTGCTTTGCGGGCAAAAATCCTCTATCTCTTCTTCAGGCTCCACCCTTCACAACTCCAGGTGAGAGACCATATATTAGTCCATTCTCACACTGCTGCAAAGAAATGCCTTCCTTGCCTATTTAAAAAAAAGATAGGCCGGGCATGGTGGCTCATGCCTATAATCCCAGCACTTTGGGAGGCCGAGGTGGGAGGATCACCTGAGGTCAGGAGTTCGAGACCAGCCTGGCCAAAATGGTGAAAGCCCATCTCTACTAAAAATACAAAAATTAGCTGGGCATGGTGGCATGTGCCTGTAATCCCAGCTACTTGGGAGGCTGAGGCAGGAGAATCACTTGAACCTGGGAGGCCGAGGTTACAGTGAGCCAAGATCGTGCCACTGCACTCCAGCCTGGGTGACAGAGTGAGAACTGTCTCAAAATAAAATAAAATAAAATTTTAAAAAATAAAGAAAAAACACAAATAACAGACACTGGATAATTTATAAAGAAGAGAGGTTTAATTGGCTCACAGTTCTGCAGGCAGTACAGAAAGTATGATTCTGGCATCTGCTTAGCTTCTGGGGAAGCCTCAGGAAACTTACAATTATGGCAGAAGGCAAAGGGTAAGTAGGCTCATCTTAGATGGCCAGAGAAGAAGGAAGAGAGACTTTTAAACAGCCAGGTCTCCTGAGAACTCTGTCACAAGAACAGCACTAGTGGGATGGCACTAAACCATTCATGAGAAACCACCCCCATGATCCGATCTCCTCCTTCCAGGCCCTGCCTCCAACATTACGGATTACAATTCAACAGGAAATTTGGGCGGGGACACAGACCCAAACCATATTAGAACAATACCCTGATGGGGACAGATTGGAAGGGGCCAGCCTCCCTCTGGGCACACAGCTGACAGGTGAGGGGCATTGGAGATCATGTCCCATATCCTGCTTCTGTGACATCACTGTGATTATCTTGAGGCTGATACCTGGACCTGGCCAGCTTGGTACCTGAGTCAGTGGGAGGGGTTGCTGTTATAGCCTGTTGTGGCTGCCTGGTTCCCTTTATCATTTCCTGCCTATGGATTCCATTGCCCATATTCCTGCCACAGATGTATCACGTGTTCAGTAAATGATTATTTAATACTCTATTACTGGAAATAGATGAATAACCTCATCATTGTTAATGCAGTTCACAGTGTACTTATGACAAAGTTTTAAGTACTTGTGATAAAGTTATAAGTTACATCATTTCCAAACTTTATGTTTTCTTAACGTGAAGACTGCATATTATGTGTGTGTTTTGAGGAAACTAGACTTTCTGAACACATAGAGGGTAATCAACATATGGCATTAGAATCAAGGCCAGTTTCTCATACAGTGAATATAGAAATGAGACTGAATTATCCATAATCATGTGTATCCAAATGCTAGGGACACTCAACCGTTGTCTATCTTATCCTTAAAAGTCTCAAGGACTGAAGCAAAAGGGTTGCTTGAAGCCAGGAGTTCAACAGCCTGGGCAACAGAGCGAGACCCTGTCTTTACAAAAAATTAAAAAATCAGCTGAGTGTGGTGATGTGCTTCTGGAGCCCCAGCTACTTAGGAAAGTGAGGTGGGAGGATTGCTTGAGCCCAGGAATTCAAAGCTTCAGTGAGCCATGATTGTAATACTGCACTCCAGGCTGGGTGACAGGGTCTCAAGAAAAGGAATTATTTAACCTCTTTCTGCAGTTAGGAATTTTTTTTTCTATGTGACTAAGCTGAATGCTTCTATAGGTTGAAGCTGGTCCTCCTTTATCTTCAGATTTGATAGAAAACATCTAGTAAACATAAGAAATCAAATAGCCCTTCAAGTGTTGGCTGACCTTTTAGCCATTATTTTCTTTTCCAGAACATGTTATTGTAAGCTTTATTATTTTATTATTATGTATTATTATTATTTTGAGATGGAGTCTCACTCTATCACCCAGTCTGGAGTGCAGTGGTGTGATCTCGGCTCACTGCAACTTCTACCTCCCGGGTTCAAGCGATTCTTCTGCCTCAGCCTCCCAAGTAGCTGGGATTACAGGTGTGTGCCACCACGTCCAGCTAATTTTTGTACTTTTAGTAGAGACGGGGTTTCACCATGTTGGCCAGGCTGGTCTTGAACTTCTGACCTCAAGTGATCCACCCGCCTCGGCCTCTTAAAGTGCTGGGATTACAGGCATGAGCCACCATGCCCGGCCTTATTATAAGTTATTTATACTTCCTTAGTTCTGTTTCATCTTTCCAGTCTTGCTCATTTCTCCCATTTCCTGTTCAATTCCCTTCCCCACCTTAAGCCCCTCGGTGAATTTCCAGAACTTCCAGAATAAAATCCAGACCCCTTAGGATGACTTATGTGGCCCTTCATCAGTCATAGGTGGAGCTGCGGCTTTCGTTGACCTCTGCTTTCAATTTTCCCACTCACTCACCATTTTCTTCCTGCTCCGGCATGGCCAGCCTTCTCATGCTCCAATAAATGTATGGCATGCCAACAGTGGGGGTTTCACACCTGTAATCCCAGCACTTTGGGAGGCCAGGGTGGAAGGAGTGCTTGAAGCCAGGAGTTTGAGACCAGCCTGGGCAACATTGGTGAAACCTTGTCTCTACAAAAATAAAGAATATTAGCCAGGCATGGTGGCACACCTACAGTCCCAGCTACTCGGGAGGCTGAGGTGGGAGGATCGCTTGAGCCCAGGAGTTGGAGGCTGCAGTGAGCTATGATTGTGCCTCTGCATTCCAGCATGTGAGACAGAGGAAGACCCCGTCTCAAAACTAAATAAATAAAATAAAAAGTATTCCCACCTTAGGACTTTGCACTTGCTGTATCAGTCAGGATTGAAACAGAAAAAAAATGCCCCTCTAGAAACTGTTTTTGAAGAAAAGAAGAATTTAATTTGGAGACTGTTATGTAAACACATGAAAGGATTGGAACCAATGGTTGCTGTTAGCCTCACCAGGGAATCAGGAACATCAGGAAAATGGAGGAACTCTCTGCTGAGGAGCAGAGAAACCACACGGCCAGCACAGGAAACGCCAAGTCATGCCTTTGCCAAAGCCCACACACCCATCTGCACTGTACCTGCTCGCCTAACACACCTCCACGTCTCAGGAGCAGAATGTGCCCTGCCTCCAGAGCACTGGGGTATCAGAAGCTCAGATTCCAGGATTCTAGGCCCTGGGGTAGAATTCTAGCTCCTGGTGCAGGGGAGAGGTGGAAGGGGATGGGGGGAATAGACTAATACTCAAAATTGTTCTTTTTACTTCAGTGCTCTTGCCACATACCTTCCAGAAGCTCTACCCTTATCATCATATCCATTCTTTCCAGAGGTCTTCAGTCCCATCCTCCTTCCCCTTGTCCAGATACTCACTAAGACTGTATCATCTCTCACCATTTGTTAGTACCTGAAATAAGCATATGTATTCACTTGCTTATTTTCTGTTTTATCTTACTATATATAATCGCAGTGATAGCAAACCCCTCACATCTGTAGTCCCTGCTCTCACAGCTGTAGACTCCGCACTCACAACTGTGGTCCCTGCACTCACATTTGTAGACATTACACACATAGAAGCAGCCCCGTACCAACAGCTGTGGTCCCTGCTTTCACAGATGCGTTCCTGAACCAACAGCTCTGGTCCCTGCACTCAGGGACGCACTCCTGAAACAACAACGGTGGTCCCTGACTCACACATGCGCTCTTGAACCAACAGCTGTGGTCCCTGCACCCACAGCTTTTGTCCCTCGGAACAGGGCCTGGCCCATAGTAGAAACACAATAAAGATCATGTCCTCTCAACCCTCAGGTCTAGGAGAGGTTGCTCTACTTCTACAGGCAGTAAAAATATTTATAAGTGAATTTTAATGATGGACAAAACATAATAGACCTGCCATCAGAAGAGTGAATTTTGCGTTCCTCCCTGTATGTTCTCAGGAGATTTTGTTCAATGGTGGTCCACGAATGAAACTTTCACATACACTTATGGTGGTCCTAAGAGGCCCACAGGATTATCTCTCAAGGCCTGCTATTATATATTTCTGCAGAGAGTATTACAAACTATTGGTAGGCACAGAAATTAAGAGCATGGCATATAACAAGAACTCAAAAAGTGTGAGCTCATCTTAATATCACTATTTCTCTGTATTCTAAAGCAGGGGTCAGGTCAGTGAACTACAGTCCACAGGTCAATCTGCCCTTTGTCTGGTTTTTACCTGTTCCTGAGCTCAGAATGGTTTTTATGTTGTTAAAGGGCTGTGCAAAAAAAAAGAAAGAAAGAAGGAAGGAAGGAAGGAAGGAAGGGAGGGAGGAGGGAGGGAAGAAGGAGGCAGGGAGGGGGGAGGGGGAGAGAGAGAGAAAAAAAGAAAAAGAAAAAGAAAGGAAGAAAAGAAAGAGAAAGAAAGGAAGAAAGAAAAGAAAAGAAAAAGAAAGAGAAAGAAAGAGAGGAAGAAAGAAAGAGAGGGAAGGAAGGAAGGAGAGAAGGGAAGGAAGGAAAAGAAAAGAAAAAAGAAAATAAAAAGAGGAGAAAGAAAAGGAAAAATATGTATCAGAGATAGTGGGTAGATGGCTGCCAAGTCTGAGATTTATAACCTGACCCTTTACAGGAAAAGTTTATAACTCTGCTCTGTACGCTTAACTTCCTTTAAACTGTTTTATGGCTTACTTGATTGATTAGAATGAAAACTTTATTTCTTAATTAAACAAATATTTACTGTTATCATTCAGGGAGGATTTCCAAAAGCTGATGAAAACAGAGATCCAGAAGCCAGTGGAGCAGCTGCCAGCCTTGGTGCAGGGGAGAGGTGGAAGCCTCACCTCAACGATGCTGTCGTTCGTCTTGTCATGGGCCTAGAGTTTATCCTGTCTGGGTGTACCTGGGAAGGTATTGATTAGCTATAAATGTCTTCTTTATTTTATTTTTTTTCTTTTTTGACATGGAGTCTTGCTCTGTTGCCCAGGCTGGAGTGCAGTGGCATGATCTCAGCTCATTGCAACCTCCACCTCCCGAGCTTAAGGGAGTCTCCTGCCTCAGCCTCCAAGTAGCTGGGATTACAGGCGCCCGCCACCACGCCCGGCTAATTTTTTGTATTTTTAGTAGAGATGGGGTTTCACCATGTTGGCCAGACTGGTCTGGAACTCCTGATTTCAGGTGATCCACCCACCTTGGCCTCTCAAAGTTCTGGCCTATAAATAGCCACCGCGCCTGGCCTATAAATATCTTTTAATTACACCTCTTTGGTAATATTGTATGGATTGTCAGCTAATGATTGACTTTGGGGAATTTCCAAGGTGCTATCCACAGCTTTTGCTCTGAGCCTGGGGTCCAGCTCTTTCTGAGGAAAAAGGAGCACAGGCAGAAGCCCAGCCTGCCTTCCCTCTTCATCCTGGCTCCTTCCTCATCATCCCCCCGCTCTTTCTCTCACTTCTTGTTAGGTGCTTCTCTTTGCCCCCATATCTGCTGTGGTGGAGCCTTGCAGCTGGGGCAATCAGATAGAGCAGATCCACCACTCCAGATTCTGTCTTGATCTTGCCAGCTGCTACAGACATTTCTCTTGACAAACATGTTCGTGTTCCTTGGAAGAAAAATTCTTCATGGCCTCAAGTTTAATGAATTGACTTACCCAGTAATAGGTCTTTCATATAGACAAGTGGATCTCTTACAGAGTCCTGGGTAAATAAAACTCTCTATTTTATTACTATTATTATTATTATTATTATTATTATTATTATTATTATTTTAGAATGAGTCTTGCTCTGTCACCCAGGCTGGAGTGCAGGAGCATGATCTCAGCTCACTGCAACCTCTGCCTCCCAGTTCAAGCAAGCGAGTCTCCTGCCTCAGCCCAACCTTCCGAGTAGCTGGGATTATAGGCATGCACCACCACTCCCGGATAATTTTTGTATTTTAGTAGAGACGGGGCTTCGCCATGTTGGCCGGGCTGGTCTCAAACTCCTGACCTCGGGTGATCCACCCGCCTCGGCCTCTCGAAGTGCTGGGATTACAAGCGTGAGCCACCATGCCCGGCCCGAACTCTCTATTTTAAATGTTAACTCTGTTCTTCCAAAGTCCTTTCCAGTCACCCCACTTGAGACCTCTCTATAGCTTTCAATCCCACAGCACCCAGCCCACCTCCCCGCTTCACTCCTGATTCTGGGATTGCTCCAAGAACTCCAGTATTGTTGTTGCTGTTGTTGTTTTTCTGCTGCTGTATTTGCTAGAACATTTTAGTTTTCCCATAAATTTTCACAATAAGACTTCTCAAGATGTTGAGCAGCCAAAAGTTCCTTCAATTGTATAGGCTTCAGGCCGGGCACGGTGGCTAACACCTGGAATCCCAGCACTTTGAGAGGCTGAGGTGGATGGATCACTTGAGGTCAGGAGTTTGAGACCAGCCTGGCCAACATGGTGACACCCCCATCTCCACTAAAAATACAAAAATTAGCTGGGCGTGGTGGCACATGCCTGTAATCTCAGCTACTTGGGAGGCTGACACAGGAGAATTGCTTGAACCCAGGAGGCGGAGGCTGCAGTGAGCCGAGATTGTGCCACCACTGCACTCCAGCCTGGGCAACAGAGCCAGACTCTGTTTCCAAAAAAAAAAAAAAAAAATCGAAAATTATATAGATTTCACCCTTCTTGGAAGACAGTCGTGGTTATGAAGAACAAAACCTATATCCTGGTTATAATGGTGAGAGGTGTTGTGAAGGAGAAGCTTATAGCAGAGGGGTCTTGACCTAGTGTGTGGGATGGGGAAGGTGTGCTTGGAGAACATGGCTAAGAGTTGAAGTCTGAATAGGAGCTGGCCATGAAGGTAGGGGAACAAGAACATTCCAGGGAAAGCCTAGAACAAGTGCAGTGGAGCTGAGGGAGGAGGGAGTCCTGGAAGTCCAAGAATCAGAAGAAAGCCAGAGCATGTGGGCTGTGAAGACAGAAGGGGGAATTGCTTACAAGGAGGCTTTGGGAATGAGAGAGGCAGGTCTTGCCCAGCAATGTAGGACTTGCAAGTAACCCTGGACTTTCCCCTGGATTGAGTGACTATGCTTTAAGTGGGAGAGTGAGGGCTTCCTTTGCTGCAGTGTGGAAGGGAGTTGGAAAAGGATCAACATGAAGATGTGGAGACCGGGGAGGAAGCCGCTATAATAGGCAGAGGGGTGGTGATGCTGGATCTAGATGTGGCAATGGAGGTGGAAATGTAAACCACCCACAGGGTTTACTTTGCCTGCTGCCTAGATAGAGCTAATTCATCAAGACAGGTGAATTGCAATAGATAAACAGTAATTCACGCAAAGCCGGCTGAGCAGGAGATTAGAGTTTTATTATTACTCAAATCAGTCTCCCCTAGCATTCGGGAAGCAGAATTTTTAAGGATAACTTGGTGGGTGGGAGGAAGCCAGTGAGCCAGGAGTACTGATTGGTCAGGAATGAAATCATAGAGAGTCGAAGCTGTCTTCTTGCGCTGAGTCAGTTCCTAGGTGGGGGGTCCAGATCAGATGAGCCAGTTTATTGATCTGGATGGTGCCAGCTGATCCATCAAGTACAGGTCTGCAAAATATTTCAAGAACTGATCCTAGGAGCAGTTTAGCCTCCAGCTTCATGACTCCTAAACCATAATTTCTAATCTTGTGGCTAATGTTAGTCCCACAAGGCAGTCTAGTCCCTGGACAAGGAGGAGGTCTGTTTTGGGAAAGAGCTGTTACCATCTTTGTTGAAGCTATAAACTAAATTTCTCCCAAAGTTAGTTCAGCCTATGCCCAGGAATGAACAAGGACAGCTTGGAGGTTAGAAGCAAGATGGAGTTGGTTAACTTAGATCTCCTTCACTGTCTCAGTCTTAATTTTGCAAAGGTGGTTTCAGAAAGAAGTGATGGATTTGACATATATTTAGAAAGGACTTAACAATTGATTGGATAAGGAAAGTGAGGGAGGGGAACAATAAAAAATTGCTCCAGGTTCTGGTCTGAGTGACCAGGTGGTTAGAGGAGCAGCTTGGTTGCTGGGTTGTTTGGGTTGAAGCAAGGTTGTAGCTTAAGGTTCAATCAGGTCAGCCGGGCACGGTGGCTCACGTCTGTAATCCCAGCACTTTGGGAGGCTGAGGCAGGCGAATCACTTGAGGTCAAGAGTTCGAGACCAGGCTGGCCAAAGTGGTGAAACCCCGTCTCTACTAAAATTACAAAAATTAGCCGGGCGTGGTGGCAGGCACCTGTAATCCCAGCTACTTGGGAGGCTGAGGCAGGAGAATCGCTTGAACCTGGAAGGCAGAGGTTGCAGTGAGCTGAGACCGTGCCACTGTACTCCAGCCTGGGTGACAAGAGCAAAACTCCATCTCAAAATAAATAAAGAAATAAATATATATTTTTAAAAGGTTCAGTCAGGTTGAATTGGAAGTGCCTGTGAGTCATCTACAGAATTGGAAGTACCTGTGAGTCATCTACATGGAGATGTCAAATAGGCTGTTGGAAGGTTGGCCCTGGGACCCAGAAAACGAACAAGGAGGAGGAGCCTCTTCTGGAGTCACAAGAGGTGAGCCAGAGTAGTGGGAGGAAACCCAGGAAGGGGGTGGAGGGCAGGTCAGTTTGGACTGGATTTAGTTTTGGTGTTGTGACAGGATCCAGACTAGAGTGGAAGCAAGTGACGGCCGGTTATGTTTAGACTTCTCTATCCACCCAAGAAGAACCCATTCTCATGCCCCAGACAAAGGGAAGTGTCTTCGGAATCACTCGGAAACGCCAATCACACTGATCCAATTGGGTGCTTCACAATGTAGGAACTAGCCTGGAGAGACAACTCAGTGAGATTTTATGGGTTTTTTGTTTGTTTGTTTGTTTTTTTGATAAGGAGTCTCGCTCTGTCGCCCAGGCTGGTGTGCAGTGGCGCAATCTCGGCTCACTGCAAGCTCCGCCTCCCGGGTTCACGCCATTCTCCTGCCTCAGCCTCCCGAGCAGCTGGGACTACAGGCGCCCGCCACCACGCCCGGCTAATTTTTTGTATTTTTAGTAGAGATGGGGTTTCACCGTGTTAGCCAGGATGGTCTTGATCTCCTGACCTGGTGATCTGCCCGCCTCGGCCTCCCAAAGTGCTGGAATTACAGGCGTGAGTCACCGCACCTGGCCTAGATTTTATGTTTTTAATCTAATCTCTTTTACAATCCAAAACCAAGAAACCAAGAGGGCCCTGACCTTTACCCTTAGCCTCAATTTAATGGGAAATCAGAAAAAAAATGTATGAAAATAATTTAGGTCAGAGCAAATCATATTCCTCCTATGCTACAGTTAGACAAAGATGAACACTGCTGCGATCAAAGAAAGACCTTAGAGGCAAGGGTCAGATTTATTTCCTGCTGCTGGACCGAGTCTTCTTTGGTGTGTGATATTGGAATAAGAGAAGAAAAAAGAGGGCCGGAGCCGGGCGCAGTGGCTCATGCCTATAATCCTAGCACTTTGGGAGGCCAAGGCGGGCGGATCACGAGGTCAGGAGATCAAGACCATCCTGGCTAACACAGTGAAACCCCGTCTCTACTAAAAATACAAAAAATTAGCCGGGCGTGGTGGTGGGAGCCTGTAGTCCCAGCTACTCGGGCGGGTGAGGCAGGAGAACGGTGTGAACCAGGGAGGCGGAGCCTGCAGTGAGCCGAGATTGCGCCACCACACTCCAGCCTGGGCGGCAGAGCCAGACTCCGTCTCAGAAAAAAAAAAAAAAAAAAAAAGAGGACCGGGCCCAATGGCTCACGCCTGTAATCCCAACAGTTTGGGAGGCTGAGGTGGGAATATCCCTTGAGTCCAGAAGTTTGAGACCAGCCTAGGAAGACCACTAGGCCCTGTCTACAAAAAAAAAAAAAAAACAAAAAAAAAAACTAGAAGAAAAAAAGGAAATAAAAAGAGAGGCTTCTTTTAGCAGAGATGACAGAGTCAGACATAAAAAGCATGAAGGGATGTCAGAAATGTGATGCTGCACCAAATGTCCCCCTTACTTGCTGATCACTAATGTGGTCTAGAGGTTTGCCAGTGGAGCTTTGCTCTTTTGAGGTAAGAGATTATGCCCCATTAAAAACAGGATGCACCTAGAAGAACAGAGGGTGGAGACGCACACAAAAGTCCTTAGGGAGAGCTCTACCACTAATGCACTGGGGACTCCCCTTAAGGGGAGATAGGGAAGTACAAGTCTCACTTACTTCTTGAGAAATGGCCAAAATGGGGTTTTAAAGGCATACTCTCAGCATTGGCACTCTTTAGGCAGGAAGATATTGGTCAGGGCTGCTTGGTAAGGATGTTCAGGTTGTGCACTCTACAGATGCACATTTATCACAGCCAGGGCCTCCTGCAGAGGCCCTGATAGCAGTTTTCGGAAGGTAAGGTCCACCTGTATGAGAGATAGAGGCATAAAATGTACGTAGATGAAGGGAGTCCCTTCCTACTGGGCAAAGTATGTCTTTATCTATACTACCTAACCCAGAACAATACATAACTAAGTGTTCAAAGGACGATTTTTATAGTGTCAATGTGAAAGTATCTTTTATTCTAGTCTCTTTGCTGTAAAAACCAGTATAAGGCTGGGCATGGTGGCTCATGCCTGAAATCCCAGCACTTTGGGAGGCCAAGGCGGGCGGATCATGAGGTCAGGAGATCAAGACCATCCTGGCCAACATGGTGAAACCCCGTCTCTACAAACAATACAAAAATTAGCCGAGTGTGGTGGCGCACGCCTGTAGTCCCAGCTACTAGGGAGGCTGAGGCAGGAGAATTGCTTGAACCCTGGAGGCAGAGGCTGCAGTGAGCCGAGATTGCGCCACTGGCCTCCAGCCTGGGTGACAGAGCAAGACTCCATTTCAAAACAAACAAACAAATAACAACAACAACAAAAAAAACAGCATAATAGAGGCTTGGGCCACCAGTCTCATCCAGGCCACACTTGGGTCAGTGACTGTGGGAGCTTCAGATTCAGGAGTTTGGTGGACTGTGCCAGAAACACGCCTTGCACCTGCTTACAGGGATGGAGGAGCGAGGACTGAGGGGGGCCAGAGATCCAAAGTTCTTGTATCTCCATAAGAAGGTGTAGGAGCAAGCCGAGCAGTCTGAAATTGTCATTAAGAACAGAAAACCTGCAGATGGGCATATTTACACACATGGCTTATGTGGGTGTGGGTGTGTGGATGGGCAACATCAAAGAGGATATGAATGGTGATTCAAAAGTCAATAGGTCAAATATGAAAATGCTAGGAGGACATCTTCATGTATCTACTGTATAGTCCAACTTTCGGTTTATGGAAAATGTCCAGCTCTTTTAGAAGGTAAACATTTTCTGACTGTGAGCTCTTGAATATGAATTTTATGGTACCTTATACATTTTTTAACTTTCAAAGCTCTGGGTTGGGTAGTTACCAGTACCATCTTCACAAATTCTGGATTCTTCTGGATGTTCTTGACTATTCTGGGAAAATTGGTGCGTTTGTTCTCCCTCCGCCTTGTACCGAGGTCTGCAGGCTTAAGGGATGTTAACAAGGCTTCAATTTGCTGTGTGCATTAGCAGGTGCTGGAAACTACGTTGCCAAATGTGTCGTAGACACAAGAGGGCGATGTGTGCTCAAATGTCAACCTCACCGAGGAAAAGGAATTCATCCTTCAGGAATTTTTGGCTGAATTCCCAGACCTAAAAAAGATTAACAAAGTGTGTTTGGGAGGGGCAAAATTCACTGTGAAACCTAATCAAAGAGGCAGGATGTGATGTCAGAGTGTGGAGACAGCCTGGCAGGAGCTTGGAGGGGATTCTTATCCTTGAGTTCAGAACTGGGCAGTACTCTAGGCTAATGATCGTTATAATCAAGACTTGTCCTCTGTCTGGATATTCAGAAAAGACAGACTTCAAGGCTGCAGAGAATCAGTGGCTGTCTTGGTCTCTGATTACAAAAACTTTATTCTGAGAAAGCCCCTCATTCATTGGAGGAAAACTGGCTGTGCACTTGTTACATGCCAGGCATGAGTCTTGTAGGGGCTAAGAATTCAGCCTTGAGTAAGACAGCCGAGGCCACTGCCCTCTGGAAGCATCAGTGACCCTTGGCACGTACTCCCATCTATTTGTTTCTTTTCTCTCTGAGCCAGTCCAAACCAGCAGTATCTACATCATCTTTTCTTGTTCTGAAAGAGAATGCAAGTCACACATTTATGGCTGTGGGCCACATTTTTTTAGAGATGCCATCTGGTTCCAGTTTTTCTGACTGTTTGTGGAGAGTGGTGATTCCAACAATCTTCTACCAAATGTAAGGGGGTGATAAAAGTGTTCAGTGTTTGCCACAGAGATATCTCTAGCTTGGCCTGATCTCAGTGCACTGCTTTTTGGGTTTACTCAACAAATTGAACAATGCTCAGCCCCTCTTCCATGGAACCTTCCCAATCTCTTTAACCAGGGTTACACTGCGACTCCTCTAAGTCTCTGTACATCATAGCACTTTTGTGGGAGACCACTGCTACTTCAAATCTCTGCCAATAGCACCATGTTTCCTTTCGTTGCTAGCTTTTTAGAATTCTAAAGCCTACTTGGCCATTAGATTTTTTTTATTTTTTTTTTTTTGAGACAGGGTCTCACTCTGTTGCCCAGGCTGGAGAGCGGTGGTGCAGTCACAGCTCACTGCAGCCTCAACCTCTTGGGCTCAAGTGATCCTTCCACCTCAGTCCCCCAAGTAGCTGGGACTACAGGTGCTCACAACCACACGCAACTAATCTTTGTATTTTTTGTAGAGACAGGATTTCGTTATGTTGCCCGGGCTGGTCTCAAATTCCTGAGCTCAAGAGATCCTCCCATTTTGGCCTCCCAAAGTGCTGGGATTACAGGCATGAGCCATTGTGCCCGGACTAGCTATTTTTTAAATTGGAGTTTGAGGAAGGAGGAACAGAAAGGCTGCATCTGCTTAGTAAATGACTCCCCGCTGCCAACACACATACCCAGCAGATGGCAACACCCATGAAAATCCTTTCATCCTGTTGTGAATGGTGGATTCCCAAACTCTACAGGACCCTGCACTAGTCAGCATCTGCTCTTCCCTCTTGAGTCAGGGCAGCCTGCAAAAGTCTGGTGTGTATCATAGGCATCTTGGGGCTCACCTTCTACAGAAGGTCAGAGGGCACAGCAAAAATAGCTTTCTTGCTGTGACCTAATACATAAACCCTGGCACACTTCCGCCTGTCAGATGGGAGCACGCCCCTGTCCTCGGGCTGTTTTTCGCTGTCGCAACAGGCTGTTCTGCCGTTAATCCTTTCCTGTAATTCCCGCCGCCTCGCTCGATCTTGCAATTCTCTTGCCCAGTGGCCTTTACAGGGGGTCATTACTGGGACACGGGGAACCAATGTGCGGTAACAAATGCAAGCTGACAGCAACACGTTCCTCGCCAAAAGTGGGACTCTTGGGTTTTGTGTGTGTCAACTCAGAAGAAACGAGAAAAAGACCCCACCATGTGTTGGATGAGGATGGAAATTGGATGCAGTGACTAAAAGTGCTTTGATTAGGTGAATCCGTTGACAGTAAGAAGGAAGAGATTCTCAATGTGCTTGGCATTTCACTTTGTCTCACTTTGGGTGAATAGTCCCAATTCTGTCAGACGTGCATCTCTTCGTCTGTCAGCTCCGTGTCTCTTGCCAGGATGCTTCTCTCTATCTATCAGGCAGAATTTTCAGATGTTGTCTTTCCTGTCAGGAAAAGTTTAATTCATCATTTTCCTCAGGCCTTGAAAAAATTTTTACAGGAAAAAAATGGTGGTGGTGGGTTGGGGGTGGGGGGTTATGACAAAAACATTTACAGATTTTTCTTCACATATAATTTTAAAATTGCCTATTTTTGCTAGGCACGGTGGTTGAAGCCTGTAATCCCAGCATTTTGGGAGACCGAGGCAGGTGGATGACCAGAGGTCAGGAGTTCAAGACCAGCCTGGCCAACATGGTGAAAC
Organism: Homo sapiens; assembly: GCF_000001405.40. Taxonomy (NCBI): domain Eukaryota; kingdom Metazoa; phylum Chordata; class Mammalia; order Primates; family Hominidae; genus Homo; species Homo sapiens. The sequence continues at coordinate 227,408,642 of NC_000002.12, forward strand.
CCCATCTGTACTAAAAATACAAAAATTAGCTGGTCATGGTGGTGGCACACTCCTATAATCCCAGCTACTAGGGAGGCTGAGGTAGAAGAATCTCTTTAACCCGGGAGGTGGAAGTTGCAGTGAGCCAAGATCACGCCATTGCACTCCAGCCTGGGCAACAGAGCGAGACTCCATCTCAAAGAAAAAAAAAATTACTTACTTTTGAGTAGGTAATACATACACACAGTACAAAAGTCAAAAGGTTCATACAAATGGAAAAAACTCCATACTCTCTTCGCCTCCATTCCCCAGGCACCCAGTTCCTCTCAACGGAGGCAACCCTGGGTACTAGTGGTTTACATCTTTCTAGAGACTGTCTCTGTATAAATTAGCAGAGATAGTCTTCATATGCCTTTTGAGAGCATCTTTTTAAAATTTCTAAATCTAGGTAAGTTCTGAAAAGGAATATATTAAATATACATTAAAATATACTCAATGTGGCTGGGCATGGTGGCTCACACCTATAATCTCAGCACGTTGGGAGGATGAGGCGGGAGGATGACTTGAGGTCAGGAGTTTGAGACAAGCCTGGCCAACATGACAAAACCCTGTCCCTATTAAAAATACAAAATTAGCCAGGCAATGAGCCGGACTTGGTGGCGCATGCCTGTAATCCCAGCTACTTGGGAGGCTGAGGCAGGAGAATTGCTTGAACCCTGGAGGTGGAGGTTGCAGTGAGCCAAGATCGTGCCATTGCACTCCAGCCTGGGTGACAGAGTGAGACTCTGTCTCAAAAAAAAAAAAAGTATATATATATATGTGTATATATATATATATATACACACACACATATATATACACACACACATATATTCAATGTATTGAATGGTCTGTCCAGTTGAAGCCCTGATTCTAGACTAGATAATTTGTTGGCTTCTTGTTAGATCACTCTTAACAGAAATGTGACTGGACTTAGAATCAGTCTGGAAGCATTGTGGATACTCTGGAGTCTGACGTTTCTTGTCCCTTAACATTCAGCTCGTCTTTCCTGAGTTATACCTCTTAGTCATTTCCCTTTGAAATTAAGAGAAGGGCCTCAAATCTTAAAAATGGAAGAATACGGCCGGGCACAGTGGCTCACACCTGTAATCCCAGCACTTTGGGAGGCTGAGGCAGGCAGATCACCTAAGGTCAGGAGTTCGAGACTAGTCTAGCCAACATGGTGAAACCCCGTCTCTACTAAAAATACAAATATTAGCCAGGCATGATGGCGCACACCTGTAATCCCAGCTAGTCGGGAGGCTGAGGCAGGAGACTGGCTTGAACCTGGGAGGCAGAGGTTGCAGTGAGCCGAGATCACACCACTGCACTCCAGCCTGGGCGACAAAGTGAGATTCATCTCAAAAAAAAAAAAAAAAAAAAAAGGAGGGATAGAAGGTCTTGTGTTATTAAGACATAGAAGAAAAGTTAGTTGAGAATCTCACTGGCCACACCCCAAGAGGGGACATTTGGCCACTGCGGGTACATTGGGTGGTCTAGGGAATTGGCTGGGTCTGGGACACACTTGTTAAGCTCCTGAAACTTAGAGTTGAACAGAACAACAGCAGCTAGTATAACGACTTGAAAGGTCCTTTGATGAATTTTAATACCTGGACGCATAAATATTTGTGTTTGATACTTTTAGGCATCTGAAAGAAGTGTCTGATTTCCTTGCTAAGGGATTGGCCTCAGGAACAGATGCATACCAGTGTTGAAATTCTCCTCAGCCTCGTGACTGGCAGTGATTCTTGTGTATCTGCCCTCTGCCTGTGTTGGAGCTGCTAAATTGTAAGAATTTGTAAGTTGGTAAAATACTTCTAAAAACCCTCAGCTCCATAAATATTTTTAAATTTAAATTTAATTTTGTTTTAGAGATAGGGTCTTGCTATATTGCCCAGGCTGGTCTCAAACTCTTGGGCTCAAAGCATCCTCCCATGTCAGCCTCCAGAGTAGCTGGCACTACGGGCACATGCCTTGCTTTGCTCTTTAATTTTTTTTTTCTTTTTTTTTTGAGATGGTCTCTTGCTCTGTCACCCAGGCTGGAGTGCAGTGGCACAATCTCAGCTCACTGCAACCTCTGCTTCCCAGGCTCAAGCGATTCTCCTGCTTCAGCCTCCTGAATAGTTGGGATTACAGGCATGTGCCACCACACTTGGCTAATTTTTGTATTTTTAGTAGAGACGGGGTTTCACCACATTGGGCAGGCTGGTCTCGAACTCCTGACCTCAGGTGATCCACTCGCCTTGGCCTCCCAAAGTGCTGAGATTATAGGTGTGAGCCACCGTGCCTGGCCAGCTCTTTAAATCTTAACGTAGTAACACCGTTACTAATTTCTCAGCTGCTTTTCTGAGTTTAACAATTTCTGACTGAATGCTTTATTTATAGGTTGACAATTCTCAGTACCCCTAGTCAGCCAAATGTGTCTCTCTCCACAACAGAGACTCACCTTCTCGTGGCTGCAAGCTGTGCAGCTGAAGAGGGATTCTGGAGAAAGAAGGGGAATCCTTTTGTTTGGGTCTATTAATGCTACGCAATGTGCCTGGGTTCTTGGAGGGAGACATATCCCATTCTTCCTTATTCCCTCCCATTGACTATACAGGAGAAACTGTATGGAGCTTACTTCAGAAAAACTATTAAGTCCCAAAGATGTGAAGTGTTTTGAATTTTATTCAAGTCCAACCTTGCAGGGCAACAACTCAACACAGCCATTCCTGCTCTTTCAGGAGAAGCCACAAGTGTGGGAAGACAGGCAGCTAAGTCTAGGGCACAGACAAATTAGTCATACTGTCTGCTTAGATCCTGAGGGCCTGCGAAACCCTCAAGGTTTCCTGGTGTCATCTTAAGGTGCTAGTTATTCCATTCTGGCTGCCTTTTGATTCATTTGGTTTTCTGCCCACAGGCAAGCAGAGGCGAAACCAACCTGCCAACTCTTACCTCAAACCCATTGAGAGAGACCTGGGGATTTCCTAGGGTTTTATTTTTACCTATTGCTCCCCAAACAGAAGTTCCATTACACAGAAGCATTTCTTTTTTTCTTTTTCTTTTCTCTTTTTCTTTGAGACGGAGTCTTGCTCTGTCACCCAGGCTGTCATGCAGTGGCACCATCTTGGCTCACTGCAATATCTGCCTCCCGGGTTCAAGAGATTCTCAAGCCTCATCCTCTCGAGTAGCTGGGATTACAGGTGTGTGCCACCACATCCAGCTAATTTTGTATTTTTAGTAGAGACGGGGTTTTGCCATCTTGGCCAGTCTGGTCTCGAACTCCTGACTTCAAGTGATCTGCCCGCCTCAGCCTCCCAGAGTGCTGGGATTACAGGCATGAGCCACCGCGCCCGGCCACACAGAAGCATTTCTCAGTGCCTAATCTAGTTTGCATATCAACTATTATGGAATAAAGAAACCAACAAGACCTTGCATTGCACTCCCTGGGTGGGATGACATATGCCTATCAAGGCCAGAGCCTCCTGAAACCCATCTCTTATTTCTGTTGGCACTGCTCCCACCCAGACAGAAATGAGTTAGAGTGAGGCATTCTCCCTAGTAACCACGGGAAGTAGGATTTCTCCCTGCAGAGGAGCAAAGGAATAGAGGAATGAATATCTTTGACTCCTACTCCTGTTCACCTTATGGGAGTCTTCTCTGATCCCCACAGCTAAAACACCGTCACTTCTACCCCATTCATCTTTATGCTCTTATCTGGCTTTATCTTTCCTGTCTTTTCCCCCACCAACACTTACCTCCCCCCTGCCCTAGAATGTGAGCCCCCTGAGCGCAGGATCTGTCTGATTCATTTACTGCTGTATCCTCAGTGCCCGAAACAGTATCTGTCCCATTTCTGAGTGCACAAAAAAAAAATCTGTTAAACAAATAGGGGACCTCTACTATTGCCAGGCACTGTGTCAGACCCTGTGCATACACTATACATGTGACACAGGTAGGTGTTAGTGGCATCATTCTACAGATGAAGAACCCAGGGAGTAACAAAGGAGGTGACATAACTTCCTCAAGGTCACACACTTAGTAAATAGTTGAGCATTTACTGCCTCTAGAGGGTCTATCCTCTAGAACTTGATCCCTTTTGTCAAATGCAAGAGCTAAAGAATTGTCGAGTAGAGTGTGTTTCATTCTTGAAACCATCTCAGTTTTCTACCTAGGTAGAATTTAGGAAAACAGAAGGGATGGCAAATATATATATATATAAAAACAGAGGAAACCTTCTTGAGGGTTACAACTTAAACAAGCACAGCCCAATACAAAATACTCTGAACTAAAATCAAACAACAATTCTCAGTATCTCAGAGGGTTTGATTAGTTTACTTAAAGTTTTTCAATCATCCCATATGCATTTACTGAGGCCCTCGTATGTGCCAGGCTCTGGGCTAAGTGCTCCGATACTAAGAGAAAGGCGGTAGACTTAGCCCTGTGGAATTTACTGTCCACCTGAGAACAATGAACCCAAGAGGTGTAAGAGACCAGGATTTCTGAAGAATACAGAAGAAATACTCAGTGTGCTTGGAGAGCAAGTGAAAGAGGGTCTGGCATAGACTGTGGGGCGGGGAGGGCAGGTCAGGGAAGATTGGCCCGAGGAAATGGTTTTAGAAGGGAACTAAACTTACCCTGGAGATTATAGTTGTCAAAGAAAAGCAAATCATAAACAGCCAGGACACACAACACAGACGTTACAGAGACACTGACAAGAGGAAATGGGAAGGAGGCGATTAGATTCATGGGCAGGAGCTCAGAGGAGAGGTACGGGCTGGAACTATATATTTGGAAGTCATTGGCTTACAGAAGGTAATTGAAATTGTAGGTGTCGATGAGATCATCTTGGAAAAAATTACACAGCAAGAAAAGAAGGGAGTCCAGCCCTGAGCTTTAAGGAAGTCTAACACGTAGTGGCTGGGAAGGGGAGGAGTTGCCAGCCAAGATGCCCGGGAAGGAGCGGGCGAGAGAGGCAGGAGGGAATGTAGGAATTGTGGCCATGTGAAATCCAGTGGAGAAAAGCTCTCAAAGGAATCATGTGTGCAGAGCCAACACTGCTGAGGGGCCAGAGATAGGAGGACGCAGAGATGAACAGGTGACAATGAAGTCATAGGTGACCCTGGGGAGAGGTCCTTAGGTGGCATGATGTGAGCAAGAGTCTGATGACAGGCAGATGAGAAAGGGTGGGAAGGGAGGGAATGGAGATGGTATCACCCAGTGGTCTGCAAACCAGGACCCACACACCAAATCTGGCTGGAGGCCTATTTATTTATTTATGATGTATTTATTTATTTTGCAAGGGCCTGTTTTTGTAAAGGAGATTTCACTGGAACACAGCCATACCCATTCACTTACATACGTATTATGGGCTGAATTTTATCCTCCTCCTTGACACTTAATTTTTTAAATTGTATATATTTAAGGTATATAACATGATGTTTTGATATACATAAACATAGGAAAATGATTTCCTTTTTAAAAAATTTTAATCAGGCCAAAAGAGAGAGAAAAAAGAATAAATATTCCTATAGTGAAATGATTTCTACAGTGAAATGAACACATTCCCTCATCTCATATAGCTACCTTTTTGTGTGTGGTAGAAATACCTAACAACTGCTCACTTAGCAAATTTCCAGTATACAGTACATTATTATTATAATTATTATTATTCTTAGAGACAGGGTCTCACTCTGTTGCCCAGGCTGGAGTGCAGTGACAGTCACAGCTCACACTGCCGCTTCAAACTCCTGGCCTCAAGCGATCCTCCCACCTCAGTGTCCTGAGTAGCCAGGACTACAGTTTTGTGCCACCACACCTGGCTAATTTCTTTTTAAATTTATGTTATACCTTTTGTAGAGACGGGAATCTCACAATGTTGCCTAGGCTGGTCTCGAACTTCTGGCTTCAAGCAATCCTCCTGTCTCAGCCTCCCAAAGTGCTAGGATTATAGGTGTGAGCCACTGTGCCCGGCCACAATACAATATTATTATTAACTATAGTGTCCCTCCCAAACTAATATGCTGAAGTCCTAACTCCAGTGCCTTAGAATGTGACTGTATCTGGAGATAGAGATAGGGTCTTTAGAGAGGTGAATAAGTTAAAATGTGGTCATTAAGGTGGGCCCTAATCCTGATAAAGAGGGGGAGATTAGGACAGACAGACACAGAAGGCAGGCCACGTGAAGACACAGGGAGAAGATGGCCATCTGCAAGCCAAGGAGAGAGGCCTTAGGAGAAACCAACCTTACCAATATCTTGTTGTCGGACTTCCAGCGTCCAGAACTGTGAGGAAATAAATTTCTGTTGCTTAAGGCACCTAATCTGTGGTTCTTTGTTATGGCAGCCCTAGCAGCCCATTGGCTATTTTTGCACTACACAAGTTGCAGAGTTGAGTAGTTACAACAGAAGCTGTATGGTGAGCAAGGCCAAAAATATTCAGTAGCTGGCTCTCCACAGACATTGTTTGCCAAGGCTAGGCATGGTAGCTCACCTGTAATCCCAGCACTTTGGGAGGTCAAGGTTGGTGGATCTTTTGAGCTCAGGAGTTTGAGATCATCCTGGGCAACATGGCAAAACCCCATCTCTACAAAAAAATACCCACGACCCGCCCCCGCCAACCAAAAAAAAAAATTAGGCATGCTGGCATGCACCTGTAGTCCCAGCTACTTAGGAGACTAAGGCAGGAGGATCACTTGAAACTAGGAGGCTGAGACGGCAGTGAGCCATGATCGTGCCACTGCACTCCAGCCTGGGCTACAGAGTGTGACCCTGTCTCAAAAAAAAAAAAAAAAAAAAAAAAGAAAGAAGAAAGAGAGAGAGAGAGAGAAAGAAAGAAAGAAAGAAAAAAAAAAGAAAAGAAAGAAAGAAAGAAAAAGAAAGAGAAAAAGAAATGATTCGCCAATCCCTGATACAGACAATTGTTTCAAGGTCATATACCTGGTACATCCCAGAGTCAGGATTTGAACCCCAGTCAGCACCAGTGACTCCTGTTCCCTGCCCTACCCCCTGAGAGCAGGCTGCCTCCCCTCAGCCAGGAGGGCTGGAGCTCAAACAGTAAAGTCAGCATGGTTCTTTTCTTTTCTTCAGTTCATGCTCTGCCCTGTGGGCAGCTGTTGTGGGGAAATGCTGAGTCATAAATAATTCTTACATTAATGCCAAGGCAGCCGGAAGGGAAATGTCAGTAGGAAATGGTATTTCAAATAAGTACAAATTTCATAATTCAGCCAATTTTTTAGACCATTTCTCGCAGCAACATTTTCTTATTTTGAGTTTTGGTAAACTCATAATCATTTATAAATGTGGATAAAACCTACCTTCATTTGGACATGTGACCCAGATATATACATGATATAGAATGGGCCAAACAGATCAGAGCAAAGAGAGGAACAATTGGTCTTATGTATAACTGGCCCTTGTATCTTTACATCACCCAAGACAATTATAGTATTGTGACATTCACTGTTTGAGCTTATCATTGAGAAGCTCCAGGAAGCTTCGATTTCTACTCAACAGAATGGCTCGTTAGTATAATTTTATCCTCTCAGAAATATATTGCAGAAGTCAGCCGTCACAGTCAGCTTCATTTCCTTGAAGGCCTCTTCAGGGTAGTGCCCAGAGACACAAGGGTTGCCAATACCGGTGTCTGCAGGTCCAGGAGCGTGGGTTAAGGAGTGAAGCCAGTTAGGCAGAGAAAACACCGTCCTCCGCCCCACCGCCCCCAGCCCATTGTGGTTATGAGGAAACATAGGCCAGCTGTTCCCAAATCTTCTGCTTTTTCACAAGAAGCCGGAAATCCAGATTTGATGTGAAATTTCCTAATTTCTAAATCTTGGCAACTAATTCAAATAAAAAAAAATAAAAACACAGATTTTTCTTTTTTTTTTTTGCCTGTGGTTTGGACCCCACCATAGGACCCCTGTTAATGACTCCTGCTCTGGTGAGACTCCATGGCCAGGGTGAAGGGCAGGGGTGAAGGGCAAGGGTGAAGGTCGAAATTAGTCTGAACTCACTGGTGTTCATCATTCCTCATGGCAAAACCTTGCTTCCAGGTGTGGTCTTCCCCCGTGCGTTTCTGTGGCTGTATCTGACTTACCCAGTCTCATACCCAGTTTTTCTCTTCCCTTTATTTCTGGATACTGAAATTCTTGGGGTTATTTAAGCCACAGCTGTTTAAAAATGTCAGCATCTGAACCTCATGTTCCCAAGCAAGGAACTGTTGACTGAGTTGGGTCAGCAGGAAGGAATGGACTAGATTTTCTGCCACCCTGACAATGTTTTCTAAACCTGGAGCGAGGCTTCCTGACTCTGTCTCTGCCACTTTTCACATAGGAGTTGCCAAGGAACAGATGAAGGGATACTAAAAATACAAGCTTTGCCATCTCTGTGTTCTTTTTTCTTCAAATCTTTTCTCCATAAATGCCTCGCCTCTTGAATCTCCATTTGTTTTTCTCATTTGTTCAATCATTTATTCACTCAGTAAACATTTATGAAGCAAATAATGTGTGCCAAGTACCACCTTAGGTGCGGGGAGGGCCAAGGCAAATCAGACTTGGTCCCTGACAGTGAAGGGCCTACGTCTATGGTGAGTGAATGTTTGCGTCCTCCTCAAATTCATACGTTGACATCCTAACCCCCAAGGTGATGGTATTAGGAGGTGGGGACTTTGGGAGGTGATTAAGTCATGACGGCCTAACCCTTATTAATGGTATTAGTGCCTTATAAAAGAGACCCCAGAGAGCTCTGTTGTTCTCTTTCTGCCATGTTGAGGGCATGGGGAGAAAGAGGCCATCTATGAACCAGAAATGGGCCCTCACCAGATGCCAAACCTACTAGCACCTTGATCTTGGACCTCCCAACCTCCAGAACTGTGAGAAATACATGTTTATTGTTTAAGCCACCCCATTGATGATATTTTTGTTGTACAAGCCTAAAGGGACTAAGACATGTAGGTTCCTGGATGATCAGAACTGAGGCCCATGTATGTCTGGTGACCAGCACTCCCACATATATAACCCTCACCACCCCCTCTTAGGTATGGTGAATTTGGCTTGAAAGAGTGGAAGTGAACAATAAATGCTAAATTGAAAGAGATACCACAGAGTTTTCTAGAAGAAAAAAAAATCATCATGGTAGATTCCTTTGAACCAAGCAATAATTTTAGCAAAGCCATTACTAAAGTTTCTTTTTCTTAATGGACTTTATTATATTTTTAGAGCAGTTTTAGGTTCACAGAAAAATTTTTTTCATTTATTTATTTTTGTACATGAATAAGTTCTTTAGTAGTGATTTCTGAGATTTAGGTGCACCCATCACCTGAGCAGCATACACTGTACCCAAAGTGTAGTTTTTTTTTTTCCTTACCTGCCTCCTACCCATTCCTCTGAGTCCTCAAAGTCCGTTGTATATTCTTATGCCTTTGTGTCCTCATAGCTTAGTTCCCTCATGGCAAAATTTTGAGGAGGGTACAGAGAGTTTCTGTATGCCCCTTGCCACTGTACACAGCCTGCCTCACTATGAAAATCCCACACCAGAGGATATATTTTTTACAATCAATGAAACTACATTGACACGTTATCACCCAAAGTCCATAGTTTACATTAGAGTTCACTCTTGGTGTTGTATATTCTAAAGATTTGGACAAATGTATAATGACATGTATCCACAATTACAGTATCATACAGAATAGTTTCACTGCCCTGAAAATCTTCTGTGCCTTCCCTATTCGGATTATTTTTTTTTCACTTTGAAATGCTTAAGAACAGCCTCAGTAAAATGTTTATATCCTAGGCAGTGAATGATTTGATCTCTATAGGAATGAGCTGGTTGTTATCATATCAGAATTTGGGGGTAAGCTACAGATGCTAATATAGGGACATAGAAGATTTTTCCCCTCAAAATTAGTTAAGATTAGCAAATAGCATTAAGGCAGTTAACCTTGATGAAATACCTAGCAAGAAATGGGTGATGTTATCCTGGAACTGCTATTCTCCTCCCATCTCTTCTCTCAGCATTTGCCATCCAAACCATTTGGAAGCTTTGGTGCTTGATGCATTGCAGTATTTTTTTTTTCTTTTCTTTGAGAAAGATGAACTTAATTTCTAGTTCAATTTGAAAGTCCTTGCTGCAGTGAAGAACATCTATATTTGCTGAGTTTTACCAGGAAAGGAAGGCATCTTCAGTCTAACCTCTACTGGACTAATGTTTTAGGAAGACTCAATCATTCCAGCCCATGAAGAAAAATCTGCTCAAAAAAATTTGCAAAATATTATATTTTAAAAATCTGTGGGCCGGGTGCAGTGGTTCATGCCTGTAATCCCAGCACTTTGGGAGGCTGAGGAAGGTGGATCACCTAAGGTCGGGAGTTCAAGACCAGCCTGGCCAACATGGTGAAATCCCGTCTCTACTAAAAATACAAAAATTAGCCGGGTGTGGTGGTGCACGTCTGTGATCCCAGCTACTCAGGAAGCTAAGGTAGGAGAATCGCTTGAAACTGGGAAGGCAGAGGTTGCAGTGAGCTGAGATCACAGCCACTGCACTCCAGCCTAGGCAACAGAGCGAGGCTCTGTCTCAAAAAAAAAATTGTATATATTTAAAAGTACATATTAAACCAAATATTTAATGTATTTTTATATTAAAGTGTTTGGTTTCACTTTGCTATCTGTTTATAAGTTCATCAACTTGTGTTTTATTTTACTGTCAAAATAGATATCTATAGAACCATAGTTTGCTTTTTGTTATTATTTTATTCATTTATTTATTTATTTCGAGATGGAATTTCACTCTTGTCGCCAAGGCTGGAGTGCAATGGTGCCATCTCAGCTCACTGCAACCTTTGCCTCCCCGGTTCAAGTGATTCTCCTGCCTCAGCCTCCTGAGTAGCTGGGATTACAGGCATGTGCCACCACACCGGGCTAATATATATCTTTTTTTTTTTTTAGTAGAGATGGGGTTTCACCATGTTGGCCAGGCTGGTATTTAACTCCTGACTTCAAATGATCTGCTCTCCTTGGCCTCCCAAAGTTCTGGGATTACAGGCATGAGCCACTACACCAGGCCAAGATCCATAGTTTGAATGGGCTTCCAGGATTGGGATAGATAGCAAAGGTTCAGCTTAGGCCTGTTCCATTTGTGACTATTGTCACAAATGTTAAATTTGGAGTCACCTGCCCTTGAACTCACCCTTGACCTGGCCAGAAAAATGGAAGCATGTCAATGGTCTGGGGAGGAAAGGACCTTATGTGAAATTAAAAGAATTGTCTGGTTAACCATGTTACACCTTGGGTCCAAATAACTTTGAGTATGGGCACATTTAAGGACAGAACCTAGAGATGAGAGAACTGCTTCCTAATGGATGGAGTGAGATGAGCCCTACTGGCCAGGGTCATCAGACAGCCCTAGTTACTGGCCTGGAGACAAGGACAGTGCTGAAAACTGTACTCCAGAGACATTCCTACTATAGCTGAGACACATCTGGGGCCTCCCCAAGACACCAGAAAAAAATGGAGCCCAGAAATGGAGGCTAAGGCCCTGCAGTAGTGCAGTAAAAGTTCAGCTTAGGCTGAAGGGGATAATGAGGTAGTGAAATACCGCATTAACAATGACTGTGACCTGAGTTGTGCCTGGGCCAGTCAATAAGCTGTATTTCTCAACTCCAACCTTGCCCCTGCCCCACCTTCTGTACTCTGCTTTGTGATTCGGGGGCTGGGCCTCTGCAAACCCCATTTTCGCTTTGGAGCTGGCTCCCTCTGAAGCTCTTCCCATCTTCCCATGGGGAGATGCAAGAGAGAGACCGCACAGCCGGAGGAGGAGGAAGCCCCTCTTCTTTCCTGACCACTTTCTGCTCCTGTGAATGGCACCCAGGCAATGCTTCATTAAGAAGTGAAATGAGCATTAACCATTTCATGCTCAGCAGTAGCACCAGTTCCTTCCCGAGTCCACCACTGAAGCCAGTCTGCAATATTTTCAATGCTTGTAGAACTGGTCCCCTCACAGCCCCTCGCAGACCTCAGCTGGAACGTACAGTAGCCCTCCTTAAGAATCTGGTGCTCAGCTCCACACGGCTCTTCCTCCAAACATCTAAGCTTTAATAGTTTGAGCCTCTTCCTTTCGCTCCCCAATTCCCACTGCTTCCTCTAGTTTCTACCTCCAGGGTAGTTTTGCGTTATCTTTTTGCCATTTATGTTACCTAGCGCATTTTATGTTATCAGCAAATTTATGCTTAGTTAACAATTAAATCCTCTCTATTCAAACAACTCATGCTTTTTTTTTTTTTTTGAGACGGAGTCTCTCTGTCACCCAGACTGGAGTGCAGTGGTGCTATCTTGGCTCACTGCAACCTCCACCTTCCAGGTTCAAGCTATTCTCCTGTCTCACCCTCCCGAGTAGCTGGGACTACAGGCGCCCACCATGTCTGGCTAATTTTTGCATATATTTATTTTTAGTAGAGACGGGTTTTCACCATGTTGGCCAGACTGGTCTCCAACTCCTGACCACAACTCATCTGCCCTCCTCCGCCTCCCAAAGTGCTGGGATTACAAGGATGAGCCACAGCGACGGGCCAACTGTTGCATTTTCTATCTCCTTATTGGACCGTGATTGACACATACCTAAAGTTTCCTCTGTTTATTCATTCAGGAAATACGTAATGAGTTCCCACTGTGTGCCAAGCACTGTACTGAGTGCCAGGTCACAGGGAGGAGGGAAAGACAATAACCAATAGAATAGAATCTCTCCACACACCTCCACTTACCAGAGGGAGAGATTTAAATTCTCAATCTGGGCTGGGCGCGGTGGCTTACACCTGTAATCCCAGCACTTTGGGAGGCCAAGGCGGGCAGATCACCTGAGGTCAGGAGTTCGAGACCAGCCTGGCCAACATGGCAAACCCCCGTCTCTACTAAAAATACAAAAATTAGCCGGGTTTGGTGGCGGTAGTGCCATTGTACTCCAGCCTGGTAGACAGAGCGAGACTCCATCTCAAAAATAAATAAATAAATAAATAAATAAATAAATAAATAAATAAATAAACAAACTAACTCTCAATCTGTAATATAAATGGTTAATGCTCATTTGGCGTTTTGTTTTGTTTTGTTTTAGATGGAGTTTTAATCTTGTTGACCAGGCTGGAGTGCAATGGTGAGATCTTGGCTCACTGCAACCTCCTCCTCCTGGCTTCAAGTGATTCTCCTGCTTCAGCCTCCCAAGTAGCTGGGATTACAAGCGCCCACCACCACGTCTAGCCAATTTTTGTGTTTTTAGTAGAGATGAGGTTTCACCATGTTGGCCAGGCTGGTCTCAAACTCCTGACCTCAGGTGATCTGCCCGCCTCAGCCTCCCAAAGTGCTGGGATTACAGGCGTGACCCACCGCACCCAGCCTCATTTTGCTTCTTAATGAACTTATAGTATTGAAGTAGCCAGTGCTTCCCATTCCATCATAAAACCCAGCGATGGATGCTCCTATGTTGGAGCCCCTCGCCAAGGTGAGACTCACACTAACCAAGAGTCAGTTGTGTTTGTCCCCAGTCCTGTGTATGACATTTTTATTTATATTTCTGATTGCATTATTCAATGAAATAGTATGTAAACCAATAAAATGTGAGTGATAAAAGGATGAGCATTATTTTTTATAAAAACTTAATTATAGGAAGGTTCCTATCAACAGTAATGCAAGTAGATACCAGGTGGCTGAGAAGGGCACTTCACCTATCTTGTATTCTGTCCCCAAGCCCATAACTCCAGTCTAATCTGGAAAAAATTTCAGATAAACCTATATTGGGAGACAGTCTATAGGATACCTGGCCAGGATGTCTCAAGACTATCAAGGTCATGAAAAACAAGGAAAGACTGAGAAACTGTCACAGACCAGAAGAGACTGGGCAGATATGACAACTACATGTGAGGAGAAACCTTGGATTGGATCCTGAGGCAGACAGATAACAATGACAAAGGTGGCAAAGGCTGGGCACGGTGGCTCATGCCTGTGGTCCCAGCACTTTGGGAGGCCGAGGCAGGCAGATCACCTGAGGTCAGGAGTGTGAGACCAGCCTGGTCAACATGATGAAACCCTATCTCTACTAAAAATACAAAAATTAGCTGAGCATGGTGGTGGGCACCTGTAATCCCAGCTACTCGGGAGGCTGAGGCAGAAGAATCGCTTGAACCAGGGAGGCGGAAGTTGCAGTGAGCCAAGATCACACCACTGCACTCCAGCCTGGCAACAGAGTGAGATTCCATCTCAGAAAAAGAGAAAAAACAAAAGAAAAAAAAAACGGTGGTAAAATACTAATGAAGTCTAGAGTTTAGTTAATGATAATGTGCCATTGTTGGTTTCTTAGTTTTGACGAATGTACCAGAGTAACGTAGGTGTTAATAATTGGGAGGATTAGGTGACGGGTATTCAGGGACTCTCTGTACTATCTTTGCAATTTATCTGTAAATCTAAAATTACTGCAAAATGAGATGTTTGTTTTTAAAAAACTAAATTACATGCCTCAGAAGATTTGATAATAATGGATTGCTTTTAAACAATGCTGTTAAATTAGGCATGGGCACGACCTAACTGTAAAGGATAAGAACAATTTTTGAAATTTTGCTTTACACATCTCCTTACGTTCATGCTCCACTTTAAAGAAAATGAAACCAGAAATTGTAGATGATGCTTTATGGCTATAGTTTATGCAGGAAAGATGATGCTGAATTCCAATCAACATATTCAGGATGATGGCCTAGGTTAAAACATAGGCAAAAAGAATGAGCATTTATTTATATTTTTACAAAAATAGTTCATATACATAGTATATATCGCTTGTTATGATTCCCTAATTTTGTCATCTAATTTTTAACCGACTTACCAACTACCAGTCTCAATTGCGTTAAATAAGATGGCTTCTACCAAAAACTAAAATCAGACAATCACGGATTGTGAAGGGCATTCTGAAAGAAACAGGCAGGATAGGGTAATAGAGAATGACAGGCAGGGGTGGGAGGGCTTCTTGGAGAGGTCAGGGAAACTCTGAGAATATGACATTTGCATTGAGGTCAGAATATAGCTTAGGGAATTTTGGTTGGCAGAGTGTAATGAAGGAGAAAGTCATATAAACGGATAAGTGCAGCAGAGGGTCATGAGATGGATGTGCTGACGGAGCAGCAGGACCAAGAGGCGGGTGCACATTTCTTGCTGCGGGTGTCAGAAGAGGCTTCATGGAAGAGGCTGCCACCCAGCTGTGCTTTGAAAGAGAAAAACATGTTTCCCAGGCAGATGCAGGAGGGAGAAGAGTGATCTCCGACAGTGGGGGAAATATTTAAAAAGCACTGAAGTATGAAATATTGGGGAACCATAAACAGTGTGATGCAGGGGAGTAACTGGTCAGATTCACATGTTTGAAAGGGCGGTTAGCAGCAGTCTAACCTTGCTACTTAGAGTGTGGTCCAAGGACTAACAGCATCAGCGTCACCTGGGAGCTTGTTAGAAATGCAGAATCTTGAGCCCCTCCCAGAACTGCTGAATCAGGATCTGCATTTTAAGAAGAATGCCAGGGAATTCAGATGCACCATATAGTTTAAGAAGCACTGGTGCAGAGGATGGACTGGAGAGATAAAAAATTAAATTATATACACTTTAATAAAATAGAATTAATTAAAAACAAATATTTTATATGTATATTTTATTAATATAATTTAATAAAATTATATTAAAAACAAAGATAATGAATTCTCAAAACTCATCACTTCCTAATTATTTTACTATTATCCAAGTTGAAGGGTTACTTTTATTTACTGTGTCTGGTGGAAACACCGTACAGTGGCGTGATTCTGCACATCTCTTGCTAACTCCACAATCAGTGACGTCACAGTAGTAATTTGAAATCTGCCACAGTGTGAATATTTACACCGTCACGATCAGCAAATGCTACAAAGCAGGGCTTAATTTGTTGTTTTTGTTGATTTTCTAGATCAGGAGTCAGCAAACTTGTACTATAAAGGACAGATAGTAATATTTAGGGCTTTCTGGGCCATATTACGTTGGCTATTTAACCGTGCTGTTGAAGCATAAAAGCAGCCAATGATAATATGTAGACAAATAAGTGTGCTTGTGTTCCAATAAAATTTTAATTTGTATTTTTTCTTTTTTTAATTTATTTTGTTTCTATGCTTTGCTTTTTTCTTATTTTTTCTTCAATCATACCCCAAACCTCAGTACAAATTTTAATTTGTATAAATTGTTTTCAATATTATTATCTTAAAATATTTATTACTATTATTATGTCTACCAGCCATAGTTTGTCAATTCCTGGTTTAGAATTGTGAAAGTGATGGAGAAAGTGTTAATAGTACAAATGAAAATTTAAAGTGTTTCTTGTCTGTAGCCATTACATCGTGACTAGCATA
This sequence comes from Homo sapiens, assembly GCF_000001405.40. Lineage (NCBI taxonomy): Eukaryota > Metazoa > Chordata > Mammalia > Primates > Hominidae > Homo > Homo sapiens. The sequence continues at coordinate 227,425,028 of NC_000002.12, forward strand.
AAAAATGGAGAAAATATTCTTCCAATATTCAAAAATCTACTATCTGATTCAGCTAAGAAGTGGCTCACATCACTGATGAATGAGAAAAGTTGCAATATACATCTTCCTTCCTTCATATTAATTATTGTAAACAAAAATAACACCAATATTCATGTTGAAACCACTCATTTACCAGTTGCCCCGTAGAATGGCTAGAGTTAGAAAAGTTCAGCAGAAAACAACAAAAGCCTTCTGTGAGAATCAATTGGCAACACGGAATTTACAATGCACATTGTTGTATTCTTGCTGTTTGATTATTATTTATAAATTGTGTGCCACACATAAATGTATATCAGTAAAATTTTAAATACGTTTATACGCATATAGGTATACTTTTTGTTTTCTGGTTTGCTGGTCGTTATACATTTATCAGCACGCCATTGCTCAGGTTTCTGGTTTAGATGAGAAGGTGAATGGGGGTGGTAGGAAACAGGAGAGGCAGCTTTGCAAAAAAATTTGGGTTCAGTTTTGGACACATTCCCCAATTGTAATATGTTACATTAAAAAGGGGCCCAACCCCACATCCCACGAGCCACCCTAGTTTCTTACCAGATTTTGAATGGAATCAAAAGATTTTCTAAAGCCATTAAGTGTCCACCCATATGCTATTCCCCTGTTAAAATAAGCGGGCCATTGTGGAAGGCTGTTCACTTCCAACTCTGAAGGTGTAATCCACACTGTAGTCCATGTGAAAGCAAGGTAAATATTGAGCTCTTCTCCCTCTCTCTACCCCAACCTCTTTTAATCATGGTAAAAAAACACGTAACATAAAATTTATCCTCTCGGCCAGGCGCAGTGGCTCACACCTGTAATCCCAGCACTTTGGGAGGCTGAGGTGGACGGATCACTTGAGGTCAGGAGTTCGAGACCAGCCTGGCCAACAGGGTGAAAGCCCATCTCTACTAAAAACACAAAATTAGCCAGGCATGGTGGCTCATGCCTGTAATCCCAGCTACTCGGGAGGCTGAGGCAGGAGAATCATTTGAACAGGGGAGGCAGAGGTTGCAGTGAGCCAAGATCATGCCATTGCACTCCAGCCTGGGCAACAAGAGTGAAACTCCGTCTCAAAAATAAATAAATAAATAAAACTTTACCCTCTTAACCATTTTAAGTGTAGAGTTAAAATGGGCCAGTTTGGACCCTAGAGTTTGGGAGCTCCATTGTGAAAGTATATTGCCTCTCAGATAAGATTTCTAGATAGAAACTCTAGCTCTGACCCTCAGTTTGAGGTTAGTTCTAAAAAAGATTGGGGACCATTCTCTTCTCCTTCATCACTGGCTCACTCAACCCCACAACCGTTTCCTACTTATAAGCATCCAAATTGCCTGCTCAAATCTTTTCTTTTCTTTCTTTTTTTTTTTTTTTTTAATCAATGTTGACCAGGTTGGCCTCGAATGTGTAGCCTTGCCTCCCCGAGGACCAGGGCAACCGGCCTGAGCCACAGCGGCTCCATCAAATCTTTTCTTCTGCCAGCCCTGGATGGTGCTTCCAGGGTGACTGCCACCCTATGTCCTGAGCCCTGAGGAAGACCCTGCTGTGCCAAGGAAAACTGTGAGTTGTTGGAATGACCTGCAGAGAGAGCAGGCTCAGCTGGGACCTGGATCTGTTCTGGACTCAGTAAAATTGACTCTGACACTGGGTTTACCAAAGTGCATTCTGCAAAATAAGAAGGGCTTATGTGGAAAAAGTGTTCTGAGGTCACTTAGATTCAAAATATTCCAAGTTAAGTAAAGTTACTGATAAAGTTAAATATATTTTATTTATTTATTTATTTATTTATTTATTTATTTATTTTTTTGAGACAGATTCTCGCTCTGTTGCCCAGGCTGGAGTGCAGTTGTGCCATCTCGGCTCACTGCAAGCTCCACCTCCCGGGTTCACGCCATTCTCCTGCCTCAGCCTCCCGAGTAGCTGGGACTACAGGCGCCCGCCACGACACCCAGCTAATTTTTTGTATTTTTAGTAGAGACGGGGTTTCACTGTGTTAGCCAGGATGGTCTCGATCTCCTGACCTCGTGATCCACCCACCTCGGCCTCCCAAAGTGCTGGGATTACAGGCGTGAGCCACCGCACCCGGCCAAAGTTAAATATATTTTAATGATGGCAGAACACCTCAGAATCTTGAATGTGCCAATGTAGATTGTGACTCTCCTACAGCGGGTAGAACCTGTAGCATTTCTCTACCTACTTGATCTCAGAATCTCTTTTTCTGTATGTGTCTATCTTTCATGACCACTTGTTACGGATTGAATGTTTGTCCCCTCCAAAACTCATGTTGAAATATAATTGCTATTGTCACAGTGTTAACAGGTAGGACTTTTTAAGATGGAATTAGGCCATGAGGGCTTTGCCTTCACTAATGAACTAATGCCATTAATGGTGGGAGTGGGTTTGTTATAAAAGGGAGGGTTTGGCCCCCTTTTCTCTGTCTCTCACTCTTCACTCTGTTGCCATATGATGCTCTTGTGGTGGTACAATGCAGGAGAAATGCCAAGGCAAGATGCTGGCACCTTGATATTGTACTTCCCAGCCTGGAGAACGGTAAGCCAAAACATTTCTGTTCATTATAAATTACCCAGTCTGTGGTATTCTGATATAGCAGCACAAAACAGATAAAACACTGTTGCTCTCTGGAAGACAGTTTGACAAACAGAACCCTGGGGCCATCCCAAAAGGTGGCAACAGCAGGGAGGAAAACTGGCTTCTTCCATCAGTCTGGGCACATCTCTCTTCTTCAAGGCAAAAATGTGTATTCCAGGGTTTTAGCTCAAGTAGAGCACTTTTCAGCTTCAGAACCCAGGTTGGGTTTAAACCAGCCCTTTTTACCACAAGATAAAGTCATATGTGATTTGAGGCTAGAGCTTGAACTGGCCTCATATTTTAGCTGGAGTGGTTTTCCTATGTGTTTCTTTCCGTTCTCTTTTCTTTCTTTCTTTCTTTCTTTCTTTCTTTCTTTCTTTCTTTCTTTCTTTCTTTCTTTCTCTTTCTTTCTTCCTTCCTTCCTTCTTCTTTTCTCTTCTCTTTTCTTCTTTCTCCTTCCTTCCCTTCCTTCCTTCCTTCCTTTCCTTCTTTCCTTCCTTCCTTCCTTCCTTCCTTCCTTCCTTCCTTCCTTCTTTCTTTCTTTCTTTCTTTCTTTCTTTCTTTCTTTCTTTCTTTCTTTCTTTTCTTTCTTTCTTTCCTTTTTTTCTTTCCTTTTTGACAGAGTTTGGCTCTTGTTGCCCAGGCTGGAGTGCAATGGCATTGTCTCAGCTCATTGCAAACTCCACCTCCCAGGTTGAAGCTATTCTCGTGCCTCAGCCTCCCAAGTAGCTGGGATTACAGGCGCCTGCCGTGACACCAAGCTAATTTTTGTATTTTTGGTAGAGGCAGGGTTTCACCATGTTGGCCAAGCTGGTCTCGAACTCCTGACCTCAGGTGATCCGCCTGCCTCGGCTTTGCAAAGTGCTGGGATGACAGTCGTGAGCCACCGCACCTGGCTACGTTTCTTGATTATATTCTAAGAAAAGGATGTTCCCACATTAAGCAAGTCATTAAATCCAGACTCTGCTAATTGGTAAATGGTGATAAGGGAATCTACAACCTTATTTCCACAGATGCTATAACTATCCACTTGTCATTCAATTACTTAGAAATTCCTGGGAGATATAAGTTAAGCAAACATAGAGTGTTTTCATCTATTAACTATATCTGTACCCTGTTACTATACACGCTGTGGAAAGTTTTAAGGATACTCCCAGGAACGTAGCGGGTGGGGGCGGGAGAGAAACAACAAAAACATTTTCTATTTCCCAGAAGCAGAAACCACAATGGAAATAATCTAAATATTTCCTCTTATACAAAGAATGTCCCACATAGCAATACATACAATGAATGACAACATCACCAGATTTGAGAAGCCAAGGGGAAGGAAATGGCAGAAATTCGGGGGATAGAAAAGACCTCTGTGTTCCATGCCAAAGATGCTAGGATTCAGAATCATAGGATGTTAGGCAGTTTAAAGGTCACTTAGTACACCCTTTCATCTTGCAGATGAGGCAACTGAGCCATTGAAAAGGGGCTTGTGCAAGGACGTCTGATTAATTTGGTAAGGCCAGAATGAAGGAAAGTTGACACATTTTCAATTTACTTATCTGTTAAGCTCTGGCCCCTGGATGCAGCCTGCAGCCTCACCCTGCCTTGCTAATATGAGTCGGTCTAAATGCGTGTGTTGGTCACAATTGCTTCTACTTGTACTCATAGCCTTTTACTGCTGAGGTTTGAGAGCCAATTTCTATGGTATTTGCTGACCCTTGCTGCTCACCTTTCTTCAGTGCTCTGGTAATGCATTGTAAAGGCATCAGAATCTCTTCACCACACGAAACAGTCCACTTTACAATACCTCTGTTGAGTCGAGTTAATATCTGAGCTACAGTGAGATGCAGAACAACTGGAATCCTATTATTTAAGATCAGAAATGGCTGTAGTCCTAGTTTTTCATTTCCTTTGAAGCAGCCAACATACTTTTCTTGTTGTTTCTTTTTTATTTTTATATAATACAAAATATAGGGATGATTTTGTGTTGGAGAGTTCTTTTATTGGCAAGAAGAGGTTTTTTGATAGAAAATATTTGCAGCTCTTTAAAAAAGATTTTTAATTCTTTTTAAGATTTGCATAGAAACCTACAAGCTTGGTTGCAGACTGCTTAAAATAGATGAGATAAAATGATATGTAATGGAGAGAGTGAGCTTGTTATAATCCATCGACAATCTGCTTAATTTCATGCATCAGTTTAGGCAATTAATCAATAAAAAATATAAAACCGTACACATAAAAACCATAAAGTTACTTCATATGACTTATTACTTGAGTAGCTACTTCACAAAAGTAGCTGACTTCTAAAAGTCAGCTTTGTATATCAATGCATGGTTACAAACAATAAAATGTATGCATTTAAGTTCAATGGCCTTTGATACATGTTGCACTCATGCAACCATTGTAACCATCACCACAAGGAAGACATAGAACATTTTCATCAGCCAAAAGGTTATCTCGTGCTCATCTATGAGTAAACCATAGGTATGATGACCTTTTACTGCCTAAATATTTCATATTATACTTCCTAAAACCATGAATTCTCTCATATGACCACAGGACAATTTACAAAATCAAGAAATGAGGCCGGGTGCAGTGGCTCACACCTGTAATCCCAGCACTTTGGGAGGCTGAGGAGGGAGGATCACTTGAGGTCAGGAGCTCAAGACCAGCCTGACCAACATGTTGAAACCCATTACTACTAAAAATACAAAAAAATTAGCCGGGCTTGGTGGTGCATGCCTGTAATCTCAGCTACTTAGGAGGCTGAGGCAGAAGAATCACTTGAAGCTGGGAGGCAGAGGTTGCAGTGAGCTGAGATTGCAACATTGCACTCCAGCCTGGGCAACAAGAACAAAACTCTATCTCAAAAAAGAAAGAAAGAAAGAAAGAAATTAACTCTGAAACAATGCTACTATCTAATCTACAGACCTTATTAAGATTTTTCCAGCTGTCTCACCAATGTCTTTCACAGCAAAAACAATCTAAAATTTGAATTTGAATTCAGTCGTCTTGTCTCTTTAGTCTCCTGGGATATGGAATAATTTTCTGAGTCTATTTTTCTTTCTCATGACATTGGCATTTTTGAAGAGTACAGGAGTACAGAGTACAGGACAGTTATTTTGTAGATTGTTCTTCAATTAACTCAGGCTTGTGGGTGTTTCCTCATGACTATGTTCAGGTTATGAACTTTTGGCAGGAATACCAGAGGAGTAGTGCTGCGTTGTTCTCAGTGAATCTTATCAGGAGTTACATGCTGTTTACTAGTGATGTTGCTGCAAGAGTACCTTTGGTCATTTGGTTAAGGTAGTGCCTGCCATCTTTCCGCACCTTAAAGTTGCTCTTTTCCCCTTCATAATTGTATTAGTCCATTTTGCATTGCCATAAAGGAATACCTGAAACTGGGTAATTTATAAAGAAAAAAGGGTTATTTGGCTCACAGTTCTATAGGCTGTACAAACATGGCATCAGCATCTGCTCAGCTTCTGGTGAGGCCTTAGGAAGGTTTTACTCATGGCAAAAGGCATGGGGGAGCAGGCATGTCATGGTGAGAGAGGAAGTAAGAGAGAGAGGAGAAGGTTCCAGGCTCTTTTAAACAACCAACTCTCATGTGAACTAATAGAGTGAGAACTCACTCATTACTGTTGAGGACAGCATGAAGCCATTCATTGAGGAATCCACTCCCATGATCCAAACACTCCTACCAGGCCCCAAATCCAACATTAGCAATCACATTTCAACATATTTGGAGGGGATGAAACATCCAAACCATATCATTCCCCCCCTGGTCCTTCAAATATTATGTTCTTCCCATGTTTCAAAATACAGTCATCCCTTCTCAATAGTCCCCAAAAGTCTTAACTAGTTCCAGTATCAACTCAGTCAAAAGTCTTAACTAGTTCCAGCATCAACTCAATCAAAAGTCTTAACTAGTTCCAGCATCAACTCAATCAAAAGTTGTAACTAGTTCCAACATCAGCTCAATCAAAAGTCGAAAGTCTCACCTGAGGCTCAAGGAAAATTTCTTCTACCTATGAGCCTCTAAAATAAAAAACGAGTTCCAAGATACAATGGCTGTACAGGCATTGGGTAAACATTCCTATTCCAAAAGGGAAATTGGCCAAAAGAAAGGGACAATAGGCCCCACACAAGTCCAAAGCCCAGCAGGAAAGACATTAAACTTTAAAGCTCCAGAATAATCCTTGACTCCATGTCCCACAACCAGGGTACACTGGTGTGAGGAGTGGGCTCCCAATGCCTTGGCCAGTTCCACCCCTGTGGCTTTGTAGGGTACAGCCCCCATGGCTGCTCTCATGGGTTGGAATTGAATGCCTGCAGCTTTCCAGGCTTAGGGTGCAAGCCGCTGGTGGCTCTACCACTCTTGGGTCTGGCAGACAGCAACCTCCTTCCCACAACTGCACTAGGAAGTGCCCCAGTGAGGACTCTCTGTGGGGGCTCCAACTACACATTTCCCCTTGTATTGACCTAGTAGAGGCTTTCTGTATGGGCTCTACCCATGAGGCAGGCTTCTGCCTGGACAACCAAGCTTTCCCAGAGATCCTCTAAAATCTAAGGGGAAGCTGCCAAACCTCTTTTACTCTTGCATTATGTGTGCCTGCAGACTTGCCACCACATAGAAACTGCCAAGGCTTAAGGCTTGTGATCTCCAAAGCAGCAGCCAGTTCTATGCATAGGGCCCTTTGAGGCATGCTGGACCTGGGGCTGGAGCAGCCAGGACGTGGGCAGCAGCCTCTCCTGAGTGACACAGAGAAGTGGGGCCCTGAGCCTGATCCCCGTAACCATTGTTGGTTTTTTTTTTTTGAGACAGAGTCTCGCTCTGTCGCCCAGGCTGGAGTGCAGTGGTGCGATCTTGGCTCACTGCAAGCTCCGCCTCCTGGGTTCACGCCATTCTCCTGCCTCAGCCTCCTGAGTAGCTGGGACTACAGGCGCCCACCACCATGCCCAGCTAATTTTTTGTATTTTTAGTAGAGATGGGGTTTCATCAAACCAGGATGATCTCGATCTCCTGATCTTGTGATCTGCCCACCCCGGCCTCCCATAACCATTCTTTTCTCCTAGGCCTTTGAGTCTGTAATGGAAGGGACTGTCCTGAAAACTTCTGAAATGCCTTCTGAAAAGTACTTGGCTCCCTTTTAGTCATGCAAATTACTCTAGCAAGTGGTTGCTTTGCAGCCCACCTCAATTCCTCTCCTGAAAACACTCTTTCCTTTTCTACCACATGGCAGATGCAGATTATCTAAATTAGCAGATTATCTAAATTTTTATGTTCTGCTTTTCCTTATAAGTTCCAACTTTATGTGTTTCCTTTTCTCCCAAATCGATCATAGGTTATTAAAAACAGCCACATCATTTCTTAAACACCTTGCTGCTTAGAAATTTCTTTTGCCAGATAACCTACATCATTGCTCTTAAGTTCAACCTTTCATAAGTGCCTAGGGCATGGACACATTGCAGCCAAGCTCTTTGCTAAGGCATAACACATGTGATTTTTAGTCCAGCTCCCAACAAATTTCTCATTTCCATCTGAGTCCTCATTAGCCGGGCCTTCACTATCCATATTTGTATCCACATTTTGGTCACATTCATTTAACCAGTCTCTAAGAAGTTCTAAACTTTCCCTTATTTTCCTGTCTTCTGAGCTCTCCAAACTCTTTAAACTTCTGCATATTACCCAGTTCCAAAGATGCTTCCACATGTTCAGGTAACTTTATAGCAACAAACACCCCACTCCTGGTACCAATTTTCTGTATTACTCCATTTTATGTCGCTATAAAGGAATATCTAAGACAAGGTAGTTTATTTTAAAAAAAGGTTATTTGGCTCATGGTTCTGCAGGCTGTACAAACATGGCACCAGCATCTATTTGGCTTTTGGTGAGGTCTCAGGAAGCTTTTACCTGTGGTGGATGCCACAGAGGGAGCAGGCATGTCACATGGTGACAGAGAAAGCAAGAAGGTGGGTGGAGGGGGGTGTGTTCCAGACTTCTTTAAACAACCAGCTCTCATGTGAGCTAACAGAGCAAGAACTCATTCATTACCATGGGGACTGCACTGAGCCACTCATGAGGAATCCATCTTCATGACCCAAACACCTCCCACCAGGCCCCACCTTCAACATTTGGGATCACATTTCTTTTTTTTTTTTTTTTTTTTTTCTTTTGAGACAGAGTTTCACTCTTGTTGCCCAGGCTGGAGTGCAATGGCGCAATCTCGGCTCACTGCAACATCCATCTCCTGGGTTCCAGTGATCCTCCTGCCTCAGCCTCCTAAGTACCTGGGATTACAGGCATGCACCACAATGCCTGGCTACTTTTTTGTATTTAGAAAAGACAGGGTTTCACCATGTTGGTCAGGCTGGTCTTGAACTCTTGACCTCAAGTGATCCACCCGCCTCAGCCTCCCAAAGTGCTGGGATTACAGGTGTGAGCCACCACACCCAGCTGGGATCACATTTCAACATGAGATTTGGAAGGGACAAAAAACACCCAAACCATATCAATAATTCGGTAGTATTTCTGGTAATATTCATTGAGATCCACTATATTCTTCAACATTTATACTCATGAACATTTTTCTCTTAAGATGAGAGAATCTCAATTGGCCAGAATCAATTAAGTAGAAGTTGTCTTTTGCTAACCTTTTTTTTGCACCCTACAACCTGGTGAAAGGAGAGAACTTAAAACATGTTTTAGAGCTCACATCAGGAATTTATCTCACTAAAAGAACTTTGTAGGGTCCACCTGAAGTTCTGAATACTGGTTTACAACACTGGCATCTATTGTAGTTGCCCATTATCACTGGACGTTTAGATACCTCAGTCTTAAGGGTTAACTCAACTGTGATGATTCTTCGGTGAAGAAGTCATATATAAATGTATAAGTCAAATATATTAATGTATAAATATCTAAGTCAGAAAAGCTTATGTATTTTAGAAAGAGTTTCAACAACTGATGTTAAAGTGCTAAAATAAATTTCCCCATTTCCTATTTACATTTGAATAAATGCTTTCAGATTAGTTGAAGTTTTCTAGCATATAATGAAATCCTATTCCATCTTTGACAAATATATTTCTAACAAATGCAATATTGTTTGTTTCTATCATTATTGACTGGCTGTGTTTTATTCCATATTTAATATTTTATGCCTTTCCACACACTGTGACATTACACTGATGAACTCTTTACCACAATAATTTCCCTTGTCATTTAACCTTCTGGGCTGTTTTCAAATGAACATTCCTGGCCTCAAATCATCTGGTAATTAATGGGGAGGAATTATGTTCATTCTCTAAAATCATCTTCTAGAATATTTATTTCTTTTGTTGTTTCTTTAGAAGAAGTGTGGGAAAATGTGCTACAAACATTTCTCAAAACGAGGCTGTTACCCCTTAAAAACAAAGGTCAGATTCTAAATGCATGCTTACTCATTGCTGGAAAAGCTTTTACATCTTTACATTTACTGAAGCACAGGGCCCTCTGTTATCAGATGCCTTCATTTTATGTTTTATTAAATAAGAAATTTAGACTTTAGGGGGCACATATTTGAACATTAAATATGACTGAGAGTCTAGCTTCCTGTTCATTTACATGCACTGATAGACCAGTGGAAGCAGAGGTAAGGCCTCCTGTTGTCTTTTTCAAATAAAATAAAATGTGGAGAACAGAGAAGCAACAGTGAATTTCGGAGGTTGGGTATATCTGGATGCTTATTTGGTGTCTCATCCTTTGTTTCCTTCCCTGACTCCCACATTGGCCATGAATTGCTCTCTTCTGGGTCCTCCCCCATTGATCATACCATTGAATATGGCTGTGCTGTTGCTCCCACTAAACCTGGGACTCTTTCCTATATGTATTTGTATCCAGGGCACCTAGATGAGTTCCTGAGACCTGTTGGGTGGTTGAATGGATAATGAAATGCTTCAGAGGTTTGATTAATATCATATAATATTTTATAGCTAGAAAGAGACTTAAAATGATCTAAAACAACACAACTTTTTATCGAAGAGGAAAGCAACTTTGAGTGGTTAAACACCTGGTCAATGTCACCCACTCTTTAGTTGGTAGAACAGGACTAAAAATTACCTGGTTCTTTTTTCATGGCAGCATGTATTTAACAATTTTTGATTCTTACAGGACTGGACAAAAACAAATTTGGCTGGGAGTGGTGGCTCATGCCTGTAATCTCAGCACTTTGGGAGGCTGAAGTGGGCGGATCACCTGAGGTCAGGAGTTCAAAACCAGCCTGGCCAACATGGTGAAACCTCGTCTCTACTAAAGATACAAAAATGAGGCAGGCATGGTGATGCACACCTGTAGTCCCAGCTACTTGGGAGGCTGAGGTGGGAGAATTGCTTGAAGCCAGGAGATGGGTGTTGCAGTGAGCTGAGATGGTGCCACTGCACTCCAGCCTGGGTAACAGAGGGAGACTCCTTCTCAAAAAACAAAACACAAAAACAACAACAACAACAAAAAACAAATTAGAGAGAATGTAGAGTCTAATTTCCCCCTTGTTCTTTACTTACTGTTGACATAGCTGATGTCTCTGAAAGAATTCACTTTGGGAGTAACAGCCTTGAAGATCAGAGTCAATGGCTAGTGATGGATAACCTCTGTCAACCTTTATATCAAAGCAATGTTCCCAGAGGATTAACTGGAACCTACTCCATTTAATGACATTTTTCATTCTGGAATCCATTGCATAGATGACGCTAAGGTCATATCACTTCTAAACTCTTGTTCCTAATAGTCCTTCCACTTAGAATACATTTTTTTATTAACAATGTTAAAGACATAAATGGATCTGGGAGTTTAAAAAATGTTGAGTGAATAAAAAAGTCGCAGAAAGATGAATATAGTATGGCAACAGTCATGTAACTTTTTTTCTCCATTTTTAGTCATACACAGTAAAAGTCACTTTTTGGTGTACAGTTCTGTGAGTTTTGAGAAATGCATACGGTTGTGTAACTACCACCGCAATCAAGACACAGAACAGTTGCATCACATACACCCTCAAATTTCCTTGTGCTGTGTCTTTATAGTCAAAGCTCACCCTTCTTTCAGACCCCCTCTTCTCTCTGGCAATCATTGATCTGTAGTATGTTACTATACCCTTTTCCAAAATGTCGTATAAATGGAATCATATGGGATGCTACCTTTTTACACTGATTTTTTTTTTTTTTTACTCAACATAATGTTCTTGAGATCCATCCAAGTTGTTACATAAATCAATAGTTCTGTTTTTATTCTTAAGAAATATTACATTTTGCCATAGACCACAGTTTGTTGGGAGACTGTTCAGTTTTTTACAATTATGAATAAAGTTGCTATAAACATTTGCATACAAGTTTTGGTATAAACATAGATTTTCGTTTCACTTGGGTAAAAATGTAGAAGTGGGATCACTAAGTTGTAGGTTAAATGTTGTTTAACTTTGTAAGAAACTGCCAGGCTTTTTCCGTAGTGACTGAATGAGAGTTCCAATTGCTCCACATCCTCGCCAGTACATGGCATTGTCAGGTTTTTATTCTATTTTTAGCCATTTTGGTTGGTACACAGTGGTATTTCATTGCAGTTTATTTTTTATTTATTTATTTATTTATTTTGAGATGGAGTCTCGCTCTTGTCACCCAGGCTGGAGTGCAGTGGGCACGATCTCGACTCACTGCAACCTCCACCTCCTGAATTCAAGTGATTCTCTTGCCTCAGCCTCCCAAGTAGGGAAGACTGAAATTACAGGCGCTCGCCACCACGCCCAGCTAATTTTCGTATTTTTAGTAGAGGTGGGGTTTCACCATGTTGGCCAGGCTGGTCTTGAGTCCCTGACCTCAAGTGGTCCTCCCACCTCAGCCTCCCAAAGTGCTGGGATTATAGGCATGAGCCACCACGCCCGGCCTCATTGTAGTTTAATTACAATTTTTCTAATTATGAATAATTTGAAGATCTTTTCATATGATTATTTGCCATGTGTGTATCTTCTGTGGTGAAGCACTTGCTCAAATATTTTTCCCATTTTAAAAATATTGTTTTCTTACTGTTGAATTTTGAGAGTTCTTTATATAGTCTATCTAGAAGTCCCGTGTCAGATATGTGACTTGCAAATACTTTCTCTTTTTTCTCTTTCTTGTGAATTTCTTAAAGGTGTCTTTCACAGAGCAAAAATTTCTAATGTTGATAAAGTCTAATTTGTCAATTTTTTTATATGAAGCATTGCTATTTATACCACATCTGAGAACACTTTGACTAACAATGTTTCTTTTAAAAGTTTTAGAGCTTTGGCTGGGCATGGTGGCTCATGCCTGACCCAGCACTTTGGGAGGACAAGGAGGTTGGATCACTTGAGGTCAGGAGTTCGAGACCAGCCTGGCCAACATGGTGAAACCCCATCTCTACCAAAAAATTCAAAAATTAGCCAGGCATGGTGGTGCATGCCTGTAGTCCCAGCTATTCAGGAGGCTGAGGTGGGAGAATCGTTTGAACCTGGGAGGTGGTTGCAGTGAGCTGAGATCACACCACTGCACTCCAGCCTGGGTGATAGAGTGAGACCCTGTCTCAAAATAAAAAGTTTTACAGTTTTATGTTTTACGTTTAGGCTAATGGTCCATTTTGGATTAATTTTTGTTTAAGATGTGATATACCAATTTGAAGCCACAAAAATCACTATATATAATGTACAGTCATGTATGTGTGCAATTAAATTTAAAACAAACATGGATGATGGATGGATACACGGGGTGGGAGGGAGTACCCATGAGTTTGGGTAAAATTGGCAAAGAAGTCTTCAACAGCAACGATAACATTTTATTCCCTTTAAAATAATCAATCTTGGAGTTATGGGAAGATGACATACAAGTAACATCCTCTATTCTTTTTGCTAAGTACAACTAAAAAGCCTGGGTATTATATATAAGACATAAGACTCTGAGAAGTGGAGGAAAAAGGCATATTAACTAGCGATTTAGGGGCCTAAGGAATGACACAGTGGTGAGTTCCCTGGGTCTTCTTTCTGTCTCATTTATATTCCAGACTTGGAATTGAGGAAGCTGGCAACCCAGAAACTCCAGATGATGCATATGGAAAAAAATCCTCAACAAGCCTTCTCACTCCAGCCAAAGGATCAGGAAGGAGGCAGTGTAGTAAGACAAAATACTTGTAGACAATACCTGCTATACTGCAGTCAAAATCCACAGAAAAAAAAAGTGGCCCCCAACTCCACCCATGTCAGCAAAGATTCAATACTACTTCGGTCTGAAAGTTTGTGGCCCCTTAAAATTCATATGTTGAAATCTCAAGGTGATGATATTAAGAGGTGGGGATCTTTATGAGATGATTAAATCATGAGTGCAGACTGTTCATGAATGGGATTAGTGCCCTTATGAAAGAGACCTCAGAGAGCTGTTTTCCCTCTTCCACTAGGTGAGGACTTGGTGAGGAGGAGCCATCTATGAGGAAGAGGTTATTCTCTGACACTGAATCCCATAGTGCTTTGATTTGGACTTTCCAGCCTCCAGAAGTATGAGAAATAAATGTTTGCTGTTTATAAGCCACTCAGCCCAGTTCATGGTATTTGTGTTATGGCAGTCTGAATGGACTAAGACAAGTTGGGAGCTGAGACTTCTACTCTTGTGAGACTGTAACAATGCGTGTCAGCACCGCACTGCAACGGTGTCAAGAGAAGGCCAAGCAAGGAGCCAGGACTTGCATACCAGGCAGCTGGCAATTGGCCCCCATCCCATGATGTGTCATTGGAGACCACGTGAGGAGCCAGAACTCCCACCCTTGACCAGCAGTAACAAGGAACCACCCCTTCAGGTGTCAGCTTAGGCAATGTTGGGAACCTGGACTGCTACTATCACCTGGCAGTAATGAGGCAGCACGTTCCCCTTACTCAGCCAGCCAGCTGAAAAAGAAGGGTTTTTTTTTGAGACAGAGTTTGGCTTTTGTCACCAAGGATGGAGTGCAATGGCACTGTATCAGCTCACTGAAACACCTGCCTCCTGGGTTCAAGCAATTCTCCTGCCTCAGCCTCTTGAGTAGCTGGGATTACAGGCACCCACCACCACGCCTGGCTAATTTTTGTATTTTTAGTAGAAACAGGGTTTCACCATGTTGGCCATGCTAGTCTTGAATTCCTGACCTCAGGTGATCCACCCTCCTTGGCCTCCCAAAGTGCTGGGATTACAGGTGTGAGCCACTGCACCCAGCCAGAAAAAGGTTTCAATAAACATCCAGAGTCTCATAACATAATATGAAAATCAGCAGATGGAGAACTAAATACCACTGATAACCAACAGGATCTAATCATTTAGAGAATACCCCACTTAAGAACATCAGAAGGCCAGGCGCAGTGGCTCACGCCTGTAATCCCAGCACTTTGGGAGGCCGAGGCAGGTGGATCACCTGAGGTCGGGAGTTCGAGACTGGCCTGACCAACATGGAGAAACCCTGTCTCTATTAAAATTACAAAATTAGCTGGGCATGGTGGCGCATGCCTGTAATCCCAGCTACTCGGGAGGCTGAGGCAGGAGAACTGCTTGAACCTGGGAGGTGGAGGTTGCAGTGAGCCAAGATCGTGCCATTGCACTCCAGCCTGGGCAACAAGAGTGAAACTCTGTCTCAAAAAAAAAAAAAAGTACATTAGAATACACATTCTTTCCGAGTGCCCATGGAATATATGCCAAAATAGACTGCATTCTAAGCCCCAAAACAGACCTCAAAAAATGTAAAATAGTTGAAGTCATAGAGTGTATTTTCTGAACACGATGGAATAAAGTTAGAAATCAAAAATAAAAAGATAACATAGAAATCTCCAAACACTTGGAAACTAAGTAACACACTTTTAAATAATCCATGGGTCAAAGAGGATGTATCAGAGGAAATAAAAAATACATTGAGATTAATTAAAATGAAGATATATTAAAATGTGTTCCCATGACCATGACATAATTGTCTGCATAA
Source organism: Homo sapiens (assembly GCF_000001405.40). Classification (NCBI taxonomy): domain Eukaryota; kingdom Metazoa; phylum Chordata; class Mammalia; order Primates; family Hominidae; genus Homo; species Homo sapiens. The sequence continues at coordinate 227,440,611 of NC_000002.12, forward strand.
AAGATAGCAAGGAAGAAACAACAGCAACAAAAAGTTTCTAGAATAAGTGAGTTCAGCGAAGTCATAGGATACGTAATAAACTTACAGCAATCAATTATATTTCCATATACTAGCAATGAACAAACACTGAGATTTAGCATACAATTCTACTCACAGTTGCTTTAAAAATAAAATGTTTAGATGTTAATCTAACAAAATATATACAGGACTTGTATGTTGAAAACTATACCATGCTAATTAAAGGAATCAAAGACGATCTAAATAAATTGAGAGACACGTTATGTTCATGGATTGGAATACTCAATGTAATGATGATGTCAATACTCCCCAAATTTAAATACAATTTTAGCACAGTTTTTATCAAAACCCATGCAAGGGCTTGGCACGGTGGCTCACGCCTGTAATCCCCGCACTTTGGGAGGCTGAGGCGGGTGGATCACTAGGTCAGGAGATCGAGACCACCCTGGCTAACACGGTGAAACCCCCGTCTCTACTAAAAATACAAAAACTTAGCCGGGTGTGGTGGTGGGTGCCTGTAGTCCCAGCTACTCGGGAGGCTGAGGCAGGAGAATGGCATGAACCCAGGAAGCGGAGCTTGCAGTGAGCCGAGATCGCACCACTGCACTCCAGCCTGGGCAAGACAGTGAGGCTCTGTCTCAAAAAAAAAACAAAAAACAAAAAACAAAAACAAAAACAAAACGAAACAAAAAAACCATGCAAGATTTTTTAGATATAGGCAAGATTATTCTAAAATTTCTATGGAAAGGGAAAAGAATTAGAATAGCCAAAACAATTTTGGAAAAGAAGAATCAAGTGGAAGGAATCAGTCTGCCTGATTTCAAGACTAATTCTATAGCTGTGACTGTTATGACTGTGTGGTATTGGTGGAGGGATAGACACATAGATCAATACAACAGAATACAGAACTCCGAAATAGAACCACACAAATATCCCTAACTACTTTGTGACAAAGGTGCAAAAACAACGCAATGGAGAAAATATAGTCATCTGCAGGTGCTGGCAGGGGACTGGTTCCAGGAACCCTGGAGATACCGAAATCCATGATGCTCAAGTCCCACAGCAGGCCCTGAGGATTCCACGGGTGCAAAAAGTTAGCCTTCGGTACCTATGAGTTTTGTTTTGTTTTGTTTTGTTTTTTTGAGACGGAGTCTCACTCCGTCGCCCAGGCTGGAGTGCAGTGGCACGATCTCAGTTCACTGCAAACTCCGCCTCCTGGATTCAAGTGATTCTCCTGCCTTGGCCTCCCGGGAGTAGCTGGGACTATAGGTGTGCGCCACCATGCCTAATTTGTGTATTTTTAGTAGAGGCAGGGTTTCACCATGTTGGCCAGGCTGGTCTTGAACTCCCGACCTCAGGTGATCTGCCCACCTCTGCCTCCCAATGTGCTGGGATTACAGGTGTGAGCCACCACCCCCGACCTGTATCTGTGAATTTTGCATCCCACAAATACTGTATTTTTTTTTTTAATCTTCAGTTGAGTCTAAGCAAAAGGAACCCATGGGTACATAAAGCCTTTTCAACAAATGTCACTACAGTACATCAACAACCAGCCATTGGTGAAAATATGAGTCCCAACCTAAGTCTCAAATCTCACAAAAATATTAACCCAAATTGAATTACAGACATAAATGTAAAGCATAAAGCTATGTATTTTTTCTTTTTTTGAGACAGGGTCTTGACTCACTGCAACCTCCACATCCTGGGCTCAAACGATCCTCTTGCTTCAGTCTCCCAAGTAGCTGGGACTACAGACATGTGCCACCATGCCTGGCTAATTTTTGTATTTTTAGTAGAGACAGGGTTTTGCCATGTTGGCCAGGCTGGTCTCAAACTCCTGGTCTCAAGAGATCCACCTGCCTCTGCTTCCCAAGGTGCTGGGATTACAGGCATGAGCCACTGAACCTGGCCAGAACAGGGACATTAAAGCTACTGTTTCACTTTAACCAGCCAAATACAGTCATGTACTGCATAACATTTTGGTCAACAACAGACCGCATATACGACGGTGGTCCCAAAGGGTATAATACTGTATTTTTACTGTACCTTTTCTATGTTTAGGTGCACAAACACTTGCCATTGTGTTACAGTTGCCTACAGTTATTCAGTGCAGTAACATACTGCATAGGTTTGTAGCTTGTGAACAATAGGCTATACCATCTAGGCTAGGTGTGTAGTAGGCTGCAACATCTAGGTTTGTGTAAAAGCACTCTATGATGGTCACACAATGACGAAATCACCTAACCATGCATTTCTCAGAATGTATTCCTGTTGTTAAGTGATGCATAGCTGTATTTTGTCTTGCTCCCAAGAATACCTTATAGAAGTTTTCCCCTTGGCCCCCTTGGTGGAACCCCACCTGCTTGCAGTTGGTGTTGCCTGATTCCTGAATCACAGTCTGCTCAAATAAACTAAAATGTTCACGTGCTTCAGTTCATCTTTTAACACTTATAATACATGTTATTCTACAGTTATTTCAAAATGAAAAGTTTAAAAATGGAACTGAAACAAAAATGCTAGTATTTATAAAAGCGTTTGGTGGTTACATTAGTGTGTATTATATAATTTTCTGTACTTTTTATAAGTTATTTTATTAAAAAAAAATACTTCAGCCAGGCATGGTGGCTTATGCCTGTAATCCCAGCACTTTGGGAGGCGGAGTTGGGTGGATCACCTGAGGTCAGAAGTTTGAGACCCGCCTGTCTAACATGGCAAAACCCTGTCTCTACTACAAATACAAAAATTAGCCAAGCATGGTGGCTGGCACCTGTAATCCCAGCTACTCAGGAGGCTGAGGCAGGAGAATCGCATGAACCTGGGAGATGGAGGTTGCAGTGAGCTGAGATCACACCACTGCACTCCAGCCTGGGCAACACAGTGAGAATCCATCTCAAAAATAAAAAATAAAAAAAATACTTCAAGACTTAGGTCAAATGTCTCCTCCACTTAAGGCTATTGTCAGATAGAATGACATTAGCTGCTCTTCCTCCATGATTCCATGGGGGTAAAATCAGAATAAGAGCATCTTGTCATTTTTCTTTCTTTACACCGCTTCCCATAACTCCCATATTTAATCCACTGCCTTGAATGCAATGGTTATTCTTACTGATACACCATTATTTTTGTGTATTTAGCTGTGTCTAAGGGATCTAAATTAGAAAGAAACCAAAAAAGCCCACACAATTTGAGTCTTCATTCCACAAAGAAAAAATCCAGCCAAAATAAATGCACCATAAGTTACAGCAATTCAAAGAAATCATAAGGAAGGGTATTGAAAAGGACCCACAGTGTGCTTTTTTCCAAAGCGGTTCTTTTGCCCAAGGGGACAAATGTCTTTTGTGGAGTGGAAATTTTGTTTTGGTTCCTTTGATGCCCACTTCTCTATCTTCGTGGTGTTTAGAATGCTTCTGGTGTCGAGTAACAGACATTGAACTTCACCGGCTGAAACACTGAGTAACTGTCTTGGCTCTCAGAGCGGGAGAGTGTTGATAGGGCATGATCAGGGTCATCAGAATCCAGAGGCTCCAGTTCCGTTTCCTGGGGCTCTGCATTCCCCTGTGGGCTGATTTCATTTGTAGCTTAATATTGGCAAGTTCTAGGCCTCATATCCTCACATGATGATATCCAGAGGAAGAGAAAGACCCTCTCTTCATCTTGCTTTCTCCTTAGCCTGAGGAGACGCCCCCAGGATGCCCCAGGAAACCTCTCCTTGCATTATTGGCTCACATGCCCATTGCTGAGCCAGTTGCTGGCAGCGGGGATGGAATCCCCCCAGACCAGCCGGGCCTCTTGCCCATCCTGAAGGCTCCCTGCCCTGGAGGACCTGAGGGCTGTCTGGGAGAAGGGTGGCTACTTTCATGCGTGTCCGTGTGAAGAGACCACCAAATAGGCTTTGTGTGAGCAATAAAGCTTTCAATCACCTGGGTGCAGGCGGGCTGAGTCTGAAAAGAGAGTCAGCGAAGGGAGATAGGGGTGGGGCCATTTTATAAGATTTGGGTAGGTAAAGGAAAATTACAGTCAAAGGGGGTTTGTTCTCTGGCGGGCAGGAGTGGAGGTCGCAAGGTGCTCAGTGGGGGAGCTTTTTGAGCCAGGATGAGCCAGGAAAAGGACTTTCACAAGGTAATGTCATCACTTAAGGCAAGGCCTGGCCATTTTCACTTCTTTTGTGGTGGAATGTCATCAGTTAAGGCGGGGCAGGGCATTTTCACTTCTTTTGTGATTCTTCAGTTACTTCAGGCCATCTGGGTGTATAAGTGCAAGTCACAGGGGATGTGATGGCTTGGCTTGGGCTCAGAGGCCTGACAGTTACCTGAACATGTTACAGGAAAGGGGTCCCGATACAGACCCCAAGAGAGGGTTCTTGGATATTGCGCAGGAAAGAATTCAGGCGAGTCCTCAGTGCAAAGTAAAAGCAAGTTTATTAAGAAAGTAAAGCAGGGCCGGGCACGGTGGCTCACACCTGTAATCCCAGCACTTTGGGAGGCAGAGGCGGGTGGATCACGAGGTCAGGAGTTCAAGACCAGCTTGGCCAAGATGGTGAAACCCCATCTCTACTAAAAACTACCAAAAAAAAAAAAATAGCTGGGTGCGGTGGCAGGCACCTGTAATCCCAGCTACTCGGGAGGCTGAGGCAAGAGAATCGCTTGAACCCAGGCAGCAGAGGTTGCAGTGAGCCGAGATCGCACCACTGCACTCCAGCCTGGGCAACAGAGTAAGACTCCGTCTCAAAAAAAAAAAAAAGAAAGAAAGAAAGTAAAGCAGTGAAAGAATAGCAACTCCACAGACAGAGCAGGACATTCCCAAAAGTAAGAGGAGGAACGTGCCCACCCTAGGTACGATGCTTGTTTATATACAGGATAAAAAAAGATCTTGGGGAGATGGGCTCTGCTACGAGGGTCTGTGATAAGGGATTAATTTTCTTAATTATTATATTTTGCAAAAATTGATATTATATTTAAAGCAAAATTAGGAATGCCTTTGTTCTCCAGATATTGGGATATCTGGATACTCCCAAGTCTGGGTCTGTTGAGTAAACATTATTAATTTGTTCCCTTAACCATAAACATCTAGAGGTTCAGAATGCTTAACTCTCTGGGAATGCAGCCCAGCAGGTCCCAGCCTCATTTTCCAGCCCTCATTCAAAATGGAGTTGCTCTGGTTTGAACGCCTCTGAGAAACAGGCTTGGGGTTCTGGAGTGGTGACGGAGGCTAACAAGAAAGTCCATCCTAATCTCCCTGTCAGCCCTTGGTCAAGCTATGGCTTTTATTCATGCCTCTCTCTTTCTGCAAATTTATTCAGCTTTGCTTCTTTGCATCAGGTGGTACTGGGGTTTAATATTCCTGGCTGACCTGAACAGAGAAACTTAGCCAGCGTGATGGCCCACACCTGTAGTCCCAGCTACTCTGGAGGCTGAGATGGGAGGATCACTTGAGCCCCGGAAGTGGAGGCTGCAGTGAGCCAAGACAGTGCCACTGCACTCTAGCCTGGGCAACAGAACAAGACCCTGTCTCAAAAACAAACAAAAACAAACAAACAAACAAAAACAGAGAGAAAAGAGAAACTTTCTTCCACATGTTTTCTGTCCATGATAATATATGCTAAAAGGCCTCAGGCCAGAGCCAGGTGGGGAGTGTTACTTATTAAAAAAAATTCTGGGCCTACATTACAAGGAGAGATGTACAGGCTTGGGGAGAGATGACCCAGGCGGATCTCTAAGTCCAGGTGGATGGAAAGACAGACAGTGCCCAGTAGGTGACAGGATGACAGGGACCTGTCGCCAGGCCCCTCAGTGGCTTGGGTGATGTGGTAGGTCTCCCTAAAAGAAGATTGAAGGCCAGAATAAACCGACAGAGAACCTGGGGGGCACACCCAGACACAGGAGTGTGTTCCCAGTATGTGTTTAAAAAACAAAGATTAAGGGTATGTCTAGGAAGAACAGGAAATGAGCCAGGAAGACAGGCCAGGGGACTGTTACATTCCATTTGGGATTTAGAGGGAATAGTGAGGGTACAGTATCTTGAAGCAACAAGGTATTCAAAGATACAGGACCACCACATTCAGGTCTGTGGTCCACTAATGAATACGCTAGTCCTACAGCTTCCATGGATTTACAGGATCAATGTTAGTTTAAGCCCCCAGTTAATTTCAGTAAATGAAGGCTATTTTTTTAAATTAAAAAAAAGCTTCAAAATTCAAAATGAACTCAAGAACTTGAATTAAAAGCACATAAACATAAAAAGAAACCACTGAAGTCTGGAAAAAACGTTATTTAAAATCTGCCACTACTGGTAATCACAATCTCTTTCTCTAATCATCTCTCTAACTTATTTGGAATCGTTTTTGAGATATTTATGGGTCTGGCCTGGTAAAGATTTAGTGATGATAGATAGTACTGTGCGCTCTGGGGAGAGAGAAGGAAAAAAAAGAAATTGGAGCACAGAAAAAAATAATTTTCCTCTATTCTCCTTTCTGAAAAATCCTAGGAGAACACATGAGGAACTATTAATAGTGCTTACTTCTGAGCAATGGGACTTTGGGTTGAACAGGTAGGGAAAGGAAGTCTTACATTTACCACCATTCTGTGTGGTAGGCATTTTTTTTTTCATACATCATGAGCTCATATAACTACTGTCATTTTTTTTTTTTTTTTAGACGAGGTTTCGCTCTTGTTGCCCAGGCTGGAGTGCAATGCTGCGATCTTGGGATCTCGGCTCACTGCAACCTCCACCTCCCGGGTTCAAACAATTCTCTTGCCTCAGCCTCCCAAGTAGCTGGGATTACAGGCATGTACCACCACGCCCCGCTAATTTCTTATATTTAGTAGAGATGGGGTTTCACCATGTTAGTCAGGCTGGTCTCGAACTGCTGACCTCAGGCGATCTGCCCGCCTCAGCCTCCCAAACTGCTGGGATTACAGGTGTGCACCACTGTGGCCGGCCGACTATTGTAATCTTTACAAGTAAAACAAAACTAAGGAAAAAGTGTATTAAATATATCTCCAGTTAGGACCTGATGCATCGATTCTTAGTTCTGCTAATGTTCAGTGCAACTGTCTTCCCTGTGATGAATTTGTGTTTGAGGTGTCCTTGGAAGCCTCATTCAGTAGGGAAGGAATGTGAGTGACTAAGTTTAACAACAATAAACGATGAACATTCTCAACTGTATGCTTTGTACAGATGCTTCACATACTAAATATCACCACGGAGTCTCCACTAAGCCTTAGCTGCACCCTTCTCATAAATACCCTGAGAAATGCCCAAAGATCAGGCACGGCTCATTAGGAAATGTAACGGAGTCGTGACTGAACACAAGTGACAGATTTTAATTCAGATTAGCTCAACAGTGCAGTAAAGTCCAATCTTGATTCTGTCGGGGGTGGGGAGGGAGCAGAAACAAAAGAATGTCATAATCAAGGCCAGACTTCAAGGAAGGGATAACTCTCCAATAGGCTGAAGAGTAAATGTATTCAATGTTTCAAGTATACAAGCATTATTCCTATAATGATATCAACACATTATTAAAAAACCGTATTTAACAAGGATTCTCAGCGGATCCAGCTTGCTTCCCATACTTTCAAAATGTCTGCTCTAACCTGGAATTAATGGGTAACAACCTTGTGGTCTTTGAAAATATTAATTTAGGTTAGATTCACAAAACTACAAACTTGAAGCAAGCAAAAATATGATGACGTGATAACCTTAAGCCTATTGTTTGTAATTGCTGCTTGCTTTTTCGATGCTAGTATTTTGGTAACAGTTCATAAAGCACACTGCCCTATCCATTTTCCTCCTGACATTTAGCATTGAAATCTATATTATAGATGACACCAAGGCCAGTGCCAGATTCCACAAAAAGTTGGGGATGGAACAACCACTCAGGAAGCTTCTGTTAGCCAAAGTCCTTCCAAACCTGCAGGAAAAAAAAAAAAAAAAATATGCCCTAGCCTTTCCTTTCCTCTTCCCTTCCTTTCCCCTCTTCCCTTCCCTTTCTTTTCTCCCTCTCCTTGCCTTTTTCTTTAACCTTCTCTTATTGTATCACTCCATTCACCGTATATTCTTTTTTCCTAAGAAATTGAATTCTCCCCTTTAAAAAATGGAGAGTATAATTTGGGGTGGGGGTACCTCTTGAATATTCTTGAGATATTTGTTTGCTATGAAAAGTTTTTCACTTTTAACTCTTTGACTTTGCTTGACTCTGCTCTGCCTATACAAACTTGAATATGTAGAAACAAGAATACAAGCTTCTGATTAACAACAGGGCCCTAATGATTGAGGCAAGCAGTTTTTTTCCCTTCTACATTTAATGGCTTTTTTCCTTGGGTTTCTCGAAAGTTATTTGGTTAATCTGGAGTCTTACTAAACTCAACACAATCCTAATTTTAGAATAACTAGAAAATATAATTTTGTTTCTCTGTGTGATTGTTAATGCTTGCTTATCTTGGGACTAAAAAATATAATTAATAGGCTGGGCACGGTGGCTCGCGCCTGTAATCCCAGCACTTCGGGGGGCCGAGGTGGGTGGATCACCTGAGGTCAGGAGTTTGAGACCAGCCTGGCCAACATGGTGAAAACCCATCTCTACTAAAAATACAAAAATTAGCCGGGTGTGGTGGTGCACGCCTGTAGCCCCAGCTACTTAGGAGGCTGAGGCAGAAGAATTGCTTCAACCTGGGAGGCAGAGGTTGCAGTGACCCGAGATCGTGCCACTGCACTCTAGTTTGAGCAACAGAGCGAGACTCCATCTCAAAAAAAAAAAAAAAAGAAAGAAAGAAAGAAAGAAAGAAAGAAATAGAATTAGTAAAAATTGTGTTTGAAACGGTTTATTTCAAAATAGTGTGTGCTCCTCAGAGTCATTTAATCAGTCAAGTAATCTGCTTTGTTTGGGGCAGTGAATAGATAAGCAGCAGGAAAAAAAAAAAGCTTAGGAAAAGACCTAAATTGGGGTTTTTTAACGTTGGCACCATTGACATTTCAGGCTGGATAACTCTTTGTCGTGGGGTTGTACTGGGAACTGTAGGAGGTTTGGCAGCCTTCCTGGCCTCTACCCAACCAGTAGCAACCCCTTTCCTTGATATGTGACAATCAAAAAAAGTCTCCAGATATTGCTAAATATCCCCAGGGGGTCAAAATTGCCCCCAGTTGAGAACTACTAACCTAAATTCAGCAGTGAAACTGTTTTATGAACTGTGTCTCTCTGAGATTTATTTCAGAAACTTTCAAAAATTAAAAACTGGGACAGAGCCTGCCTAAAATTTTACGTGGCTCTAAATTTTCCTCCGTCATTTGCCTAAGACAGCATGTCACAGGCTCTCTCTGGAGACCTGGGCCTGCTCCAGGTCTTTGATGATCTAATAGATCTTCTTTTCTGTCTCAGTATTCTGGACAATGACAGCATAATCAATGCGCTGATGCTGAAAACATGCTGAGAAAACAATGGGAACAGGGTCAAATCGTCCTGAAGAAAGATTCTTTTTTAGTAGCATGGACCAGACATAACATTGTGATATACATTTTTCATAAAGCAGAAAACTCCATGATTCAAGGAGAAGTAAAAATCATTCTTTTTATTGTATTCAAGTCCAGTATACATCCATGCATGGATGGAGTTAAGATATAGTGACAAAAGGAGAAATCTCGAAATATGCTACCAGGTGGCTTAAAAATCACAGCTGAATCTATACGGTCAACTTGGCAGTAAAACACGTTACTTATTTCCTGTTTGGGAAAAATACCGCACTATGCTTCCTAGATTCAACTGAATTATGAAATGCAGAAATTGAAATGGGTACAAAAAGTATACTATTTTTTTATCCCTCCCCCCCCCCCCCGTTTCCTTTCTTCTTTCCTTCCTTTTTTTTCTGACAGCATTCACACATAGAAGAAAAGTTGATTCAATGCATCTGGATTGTGAAATAAAGCATAAGGTGTGGACAGGCAGTACAAGTATTGCATACTGTTAATGTTTAATTAAATATTTGAAATCAAACAGTTGACTTAGCAAGTGCTATAAAGAAGAGAGTGTAGATTTTACTAGCTTCTCCATAGCTTGGAAAAAAATTCAGATTGTACCAACCAAGGACAGGTTTTCAGTCGTAAAAGCTAAACATTATTCCATGGATGGCTCCTAGTGGGTGACTTTGGCTCCCTGGCTGCACTGCCCATGTGACTTTACAGATCAGAAAACATCTTCTACTAGGCGAGTTAAGAGGGGGTCAGACCAATGAGTGGCTAATTTGTAAGGATTTCACTTAACTGAAAGACACCCTTCTGAGTGCTTTCTAAACCCCATTAACAGAAATTAGTGTTAAAAGTTAAAAACCAGTAATAATCTGACCTTCAAGCATGCTATACTATAAACTGAACTCTCTATTTTCTGGCTACTGCATTTTCCACTACCAGCCCTAGCCCAGGTTGCTTCCTCTGCCTGAGATGTTCTTTCCTCCCAGCGCCATGTGCACTCCAAATCCTGCCCATCTTAACTGCTACTTCCTCCAAGAAGTCTCCCTTCCCTTATCCTTCAAGACTGAGGGACTCATGCCTTCCTGTGAACTGCCTTAGTGAATTATCTCACCCCTCTTGTGACACTTCACTTTCTGTCTTGTTTTAAGATCTTTTGTGTTTCCTTTTTTATTCCATTTTATTATATAAAAGTCCTTTGTGGAAAGGACTTGCACCTGGTTCCTTGTTCCATTCCCCACACCACATGGCTCGGGACTTTGTACACTGTTTAGCAGATAACAATTTAAATGAATGACCCATTAGATATCATGTTGGTGTCTGATATTTGTTCTACCCAGAGTGAGTCCATCTGGAGGGTGAGATAATGTCGTTCAGCTCCTTTCCAACCCCATCAGCAGTCCTAGGTGAAGAAAGGCAAAGGCCTGTTATAGATCAACTCCCTGGACTAATGTTGCAATCATTCTCTTTGCAAACATGTGTCAGCGTTTCTGCTTCCATATCTTTCTACATATCCGCAGTGAACAAACTCCCTAAGAAACACTGGCTTATTGAAATGGGGCATGTTACTAAATACACAGCATTCTTTTTATCTCCCTTCTCTGCTGTATAACACACCAACCTCCACTTGCACATTCAGAAATATAAAAATGATTACATTATGTAAATCCAACCCCTTTGTAGGGATCACTGCCAGAGAGATGTTAAAATGACATTACACCTGACCTTTCTGAAAAGGATAATGCTCCAGAAGTAAATTCTTACAAATGAGGATGGACAACACTTGGAGTTCTTTTTTTTTTTCTTTTTTTTTTTTCTTTGGAGTCTCACTCTGTCACCCAGGCTTGAGTGCAATGGTGTAATCTTGGCTCACTGCAACCTCTGCCTCCTGGGTTCAAGTGATTGTCCTGCCTCAGCCTCCTGAGTAGCTGGGATTACAGGCGCCTGCCACCATGCCCAGATAATTTTTTCTATTTTTAGTAGAAATGAGGTTTCACCATGTTGGCCAGGCTGGTCTTGAACTCCTGACCTCAGGTGACCCACCTGCCTTGGCCACCCAAAGTGCTGGGATTACAGGCATGAGCCACCATGCCTGGCCAACATTCAGAGGTTTTTTTTTTTTTTCTTTTTTTTTTAAAGAAACCCCTATTGGCTTGTTATTTTATATAAATAAGCATTTTGATTAAAAGAACTATTTGAACTGAATATTTTCTCCCACAGAATGGGAATTAGATTTCTTTAACTTAGCCTGGCTTAGGGTCTCTCTGTCTTCCTTTTTTTGAAGATCTGAAACTCTGGCAAAACAATGTCATATTTTCTGCTAATTTGTGGTTATTGTCCTTTTGCAGGATTTGAATCTTATATGAAGTTTATTTTGTCACCAGGACTATATACCAGAATTTGAGTCTCAGCTGGTATCGGTGGGGGAAGGCCATGGTGGTCTACTGGACAGCACCTGGAAAAAGATGGCATTTGAGTTTGGGCTATGCCACTACTGGCAGTTTGGTTTGGGGAAAGCCAAGTCTTCGCCTCTCAGTCTCCTATCTGAAAAATTGAGACAATAACAATACATATTTCCCAGAATTTTTGTGAGATTTTAATGAGATAATGCATGAGAAAATGCACTGTATACAATACTATACAAATACCAACCCTTCTTCCTATATCACCAGACTCTGCCACATTCATTGAAATCAGCACTTGGTGTTTACGAACATCTTCTCCATATGAGATGCAGAGGACAGAAATTTAAGAGATGCTGACCTTGCCTTTGCAGAGTATTTAACCTTTTTTTTTTTTTTTTTTTTTTGAGATGGAGTCTTGCTCTGTCACCTAGGCTCTGTCACCTAGCCAAGATCACGCGATCTTGGCTCACTGCAACCTCTGCCTCCCTGGCTCAAGCAATTCTCCTGCCTCAGTCTCCCGAGTAGCTGGGATTACAGGCACCTGCCACTATGCCCGGCTAATTTTTCCATTTTTAGTAGAGACAGGGTTTTACCATGTTGGCCAGGCTGGTCTCAAACTCTTGACCTCAAGTGGTCCGCCCACCTCAGCCTCCCAAAGTGCTGGGATTACAGGCATGAGCCACACCAGGCCTTAACCTTTAAGTTTCCTTCCTTCCTTCTTTTTTTTTTTTTCCAGGCAGAGACTTACTGTGTCACCCAGGCTGGAGTGCAGTGGTGCAATCTCGGCTCACTGCAACCTCTGCTCCTGGGGTTCAAGTGATTCTCCTGCCTCAGCCTCCCGAGCAGCTGGGATTACAGGCACGTGCCCCCATGCCTGGCTAATTTTTGTATTTTTAGTAGAGACGGGGTTTCACCATGTTGGCCAGGTTGGTCTTGAACTCCTGACCTCAAGTGATCTGCCCGCCTTGGCTTCCCAAAGTGCTGGAATTACAGGTGTGAGCCACTGCACATGGCCTTTTAAGTTACGTTTAAAAATAAGTTTAATTATGTTTGCTTTGTGAATCTAAAAAAGTGGCTTTTCTTCTGTGAGTATTGGTTTCCTCATCTGTAAAATGGAAGTAGTAATAACTATTTTTCGAGAACAAAGGAGGTAATACACATGAAGCATTGGCATAGTACCTGTCACGTCTAGTTGCTCAGTAAATGGTACCTTTTCAAAGAATAAGAAAAGTGCCCACCTAGTATTATAAGGCTTCAAATTAATAAGCAAGAACCATTATGTCTAGTTCGAAAAGTCTGGAAAGGCTTTATAGAAGATTTAGAATCTGAGCAGAGGCTCAATGTACAAACAGATTTCTGCATTTGAAGATAATAGCAGCAATGGCCAATATTTGCCACACACTGTTCAAAGCACTTTACATGTATTAACTCATTTAATACCAAAACGCAGTTGGTATTTTCATCCCCATTTTGCAAATGAGAAGACTGAGGTACCAGAGTTGAAGAGACTAACCCATAGTCTCACAGATGATTTGGGGGAGAGCAAGGACCAGACCTAAACAGTCTGGTTCCTGAGCCTCAGCTCATAACCACCACTTAGAAGGGGCAGTGGGGACCAATGCAGTGGCTCATGCCTATAATCCCAGCACTTTGGGAGGTGGAGGCAGGAGAATTGCTTGAGCCTAGGAATTCAAGACCAGCCTGGGCAACATAGAAAGACTCCATCTCTTAAAAAAAAATAGCTGGGTGTGAGGGTGTGGGCCTGTAGTCCTAGCTACTAGGGAGGCTGAGGTGTGAGGATGGCTTGTGCCCAGGAGATCAAGGCTACGGTGAGCTATGATTACTCCACTGCATTCCAGCTTGGGGGACAGTGCAAGACTCTGTGTCCAAAAAAATAAAAATAAATAAACAGAATGGGACAGTGAGCTGGAGGGTGAGAGGGATGGAGGAGACAGGCAACCAAAAGCATTATAGGTGCAGAGATGATGAATGAAAACCCTAGGGTCTTCCCCTCCTGAGAGAAAGTAGTGTGAATAGGTCAGAGGCACAGTGGGAAAGGAGCCCTGTGTGATGGAAAAACTGGGGAGACAAAAGGCCAGAGGGAGAGTGTTGTCACTGAGTTGCAGAGAGGTGGCCTCACCACTGAGCCCAGTTCATACCTGTTGATTATGAAGGCAGCAAGAAGGAGAGTTCCAGATTTTGCAAGTCCAGGCCAGATGTAAACATAAGGCCAGTGTTTTCTTAGGAGGCTACCTGGTCCAAGAGGGCAAGGTAATCCCCTCCTCTGTCCACAAAATGCTGCTGACCTTTGACTTTTGCCAGAAAAGCTTTCATCTGGTGTCACCTCTCACCAGGTCCTGGCAATTATGTACATTTCTTAAAAAGGTTAGACTAGCAATTTTTCAAGCTTGCACAGTAGAATGTCATTGTGTGCATGTTTAATTAATCAAGCTGGCATCTAGACTGTGAAAAGCAAGTCTGCAAAGCACCTTGAAGAAAATAATAAACATCCTTCAGTCTTTAAAACACAAACTGCAACAAAAATGAACACTTTCCTTAAGAATCATGAGGACTCAATGGATGCCAAGTTTGCATGTTATTCTGCATGAAATTTCCTCCTCTCTCTCTCAAATTCAGAGTTTTATAGACAATTTCATCAGGCCAGAAGTGTCAGACTTTCTCTTCGATGGAATCATGATGTCTTTATATGGCCAAATATTGTTAGCATTTAGATTCAAGGTTACTTCCTCTGCAAAAGTTAATTGGATGGGATGATGGTTATTCAATGATAATACATTACACTGTCTTACTGTGACCCCTGGGCCTGTCATTTCATTAACAGTCCAGAGAGCATGTCTCACTAAGGCTTTTTGGCTCCTAAACACATGAGGTCACCTCTGCATGCAAAATGAGTCCCTAAAAGGTAGTTAGCATAAATTACTTTATCACTCAACCACAAAAGCAACTTTCTTTTGCAAAATGTTTCCGACTTTTAAGTAACTTCCTTGTACGTGCATTTTTGCTTCCTATACTCATCATTCAATGAAGCAAAACCTAATGTTCTATTAGAATAATCTAGGCAACTGTTTTTTTTTGCCAGGAAGACCCAAGGAACTGCTATAATCGTCTTTGGTTAATTTTTTTTATTTAAAAAATTACTACTCTTAAAATAAATTACTGTGTAAACTCTGCTAGTGGTTTTGTCAATTTTGCTCCCATTAAAATAGGTAAATTACATCAATTAATATATACTAAGGAGAGAGTTAAATGATACCTATTATGTGTTCACACTTTCTAGTCTGTTTCCCTCCCATTTCCTTACTTCAGAAACCCCCTAGAGGTGATGTTCTTGCTACTAATCAGCAGTTAACCAGAACAATGGCTTTATTCATTTATTTATTCATTCAACCATTTATTCATCAAATACTAACTGAGCACCTATTATGTGCCTAGCACTATTCAAGGAACTTGGAATACATTAATGAAAAAGCAGGAAGAGATTCCTGCCCTCCTGGGGCTTAAAGTCTCATAAGGGATAGTTAGATAATAAATAATAAACATAACAAATACAAGAACTATATAGTATATTGAAAGTTCACAAGTGATCTGGAAAAAATAAAAAATGGCACCAGGGGAGTGGAGAACTGGTATACGCAGCAGGGAGGAAGGGGCAGACTGCCATATTAAATAGGGTAATCATGGACAGGCCTGGCTGAGAAATAGGGATGGAGAGAAGTGAAGGAGTTAACCAAGCCGATACCTGGCTTAAAGCAGAGGCAACAGCTAGAGTAAAGGCCCCAGGCAGGAGCTTGGCCTGTTCCCAATGTGGCAAGAAGGTCTGAGTGGCTGGAATGAATGGGAGAGAAGAAAGAGCTTTGTGGGACAGGAGGTCAGGGGTGCTGGGGGACAGGGTGGACACTGCAGGAATTTGAGTAGCAACATGATCTGACTCAGTGTTTAAAAGGATTCCCCTTTAGGGCCTTTTAGGGCATGGTGGCTTATGCCTGTAATCCCAGCACTTTGGGGAGGCCAAGGTAGGGGGATTGCTTGAGCCCAGGGGTTGAGACCAGCCTAGGCAATACAGTAATACCCTTGTCTCTACATAAACAAACAAACAAACAAACAAAGGACCCCGCTAGTACTGGGTTGAGAATGGACAGTGGAGGGGGCTCAGTGTGGAAGCAGGAAGACCAAATTACTATATTCTACAGTCACATTAGAAAATACTAAAAACCCTTTTTGGTTTACATTGTTGTAAACCAGACTTAGAACTAGAAACAAACAAACAAAAAAACTTCCTGTTCAGTCACCTTCTTGGACTACATCCCTTGCATAGAAACTTCAGCACCCTCCTGGAGGAAGGTACATTCCTAGCCCCCTGGCTTTTCTACGTTGGAGGAGCATCAGACCCGCTTAAGCTAACTTGGTAGTGCCCTGTGGGGGCGGTGCAATTACGTCACAGAAGACAGTCATCAAGTCAAGGGGCACAGAGGCAAACACAAGGGTGGGAAGTTCCAGAAGTAGTTCCAGAATGCTTGCTTGGTGATGCAAACCAGGACTGGAATCAGGGAAGGGGGGCCAGCAGGTGCTCTATGCTCACTGTGTCTCACTGATGCTAAAGACAGAGTGCATGTTCTTTGATATTTAGAGTAACAAGATGCAAAATAGCAAACCTTACCTCACTCTGTTTTTGCCTTTGAACTGTCATGATGCAGCTTAGACTTGTATCAGTCTATTTACTTTTCTTTTTTTTTTTTTGAGATGGCGTCTTGCTCCGTCACGTAGGCTGGAGAGCAGTGGTGCGATCTCCGCTCACTGCAACCTCTGCCTCCCAGGTTCAAGCGATTCTCCCGCCTCAGCCTCCTGAGTAGCTGGGATTACAGGAGTGAGCCACCACACCTGGCTAATTTTTTTTTTTTTTTTTTTTAGTAAGATGGGTTTTCACTATGTTGGCCAGGCTGGTCTCGAACTCCTGACCTCAAGTGATCTGCCCGCCCTTGGCCTCCCAAACTGCTAAGACTACTGGCGTGAGCCACCGTGCCTGGCCTTTTTTTCCCCCCTTTTCCAAAGTCTAATATTAGGGATATAGTCCACTGAGAGAACAATCACCGATACATAAAAGGGCATCACAAAATGGAGACCCAAGATCGAAGGGCAATAATGAGATTGAATTTTATGCTTCTGAGGACCTGCCTTCATAGTCTGTGAAAAAATAAGTTAGAAGCAAGAATACTTGGGGCTTTCTTAATTATTTCACATGACTGAGAATGCAGGAGTACAGCTATTAGAAGAAATCCTAGGAGAGATTACTGCCCTAGAAAGAGAGGTCTCTGGGCCTCTGCTGAATCAAGTAAAGCCATCAGAAAGTTCAAATGAGACTACAGGGAACTATCACAAGAGACTGGAAGCAATGTGGGAAGGTCATCTAGCCACAGAGTGGCAAACAGGGTACAGATCTCACAGCCAACTGGGATCATTAGCAGCATCTTCTGGAGCAGAGAGTTAGTTGCAAGGGATTCCAAGGCTACACGTGGTATTAGCTAGAAATGGTGTAATGAACATGAGTGATGCCGGCTCCACGTGAAAGAGGCAGGAGTGGTGTATAGTTAACATTCTTGATGGGTCGGTTCTCTTGCCTTCTTATCTGTCTACATTCAGACCATCTTAGAAAGATGAGATGCTAATTCTATTTTTAAGAAGCTTTGGCCAGGCACGGTGGCTTATGGCCTGTAATCCCAACACTTTGGGAGGCCAAGCCGGACAGATCACCTGAAGTCAGGAGTTCGAGACCAGCCTGGCCAACATGGCGAAACCCTGTCTCTATTAAAAATACAAACATTAGCCAGGTGTGGTGGTACATGCCTGTATTCCCAGCTACTTGGGAGGCTGAGGCAGAAGAATCGCTTGAACCCGGGAGGCGGAGGTTGCAGTGAGCCGAGATCGCATCACTGCATGCCAGCCTGGGCAACAGAGTGAGACTGTCTCAAAAAAAAAAAAAAAAAAAAAAAAGCATGAAGAGGACATGATATATAATCCTTTCAGAAATGCAAAGATTAAAATGAATTCTTCTTCTTTTATCCGAGGTGGGACTGCTTTAATGTAAATCTGGTTTCTGTTGTCCTGGCCTTTGTGGAGAATGGAGGAGTACCATGTCCAGGAATCCATCTGTGTCTATGGTCTAGATCGGGGGTGTCCAATCTTTTGGCTTCCCTGGGCCACACTGGAAGAAGAAGAATTGTCTTGGGCCACACATAAAATACACTAATACTAACGATAGCTGATGAGCTGTTAAAAAAAAATCACAGAAAACCTCATAGTGTTTAAAGAAAGTTTATGAATTTGTGTTGGGCCGCATTCAAAGCTGTCCTGTGCCCCGTGCGGCCCACAGGCGGTGGGTCGGACAAACTTAGTCTACCTGTTAGACACTCTCCTTCCTCTGGCCCATCCTCCTTAAATCCAGGGTTCCCCTCCCTCTGTTCCCACCCCCTGACCTTTGTTGCCCCTGTAGACAAACTGGAGACTTCAGATTCAGACAGAGGGAACCTCAGGGAGACGATGCATTGTGGAGAATCTGGGTTCCTGTTTTGGTTCTGCCATCAGATCCCTCGTTTTCCTTAGTAGAATGAGGGGGATTTTAACCTTGGGCACGGGATCAGCCTGAGATGATATTTTACGTGTCTGGTGCATAGTTAAGGAAAGGGGAGTGGTATCTTTTATCTGATTCTCAAAAGGGGCTCTAACTCTAAACCTGTTGAGTCATTGGTCTAAGTGATTTCTTTTTCTTTTCTTTTCTGTTTTTTTCTTTTTTTGAGACGGAGTCTCGCTCTGTCGCCCAGGCTGGAGTGCAGTGGCGCGATCTTGGCTCACTGCAAGCTCTGCCTCCCGGGTTCATGCCATTCTCCTGCCTCAGCCTCGTGAGTAGCTGGGACTACAGGCGCCGGCCATCGCACCTGTCTAATTTTTTGTATTTTTAGTAGAGACGGGGTTTCACCGTGTTAGGCAGGATGGTCTCAATCTCCTAACCTCGTGATCCGCCCGCCTCGGCCTCCCAATCTAAGTGATTTCTAATATTCTTTCCATTTGAAACTTTGCATGTGAAGATCCATTTTCACTGGGGCCGTGGCTCACACCTGTAATCTCAGCACTCTGGGAGGCTAAGGTGGGTGGATCACTTGAGGTCAGGAGTTTGAGACCAGCCTGGCCAACAGGGTGAAACCCCGTCTCTACTAAAAATACAAAAATTAGCTGGGTGGGGTGGTGCATGCCTGTAATCCCAGTTATTCGGGAGGCTGAGGTGGGAGGATAGCTTGAACCCAGGAGGCAGAGACCACAATGAGCTGAGATCTCACCACTGCACTCCAGCCTGGGTTATAGAGTGAGACTCCATCTAAAAAAAAAAAAAAAAAAAAAAGAAGGTATCTTTTCATGCAATCATATACCCTATGTATGATGCTCACAGCTGGAAGATGCAGCAAAATACTCTTCAAATGGCAACTTCTAGATCTTATAGAGAATGGACCCATATTTATCAGATTTGAAGATGTTTAAAATAGACCAAAAATGTAACCTGTATAAAAAAGGAGAAATAGGGGTTGTTAAAATTTCCCTGAAAGCCCATGTGTAATAAAAATGAGTCATTATTCTAGAGGGTTTCCTGCCTTTTAAGGGCTGTAAATCAGAAGCAATGCTTATGGGAGACAAGGCCACGCTCCCCAGGTCTCCTGGGGGCGGCGGCAGCAGCACCCTCGTCCTGGCTGTGGTCCACGGTGCCTGGCTGCGACTAAGGCTGCAGAATGTTGAGTTGCTGTTCTGCGGTTTTGCCACATTCATCAAATGTGGTTATTGTCAACTAGATAAAGTATAGTACGGTGATTATGAGCACAGTTTCTGAATCAGACTGTCCAATCCTGGATCTCCCCTGGGAGCTTGAGCAAGCAACTTAATTTTTCTGTGCCTCAGTTTCTTTACCTGTAAAATAGAAATAATCCTATCACCTACTTCATAAAGTTCCTATGAGGATAAAGTGATTTAATGTATGAACAGCACTTAGAACAGTGTCTGGCAGATAGTAAGCATTCTATGTACTTGGATAGTAATAGCATTCCAAATATTACTTATCCAATCCATAGTATTGGATATGTAAAAGCATAGAAAAAAGGTCTGGAAAGGTAACGATGTGCTGCGACTGCTGGACGAGGCGATGTGAATGGGAGAGTGTGAGCTGTGGGCTGGGGAACTTTTGGCTTTACTGGCTGTGTTAGCTTCCCAGGGCTTCTGTAACAAACTGTCACAAGCTAGGTGGTTGAAAATAACAGGGATTTATGCTCACAATTCTTTATGCTACAGGTGAGGAATCAAGGAATCAGCAGGTCCAAAGGCTCTAGGGAAGAATCCTTCCTTGCCTCTTCCAGTTTCTGGTGGTCCTAGGTGTTCCTCGGCTCGTGGCAGCATGACTCCCACCTCTGCCTCCATCATCACATGGCCTTCCTCCCCGTATGTCTGTATGTGTCCTCTCTTCTTCTCATAGAGACACTAGTCATTGGATTTAGGGCCCACTCTAAATCAGAATGATTTCATCTTGAGTTCTCCAATGAATCACATCTTCAAAGGTCCTATTTCTAAATAAGGTCACATCCTGAGGTTCTGGTTGAATGTGAAGTTTTAGGAGATGCTTCAACTCACTATACCAGCATTGTTTTGTTTTGTTTTGCTTTCTTTTAAAAATGAGATTATATTCATGTATTACTTAGGATTTTTTTTTTTTTTTTTTTTTTTTTGAGACAGAGTTTCACTCTGTTGCCCAGGCTGGAGTGCAATGGTGCAGTCTCGGCTCACCGCAAACTCTGCCTCCCGGGTTCAAGCAATTCTCCTGCCTCAGCCTCCCGAGTAGCTGGGATTACAAGTGTGCGCCACCATGCCTGGCTAATTTTGTATTTTTAGTAGAGATGGGTTTCTCCATGTTGGTCAGGCTGGTCTCGAACCCCCAGTCTTGGGTGATCCACCCACCTCAGCCTCCCAAAGAGCTGGGATTACAGGCATGAGCCACTGTGCCTGGCCCTACTTAGGATATTAAACAACAAAATGAAACAAGAAAATATATATATAAAATATAATATACATTATACTATGGGAAGCTAATGTATACATGTATACACTTGCTTATTCTGTCTAGGTTGTAGAGGAGGTTGTTGATGGGAAAAGAGGGAAATACAATGATTGCTAACACTTGTAGAATGCTTACTATCTGCCAGACATTGTTTTAAGTGCTTTTCGTATATTAAATCACTTAATCCTCATTGGAACCTTATGAAGTAGGTGGTATGATCATTTCTATTTTATAGGTGAAGAAACTGAAGCACAGAAAAGTTAAGTTGCTTGCTCAAGCTCCCAGGGGAGATCCAGGCTTGGACAGTCTGATTCAGAAACTTTGCTGATACCACCATGCTGTACTGTCCTTCATGTATGGGCACACATAGGCGATACAGGTCTGAGTCAAGAAAATTTGACATCACTTCCTAAACACACACACTCTCCTTTTTCTCCCCAAATAAAGCATCTATAAATGAATGTTGTTTCTGTGGTTAGATGTGTTTGGAGAATTTTATCTGCAGAATCTTCCAAACTGAACATTGTCTGATATTTACTTAGAAGAAATAAAAACTTCCATGAACTGAGTGAAAAATAGTTGTTCATGTATATCACTGATTGCTGTTCAGATCACTTAGAGCACAATGGATTTCAACCAGTCAAAGTGCAGCAATGCTCTGAGCAAAGGGTAGCCGCACACAAGGTGGTTCACTTAACGGCAGCTTCTGGCAAATTGCAGCTAAACTGCAGTTCCAGTTGACTTGGTAACTTACAAACAGCACACGCTGAATGGAAAAGGAATTGGTATACCATATTTAAAACAATGAGAATAATGATAGCAGTGCTTCCATTAATGCCAGATGCTGTGCTGAGTACATTTTCTTACTCTGTTCTTACTGTAACCTTCTGAATCATTAATGCCCCAGAGGTGGGGTGGTGACTAATGATAAACTGATAAGGGTATCCTTATGGTAAAAATGGCCATGACCTTGTTCCTGTAAAGTTGCTCCAGGGACTTCCCCACTCATAAGCGGACTTGGAATTTTCGCCGTAAGTCCTTTGCTATAAGTTCTACGCACATTCAACAGGGACACCTCTGTGTAGCAAGTTACCTAAATGAATATTCAGGCTGTTTTCACTCTGGGAACTTGGTATGTGTAAATTTTCAGGTAATTTCCCTCATTTGAATAACTTCTTGAGTGAAAACAGGTCCTTCAAGTGCACATCCTGGAGCCCCGGGGCTGGCATAGCATCCTTATAAAGCAGAAACCTCAGGCTAACAGAGCCCAGTTATGTCCTGGGATGTTTGTATTCCTAGAGCCCAGCTCGAGACCAGGAAGTGCCTCCTAGGTTTTCCTGTTTCCATGTGGCCTTGGTTTGGATTCACAAGAAAAGGATTCAACAGAGTACAGTGCTGACTGTACCGGTTAAATTATGGCCTCTAAAGTCCAACCACTGGCCTTCCAATCCCAGCTCCATCACTTCCCAGCTATGTGACCTTGGCAAGCCCTCAACTCGGGAGCCTTAGTTTCTTCATCTGTAAAATGGATATAACAATAAAATCTATGTCCAAAGGCTGCTGTGAGTATTAACTGGGTGCTTAGTCAACCGGGAAACATTAGTCACTGGTATTGGGGGATCAACGGTGGAGCTCTATGCAATCGATTCTCTTCTCAGGGGATGGGGTATGATGGCAACATCAGTCAACTGGGCTCAAGGGAATTACTTTGCACTCAGTTCAGCACATGCTGTCTAATGAGCCATTGCCTATCTGCCAGCATTTGTTGAGAAATACAAAAAGAAAGAGAGGAGGTTTTTTTAGAGACCCACTTTTAAAATACCCCCATCTGACCCCTTCAAAATGGAGGGCTGATGGGTAGCGTCCATTTTCCTTTTCTGTAGGCCCAGCAAGCCCCACTAATGTTTCTTTTCTGATAACTAAAGCAGGTTTCTCTCCCCACAGGGGCCTCTTTCTTTCCCCTGAACCAGAAGGGAAGATCCCCTTTCTCTTTTCAGTAATGGGCAAGAACAAAGTTCCATTGACAACGTGAATGGAGCATTTCTTACCCTGGACTCTCTTCGCACTGCAGAGGCAGGGACCTTTTCTCTCCCGCTTGGCTTCTGAAGATTATGATTCAAGTCCTCTACAGGCGACTAGGGCAGCCCAGGAATCCTGATTCTGGCACGAACTGACCAAGGGAGGGAGGCTGCTTGGTTGCAGAGCCTCCATGCACAGAAGTCCACTTACCTGTGACTTCTGATATGTGCAACCCCGAGAATTTCCCCTGCTTCGCCTACTCTGGGCCTCCCCTAACCACCCAGTAGCATCCTCTCCTTTCACATGCTATTACCTTACCCTGCTTCATTTTCCTTTAGAGCACTTAGCATCACCTGGTCCATTATATTAATTTGTTTGTCTGTTCTCCCTCCCAACGGAACATAAACCCCAGGAAAGTAGATGTTGTCTTGTTCATTGCTGAATCCCCAGTGTCTGGCACAGTGCCTGGTAAAGAGTAGATACTCAGTAAATATTCACTGAATGAATGAAGAAAGGCAGGCTGAAAGCTACTTCTGGTTTCCCTCTAAAATAAAAAAAAAATGTCTTTCTGATAAATGGATAACTAAAGTCAGGTTGCAATGGTTTTGGGCTTTTAGAATGGCCTGAGTTTGGATCAGTCAATCAACTGATGCAATTTATGAGCGATCTTTTATAGCCCAGCAAAGTAGAGACACAGAAGGATATGACCTGGTCCCTGCTCTCTGAGTGCACAAAATTCAGCTCACAAATGACAGTGGAAAATGAACCGAGGTAAAAGAAAAAGTCTCCAACAACACGGACAGCTGGAGGGCAGGTCTGCAGTTTCTCTGTTTTTCCTGGCATCTCTAAGGAAAGAGAAGCCAGGTATCCACCTGTCAGTGCCACAGCCACTGGTGGTAAGGGATGTGTGCCATTCAGGTGTCTAGCTTCTACATCCCTGGTGCTCTCTGTAGAGTATGCCCAGAAACCACACTGGTATTTCCAGGAAGTATACACCAAGTGCTGTTCTCTGTAGGTTTTGCCCCTTCTTTCTTTTCTATCATGCTACTTCTTACAAATTAAAAAGCAAGTCAGGAAGCAATGTTAAAAATAATCAAACCACAGCTAAAGGAAGGTACCTTCAAAAGAAGAAACGGGGGAAAAAAATTGAGTCGACTATTATTCCACAGTGCTTTATACTTGAGGCCCTGTGATTATTCACTCTGTGAAACCCAGTGGAACCTGGGGGAGTTAATGGGGCCAATGTTACTTTTCTTTTGCATTACTTATGTGGGCTGTAAAAATGAGCTTTGGCTCCATGGCCAAAAGCGGAAAATGTCACACCATGGGGAGCGAAGAATGTGAATCAAAATGCAAAACCTACAGCTCCAGTTTTCCTACATTGTAAATGCTTATTGCTATCAGGTAACTCCTCTCCGTAATCCAAAGCAGCTCCGGGCACCGCAGGGGCAGGGGAAGGGAAGATCTGAAGACTCTAAGTATGGACAGTATTGAGGCCAGACACAGTTGCTCACACCTGTAATAGCAGCACTTTGGGAAGCCAAGGCAACAAGATCGCTTGAGGCCAGGAGTTCGAGATCAGCCTGGGCAACACAGCAAGACCCTGGTCTCTACAAAAAATATTAAAAACAATAATTAGAAGGGCATGTTGGTGCATGCCTGTAGTCCTAGCTACTCTGGAGGATCACTTGAGCTCAGAAGTCGAAGGCTGCAGTGAGCCATGATTAGGCTGCTGCACTGTATTCCTGGGTGACACAGCAAGATCTTGTCTCAAAAAAAAAAAAAAAAAAAAAGAATGAACAATATTGAGGGTCCCCAGCCACCCAGAGCTACCTGACTGAAACTGAGTGTTTAAGAGAGGATTTAGGGGCTTCTGAGAGAGGCTCTGTGCTCTAAGACTTGGGGCTAGGGAAAGCCGATCAGCAACGTGGGGGCTTGGGGAAGAAGGTAGCTTGCTTTGTGACCAGTTCAATTTTTTTGAGGGTCCCAGAATATTAAAACATGAAGAGATGTCAAAACAGGGCCTCCCCAAACTGTGGCATATTCTAAAATAATTAAACTTAACCAATATATTGTTTAATATTAAACTAATATTAAACAATATACAAGTAAACAAAGAAAACACGGTAATTGCACTATTCACAATGTAGGTCCAAGACTTACTAAAAATATGAGTGCAATGCAGGTGGCAAGAATGGCATGGGACATGACTGGCAACATCTTTTTTCTATTCTGTCAATGGATCTTTCTGACACTGCAGTAACTCAGAGATATTGTCAAAAGTCTAAACCTAAGTCAGGCGCGGCAGCTCATGCCTGTAATCCCAGCACTTTGGGAGGCTGAGGTGACAGGATCACTGGAGGTCAGGAGTTTGAGACCAGCCTGGCCAACATGGCAAAAACCTGTCTCTACTAAAAAAAAGAAAACAAAAAAACATGCACACACACACAAATTAGCCAGGCATGGTGGCTCATACCTGTAATCCCAGCTACTTGGGAGGCTGAGGCAGGAGAATCGCTTGAACCCAAGAGGTGGAGGTTGCAGCAAGCCAAGATGGTGCCACTGCACTCCAGCCTGGGCAATAGAGCAAGACTCTGTCACAAAAAAAAAAAAAAAAAAGAAAAGTCTTAATTGAGGTCCTTTATGAATGGAAAGCCCTCCAGGGACAAAGCCACCACTGGCCATTCCATGATGTTGGTTATTGCTAGTCCTGCTTTGCTCTCAAGCAAACAGGAGGCCTCCTCTTGGGGCCTTGCCTGCAGGCATGGAGGGTGGAGCAGTCTAAGATGACCTGGCAGCTTGCTGCTGGCTCCCTGGCTCCCTGGGGCCTCTCCAAACACCAGGGTTTGTCGGGGATATAGTCTCTGACTCACCACTAGTGATAAGACAGGCCAAGAACCTTTAAGCAAGTCAGACAGCATTCAGGGAGGTTTTAGATTCTTACCACTGGAAGTCTGATTTCAGAATTTGCAAGTTCCTTAACAAAACCGTTGTAGCTTTGACAGAACTGTAGTCATTCTGGGAGCCAAAACAGCAGAGACAACAATACACAGAATGCTGAACCTGCTGCATCAAAGTGAGGAAAGCTTTATCTCTGCCTCCTCATTGCTGCATCTATTTATTCATCCAACCAATATTTACTGAGCCCTTTCTAAGTGCCAAGTCTCACAGTGAGTGCTGGAGAAAGAGTAGTGGACAAACACAGACTTGGTCCCTTCCCGGAGGAGGCCTGCAGTGTATGGGGCTGGGGGGAAGGAAGAGGGGCCCTAACTGAAAATCACAAAGCAATGTAAGTAGCCACAGCAGCAAATGCTATAAAGGAGAGGCCCATGGGGCTATGAGTACATATAATGAGGTCTGACATGTTTAGGCATGTCAGGAAAGGATCTCTGAAAAACAGATATTAAGCTGGATCTGTTATGGTTGAGAAGGGAAAGTGGAGATGGAAGACCATTTTTACCAACAAAAATAGTGTGTGCAAAGGCCCTGTGGTGGGAGCCAGGAGAATGTAAAGAACTGAGAGGAAGTAGGGCTGGAGCAGAGTGGTGGGGACTTAGAATGGTGCCCAAGGCACTGGGGCACGGGGCAGAGGCCAGGGGGCGGCGGAGGGCAGGTGGGCGCTGCTGGGGGATGCTGGGCTAGGCTGGGAGAGACCTAGGGTGAGCAGGAAGGAGGCTGCCTGTGCAGGGCGTCTGAGCCTCTGAGGTTTTCTTTCATCCTAAGAGCAATGCAAAAGCTTAAGTAGGGGGAGGGAACTGGGGACATCTGAATCACATTTGGATTTTGAAGAGATTACTCTGGCTGCAGTGTTAACATCTCTAAAGGTAATTTCTGCTTTGCAAGTCCAATAAGCAGGATCAGTCTTCAGTCACTGGAAGCAGAAGCTGGTGCCTTGGCAGCCAGATCTGGGTTTGAATCCTGGCTTCATGCCTCACTTCTGGCATGGCCTTGGGCAGGCCAGCCTTTCAGAGCCTTAGTTTCCTCATATATAAAACAGCGGTAATAATACCTCTTTCTGCGTTGTTATGAAAGTTACGGAAATTAAAGTAAATAAGTAGTCTTGCTTGATACACAGCAAACTCTCCTTGGGATATTTTAAAGTAGAAACCAACTTTGATACTATGTATGGCATGAAACAGCTAACATCCAAAAGGGTTGTATAAACTTTCAGCTTGAGGAAAACATTCGCCTTCCTACAGGTCTATAGTTTGGAAATACTGCACCTACATTTGTCTCTCTCTCTCTCTTTTTTTTTTTTGAGACAGGGTCTCGCTCTGTCACTCAGCCTGCAGTGCGGTAGCACTCGCTCTGTCACTCAGCCTGCAGTGCGGTAGCACGACCATGGCTCACAGCAGCCTCAACCTGCTGGGCTCAGGCAATCCTCTGGCTTTAGCCACCTGAGTAGCTGGAACTATAGGCACATGCCACCACACTCAGCTAATCAATTTTTTTTTTCTTTTTGTAGAGACAAGGTCTTACTATGTTGCCCAGGCTGGTCTTAAACTCCTGGGCTTAAGCAATCCTCCTGCCTTGGCCTCCCAAAGTGCTGGGATTACAGGCATGAGCCACTGTGCCCAGCCTTACTCCTGTCTCTTTAAAACAACTAAAACACAATAATCAACCAACCACTCATTCCACTGTTTGCATACATAAGGTGCTACAGCCATGCCTTCTGATTTTGGAATTTATCAGATGATAGACCATGGAGAGATGAGCAACCAGAGAACAAACAAATGACAAAGGAGCACTGCAAATATAGAAACAAATAAGCCACTGGCTGTGGCGTGAGGGCATTTGTTGGTTATGAATAAGAGACTGCTGGGTGTCATATTTAGCCAGCATGGGGCTGGTCAGTAAGCCTTCTGTTTGGATCAGTCAAGAATTCAACATTGCTTTCATCTCTTGAATGGCCCGGGGCCCTGTCAGAATATAACTCCAGGGCCAGTCTCAATGGCTCATGCCTATAATCCCAGCACTTTGGGAGGCTGAGGCTGGTGGATCACTTGAGGTCAAAAGTTGGAGACCAGCCTGGCCAACATGCTGAAACCTCATCTCTCCTAAAAATACAAAAATTAGTCGGGTGTGGTGTCGGGGGCATCTGTAATCCCCGTTACTTGGGAGGCCAAGGCAGGAGAATCACTTGAATACAGGAGACAGGGCTGAGATTGCACCACTGCACTCCAGCTTGGGCAACAGAGTGAGACTCCATCTCAACAACAACAACAAAAACTTCAGTTGACTTCAGGATTAAGTCAAGGGTCTTGTCAAAATACTCAAAAGCCAGCTTTCAGTGGTTCCCACTGGCCAATGATGAGACAATGTGAGCACTGGGGATGTAAAATATATTAAATACATTTAAATCCTTGAGTTTGTAATAGCACTTTAAAAATATTGATCGCCTAGCCTGGGCAACATAGCGACAGCTTGTCTCTACAACAAATACAAAAGTTAGCCGGGAGTGGTGGTCCTAGCTTCTTGAGGGGGTGTGCCGAGGCAGGAGGAACACTTGAGCCCAGGAGTTCGAGGCTGTAGTGAGCTATGATTGTACCATTGTACTCCAGCCTGGGTGACTGAGTGAGACCCTGTCTCCAAAATATAAATATAGATATATCTATATATCTCTGTCTATATATATTGATCACCACTGGAAGGTGAAATGAAGCCAATACATTATTTTGAAAATTTGTGAATAAAGGAAAGGAATCAAATATTTATCCTGCCTTTCTGACATGTACTATACCAAATAAAATGGTAGATGAGGGGAAATTTTTTCTTTATAGAAAATTTGAGCTGATAAATGAAGGAATGGTAGAATTAGTTTTATTTATTTATTTATTTTTATTTTTTATTTTTTTGAGACAGAGTCTCATTCTGTCACCCAGGCTGGAGTGCAGTGGTGGGATCTCAGCTCACTGCAACCTCCACCTCCTGGGTTCAAGCAATTCTCCTGCCCCAGCCTCCCGAGTAGCTGGGATTACAGGTGCCTGCCACCATGCTCAGCTAATTTTTGTATTTTTAGTAGAGACGGGGTTTCGCCATGTTGGCCAGGCTGGTCTCGAACTCCTGACCTTAGATGATCCTCCTGCCCCAGCCTCCCAAAGTTGCTGGGATTACAGGCGTGAGTCACCGCACCCAGCCAGAATGGCAGAATTAGAATATCAGTATTTTCTAATCATTAATGAATTAATGAATCTAGACATTAATCATCAATGGTTACCAACATCATGAAAAAGATATCCTCTCCTCAATTATGTCCCTCTTGATGGAAGAACACAATGAAATGAATGCCTGCCCCGCAAAAATACTGAACTGGATACTAGTGAACTAGATCTAACTACCAATTTTTAGGAAATAGAACAGAGGGACATGTTAAATGATACAGATTATGAGAAACTCTACAGAATAAAGTGCCCAATTACTAAAACAAATGAATTATAATTAAAAAAAAAGAGATGGTGGAGAGACCCAAAGAAACCTTATGAGACATATTACCCAGTTGCAAGGAGTGGGTTCAAACAAACTGTAAAAATCTCATTAAAATATTGATAATTGCCAACTTAAACACTAGTGCGATATTTGATGATCTTTAGGAGTTATTAACTTTTTTTTTTTTGAGGCGGAGTCTTGCTCTATTGCCCAGGTTGGAGTGCAGTGGCACAATCTTGGCTCACTGCCACCTCTGCCTCCCAGGTTCAAGTGATTCTCCTGCCTCAGCTTCCCAAGTAGCTGGGACTACAAGTGCATGCCACCATGCCTGGCTAATTTTCATATTTTTAGTAGAGACCCGGTTTCGCCATGTAGGCCAGGCTGGTCCTGAACTCCTGACCTCAGGTAATCCACCTGCCTTGGCCTCCCACAGTGCTGGGATTACAGGTGTGCGCCATCGTGCCCAGCCTATTGTTAACTTTTTAGATATGCTAACGGTATCATGGCTAAGTTTGAAAGAGATAAAGTTTTTATTTTTTAGGGATACAAATGGAACTATGTACCATTTAGATGAATGGTACGAAACCTAGAATTTGCTTTAAAATAATAGGAGAGGGGATGGAGGGTTGAGGTATTTATAAAGCAAGATTAGCCATGGGCTTAATCATTGCTGAAAGTGGTCCATGGGCTCATGGTAGTTTGATATTTTCCATAATAGAAAAGTTTAAAAACATTCATTGGCCAATCTATCTGTCCATTTCTTTTAATATTAAAAACATTAATTATTATTAGTAGTATTATATTAATATGAAGTCTCACTTTGTTGATTCACCCAATCCCTTTCATGAGAGATGTGGAGGTTGGTCTTGGCTGTTAGGAAACGTAGATTCTAATCCATTCAACAGCCCAGTGATTTGAGAACTTCAGCTCTCTGGGTCTCCCTGTACTCCTTTGGAAAACGAGAGACGAAGTTGATTGTTGCAGTGGGGATTTGGGTCCTGCAGTCTGGCTGTCTGGGTTGGAATTGAGCTTCGCCATAGGTACCCTTGGGTAAATTTACTTAATCCCTCAGGGTTTCATCTTCCTGTTTTGTAAAATGTAAATAACAATAACGCTCACCTCGAAGGGTTGTTGTGAAGATTACATGAACGATTTCATGTATTCATTCCGTCAACATTGAACACCTAGTCTCCAGCTCTGCGAGGGGAATGGGGTGGAGTGGCACAGAAAATACGGGGGCCAGGCTGTTTAGCGCCTAAAGGGAGAGTCCAGATCACCCATGGTAAACACGAAATAAGATGCAGTATTTCAAATAGCTAGAACTGAGACGAAAATACAACGCAGCAATTTGATGGAGAGCAACTTCGAGAAAGGTGAGCTGCAACATTAACTCGGCTGATCTGGGACAGTCTGGCGGGGGAGGTGACATCTGAGCCCCACCTGACTTAGAGGATGTCAGCTATGGATGATCCGGGTTTCCACACGCAGCAGTTCTCAAGCCAGGTGACTGCACCGCCCTAAAGTTCCCTCCACTTTTGGCAATGTCTGGGGATTTTTGGTTGCCAGCAATGGGAATTGGGGGGTTTGTTCTTGTATCTAGTGGGTATAGGCTAGGAACGCCGCCCAGTATCCTACAGTGCACAGGACACCCCAAGCCCCCCCAAATTAGCTGGCCCAAAGATAAAGAGAGAAGAGCAAGGGCAAAGGTCCTGCAGGAGTCAGAAAGGAGCTTGCTGTGTTCAGAAAACTCAAAATCCAGTGTGGCTGAGTGAGGACGACGAAGAATGAGGTAGACTGGGCTAGACTATGGAGCACTTTTTACGGCACGGTGAGGAATTTGGAATTATACTCAAAGCAGTGGAAAGCCCTTGAAGAGTTTTAAACAGAAGGGGAAGGTAACCCATGTGAAACGCTTTGCATATATAAGCGCTCAATAAATACTGTCTATTATTAATATTATTATCACCATTGTGTCTACCCTACTTGGCTCCAGACCCGGCCCATGCCTCAGCGAGGCCGCAGTGACTCCTCCTGGCCAGCAGAGGGCGCCAGCGGACACTTGGCTACCGGCCGCCCAGGGCGGGCCTCCTCTTGCCGTCCCCTTCCTCGTCTTTTCCCCTCAGGAGAAGTCGGGAAGGTGGCGGCGGCGGCGGCGGTTGTCCCGGCTGTGCCGGTTGGTGTGGCCCGTCAGCCCGCGTACCACAGCGCCCGGGCCGCGTCGAGCCCAGTACAGCCAAGCCGCTGCGGCCGGGTCCGGCGCGGGCGGCGCGCGCAGACGGAGGGCGGCGGCCGCGGCCAGGGCGGCCCGTGGGACCGCGGGCCCCCGGCGCAGCGCTGCCCGGCTCCCGGCCCTGCCGGCCTCCTCCCTTGGCGCCGCGGCCATGGCGGCCAGCGCGAAGCGGAAGCAGGAGGAGAAGCACCTGAAGATGCTGCGGGACATGACCGGCCTCCCGCACAACCGAAAGTGCTTCGACTGCGACCAGCGCGGCCCCACCTACGTTAACATGACGGTCGGCTCCTTCGTGTGTACCTCCTGCTCCGGCAGCCTGTGAGTGCGGGGCGGCCGGGCGGGTGTCGGGCCCTTCCCGGGAGGTGGGGGAGCGGGCGGCGGGACCGGGACCCTTCCGGGGCTGGGAAAGAGCCGGGTGCCGTGGGAGGCGGTCGGGGGCGGCCGTTGGGCGCCGGCTGGCGGGCGCGGCGTGGGAGGCTGCGGGCTGGATGCGCAGGGCCCGGGCAGCCGGGCTGGGGATGCGTTTTCGGTTTTGCCGGGCGAGGGTTTACGTTCTGGGCAGCCTTCGTGGGTGGGACGTGGGCGGGGTTGGGGTCAGGGAGGGGGCGACCGGGGCGAGCGTCCCTGGTCTCCGTCGAGCCTGCGGCCGCCGCCCTCGCTCTCCAGCTACCCGGGGCGCCGGGCTGTGGGGGGTGGGGGAAGACGCTAGGAGGCCGGGGGGGAGGTCCATGCGGGTCCTTTGTGTGCCCCGCCTCTCAGCGGCCCGGGAGCCGCGGTGCGGAGCGAGGCACCTGCTGGGCGCTCCTGCTGGGGGTCGGGGAGAAGCTGGGGTGGGAGGGAGGGACGCCTGCCTCGCCCGTGCCTTTTTTCTGGGTCGAGAGTACCTACGTAACTGGGAGGAAGCAGGCACTTAGGAATAGTAGCAGGATGAAAGCATCTTGATGGCAGATGTGAATCCCCTGGGAAAAGTTCGAAAGGATTAATTGCGGGAGGGGGAGGCAGAGGAGCAGATTTGAAGCTGTGGGATTTTAGTTTTATGGTCCGAAGAGAGTGTTGAGGAGTTGGGGGAAAGTTTTAATGGCAATAAGGTACCCACTAGGAGCTGTGTGATTCTAAATATGATGGAGTTATCTGTGAGATTTATCTGTATCTCGCTATCAATACCCGAGTGCCCTGGCTGTACACAGAAATGAGGAGAGCTAGCAAGTCACCATGATTTCAGAAAGACACTACCGTCCTGAGTTACTGGGATGATTTGTGTTTGTTGTTCTTTGCTTCATTAAGCTTTATTTTGATAAAGATTTTTATTGCCGTGCAATTTCATTCGGAAAATTTGCAGGTGGTTTTGGAATTGATAAAATGCTTTTATATTATTATCTTGTATTTAAAGTTACTAACAACGTGGCAGTTACTAAGTATTTTTAAAACCTTTGCTTGTAAGATTAATACAAAGCACATAATACTTTATGTGGGAAAATTGATTTCTTAAAACTTAGAAAATGCAGAACATGTCTAGTATGTACTATTTGCTTTTTAAAGTTGGGCAAAGAGGCATTATTAGTATTACATGAGTGTTATTTCTTCAGCAGACATTTTTTTTGGTGCCTATTAGGTTGTGTAAGGCCCTGGGGTGTGCCAGTAAATATAGCAAAGTCTTGTTCTCTTGGTTCTTACAGTCCAGTGGGGATGCAAAAGTAAGAAAAATGTCTTGGGCAAGTACTATGCTGAACATGAAAATTGTTTGATAGGAGAGTGCTCATGGTTACTTTTAGGCTGTGTGGCCAGGGAGACACTCTGAGAAGTTGCCAGTTAATAATATTCTCGAATTACTACAGAATCACAGAGCTAGGTGATATCAAGGAGGTAGCCTGGTTCATGCATTTCATTTACAGAAAAAGGAGTTAAGCTAGAAAGTTGTTACTTACGTTGGACAATATTGGTTCCAAAATGAAGCCAATAGAACAATTGTAATTGTATTTGATTTTTATTACATGGTTAAGATGTATGTCCTGCTTTTACTAAACACAGGTCCTTTAATCCATGTAAAGTATTTGATTTGGAAAAAATACATATATTTACACTTCCGGATTTCTGACATTTCTGTGTAGTCCCTGTAAGTACAGCAGCAAATGTGTAATATCAAGGACATATTTTCAAATTTCTTCCTAGATACCACATTTCAGAAACATTGTGCATAAAAGGATATCTCAGTATAATGACAATTATTTATCTTAATGGAACTTAATCTGTGGCAGATAGGACTTCATTTCTCTATTGAGTCATTCCACAAATATTTATTGCCTACTTGTCCTGTGTCATAAGTTACCTGGATCTTAACTGTTCTATGGAGCGTGCCTTGTAAGTATGTAAACGTAGAGTTACAATATATTGTAGTATTTCCTTTCTGTGAATGAGATAGCCAGGAAATATGTAAATGATACAGCTTCTCTGGGAGTTGATGCCTGAGCAAAGACCTTTAACGAGAAATTCTGCTTCATATGTTTGAAAGATCAAGTACTTATGAGCTAGGTACACATGGCTTTGAATCCTGACTCCAAGTATTAGTTATACGGTATTGAGAATGTCACTCAATCTATTTGAGCTTGATTTTTCTCTTATATGAAACAGTGAGGATAAGATTTCCCTTGTAAGTTTTGGATGTAGATTTGTTTTCAGTATTAAAAATAATGTATGTTAAACATCTCACGTAATGCCTGGTATATAGCAAGTGCCCTATAGATGAGAAGCATCAAGGAAGAGGACATGCCATGAGTAAGGGAACAGTACTGTATGTGAAAGATATTAAATAAGAAATATCCTAATAAAAATCTGTCACTTTGGATTTTATGGTTGTAACTCAAAACCGGAATCTAATTGGTTTAAAAATATGAAGGGTTTATTGATTGATTTTAAAGTAAAACTATACAGTGGCTTAATAATATTGCCTAGATTTTCCTCATTCGAGCATGGTTGTCCCCAGCTCCTGGGTATACTGCCTTAATTATGTCGTTGGTCCAATACTTTCAGAAGTTCTGCATTTCCCTCTGATTGGGTTAGCTTAGATCATGCCACAACTGGACACATGTTCTAACCTGACTTCATTGTCACAAGGATCCCCAAATAGAGTTCCCAAATCTGAAATCTAGAATTCTTGGGATGTAGGGAATGAAGACTAGAGTGGCAACCATCAAATGTCTACTGCAGAACGTTGGAGGGACAATAGCTTCTGAAGATTTTTTTCTTTGACAAGCAATAGTGCAGGAAAATAATTTAGGAAGAATAATATAACTCTTGGGTTTAATAATTATGTATCTGATGTTTAGATGACATGGTATAATTGAAAGAATATGAATTTTGAAGTCAGATTTTGACAATGCTACTAGCTTCGTGGCTTAGGGCAAGGTGTTATGCTAGGCCACTACATGCAGATTGGCCCAGATCCATCCTTGTAGCCTCAGTTTCTTTATTTATGTTAAGAAGATATCATATAGCTCAGGGTTGTTAAGAGGATTCAATGATACACATCGTTACTGTATTTACTTATTGAGCACATACCGTATTTGAGGATAGGGCTAAGCACTGGAGTTACAAATATTGAAATAAGGCATGCTAGCTGCCGTTCCTTGATTTACCTGGAAAATATGAATACATAGCAAATAGTATCCACTATCATGAATTCTAAATTTTAGGATAGTGACATACCTTCTATCATTTATACTAATACCTTTTTTTAAAATAAATTGAACTAGCATCTTGTTGTTAATGTTACTAGACTTGGAGCTAATCTTTCTTGTTTCTTTTTTTTCAGATGACTGTCCTATATGCTTGAATGATGTTCATTCAGAGTGTAACTGAATTTAGATTGTAAAACTTTAAAATGAACTTCAGAGTTAGATGCAGTTAAACTATTTGTTACTGAGGCAGAATGATGAAGGCATCCTAACTGATTGGTTTGTCACTATCTTTCACTGTCTTTCTGGTTGTATTTATGGAAATCCCTAAAATTCTGAATGGACACTTCAGACATTTAAAATATAGCCAACAGTAAAAATGGCCTTCATGTTAAATAACTTCTAGTTGATTTAAAGACTAGTTTTAGACTAAATTATTTGTTTTATGGAGACTATAAACATTAGTATAATTGATATGTAATATAAAAGATTGTCCTAGCCTTAAAAAGTGATCCATAAATTTTTCAGTGAGGGTTTAGATAAAATAAAAAATAACATTTGAGAAAGAGGTTGCCACTTTAATACCATCTATTTTATGTGGACAGTGCATTTAAGCTTGAAATTTCACAGGTAATAAATGTAGCTGGATAGTAACTTATATTCTGTTGATTCTGTGTACATTGACTCTTGAGATGAATGTTACAAGAATTTTAATTTTTTTTAGATGACAGATGAAAAGAGGTATTTAATGTTTTTATACAATTAGTAGCATTAGGATGGATTGCAAATCAGATGCTCTTTTGGAGCTCTGTGTATAATATTCAGGACCTTGTGAGGTCACAGTGAGCAGGGATTTATATTCTTAATTCCTTTTTTACTTTTTTTGGATACTCTGATATGGCCACATTCAGTTAAGTATTTAGAGTAAGTGGCCAAAATATTTTATACTTTCTCTCTCTCTCTTTTTTTTTTTTTTTTGAGACATAGTCTCACTCCGTCACCCAGGCTGGAGTGCAGTGGTACGATCACGGCTCACTGCAACCTCTGTCTCCCGGGTTCAAGCCATTCTCCTGCCTCAGCCTCCCAAGTAGCTGGGATTACAGGCGCCCGCCACCATGCCCGGCTAGTTTTTGTATTTATAGTAGAGACTGGGTTTCGCCATGTTGGCCAGGCTCGTCTTAAACTCCTGACCTCAGGTGATCCACCGCCTTGGCCTCTCAAAGTGCTGGAATTACAGGCATGAGCCACCTCGCCTGGCCTAGATACTTTTTCAATTGTGAAGGACAAATTTTTTATTTTAAGCAAATATTTATTAAGTGCCAGATACTAGCCCATGTGCTGGAGATACAACAGTTAAAGTATTTATTGAAAAAAAAGAAAAAACTATTGAGTGCTAGCTGTGTGACAGACATTCTAGTAACAGTGATGTGAGGAAGGTACTATTATCCAAGCTCAACTTTAAGTTGTAAAATTAGTGCACACTCTTAGTGTTTTGCTGTTATAACCTGCTAGAAGTTGGGATCTGGAACTGATGCTGATTCCACCACCAAAGAATGTATGGTTACCATGGTTACCGTAAATTGTTGTGAATTCTATATTTTGGGGATTTAAATGGTAGATTTTACTTCATTGTGTTTCAAATGGCAGAAAAAAGACTTTTTCTTTTTTTTGTTTTTATTTTTTGAGACGGAGTTTCACTCGTCACCCAGGCTGGAGTGCAGTGGTGCGATCTCACCTCACTGCAACCTCCACCTCCCAGGTTCAAGCGACTCTCCTGCCTCAGCCTCCCAAGCAGCTGGGATTACAGGCATGCACCACCATGCCTGGCTAAATTTTTTTTGTATTTTTAGTAGAGATGGGGTTTCACCATGTTGGCCAGGCTGGTCTTGAACTTCTGACCTCAGGTGATCCACCTACCTCGGCCTCCCAAAGTGCTTGGATTACAAGCATGAGCCACCATGCCCAGCCCAGAATAGATATTTTATGATGCATCATAAATGTTTGTTTTATGGCTGTGTCATGCTTTTTATTATTTTTAGGGAACTTCTTAGCTCCAAAATGTGTGTTCTTATTTTTGAGTTTCATTGAGAAAATACTGTTGTGTATTCTGAAATCAATGGGAATGATGGTGCCGTTCCAACAGCGATTCTTTTCAATTTGGCATGTGCATACTACCATGTGCCGTAATTCTCGTGCTATTTTTTATATTTGAATTCTAATTAGAACCCCTCATTGTATGCAGTCAAGTTTGATAGTGGATAAGTTTATCAAAAAATTCAGTTAAAGCAAGCAATCAGTAAAAAAAAAAAAATACATACATGCACACATACATATACATGTATCTATTATATATACATATATAATATATATATTTAGCAAGCATAGGTTTTTTTGTTTGTTTGGGTTTTGTTGTTGGTTTGAGACAGGGTCTCACTCTGTCGCCCAGGCTGGAGTGCAGTGGCATTATCATGGTTCACTGCAGCCTTGACCTCCCCAGGCTTAGGTGATCCTCCGACCTCAGCTTCCCAGGTACCTGGGACTACAGGCGCGTGCCACCATGCCCAGCTAATTTTTGTAGAGATGGGGTTTCGCCATGTTGCCCAGGCTGATCTCCAACTCCTGGCTCAAGCAATCCTCCTACCTTGGTCTTCCAAATTGTGGGGATTACAGGCGTGAATTACCATGCCCTGCCTCAAGCTTAGGTTTTTAAATTTTAACATACAACTGTTAATTTGCTGGCACATAAGGCTTTGAATATGGGTCCACTGATTAGATTCTTTGTCCCCTAATATAACCCAGACTCATGCTGTACTATTTATGATTTTTAGCATTTTAATGTACTTATAAAACAGTTTGAATGCTGAATTCTTCTAGATTTTTATGATTTTTCTCTCAGTCTTTTACAGTTCTTTTCCATGGTCAAATAACAGCTTATCCTAGTGACTTGTTTTAGTCTCTAAAAATACTTAGTTTACATGGAAATAATTCTTCTCACTCATGCCATTGTTTTACATGACATTCACTTAAACTATATACTTACCAAGTACTGTACCAACTATATTACCAAATACTATACCAGACAAATTTTGATAAGCATAAAACTCACTCTCTCCTGAGAGAGGAGCAGGAGAAAGTGGCCTTCTAGCCATGAATGTTCATTGTGCAGTAGGCATTAACTTTAGGTTTCTCAGAGGGAAGGAGAAACATAGA
Source organism: Homo sapiens (assembly GCF_000001405.40). NCBI lineage: Eukaryota > Metazoa > Chordata > Mammalia > Primates > Hominidae > Homo > Homo sapiens. The sequence goes on from NC_000002.12 coordinate 227,479,152, forward strand.
TTTAACCAGCAAATTGGATAAGAAGGACTCTTCTGTATAGTGCTGTGGGTACCTTTTATACTGGGAAAACTCCAGCATTCAGGTTGTGGTGACATCATTTGACCATAACTGAGTATAAAGGCATTATTGCCATGTTAAGCCTTTTTCTGTTCCCTATTCATTCATCCATCATTTTTGGCATGTGATTTTTAAACACTGGCTTTTAGTTTCAAAGTGGATAAAATACAGTTTAGATTAAATTTACATTAAATTTTATAATATTAGTGCATTATAAATGAAAAGAATTAAGACATTGTTTTAAAAGAACTTGCCGACCTCTGGATCTCAATTTGAAAATCATTGTCTTTTTAGAAACCTCTGTATCTGTTCCAATAGCATTCTTTGGAAAACAGGCAAATCTCCTTATTTGATATTTTCCTTCTTTTCTGTGCAGCGTGCATGATGTTCACATTTGTGAGAAACTCCTATGGAAATATTCGGGACTAGGTTTTACTACTCCCCCTCATTTTTTCCCCCACTTGAATGTGTTTTCTAATTCAAATCAAAGTGATGATTGTCTAGGGAAATACAACTTGGATACCTTTAATGTATGTAAAAACGTTTTAAAATCAGTTATAACTTTGAGTACTTACATTAATAGCATGTTCCTTGTGACATTTTTTACAACCTTACACACGAGAACTATTGCTAAAGACACCTGATTGAACATTAGAATGAAATTCATGAGCTATTCAGTGGGGACAGGAAACTTATTTGAGTTGTTTGAAATACAGAGAATTAATTTTTGTTTGTGTTAGAACATACTTTGCTCAAAGACTTCTGACTAAGATAGCAATCTTTTTGATTGACACCATACATGTTTTGTAGAGGTCATAATTATACCTTACTTTTATTCTGGTTGCTTGTTTTAAGAGGAATGTTAACAAACTGGAGCATGCTCCAAGGAATCTGATCAAGATGGTAAGGAAGTTTGAAACTATGTATTAGAGGAACATTTGCAGGAACCAAAAATGCTACTAGCTTAAAGAAGAAAAGATTAGACAGTGGGGGAGCTGTACACATGATCACTGTCATTGGGTAATTTAAGGCATTGGGAGAGGTAATACATTTATTTTTACGACTCTAGGGGGAGATGCAACACCAGTGTTTGTAAGTTATGGAGAAACAGTGTATGTTCAGAAAAGGAAAGAGGAATTTTCCTTGTAATTGTCAGATTCCAAAAATTCTTGTCTTTCCATATTTCTTATTTTATTTTATTTTATTTTTGAGATGGAGTCTCACTCCATCTCCCAGGCTGGAGTGCAGTGGCGCCAACTCAGCTCACTACAACTTTCATCTGTCAGGTTCAGGTGATTCTCCTGCCTCAGCCTCCCTGGTAGCTGGGATTACAGGCATGAGCTGCAATGAACTTCCTTCAATATGATCAGATGCATCAGCTACTTTTTTTTTTTTTTTAACTGTTTCTGGGTACTTTTATAATCTTCTGCTCTGGAAATGCTGCTGTCTAGGCCTGCTGTGCGGCTCTCATACCAGAACTTTTCTTCTATCTTCATTCTGGAAATTCCCTTCACTTGTAACCTATGTTAGATGCTCTGTTTCCAGGACCCCCAACATTTCCGTTAGCCTCCTGATGAAAGGTGAATGAGAGGTCATTTTTGAAAGCCACAAAGCTGAAAATGTTTTATTCTGCCTTCTTTTTAAAAATTAGTTTGCCTACATTCACAAAGGTGAAAATACTTTACCCTTGGAACTTTCAATATATTGCTTAGTTGTCTTCAAACCTTCAGTGTTGCTGTTGAGAAGTCTGATGCTATTCTTATTACTGAGTCTTTCTGACCCACTTCTTTTCTTCCCTCTTTTGGAGTATGTAAGATCTTCTTTTCTTCCTGCTGTTCAGAACCTCATATTGAAGTATTTTGGTGTAGGTCTTTTGTTCAGTGTTTTAGGCTTTTTTTTTTTTTTTTTTTTTTTTGAATTTGTTTGGAAACTCACGCTTTTTATAGTGCAGACATATTTTCTCCAATCTTCTTTTTTGGGGAATATAAAAGCCTGTGATGCCACTGTTCTGGGAACCAAGTTGAGGGAGGTGACTGTCATTCTGTGTGTTTGATCTTAGATAATCCTCCAGCTTTCCACATGGTCCCTAACAAGAGTCTTCAGCAGTGTCTTGAGTTTGAAGTCTCTGTGGTATAACCTCTTTAAAACTTTCCTTCAGACTTCCCACCTAGGGCTGGTGGGAGTATGCTTTTGGCTGTTAAGGAACTGGAGAGTCTAATGATTTCTGACCCCACTTTAAGCCCTCACCTGTATCCAGTTCCTTCAGTAAATCTTGATATGTCCTGTGGTGGGAATCAGTTTCCAGTTGGCTTCTCCCACCTTTGCAGAAGCTTCTGTTTTGGCTTTCTCCATAAAGTCACTTACTGCTGGTATTTTGTTTTTAAATCTTCCAAATTTTGTTATTCAAGAACTGTCGTGTGCTTTTGGACTCTTCTCTTGTTCTCTGACGCTCTGTTTATTTTAATTTTTGTGGGCACATAGTAGGTGTATGTATTTATGAGGTACACAAGATAGGAGTTTTGATACAGGCATGCAGTATGAGATAAACACATCATGGTAACCCTCTGTCTCTTGTGGGTTAATACCTTCTTATTCCTTTACTGTCATTTCGTTGTGGGTTTGGGCATGTGAAGAGATTTAGATTTTGTCCACTACTTTTTTTTTTTTTTTTTTTTTTGAGACAGAGTCTCGCTGTTGCCCAGGTTGGAGTGCAGGGGCGCGATCTCTGCTCACTGCAAGCTCTGCCTCCCGGGTTCACGCCATTTTCCTGCCTCAGCCTCCCACGTAGCTGGGACTACAGGCGCCCGCCACCTTGCCCCGCTAATTTTTTGTATTTTTAGTAAAGACGGGGTTTCACCATGTCAGCCAGGATGGTCTCGATCTCCTGACCTCGTGATCTGCCCGCTTCGGCCTCCCAAAGTGCTGAGATTACAGGCGTGAGCCACCGCACCCAGCCTTGTCCACTACTTTTAACTAGAATGCCTTAATTAGGTTTAAGTCATAACTTGAATATTATTTTTTAGATGCTTGCTCTAAGTGTTACAAGGACCTTATGGTGTAGTATTTGTGGCTTTCCCAGAAACTCAGAATAACAATAGGGATTTATATCATGCTTATTATTATATATAGAAAGCTAAATATATTCAGTTTTTTAATGTTGGACTCTGGATAGACGAATATTTTGGACTAGCCAACATATACGGTGTCTTGGCATCAATAGTTTGTAGATTTGATAACCTACTAAAGGCACCTTCCTTCCATCTGTTCTAGATTTTAAATGTATAATTTTATGCTATGAAACATATGTAATATTTTTAGTAAATAACTAGGATGGGCTAGATCTAAATGTCAACTTTATTACTTTCTGCCAGTATTATTGGCAACTACATAAACTTCCACAGGTTATTAAAAATATTTTTACCAGCTTCTCCCACAGCAGGAGAAAAACAATTAATAAAACTAACTAAATAAGCTTTCCTACTTACTCATCCAGCACAGATTGTTATTTGAATTGAACAAATGGTTATTTGCAAGATTGTTTGAGGCCTAGTTAAGAGCAGCACACTGATGGACATATGGAATGAGCCACACCATCTGGTTACAGTCATACCTGGGTGGTGGTCATTAAAACTAAATCTCCTGGGGATCTGCAGATGTCTTAATTATACTACAAAAATGTATTGGGCTGCACCAGTAGGCTACTTTGAACTTCTTGAAACCAGTTAACTTGCAAACATGTTTTCAAGATATCAAAACTGCAGTTATTGAGTCTTTTTTTTTTTTTTTTTTGCACAAAACTGAAGACTTAAAATGTGTATTTGAGGATCTGGAATGGGTGGTACTTCAGTATTGGCCCCATGAAAGTAATGTGGTTTACTTACCCAACACTTTCATCCAATAGTTATGACTAATATGACAGAAAAGTGTTTTATAAACCCTGAATTCACCCTGTAGCTAGAAGGGCTTTAGCAAAAAAGGGAAGTGACCTCAGGTTCACATCTTAAAAATACTTGTTTTGATTCACTGCAGGATTTTATTCACTTAAATGATCAAATTTGGTAGGTGAAGATAGTCTGCTAATGATAAATTTAATTACTCTAAAAATTGTGGTTACTATAGATACTAACACGAAATCAGGACTACAGTTTTTTTATTTCTTGACATACGTTATAATTTTTTGGTATGCAGTTCTGTGAATCTTAACATATGTATAGATTCATATAGCCACCACTCAAATTAGAACATGCAAGTTTTCCATCACCCCAAAAAACTTTTAGCCCTTGTTTTTACTGTACTCCTGGCAATTACTGATCTGTTCTCCAACACTGCAGGTTTTGTCTTTCCAAGAATGTTGTGTAAATGGACTCATAACTTTTCTAGATTGCCTTTTTTCACTCAACATATTATCTTTAAGATTAATCCAAGTTAGTTGTTGTTTATCTTAATAGTTTGTTCCTCCTTGTTGCTAAGTAGTATTCCATTGCTTGTTTGTTTTTCCATTTTCTGTTTGAGGAGTTTCTAGTTTTTGATATATATGAATGGAAATGCTGTAAATGTTTATGCTCAAGTTTTTGGGTGAACGTAAGTTTTCATTTCACTTGGGTAAATATCTAGGGCTAGGTTGTATGGCACATGCATGTTTAATTAAAAAATTGGCCAAGTTTTTTTGGTTTTGTTTTGATTTTTCCCTTTTACTTGTGGAATTCCGTTTTCTTTTTTTTATTATACTTTAAGTTTTGGGGTACATGTGCACAACGTGCAGGTTTGTTACATATATATACACATGCCATGTTGGTGTGCTGCACCCATTAACATTAGGTATATCTCCTAATGCTATCCCTCCCCCCTACCCCCACCCTCCATTTTCTTTTATGGTCACAATTGAAATTGTACTATTGATATTAACATTCCAGAGTTAATCAGTATTTTAATCTTCTGTTAATACAAGGTCTTTAAAAATACAAAGTAGTTTCATTTAAGTGGTGTTTCTTTTTTTTTGAGACGGAGTTTTACTCTGTGGCCCAGGCTGGAGTGCAGTGGCGTGATCTCGGCTCACTGCAACCTCTGCCTCCCAGGTTCAAGTGATTCTGCTGCCTCAGACTCCTGAGTAGCTGGGATTGAGGACTGCCACCACACCTGGCTAATTTTTCTATTTTTAGTAGAGATGGAGTTTTAACCATGTTGGCCAGGCTGCTCTCGAACTCCTGATCACAAGTGATCCACCCGCCTGCTGGGATTAAGATTACAGGTGTGAGCCACCGCGCCTGGCTCATTTAAGTGTTATTGTTGGTAAACATATTATTTGTCCCTTTTTTCCTTCTGTTAGTTGGATGTTACTGTAATAAGATGATATTTGTTTAGATTTGCCAGTTTACAGTTTGCTTACCCCTTAGCATCTCAAGACTTTCTTGGGTCATTTTTCTTCTTAAAGTATATACAGTATAAGCTTCTTTAATGAAGATCTCTTAGTTTTTTTTTTGTTTTTTTTTTTTTTTTTTTTTTTTTTTTTTTTTGAGATGGAGTCTCACTCTGTTACCCAGGCTGGAGTGCAGTGGTACGATCTTGGCTCACTGTAACCTCTGCCTCCTGGGTTCAAGTGATCTTCCTGCCTCAGCCTCCCCAGTAGCTGGGATTACAAGTGTGCGCCAACATGCCCGGCTAATTTTTGTATTTTTGTTGTTAGTAGAGATGGGGTTTCACCATGTTAGCCAGGCTGGTCTCGAACTCCTGAGCTCAGGTGATCTGCCCACCTTGGCCTCCTAAAGTGCTGGGATTACACACATAAGCCACCGTACCTAGCCTAGTGGGTTTTTTTGTTTTGTTTTTTATCTGAAGATACTGTTATTTTGATCTTATACTTCAAACATAGCTTTGCTGGATTCACAAGTTATTTTTTCTTACCACTTGAAGATAATATTCCATGGTCTTCTCCCTTCCATTGAGAAGTCTACTACGAGCCAAATTTTGTTCCCTATATTTTCATTCCAGTTGCTTTTAAGATCTTCTCTGTCTTTGAAGTTTCACCGAATCGTTTCTTTTTTTTTTTTTTTTTTTGAGACAGAGTCTCGCTCAGGCTAGAGTGCAATGGCGTGATCTTAGCTCACTGCAACCTCCAACTCCCAGGTTCAAGTGATTCTCCTGCCTAAGCCTCCTGAGTAGCTAGGATTACAGGCACCCGCCACCATGCCCAGCTAATTTTTTTTTTTTTTTTTTTCCAGTAGAGATGGGGTTTCACCAGGTTGGCCAGGAACTCCTGACCTCAGGTGATCCACCTGCCTCAGCCTCCCAAAGTACTGGGATTACAGGTGTGAGCCACCGCACCCAGCCCAAATTGTTTTTAAATTGGATTTTATTTATCCAGATTTTGATGAGCTGTGCTTTTTATATCTGTAGATGCATGACTTTTATTGGATCTGAAAAAAATCTCAGTCATTATCACTTCAGTGTTACCTTCCAGTTCATTAATTCTCTCTAGTTATGTCTAATCTGCTCTCTACCTGATTTGGTGAATTTTTAATTTCCACATTTATAATTTTTCATTTCTGAAAATTCTGATTTTTAAATTTGCCTCATTCTGATAATTACATATTTCCTGCTCATTTTTACTCCATCTTTCATTTAATGTTTCCTATATACTATATTTCGTAACTGGTAATTCAGATAGCTAGTCTTGGAGGGAGGTGGTGTTAATCTTTTGCATTTACTGACTCAAGCTCATTGGTTTGTTTCATTTTTGTGCGATAATTTTTACTGCAGCCTCATATTTTATTGAACTTAATATTTGGAAATCTTGATAGCTTAAATTGAAAATGCATTCCTTTAGAGAGAATTTGCGTGTTCATGGGATCCTAGGATCCTATGTAACCTGAAGGTATTTTATTTCCCATCCAGGGTCTTAGGTTTAACTTAAGAGAGATATCTGAGGTTGAGCTCTCTCATCTCGCCTTGGCTATTGTTGGCACTTGCTTTCTGAACAACATTGCTTCTTGTGTATAACATGGGACACATTTCTGGTTTCAGCTTAATTTTTAATTTTTTGTCTTTCTTTTCTGTGGGGTGGGGGATCCTTAGAGATTTCCCTTTCTGAAAAGTTCAATAGTATGTTAATAGTCGTAGGGTTTTCGGGGGGTAATTTATGGACTATCATATTGTAGTAGAGGAGCCTTTTCAGTTTGCCATACTGTTGGAAGTAGAAATTAATGAGATTAAATATGTAAAGTGCCAGTCTAGATACTGTATACATATTAATTTCCTACTGCCTTATTAACTTACATTTTGCCAACCAGTTCATATAAGAGTGCTTTATATTATATAGTTTATTTTTGGTTATTTGTTGTGGACACTTTCCTTAGTCTGTTTTCTAACTTAAATTTTAATATATATTCTATATGGATTTTAAACATGTATGTTTACTTTGTTGTTTATTGTTTCAGAGAGAGAAATATTTATTCTGTTTTCTGTTGTTCTGAAAAGAAAGTTATGCAAGATTGAACCTTGGTAGAGTTTATATCTTAGTAGAGAGCCAAAGAACTTCCATGAATTTCTTTTGCTTGGTAATTTACATATTTATTATATTTAGAGCAGTGGTTCTCAACTGCAGGGGTTTTACCCTGTGGGGGATATTTGGCAGTGTCTGGAAACATTTTTGATTGTCACTGTTTGATGAAGGGTGCTACTGACATTTAGTGAGTAGAGCCAGGAATGCAGATGCTGCTCAACATCGTACAATGCATAGGACACCCCTCCACAATAAAGAATTATCCAACCCAAAATGTCAATAGTGTCAAAGTTAAGAAGCCTTGATTTAGAGAAATCAAGATAAGGTGTTGATGCTGGTGGGTATCACAGGATTTGCGAGGGAAGGTTTTCCAGGTTTTAGAAAAATGGAAAGAAAGCCTTAGAATGGAAAACCGCCCTCCTTCTGTTAATTTCTTTTTCTAATTCTTCAGCATAGACGTTCACATTCATAAAGCCAAGACTAAAAATCTAAATTTTTGGAATACTACTGCTAGTCACTTGGACTTTCCATTATTTCTTACCCTTTTTTTCTACTGCAGAGTAAGTTATCTTTATTATAGAAAACTTGGAGAGAATAGAAAATTATGAATAGAAAAAAATTCATTCGATCTCGTCACTTATATACAAGACCTGTTAACATTTTGGAGTATTTGGTTTGTCTGTTTTTTTTTTGCTGATTAAAAAAATTAGCTCTGAGAATACTATATAATTTTTATCTTAAAAAGTTAAAGCACAATTGTAAGTGCATAATGTCATACTTTTTAAAATTGTTATTTGTTTAACCATTTCCTCTTTGGTGTGAAGTGTTTCTGATGTTTTCCTATTATGAATAATGTTTGGTGAACATCTTGTACATAGGTGGTCAGCTCTATTTCCAATTCTTTTTTTAGAATTGATTCCCAAAAGTGGCATAGCTGGGTCAAATGGGAGTAATGAGGTTCTTAATAAAAATTGGTGAGTTTATCCCACAATCAGTGTTTGAGACTACTCATGTTTTGGCACACGGGTGGGTAGGGTGGGGTGTGGGTGGTATAGGGGCGAGACTACTCATTTTCATTGCAACTCATCACTCTGAATGCTACTTAAGACATTGATGGAATCAGTCTTCAGCTTTTTCTCAGACTCTTATAAGCATGTAAAATCCATGTACAAAGCTTTTGAAGGCTAAAAAATGAAAAATCCATGTACAGCCTTGCACTGAGATACAGTTAATATCCCTGAATAAATGGAATATAAAAGAGCAATTAGAGAAAGCAACATGAACACATAAAATTTCCTCATGCTTACTCAATTTATGTAATAAGTGTAGCCTTGTAAAATTGTCTGCCATTTTGTAAATTGAATCTCATTTTGAGTGTACTGAGAGAGCTCATTTGAATAAATCCTGTAACGAGTAACAAATCCTGTAATAGATTTCACTTGGAAAAAATGTCCTTTCCACATTTGGTTATGAGTACATTCTGGTTGTACTTGTTTCATAAGTTCAAAATGTTCACTTATTTAGGTAATATGAATACCTTCTTTGTGCATTAATATACCCTGTGATATGATAGGGCCTGGGATATATTTACACACTGTACTGCATTTGTGAGATTACATATGTGTGACGTAACTTAAAAAGAGTTAGGGTCAGCTTTATGAATTGTTGTTTCCTCATTGAACAGTTTGAGAAGTATACGGGTATAGTTGTTTGCTCCAAAATTTCCAAAACATACATCCTTTTAATAGTGTTTGATATGTCCTCATCAGAAAGTTACTCCTTTGCCTTTTCCATTTTTAAAAGGAGATATTACCAGTAGGTGGAAAGGTTAAGGCTTGTCTGGAACAAGGAGGAGATATTACAGAATAAGGAGAGACAAAGTTGCAAAGTGAGAAGGAAGGAGTAGAGGCATTTGAGAGAACAATAAGATGTTAATTCCTTTGCGAATTGTTTTGGGGCAAGGTAGAATGTATTTTATCATAAATGATTAAACCCTCCCTGAAAGGGGTGGATTAGTGTTCTCATAATACTGATGAGTTGGAAACAAAGTGTTGTGCCCTAAGTGAGTAATAATGACTTTTCTAAATTTTCACTTTTGGAAATTTATTTACTTATTTATTTATTTATTTGAGAGTCTAGCTCTGTTGCCCATGCTGGACTGCAGTGGTGCAATCTTGGCTCACTGCACCCTCTGCCTCCCAGGTTCAGGTGATTCTGCTGCCTCAGCCTCCCGAGTAGCTGGGACTACAGGCGTGCGACACCATGCCCAGATAATTTTTGTAGTTTTTAGTAGAGACAGGGTTTCAACATGTTGGCCAGGCTGATCTCGAACTCCTGACCTCAAGTGATCTTTCCACCTTGGCCTCCCAAAGTACTGGGATTACAGGCATGAGCCACTGTGCCCGGCCACTTTTGGAAATTTGAAACTAGTCTTTAGAGCCTTATTTTATGATTGCAAGCTTTAAAGGTACTTGCAAGTTACTACTGAGGTTGTTTCTTCAGAGTTAGTTTTGAGAGTTTTTTTTTTTTTTTTTTTTTTTTTGAGACGGAGTCTCAGTCTGCTGCCCAGGATGGAATGCAGTGGCGCAATCTCAGCTCACTGCAACTTCCGCCTCCTGGGGTCAAGCGATTCTCCTGCCTCAGCCTCCTAAGTAGCTGGCAAGCGCCACCACACCTGCCTAATTTTCGTATTTTTAGTAGAGATGGGGTTTCACCATGTTGGCCAGGCTGGTCTCAAACTTCTGACCTCAAGTGATATGCCCACCTTGGCCTCCCAAAGTACTGAGATTACAGGTGTGAGCCACCACACCTGGCCAAGTTTGAGAGTTTTACCAGAATAAAATTTCGGTTACTTAGTTCTTCTTGTTCAGCCTTTATTTCCCTATTTTATGACAACAGAAGGAAAAAATGAG